>NC_000015.10:50151874-50776874 GCF_000001405.40 Homo sapiens | reverse complement strand
GTGCACCTATAGTCTCAGCTACTGGGGAGGGTGAGGCAGGAAGATTGCTTGAGCCAAGGAGGCAGAGGTTGCAGTGAGCTAAGATGGTGTCACTGCACTCCAGCCTGGTGACAGAGCGAGACTCTGTTTCAAATAATAATAATAGTAATAAACAACTTTGGTTTAAAAAGCCCAGAGTAGTCTCAATATGTCAATAGTTAATACTGTAGTGCCCAACCAAGAAAATCATATAAATTAATTTACCTGGAGTCAGAGGAGGATTTGATTAATATGTGAATCAATCCACTATGCCAGAAAACTTTGGATATGGATTGGGTTTTGCTTTTTCCAGCAATATCTAAAGTCAACTACTGTTCCTTGCAGCAACACTGATTTATACAGACAATAGCAGCCTTTGGTATACCTCAACACCAAGAACAATGTAACTCTAGCTTACAATTTGTTATCTCTTTTTTTTTTTTTTTTTAAGAGGGATTCTCACTCTGTCACTCAGGCTGTAGTGCAGTGGCATGATCTCAGCTCACTGTAACCTCCACCTCCTGGGTTCAAACGATTCTCCTGCCTCAGCCTCCTGAGTAGCTGGGCCCACAGGCCCACACCACCGCGCCCGGCCAATTTTTGTATTTTTAGGAGAGATGGGGTTTTGCCATGTTGGCCAAGCTGGTCGCGAACTCCTGACCTCAAGTGATCTGCCCACCTCGGCCTCCCAAAGTGCTGGGATTACAGGCGTGAGCCATTAAGCCTGGCCTATTAGTTATTTCTTTAAAATTTGTATTTAAAAACCATTCATACAAAAGAATATATATGTATATAAATAAAATCTCTAAAGTTATCTTATGTACCAGGCTATTTTTATTCATTTTTAGTGTAGAAATATGTCCTGGAGGGAAAAATAATTCAAGCTTTTATCAGTGAAGAAAACCTTGGACTTTTTTTTGAGATGGAATCTCGCTCTGCCACCCAGACTGGAGTGCAGTGGCGCGATCTCAGCTCACTGCGGTCTCCACCTCCTGGGTTTAAGGGATTCTTCTGCCTAAGCCTCCTGAGTAGCTGGGATTACAGGCATGCGCCACCACGCCCAGCTAATTTTTGTATTTTTAGTAGAGACGGGGTTTCACCATGTTGGTCAGGCTGGTCTCGAACTCCTGACTTCGTGATGCACCCTCCTCGGCCTCCCAAAGTGCTGGGATTACAGTTGTGAGCCAATGCGCCCAGCTGAAACCCTTGGACTTTTTAGGCAAATCGAAACCTAAAGAGTTGATTTTGTTTGAAATTAGATCCAGTTATTCTTCAAAAGACGAGTCTTTTTTATGTTTTATAAGACATTTCAGAGGTAATTTAGTCACACTCGAAAATATTCAAAACCACAACACTGGCTTCTTAATTATTAGCAAAATTTCTTAATTTAATAAACATTTATAGAGCACCCACAACTGGATTTAATTTCTGGCACCATTTCTTGCTGGGAGATTTCATATGCATAAATTTCCTTATCTGCAACATGAGACTAATAATTTGTGTCATAAAACTGCTTTAAATGAAGCTAATTAGAAAAAAATAGTAACTTATAAGACATTATAAAACCTTGCATGGCTTTGCATTCAAGTTCTCTTGCTGAGAGCTTATAAAGATTTCCTGGCTGGGTGCGGTGGCTCACGCCTGTAATCCCAGGACTTTGGGAAGCCGAGGCGGGTGGATCACCTGAGGTCAGGAGTTTGAGACTCAGCCTGGCTAACACGGTGAAATCCCATTTCTACTAAAAATACAACAAATTGGCCGGGCGTTGTGGCACGTGCCTGTAATCCCAGCTACAGAAGAGGCTGAGGCAGGAGAATCGCTTGAATCCCAGAGGTGGAGGCTACAGTGAGCCGAGATCGCGTCATTGCACTCCAGCTTGGGCAACAAGAGCAAAACTCGGTCTCAAAAAAAACAAAACAAAACAAAAAAAGATTTCCTAAGGGAAGATGACCAAAGCCTGAGTTTTGGTCTATCACCTTGAGTCCTCCAACTGTGAGCTGTGTGAAATCCTTTCTCCTGAACTTTCCATCTACTGAATACATCTCTTCTGAACTCCCTGCCATTCAAGTCAACATTTCAATTCACCTGTCTTGTAGGAAGTATATACTATGTTTCACTGATTGACACAATTTCAAAGGAGCAGTAGTTCTGTCAAGAGCAGTAATAAATACATGTGAACACGTAAACAGAAGATACAGTGATGAAACCACAGCTGACAGCTTGCCTCTCTGCTCCTAGTCACCTCCTGTGAACCAGGAAGCATTCAAGTCACATGCTTTGCTCAAGAAGAAATGTCTCATAAGCAGGTATCAAGGAGGCAAGCATTTAGCTAAAGTCAGATATTCGGAAAAACACCACCAGGAAACTTGGAGCAGCTTTTTCATCTGTGAACAAGATAATTACTGAGACTGAGGTGGTAACATTGATTATTCCCATTAAAAGGGTAATAAACATATATTTATTTATTTATTTATTTTGAGACAGAGTTTAGCTTCTGTTGCCCAGGTGGAGTGCAATGGCGCAATCTCGGCTCACTGCAACCTCCGCCTCCCGGGTTCAAGTGAGTCTCTTGCCTCAGCCTCCCAAGTAGCTGGGATTACAGGCACCCACCACCACGCCCAGCTAATTTTTTGTATTTTTAGTGGAGACAGGGTTTCATCGTGTTGGCCACACTGGTCTTCAACTCCTGACTTCAGGTGATCCGCCCACCTCAGCCTCCCAAAGTGCTGGGATTACAGGGGTGAGCCACCGTGCCCGGCAAAGGGTAATAAACATATTGTCTCCTAGAAGTTATGTTCAGAGATAGGTATTGACACACAAACCCAAACCCAACAACACAACCAGTAAATGAAAATGGTGGGAACCAGCAATCCCACTTCTGGGTATATATCCAAAGGAAATGAAACCAGTATGTCAGAGATATCTGCATGGCCATGTTCACTGCAGCATTATTCGTAACAGCCAAGATATGGAAACAACCAAATTGCCCATCAATGGATACATGGATTTTAAAATGTGGTAAAGAAGCCAGGCACAAAAAGACAAATACCTCATGATTTCACTTATATGTGGAATCTAAAAAAGTTGAATTCATAGAAGTAGAGAGTAGAATGGTGGTTACCAGAGGCCTACAGGTGCGGGGGGGTGGACAGGGAAAGGGGAGACATTGGTTAAATGGTGCGAAGTTTCAGTTAGACAGGAGGAATAGGTTCTAGGGATCTATTGCACAGCATAGTGACTATAGTTAATAACAATGTATTGTATACAGTATTCAAAATAGCTAACAGAGTGGATTTCAGATGTTCTCACCACAAAGAAATGAAAAGTATTTGAGATGATGAATATGTTAATTAGCCTGATTTGATCATTCCACAATGTATACATGTATTGAAATCACATTGTACCTCGTAAATATATATAATTATTATTTGTCAGGTAAAAATAAAGTAAAGCTTAAAAATAACTCATGAGATATCTTTTCCCACTTTTAGAAAGGAAAATAATGAAGCAATAAGATTTGGTTCATATCCTTGTTGGCTGGAAACTCCTAGAAATTCTTTGAGTTTACCAGTAATAAAGAGTTGATTTCTCTGCTTGAACCCGCGAGGCAGAGGTTGCAGCAAGCTGAGATTGCGCCACTGCACTCCAGCCTGGGCGACAAAGTGAGATGCCATCTCAAAAAAAAAGTTGATTTCTCTATACCAGTAGTTCTATTAGGTACATGATGTTTTAAATTTACATCTCTCTACTGACTAATGATGTTGAGCATCTTTTCATGTGCTTATTTGTCATATGTGCATCGTCTTTGGTGAATTATCCAACTATTTGCTTCATTTTAAAAATTTTTTGTCTTCTTATTTAGTTATAAGAGCTCTTTATATATTCTGGATTCATTTTTGTTGTTGTTGAATGTAGGTTTTGCAAATATTTTCTCCCAGTCTAGGCTATGCTTTCATTCTCTTAACAGTATCTTTCAGAGAGCAGTTTTTATTTTGATGAAACCCAACATATATATATATATATATATTTTTTTTTTTTTTTTTTTTTTTTTTTGAGATGGAGTCTTGACCTGTCACCTAGGCTGCAGTGCAATGGCATGATCTTGGCTCACTGCAACCTCTGCTTCCCGGGTTCAGACGATTCTCCTGCCTCAGCCTCCTGAGTAGCTGGGATTATAGGCACCCGCCACCACACCCAGTAATTTTTGTATTTTTAGTAGAGATGGGGTTTCACCATGTTGGCCAGGCTGGTCTTGAACTCCTGACCTCATGATCTGCCCACTTTGGCCTCCCAAAGTGCTGGAATTACAGGCGTGAGCCACCACACCTGGCCAGTAAATGGTATTTTCTTTTCTTTCTTTAGACAGGGTCTCACTCTGTTGCCCAGGTTGGAGTACAGTGGCTTACTGCAGCCTCAAGCTATTGGGCTCCAGAAATCCTCCCACCTCAGCCTCCTGAGTAGCTGAGACTACAGGTGCATGTTACCATGCCCGTCTAATTTTCGGTTTGTTTTTGTTTTTGTTTTGAGACAGAGTCTTCCTCTGTCGCCCAGTCTGGAGTACACTGGCACGATCTTGGCTCACTGCAAACTCTGCCTCCCAGGTTCAAGAATTCTCTGCCTCAGCCTCCCGAGTAGCTGGGATTACAGGCGCGTGCCACCATGCCCAGCTAATTTTTGTATTTTTAGTGGACACAGGGTTTCACCATGTTGGCCAGGCTGGCCTTGAACCCCTGACCTCGTGATCTGCCCACCTTGGCCTCCCAAAGTGCTGGGATTACTGGCGTGAGCCACCACACCCGGCCACACTCATTTTTTTTTTTTTTTTTTTTGAGATGGAGTTTCTCTCTGTTGCCCAGGCTGGAGCACAGTGGTGTGATCTCAGGTCACTGCAACCCCTGCCTCCGGGGTTCAAGCGATTCTCTTGCCTCAGCCTCCTGAGTAGCTGGGATTATGGGCGCACACCACCATGCCTAGCTAATTTTTGTATTTTTAGTAGAGATGGGGTTTCACCATGTTGGCCAGGATGGTCTCGATCTCCTGACCTCGTGATCCACCCGCCTCGGCCTCCCAAAGTGCTGGGATTACAGGCGTGAGCCACCGGGACTGGCCTGATTTTCATATATTTTTAAATAGAGACAAGGTCTTGCTATGTTGCCCAGGCTGATCTTAAAATCCTGGGCTCAAGCAGTCCTCCCATCTGGGCCTCCCAAAGTGTTGGGATTACAGGCATGAGCCATCGGACCCAGTCATAATCTTAAAAATTGAATTTGTAGCCAGGCCTGGTGGCTCACACCTATAGTCCCAGCACTTTGGGAGGCCCAGAAAGGAGGACTACTTGAGCCCAGGAGTTCAAGGCAGGTGGATCAGCTGAGGTCAGGAGTTCAAGACCAACCTGGGTAACATGGTGAAATGTTACACTACTAAAAATACAACAATTAGCTGGGCATGGTGGTGTGCCCCTGTAATTCCAGCTACTCAGGAGGCTGGGGCAGGAGAATCGCTAGAACCTGGGAGACAGAGGTTGCAGCGAGCCGAGATTGCGCCACTACACTCCAGCCTGGGTGACAAAGTGAGACCCTGTCTCAAAAAAAAAAAAAAAGAAAAGGCCAGGCGTGGTGGCTTACGCCTGTAATCCCAGCACTTTGGGAGGCCAAGGTGGACCGATCACCTGAGGTCAAGAGTTTGAGACCAGCCTGTTTAACATGGTGAAACGCCGTTTCTACTAAAAACACAAAAGATTAGCCGGGCGTGGTGGCTTGTACTTGTAATCGCTGCTACTTGGGAGGCTGAAGCAGGAGAATCACTTGAATCCGGGAGGTGGAGGTTGCAGTGACCCGAGATCGCGCCATTGCACTCCAGCTTGGGCAACAAGAGCGAAACTCCGTCTCAAAAAAAAAAAAAAAAAATGCAGATTCTGATTCTGATCCAGCAGGGGTTTGTTTGTTTGTTTTTTGTCGCCCATGTTGGAGTGCAATGGCAAGATCTCAGCTCACTGCAACCTCTACCTCCCAGATTCAAGCAATTCTCCTGCTTCAGCCTCTCGAGTAGCTGGTTTTACAGGCGCCCGCCATCACACTCGGCTAATTTTTTGTATTTTTAGTAGAGATGGGGTTTACACCATGTTGGCCAGGCTTGTCTTGAACTCCTGCCCTCAGGTGATCTGCCCGTCTCTGCCTCCCAAAGTGCTGGGATTATAGGTGTTAGCCATGGCGCCCAGCCGATCCAGCAGAACTGTACCTATTCCTGGCATGATTACGCATTTCTAACAAGCTTTCAGGTGATGCTCTGATGTTGGTCCAGAGTACATGATTATAGACTTTATTATGAATATCAGTGAAACTAAATAGTCTTCTAGACAGTACAGGGGTCCTCTTAGGAGTTTTCTCAAGAGATTACAGTCACAATGCATCTGCAGTCTGATGGCACAGACATTTGTGTTTGGGCAAGCAGTTCTCCCATTCCTCTCAAGAGTTTATTCAAAACTCTTCAGTAGATGCGTCACTTGGTCCCACTTTCACCACCCACCTCAGCCTCCCGAAGTGCTAGGAATACAGGCATGAGCCACTGCACTCAGCGCATATGTCTTATTTCCAATTATCTAGGGATTTTCCAGACATCTTTTTGTTATTGATTTCCAATTCTCTTGTGGTCAAAGAACATACTTTGTATGATTTAAAACCTCTTAAACTTGGCCAGGCGCGGTGGCTCACGCCTGTAATCCCAGCACTTTGGGAGGTTGAGGCGGGCGGATCACAAGTTCAGGAGATTGAGACCATCTTGGCTAACACGGTGAAACCCCATCTCTACTAAAAATACAAAAAATTAGCCGGGCGTGGTGGCAGGCGCCTGTAGTCCCAGCTACTCGGAAGGCTGAGGCAGGAGAGTGGTGTGAACCCGGAAGGCGCAGCTTGCAGTGAGCCAAGATTGTGCCACTGCACTCCAGCCTGGGTGACAGAGCGAGACTCCGTCTCGAAAAAAAAAAAGAAAACAGAAAAAAAAACCTCTTAAACTTATCAAGATGTGTTTTATGGCCAAATAGTTTATTTGGTAAAGGTCCTGTGTACCCTTAAAATTATGTAGTTGTTGGGTGGAGAGTTCTATAAATGCCAATTAGGTCAAGTTGGTCAATGGTGTTGATCAAGTCTTCTGTATCCCTGCTGATTTTCTGCCTACTTGTTCTTTCAATTATTAAAAGATTTTACTTGAAATCTTTAACTGTAATTATGAATTCATCTATTTTTCCTTTCAGTTTAATTCGTGTTGGAGCATGGGATTTATGTTTCATTTTAATTTCTCAGATCACTCTAATATGCAGCCAGCGTTGAGGGACATTGCTTTAAGCCAATGGTTCTCAAACTTCAGCATACATCAGAATCACACAGGGAACTTGTTATTAATAGAATAGATTGATGGACGCTACTCCCAGAGTTTGTGGGGTGAGGTCCAAGAATTTGCATTTCTTTCTTTTTTTTTTTTTTTTTTTTTTTTAGTACAGACGGGGTTTCACCATGTTAGCCAGGATGGTCTCGATCTGCTGATCTCGTGATCCACCCGCCTCGGCCTCCCAAAGTGCTGGGATTACAGGCGTGAGCCACCGCACCCGGCCAAGAATTTGCATTTTTTATAGTTCCCAGGTATTTCTGATATGCTGATCCAGGAGCCACACTTTAAGAATCACAGTCTAAGCCAACATTTCTCAACCTTAGCTGCATATTAGAATCATCTGGGGAGCTTTAACAATCCTGATTCACCACACAACCCAGATCCATCCGCTTTTAAGGAATAGAATGTGAGGCAAGTTTCCACTAAGCAGTTCTCTACTTGACTTTTCCCTTTGGCTTAGTGATTTTGGGGTCCCAAGATTTATTTTCCTTTCACAAGTTCCAGCACTTTGGGAGGTAGGCAGATCACCTGAGTGCAGGAGTTCAAGACCAGCTGGTAACACAGCGAGACCTCATCTCTACAAAAAAAATACCAAAATTAGCCAGTCGTGGTTGTGCATGCCTGTAGTCTCAGCTACCCAGGAGGCTAAGGTGGGAGAATCACCTGAGCTGGGAGGTCGAGGCTGCAGTGAGCCGAGATCGTGCCACTGCACTTCAGAGCCTGGGGCACAGAGTGAGACCCTGTCTCAAAAAATAAAAACAAACAAAAACTAGAGCTCTTCTGATAGCCCAAGAGCCAGTTTAGAGATTCACTAGGCAAAGGGCCACGAGAGGCAGATGGGAATATTTAGAGATGAAGTCATCCAGTCCATACAGCTATTCTATAAAAGGGGAACCTAGGCTGGGCACGGTGGCTCACGCCTGTAATCCCAGTACTTTGGGAGGCTGAGGCAGGCAGATCACCTGAGGTCAGAAGTTCAAGACCAGTCTGGCCAATATGATGAAACCCCGTCTCTACTAAAAATACAAAAATTAGCTGGGTGTGTTGGTGGGCACCTGTATTTCCAGCTACTTGGGAGGCTGAGGTAGGAGAATCGCTTGAACCTGGGAGGCGGGGGTTGCAGTGAGATGAGATCATACCATTGCACTCCAGCCTGGGCAACAGGAGTGAAACTCCATCTCAAAACAAAAAGAAAAGGAGGGGGTGGGGAACCTGGCTTGCTGTGGGCAACTAGAAAGTATGAAAATAGTCCAGAATTGATAGGCAGCAGATGAGGCAGTTCTTACCTCACTGTGCCCCTAAGCTTCAGACCAACCCACATAGCCATTGACAGCAGATATTTGCACTTGGATATCCTAAAAGCATTTCAAACCCACTTCCAAAAGTATTCCCCCCGACCCATTTATCCCATCAACCCCCACCTACTTCGCCTTTGGCACCCAACTCAATAAATAGCCGAGGGCAAGAACCCGGGAATCATACCTCTCCCTTTATCTCCATGTCTTCAAAGTTACCAAATTCTGCTACAAGTCTTTTAGATCCATCTCCTCCTCCCTATTTCTTCTGCCACAGTTCAAGCCCTCAGTGTCCCTGGATTTTGTTACTACAGATGTCTAACAGGTGTCCTGGCTTCCACTTCTTGACCTGTTTCAACACGTCTGCTGCCCTGCCAGCCACCATAGAGAGCTTTCTAAAACAGAAAGTGTATGTCATTGCCCTATTTATTATTCATTTGTTCTCTACCCCTGGCAGGACAAAGCCCAAAGTCACAAACAGTCCCAATGTATTTATGATTTTGCCTCTGGCCTCTTCTCACATGTCATCTTTCACCACTCATAACTTCAGCCAAGCCCAAGTTTTGCAGTTCCTTCAATGCCACCTTTGGCTTTGACACTAATGGCTCACTCTTCCTGGAAGTGCCCCCCTTCTTCTACCCTTTGCCTGGCTAAAATTAACTCACCCAGACTCAGCTCAGGCTGGTATTTTTCCTGGCACCCCTTTTATAACTCCTTTTGATACTTCCATAACATCTTGTGCAAACAAGAGTCACTACTCACCCTGAACTGTGTTTGCTCACACATCTGTGTCCCTCGTTAAACTATGAGCTGTGGGGTGGCAGGCACACTGTCCTATTCAGCATTTGATATTAAATATTCATCCAACAAATATCTGAGGACCTACTATATGCCAAATACTGTAGATGTAAAGGGTATAGCAGTCAACAAAGCAAAGACACCCCTTGCTATGAAGTGGGAGGTGGCATAAATAAATGAACCTATACATAGAATGAAAAGTGCTGTGCAGATAATTAAAATAAACAATAATATGAAAGTGACTGGACAGGCCGGGTGCGGTGGCTCATGCCTGTAATCCCAACACTTTGGGAGGCCAAAGCGGGTGGATCACCTGAGGTCGAGAGTTTGAGACCAGCCTGACCAACATGGTGAAACCCCGTCTCTACTAAAAATACAAAATTAGCCGGGTGTGGTGGCACGCGCCTGTAATCCCAGCTACTGGGGAGGCTGAGGCAGGAGAATTGCTTGAACCTGG
The DNA here is from genome assembly GCF_000001405.40 of Homo sapiens. Classification (NCBI taxonomy): domain Eukaryota; kingdom Metazoa; phylum Chordata; class Mammalia; order Primates; family Hominidae; genus Homo; species Homo sapiens. The sequence goes on along the minus strand of NC_000015.10, from coordinate 50,766,923 downwards.
GAGGCGGAGGTTGCAGTGTGCCGAGATTGCACCATCGCACTCCGGCCTGGGCAAGAAAAGCGAAACTCCGTCTCAAAAAAAAAAAAAAAAAAAAAAGAGAAAGGAAAAGAAAAGAAAGTGACTGGACAGGTACTTTAGATTGGGTATGTCAGGAAGTCCCGTCTGGGGAAGCGACATTGAAGCTGATAAGTGAATGTCAACAAGGCAGGCATTCTGAGCTTTGGAGAGAAGAGCACTCCAGCAGGGAGGACTACCAGAGCAAAGTCCGGGCGGCCCACCAGAGCAAAGGCCGGGAGGGCCAAAGGTCCGTGCGCCTTAAAGTGTGGGAAAGTAGTGAAGATGGGGAGACAGGAAGGCAGGGGCCAGATTTACCTTTGCAGGCTAGAGTAGAGTTTTGATTTTTTTTTTTTTTTTTTTTTGGAGACCGAGTCTCGCTCTGTCGCCCAGGTTGGAGTGCAGTGGCACAATCTCGGCTCACTGCAACCTCCGCCTACCCGGTTCAAGCGATTCTACTGCCTCCGCCTCCCGAGTAGCTGGGACGACAGGTGCGTGCCACCACGCCCAGCTAATTTTTTGTATTTTTAGTACAGACTTGGTTCCACCATGTTGGCCAGGATGGTCTCGATTTCTTGACCTTGTGATCCGCCCACCTCGGCCATCCAAATGCTGGTATTACAGGTGTGAGCCATCACACCCGGCCAAGTTTTTATTTTATTCCAAGTGTGATAGAGAGAGACATGATCTGACTTATATGTTTTGAAAGATGGCTCTGGGACTGTTATGTGGCTACTGGGCTGTCCGGAGGGGAAACTGAGACCCGTTTGGAGGAGAGGGAAGTTGGTGGCCTGGATAGAGTGGTGGCAGCAGTTCTGGAGAAAGTGGATGGATCTGGGTTATGTGGTGAGTCAGAGTGGCCAGGAACAAATGACAGGCAGATGAATTAGGGTGACCCTTAGATTTCTGGCTGCATGCAACACTCGGGTAGTTACTGGGGAACCGAGCAGACGCTCAGACACTTCCGAGCCTTGAGAAATCCGTTCTCCCGCCAGGCTTCGGTGTGAGTTAAAGTCGGGCAGCCGGAAAGCGACAGGCTCAGACCCGCAGCCGGTGGCCTCGTAGCGCCGGGACGCCGGGACGCCTGGATACCGGGAGAGCGCTGGGACTCTCCGAGCCCGGCGCGGGGGTTTCCGCATCTTACGGGCGGGGCCGGAAGAGGAAGTCGCGCTGCTGTGGCGGCCGCTGTAGCAGCGGCGGTCCAGTCGTAGCCCGGCCGCCCGCGCCTGTCCGGTCCGGTCCGGCCACGGAGGCAGCGCAGCGGCGGGACTCCGAGCCTACCCCGCCGAGTGAGCTGCGCCGCACCGTGCCGTCCCACCCGGCACCCACCAGTCCGATGGGGCCGCAGCGGCGGCTGTCCCCTGCCGGGGCCGCCCTACTCTGGGGCTTCCTGCTCCAGCTGGTAAGGGGGCGGGAAGGCGCGCAGGCCTCCCAGGGGCTGGGCGGGGCCGGGGCCAAGGCCGGGGCTCCCTTCCCCTACTCCTCGCCCGGCCTCCCCTCTGCCCGCACCTCCGCGGCCTGCTCTCGCACTCCTCTTTCCTCCCCTCCTCTTTCCATTACTCATCTCTTTCCTTCCACCCTCCTCTTTTCCACCCTCTTTCCCCCAACTTTCCCGCCCCCCACTCGGTTCCCGCCCATTGAAGTCTGGCGAAATACCTACCGCAAAAAGATCAGAGGAGCCCCTTAGGTTGCGTTGACCTTGATGCTTCTCGATAGTTGCTCACTGTCCCAGCATATTTAAAATTGACCTCTGGGTTTTATTGTCTAAGCCTTTCTTACCGCTTTTTACCCTTGGGAAGAAAAAAAAATTATACAAGGCGCCAGTATGTTTAGCGGTTCGAGGACTGCACTTTAATTGCACTAACACGGATGTCTTTTTAAAATTCCCTTCCCCCACTGTAGCTCCTGCTTCGCCTTAGGGCTCATTTGATTCTGTTATGAGGGTTTTTTTTTTTTGGAGGGGGGGTTTTAATAGCAGTAATTTAAAATAACTTTTAAAAGAAGACACCAAAATGTAATGCTTTTAGTGGTTTTCAGTTTTCTGCCTAATTTAAAGGGATGGGTGGGGAGCGTCGGTTAAATGTAAGTAAGAAATATGTGTTCATAGATTTGTTTTCATAGTCACAGAGAAGTAATAGTGTTTTAAAATTCAGCCTCAAGTAATTCGAGCTTCAGTGTGGGAGTGGGGTGTCAGGAACCCGGTGTTTCAGTTTTTGTTTCTAGTGACTTTTACTTAGGGAGTTTCAGGTTGGAAACTTACGCATGTTATTTATTACAGAATTGGTGTCGTGTAAGCTTGTTTCGTTCTATTAGAATGTGTGATTTCTTTGAAAGACTGTTTTGCTGACTCTCCAGTTTAAGGGGTTAGTATTAGTGAATACAAAAGTGTCTTTAATATTTATTGAAAAACCAAAATCTAAGCCAAAAAGTAAGTGCCTTTTGGTGTATTCATAACTTTGACAGGCAACATCAGGAACCTGAGAGAATGTATCTAAAAATTGCTGGGGGAGGGGAGTTCGATATAAAAAGAGCAACAAAGTAGCAGTGTTAGTCGGAGTCTTTAAGGTGTTTACTGTGTAATCAGACAGATAATACTTATGTCCAAAAGATATTCAGATAGTATGTAGATGTATGCAAAACTATAACCTAGATATAAAACTTTTCAAAGTGTTTTTGCATTCATTTTCATTTGAATCTCTTGAGCTGATTTTAAGAATGAATATCACATTCGTACTAATCCCTTCTCAACATAAATTAATAGCTTAGTGATACATCAGTTCCTCATAAACTCACATTGAAATTCTTATTAAAGGCCCTGAGCCCTCTCACCAGAAAACTCTACTTAAGTAGACTTGTCATTTGATTTCATAGCCTTCACAAATCTAAAGATCATCCCTGTTCTAAATTGTATCTAGGCTGTCTCCCACGTTCTGGATTTTAGGCCTTTTTTTGTTGTTGTTTTTGTTTTTTTCGAGACGGAGTCTCACTCTGTCGCCCAGGCTGGAGTGCAGTGGCGCGATCTCGGCTCACTGCAACCTCCGCCTCCCAGGTTCAAGCAATTCTCCTGCCTCAGCCTCCCGAGTAGCTGGGATCACAGGCAAGCACCACCATGCCCAGCTAATTTTTGTATTTTTAGTAGAGATGGGGGTTTCACTATGTTGGTCAGGCTGGTCTCGAACTCCTGACCTCGTGATCCACCCTCCTCGGCCTCCCAAAGTGCTGGGATTACAGGCGTGAGCCACCATGCCCGGCGATTTTAGGCCTTTTATATTGCACCTATGTGCTTTGTTGTACCTCACCATGGTAATCTCGGGTTCTATATTCCTCGGTTCTAGGGTTGTTGTGAAGATTAAGTAACATTTTTCTACACTGCAAATGTTTGGTGTGCATCTTATTATATGGGATGTAATGTCCTGATGACTGAATAAACTGACAATATCTGTTTAAATTGTAAGGATCTTTTTTCGATACCAGCTAGTATCACTGATTTTTCTATTTCTTGTTGATTTCTTTATGGATTTGTTTTCTTCTTGGTTCCTCCTTCCTTTAATTTCCTGAGATGTTCTTTCTCATTCCTTTCGTGTTCTGAGAACTTGGGTAGATCTGGTTTCCTTTTCCTCAGCTGGAGTTCTTTCTCCTTTCTGGATACCTAGTTCCTTTCCTCCAACTCTGTCTGAAGTCTTCTACCATTTTCTCCCTGAAGCCCTTTGTTTATTCCTCTTCCCTAATTTTACAGCTCTAGGTAGCCTTTCTGAGTTCCTTTGATTAGTGATGCCAGCTCAATCATTTCATTTCTCCTCTCTGGGCTCTTGAAACTGGCACTACTTGTCCGGGCGTGGTGGCTCACGCCTGTCATCCCAGCACTTTGAGAGGTCCAGGTGGGTGGATCACAAGGTCAGGAGTTTGAGACCAGCCTGGCCAATATGGTGAAACCCCGTCTCTACTAAAAAAAAATACAAAAAAAAAAAAATTAGCCGGGCGTGGTGGTGCGTGCCTGTTATCCCAGCTACTTGGGAGGCTGAGGCGGAAGAATTGCTTGAACCCGGGAGGCAGAGGTTGCAGTAAGCCAAGATCGTGCCACTGCACTCCAGCCTGTGTGACAGAGCGAGACTCCATCTCAAAAAAAAAAAAAAAGAAAAGAAAAAAAGAAACTGGCACTGCTTCCCCTTAGTCATGTAATAACAGGGCCAACATCCTCATCTATAATGGAAGCAGCACGTAGTCTTCAGAAACCACTGGCACATCCATCTAGAAGAGGCAGAGGATTTAGTATTGGAAAGGCCCTTAAAGATCATTTGCCTACCCTCCTCATCTTGTCATCTTCACATCAGAGTGACCTCACTGTGTATTTTGAACTGAAGCTACAGCACATCTGGCTGTTTTAATATTTTTTAAACCCATTAGGTCTAGAAATTAAATGAGCGCCTAGCAGGTAGTTAGCTGTGTCTTGACCTTGCCATAAGTACATTTTATTTTTTGGGTTTTTGTTTTTTTTTTTTTTTGAGATGGAGTCTTGCTCTGTCGTCCAGGCTGGAGTGCAGTGGTGCGATCTCAGCTCACTGCAGCCTCCACCTCCTGGGTTCAAGTGATTCTCCTGCCTCAGCCTCCCAAGTACCTGGGATTACAGGTGCCTGCCACCACACCTGGCTAATTTTTGTAATTTTAGTAGAGATGGGGTTTCACCATGTTGCCCAGGCTGGTCTCGAACTCCTGACCTCAGGTGATCTTCCTGCCTTGGCCTCCCAAAGTGCTGGGATTACAGACATGAGTCACCATGCCTGGCTGCCATAATTACATTTTGCACCTCTCCTTCCCCAGTTCAACCTCGACCCTGGGTCACAATGGTCAGAACTTTATTTCTCAGTGTGGACGCAGTCATGGGATTCTGTTTCAAAGACAATGGATATTGTTTATGCTGGCTCTCTTTTTTTTTTTGTTGAGATGGAGTCTTGCTCTGTAGCCTAGGCTGGATTGCAGTGGCCTTATCTCGGCTCACTGCAACCTCTGCCTCCTGGGTTCTAGCAATTCTCCTGCCTCAGTCTCCCGAGTAGGATTACAGGTGCACGTCGTGATGCCCGGCTAATTTTTTGTATTTTAGAAGAAACGGGGTTTCACTGTGTTGCCCAGGCTGGTCTTGAACTCCTGAGCTCAGGCAATCCACCCACCTCGGCCTCCCAAAGTGCTAGGATTACAGGCGTGAGCCACCGCTCTTGGCCCTGGCTCTTTTTATTTTATTTATTATTATTATTTTTTGAGATGGAGTTTCACTCTTGTTGCCCAGGCTGAAGTGCAATGGTGCGATCCCAGCTCATCACAACCTCTGCTTCCCGGGTACAAGCAATTCTCCTGCCTCAGCCTCCCCAGTGGCTGGGATTACAAGCATGCACCACCACGCCCAGCTAATTTTGTATTTTTAGTAGAGACGGGGGTTTCTCCACATTGGTCAGGCTACTCTCGAACTACTGACCTCAGGTGATCTGCCTGCCTCATCCTCCCAAAGTGTGGGGTTGCAGGTGTGAGCCACCGTGCCCGGCAGCTCTGTCTTTTTAAATTGCTTCAAAGTTCTTTGAAGAATCCTGAGTCTTCCTCATAGTGTCTTTAAAAGTTCTGTTTTGGAGGATTGCTTGAGGCTAGGAGTTTCAGACCAGCCTGGTCAACATAGCAAGACCCCACCTCTACAAAAAATTAAAAAATTAGCTGAGCATGGTGGCTTGTGTCTCTAGTCCCAGCTACGTGGGAGGCTGAGGTAGGAGGACCACTTAAGCTCAAGAGTTTGAGGTTGCAGTTAGCTATGATCACGCCACTGTACTCCAGCCTGGGTGACAGAGAAGACCATGTCTCTAAAAACACACACACACACACACACAAATGAAAAAATAGTTTTGTTGATTTTTTTTTCTTCAAAGAATTTGAAGTAGCATATAGCTGCATCTTGAGCTTGATACAATGAAATGATAATCAGGATCCCCAGCAGAAAAATCTGTTGCTGAAAATTTGCCTTCCTTTTGTATACTACACCAACTCAAAGATTCTTCAATTCTTTCTCTTCTGCTCTGTTCTCTCAACCTCCAAGGGAAAGTAGGTATGTTCTGCTACCCAGGCAGTAAGAAATCTGCTGAGCTGCTGTGCTGTGGAATGAATTGTGTCCCCCACACCCCCAACAGCCCCACCCCAAATTCATATGGTGAAGCCATAACCCCCAGTGTATTGATATTTGGAGATGGGTCCTTCAGGAAATCATTAGGTTTAGATGAGCTCATGAAGACGGGACCCTCATGATAGGATTAGTGCCATTTTAAGAAAAGACATCAGGCCAGGTGTGGTGGCTCATACTTGTAATCCCAGCACTTTGGGAGGCTGAGGCAGGCAGATCCTGAGGTCAGGAGTTCGAAACCAGCCTGGCCAACATGATGAAACCCCGTCTCTACTAAAAATACACAAATTAGCTGGGCACGGTGGTGGGTGCCTGTAACCCCAGCTACATGGGAGGCTGAGGCAGGAGAATCACTGGAACCCAGGAGGCAGAGGTTGCAGTGAGCCAAGATCGTGCCTTTGCACTCCAGCCTGGGCGACAGAGCAAGACTGTCTTGGGGGAAATAAAAAAAAAAAAAGACATCAGAGAGCTTTCTCTCTCTCTTTGCCATGTGAGGACACAGTGAGAAGGTAGCTATCTATAAGCCAGGAAGAGAGCCTTCACTAGATACTGGCCCAACTGGCACCTGATCCAGAACTGTGAGAAAATAAATTTCTGTTGTTTAAACCACCCAGTTTGTGGTACTTTGTTATGAAGCCTGAGCTGACTAAAACATGCTAGGTTTATTACATTTCCTCCTTTTAACTTTCAGGTTCTTCACAATTTTTGTTTTACCTTGCCTCTGAACTGTCTGTGATTTCTACAACCCATTGGCTCCTTTCTAAGTCACTAATGGCTATATATCTCTTTCCCAAAATTCAACACCTATAATCTCCTTTGAAACTCAAAAAATCCTGAGAAGGTTCAGGAAAATTATGACTTATCCTAGATCACATAGAAAGTCATGAAAAATAGGACTAGAACCAAGGTCTTTTGCTATTTTTCCACTAAATTAGGCAGTAATAATTTTTCTTTTCTTTCTTTTTTTTTTTTTGAGACAGAGTCTCGTTCTGTCGCCCAGGCTAGAGTGCAGTGGCGCAATCTCGGCTCACTGCAACCTCTGCCTCCTGGCTTCACGCCATTCTCCTGCCTCAGCCTCCCGAGTAGCTGGGACTGCAGGCACCCGCCACCATGCCCGGCTAATTTTTTATGTTTTTAGTAGAGACGGGGTTTCACCGTGTTAGCCAGGATGGTCTTGTTCTCCTGACCTTGTGATCCACCTGCCTCGGCCTCCCAAAATGTTGGGATTACAGGCGTGAGCCACTGCGCCTGGCCTTTTTTTCTTATTAATGTAATATAAATAGGTTATATATGTTTTAATAGAGACAGAATCTTGCTCTGTTGCCCTGGTTAGTCTCAAACTCCAGGGTTCAAACAGTCCTCCTACCTCGGCCTCTCAAAATGCTAGGATTACAGGTGTGAGCCACTGTACCCAGCTAATAATTTTTTTCTGAATCAAAAATAGGGTATAAGACTGATAGGATAAATTTGTGAACTTTATTTATAAGAAAAGGCTTAAAAATAGGAAAAGTTGGCCAGGCATGGTGGCTCATGCCTGTAATACCAGCACTTCGGGAGGCTGAGGCAGGAGGATTGCTTGAGGCCAGAAGTTTGAGGCCAGGCTGCGCAGTATAATAGTAAGACCCCATCTTTAAAAAAACTTTATAAATTAGCCGGGTACAGTGGATCATGCCTGTAGTCCCAGCTGCTCAGGAGGGTGAGGTGAGTCACCCAGGAGTTGAAGGCAGCAGTGAGCTGCAACCATGCCTCTGTTCTGTAGCCTGGGTGATAGAGTGAGATCCTGTAGATAGATAGATAGATAGATAGATAGATAGATAGATAGATAGATATGCTTATTATATATTTGATCAGTTGTTTAAAATCACCTGGAATTTGGTCCGTTTATGAAAATCCAAACCATAAAGTCTCCAAGTATAGGCCCTTCCCTGAAGATAGTAAAAATTTTTTTTAAGTTGATTGTTTTTAGGCCAGAATTTGCCAAGCTTTACCATGCCCTATGGTCTTAAATCAGTTCTGACTTAAGCATTTATATTACTTGCCTGGCCTTGTAGGCATTTGAGTTTGTGAATTCTAATGTAAATCATAAATGGCTGGGCATGATGGCTCACGCCTATAATTGCAGCCCTTTGGGAGGCTGAGGCAGGCAGATCACGCGGTCAAGAGATCGAGACCATCCTGGCCAACATGGTGAAACCCCATCTCTACTAAAAATACAAAAAAATGGGCCAGGGGGGCACCTGCTCTTGTCCCAGCAACTCGGGAGGCTGAGGCAGGAGAATGGCGTGAACCTGGGAGGCAGAGCTTGCAGTGAGCCTAGATCACGCCACTGCACTCTAGCCTGGGCGACAGAGTGAGACTCTAAATGATCAAAGGAATAGGCAACATTAAGATATATTTAAACATTAAAATTGTTCTTTTTTTTTTTTTGAGATGGAGTCTCGCTCTGTCGCCCAGGCTGGAGTGCAGTGACGCCATCTCAGCTCACTGCAAGCTCCGCCTCCCAGGTTCACGCCATTCTCCTGCCTCAGCCTCCTGAGTAGCTGGGACTACAGGCGTCCACCACATTGCCTGGCTAATTTTTTTGTATTTTTAGTAGAGACGGGGTTTCACCGTGTTAGCCAGGATGGTCTCGACCTCCTGACCTCGTGATCCACCCACCTCAGCCTCCCAAAGTGCTGGGATTACAGGCGTGAGCCACCGCGCCCGGCCTTTTTTTTTTTTTTTTTATAATTGAGACGGAGTCTCACTCTGTCGCCTAGGCTGGAGCGCAGTGGCTCGATCTCAGCTCACTGCAACTTCCACCTCCTGGGTTCAAGCGATTCTCAGGCCTCAGCCTCCCGAGTAGCTGGGATTATAGGCGCCTGCCACCATGCCTGGCTAATTTTTGTATTTTTAGTAGAGACGGGGTTTCGCCATGTTGTACAGGCTGGAAACATTAAAATTCTTTAATTTGAAAAGAAAATGATAGGGAATATGATTGAAGTCAGTTGATCTGGACAAAGTAAATTAAAATTGTTCATGAGATCCCAGAATACCATAACAGGCACCTCATAAAGTCAGAGAAAAAGGAAGTAGAACTTCACAGTATGGGCTAGTAAACTTGCTTCCTTTGTGTGTAAGGATCAAATAAGATGCTGAATATAAAGATTCTGTTGTGAGCTTGATTTGATGGCCCTGGAGGACACTCGATTCCAGGACCAGTCTGAAGGAATTGGCCTGTAAAAGGAAGATTGGGGGTGAGCAGTAAGGAGCATTTGTCATAGGGAAAGGAGTTCCATGAGCTCTACAGTCCTAGAATTGGGAGTATTTAGAAGAGTATAAGGAAAGGATTTAGGGCCGGGCGTGGTGGCTCACGCCTGTAATCCCAGCACTTTGGGAGGCCGAGGCGGGCGGATCACGAGGTCAGGAGATCGAGACCATCCTGGCTAACACAGTGAAACTCCGTCTCTATTAAAAATACAAAAAATTAGCCGGGCGCAGTGGCGGCCGCCTGTAGTCCCAGCTACTCGGGAGGCTGAGGCAGGAGAATGGCGTGAATCCCAGAGGCGGAGCTTGCAGTGAGCAGAGATCGCACCACTGCACTCCAGCCTGGGCGACAGAGTGAGACTCTGTCTCAAAAAAAAAAAGAAAGGATTTAGGATGTGGGAGGAACTGATTGGTTATTAGAGGAACTTGAGAAGCGGTAGGAAACCCATGCCAGTATTGTAGAAGGGAAGGAGTTAACAGCGAATGCAGAGAAATATGTGATCATTATTAAAACTGGAGTGTGATGGTTGGGCACTGAGAATGAGGTGCTTGGGGATCTAGCTGTGTGAAGGGACTTGAAGTGACAGCAGATTTCAAAGACTACTGATCTCGGTTTTAGAGAGCCCAGTTCTAGTCCTGAGACTGACCTCATCCTTTTGGTCATTTTGGATCTGTTTCATATATAAGATGAAGAGACTAGATTATGTTATTTCTAAATCCCTTCTACCTCTTAAATGATTTTTGTCAATTGATATGGGGTCTGGCTATGTTGCCCAGGCTCATCTCAAACTCCTGGCCTCAAGCGATCTTCCCACCTCAGCTTCCCAATGTGCTGGGATTCCAGGTATGAGCCACCATGCCCACCCCCTTTTAGCTCTTGATACTAAACTTTTTACTAAAAGAATTTTTTTTAAGGTTTTAATGAAGCCATAGAAGACCAGACCACAGTTTATTACAAAGGAAAATTCAGACATTCTGGAGCATGTCTCTAACTTGGAGGGTGAAAAGGAAGGATCTTTGTCAAATGATCTAATACTAGTATGAGTGGATCACCTAATTTGGCACTTGTAATGTTCAAACAGACCCTGACCTTTTTTTTTTTTTTTTTTTTTTGAGACGGAGTCTGACTCTGTCAGACTGGAGTGCAGTGGCGTGATCTCAGCTCACTGCAAGCTCCGCCTCCCAGATTCACGCCATTCTCCTGCCTCAGCCTCCAGAGTAAGTGGGTCTACAGGCGCCCACCACCACACCTGGCTAATTTTTTTGTATTTTTAGTAGGGACGGGGTTTCACCATGTTAGCCAGGATGGTCTTGATCTCCTGACCTCGTGATCTGCCCACCTCGGCCTCCCAAAGTGCTGGGATTACAGGCATGAGCCACCACGCCCAGTCCAGACCCTGACTTTCAAGCCCATTTTCTGTATGTTTCCCAACTTAATTGACACAGCACTGTGGTTTCCACTGTTCTGTTCTTTTATAACCTTGTTACTCAAGGTGGGGTCCATTGACCATCAGCATCACCTAGGAGCTTATTAGAAATGCAGAATATCAGGCCAAGCGTGGTGGCTGATAACTGTAATCCCAGCACTTTGAGAGGCTGAGGTGGGAGGATCACTTGAGGCCAGGAGTTTGAGACCAGCCTGAGTACCATGGCAAGATCTTGTCTCCTATAAGCACTGCTCCTATAGCAGTGGTTCTCAAACTTTAACTGATGTCAGAATCTCCAGAAGGGCTTGTTAAAACATAAATTGGTCAGAACTTCTGATTCAGTAGGTCTGGAATGGGGCCCAAGAATTTGCTTTTTTCTTTTCTTCTTTTTTTTTTTTTTTTTTTTTTTTTTTTTGAGACAGGGTGTCCTTCTGTCACCTAGGCCCTAGGCTGGAATGCAGTGGCATGGTCATGGCTCCCTGCAGCTTCAACCTCCAAGCCTCAAGCAATCCTTTCACCTCAGCCTCTGGAGTAGCTGAGACTATAGGTACACGCCTGTACACCAAGCTAATTTTTTATTTTTTTGTAGAAACGAGATCTCTCCATATTGCCCAGACTGGTCTAGAACTCCTGGCCTCAAGTGGCCCTCCAGCACTGGCCTCCCAAAGCGCTGGGATTGCAGGCATGAGCCACCGTGCCCTTCCAAATTTGCTTTTTTTTTTTTTGAGACAGAGTCTCGTTCTGTCACCCAGGCTGGAATGCAGTGGTGCGATCTTGGCTCACTACAACCTCTGCCTCCCGGGTTCAAGCGATTCTCCTGCCTCAGGCTTCCGAGTAGCTGGGACTATAGGCACGTGCCACCACGCTTGGCTGATTTTTTTATTTTTAGTAGAAACGGGGTTTCACCTTCTTAGCCAGGATGGTTTCGATCTCCTGACCTCGTGATCCTCCTGCCTAGGCCTCCCAAAGTGCTGGGATTACAGGTGTGGGCCACCATGCCCGGCCCCGAATTTGCGTTTTTTTTGTTGTTGTTTTTGTTTTGTTTTCGTTTCTGTTTTTTGAGACCGAGTTTCACTCTTGTTGCCCAGGCTGGAGTGCAATGGCTCGATCTTGGCTCACCGCAACCTCTGCCTCCTGGGTTCAAGTGATTCTCCGGCCTCAGCCTCCCGAGTAGCTGGGATTACAGGTGTGGGCCACCATGCCCAGCTAATTTTTTATTTTTAGTAGAGACAGGGTTTCTCCATGTTGGTCAGGCTGGTCTCAAACACCCGACCTCAGTTGATCCGCCCACCTAGGCCTCCCAAAGTGCCAGCCACCATGCCTGGCCAATTTGCGTTTTTAATAACTTAAAAACTATTAAAGTTTTTGCTAGGAAGTCTTTGGCTTTAATTACTTCCTGCTCATGATTATCAGTTTCAAGTTTGCTTTTAATCTCCCCAGTAAGACTATACTTTCTTGTTTTGTGTTATTTTTTCAACATCCTTATTGACGTATAATTTGCATACCAAACAATTCACCCATTTAAAATGTATAAGCCGATAGTATTTAGTATATTCACAGATACGTGCAACTATCACCACAGCCAATTTTATAACATTTTCATCATCAGAAAAAGAAAGTAGGTAGAGCACTGAGGAATTTTAGGGCAGTGAAGCTATGTAGTACAATGCTGTAATGATGGATATGTGTCATTGTACACTTATCAAAACCCATAGGATGTACACCAAGAATGAACCCTAATGTAAACTATGAGCTTTGGATGATGACGATGTGTCAATGGAGGTTCATCAGTTGTAACAAATGTACCACTCTGCTGTGGGATATTGATACTGGGAGAGGCTACACATGTGTAGGATAAGAGGCTATGTCAAAACTCTGTATTCTCTGCTTTATTTTGCTGTAAAACTAAAACTGCTTTAAAATAAAGTCTTTTAAGAAAGAAAGAAGTCCGGGCATGGTGGCTCACGCCTGTAATCCCAGCACTTTGGGAGGCTGAGACGGGCGGATCGTCTGAGGTCAGGAGTTTGAGACCAGCCTGGCCAACATGGTGAAACCCTGTCTCTACTAAAAATACAAAAATTAGCCAGGCGTGGTGGTGGGTGCTTGTAATCCCAGCAACTCAGGAGGCTGAGGCAGGACAATTGCTTGAACTCGGGAGGCGGAGATTGCAGTGAGCCGAGATCACGCCATTGCACTCCAGCCTGGGCTTTAGAGTGAGACTCTGTCTCAAAAAAAAAGAAAAAAAGAGAGAAAGAAACTCCATGTCCTTTAGCTGTACCCCTTATCTCCACATCCCACCAGGACCCAAGTAACCACTAATCTTCCAACCATTAATCTTTTGTATTTCTTTTACATTGCATAAGTACTTGGCAAAGTGCTAGATATATTTATTAAGAGATTAATATGTATAAACAGTTGCATCATCTAACTTAATCCTTATCATAACTGTGAGGTCTGAGTGTTTATTGTTATCTCAAAGCTGAGGATATTGAAACTTAAGATAGGTTAAAAAACTTGTAACATAACCAGTAAATGATGAAACTAGCATTGTATCCTTGTACTATCATTTAAAAACTCATGCTCTTAACCTTTCTACCATATCTATTGTAGTAAACTGAATTTTCGAAGCTATGCAATATCTATGAGAAATTTTACTAAGATATTTAAAATGTCATGGAAAGGCTTAACTTGTTTGGGCATGCTGGCTCCCTCACAAAATTTGCTGCATGTTCTTTTCTTTTAATAGCCTCTTTATGTATCTCTCCACATTTTTCCTCAAGCTCATATAAATGCACAGATACATTGTAGGGGCTTCTTGAGGGGTCATTATATAAAAATAGGATTATACTATAAATATCACTCTAAAACTCACTATGGACATCTTCTGTTTCTAGAAATAGATCTAGCTCTTTGTTTTGAGTAGCTGTGTACTGTGCATATCATAATGTAACAGTTACCTTATTGGTGGAAGTTGGGTTTTTTTGCTATTACATACAATATTACAGTTAATATCCTTATACATTTATTTTTGTGCTTTTGCATACTATATCTGTAGATATGAATCACAAGATTCTATGTATTACAATTTTTGATAGATGCTGCTCATTTTTTATTAAAAAGGTTATACCACTTGAGCAGCAGCATGCACAGTTAAGACCCAGATCCTGATCTGGGTATCTTTCCTCTCCACAAGGAGCTTAATGGAATGGCTGGATCTGGATGTATAGCAGATAAAGGACAAGGTCAGCCTAGGATACCTGTGTCAAAAAAACAAGAAGTCCTCAAAGACTTGTTTTTTGTTTTTTTGGGTTGTTTTTTTTTTTTTCAGATGGAGTCTTGCTCTGTTGCACAGGCTGGAGTGCAGTGGCACGATCTCGGCTCACTGCAACCTCCACTACCCAGGTTCAAGCAATTTTCCTGCCTCAGCCTCCTGAGTAGCTAGGATTACAGGCGCCCACTACCACACCCAACTAATTCTTGTATTTTTAGTACAGACAGGGTTTCACCATGTTGATCAGGATGGTCTCAAACTCCTGACCTCAGGTGGTCTACCCGCCTCGGCCTCCCGAGGTGCTGGAATGACAAGTGTGAGCCACTGCGCCCGGCCTAATTTTTGTATTTTTAGTAGAGACGGGGTTTTGCCATATCGGCCATGCTGATCTCGAACTCCTGACCTCAGGAGATCCACCCGCCTCAGCCTCCCAAAGTGCTGGGATTAAAGGCATGAGTCTTGCATAAAGGATACAAAGAGCCAGCTATAAGAGGTTCTAAATGCCCAAATTTGGAACAATTTGAATATCAGACAAACCATCGTAATTATACCACACTGAAATTTTTAAAAAATTAATGCATCTCTACTGATACTAAAAGATGGTAGGGGAGAGAGTAAAGCTCTTTTAAAAAGAAGGATATGGCTGGGTGCAGTGGCTCACACCTGTTATCCCAGTACTTTGGGAGGCTGAGGTGGGTGGATCACCTGAGGTCAGGAGTTCCACACCAGCCTGGCCAGCGTGACAAAACCCCGTCTCTACTAAAATACAAAAAATTAGCTGTGCGTGGTGGCAGGCACCTATAATCCCAGCTACTCAGGAGGCTGAAGCAGGAGAATTGCTTGACCCCGGAGGCGGAGGTTGCAGTGAGCCAAGATCATGCCATTCATTGCACTCCAGCCTGGGCAACAAGAGCGAAACTCCGTCTCAAACAAAAAAACAAACAAAAGAAAAAAACAAAGGATACTAGCCAGTAAGGGTAGAAGGAATGACAATATTTTAAAAATTCACCATTTTGTAATCCCTAGTATGATATGGGAAATTAAATTTAGTTAAGGATCATCATGGAGGCTAATATCCTGGTGAGAAGAAGCTGTTGGGCTGTTCACATGGTGCCATAGATTACTTACTCATCAAACATAAAGGGAAAAACATGTCTTTACACTAGAGAAATCCTGCGGTTACCACCTTAACCAGATCGTCAAAGTCAGCATCACTAGTGCAGGAAATCATGATGTTAATGTGTTATTTTGTTGGATGCAGTAAGAAGTACCCAATTCACTTATGAAGCATTCTTTCCAAAAATGTTTAAATTAAATCTAAGCAACCTTCATGTTTATCTGCAGGATTATCTTCTTTAGCTAGAACTGTAAATGATTTTACTATATGACCTTAGGTAGGTTACGTTAGTGACTTGTCTGAGTCTCAGAGCCCTTGTTTGTAAAAACAGTGACATTGAATCAGAAAAAATGCATGAAAGTAACCTAGCATGTAGTTTGTTATATCATAAGAATGTAAAATACTAGTTCATCTCTGCTATCAGAATCCATTCATAGCCACCAAGTATATAGCTGAATGAAAACTACATTTCTCTTTTTCACATCTTATTTCCTTATCTAATTCTATGTAATCTGATGGCATGTTTTATGAATTCCCTATACTTGCTTAGATCCATAAGCTGTGCAGCCCCAAGTATGGCATAAACCCTCTAATCCAAAATGTTCAAGGGACATTTTAGGTAACAGAGCATGGGATTAGAACATTTCTATACTCATTAGAAACTTACGTTGACTTGTATGAAACTACCAGTTTTCTAGATTAAAATTGGTCAAATATCAGCAATGTCATGTGATTCAATCTAATAATGTGCTTTGGTGGCAGAAGCTTAGTACATCAACATTTGCCAAGCATTCTTTCTTTTTCCTTCCTTACGGGTTTAGAAAAAGATTTGCTCAGAGGACGAGAGAAGGATTTGTATTGAGCCAAGTTTTAAGGAAATTGTGATGTGAACTCTTAATCTATTGTGATGTGTATTCTAAATATTTTTGGATATTTCTTCATTTTATACTCTCCTCTCCCCCCAGGTACAATAGTTATTCTTTCCAATCACTTCTTACCTCTTGGCTTTTCTTTCCAGGTAGTGGGAAATGAGACAACGCTTTTCTTTTTCTGTACTTTAAATTCTGGATTGGTCTTTTTGAATAGGCAGTTGCAGAATTTTGAAAACATGAGCAAGAATAATTTACTTCAAGTTCCAGCTGGTTCTCTTCCAAAGATAGCACTTAGAAATGATAATGTACTTTTTTTCTTTGTACCCTAGTTCCTAGTAGAATATGGAACGTAAGACAGATTGATGGATTTTGAGTACATGTTGTTTTATAGAATATAAACAATGGCCAGGTGCGGTGGTTCACACCTATAATCCCAGCAGTTTGGGAGGTCAGGAATTCGAGACCAGCCTGACCAACATGGTGAAACCCTGTCTCTACCAAAAATACAAAAATTAGCTGGGCATGGTAACACGCGCCTGTAGTACCAACTACTTGGGAGGCTGAGGCAGGAGAATTGCTTGAACCCAGGAGGTGGAGGTTGCAGTGAGCCAAGATTGTGCTACTGCACTCCAGTCTAGGTGACAGAGCAAGACTCTGTGTCAAAAAGAAAATAATATAAACAATGAAGTAATAATTCATAGGAGATTGGAAAGGAAAGTTTCCAGCTGTCAAGTATTGAAATTACATCATAGCAAGAATTCTCCCTGGGGTACGGCCCTTATAACAAGAGTCATAATTGTTACTCCCTTAAGAAAGTGACCTATCTTCCTTAAAGAAGGTGTGCTGGGCAATTGTGTATAGTTTTAATATTCCTAACCATCCTTTTTATTTCCTCAAACAAGAAGAAACAAATTCATGGAAGACCATCCCTCTCAAGGAAATGTGATCAACCCTGCATATAAATAGCTTTATTAAAATCCTTAGTTGTTGGCAAGCCATAACATTGCAAGTTTGAAAGTTATTGTTTGTCTCCTAGACAGCCGCTCAGGAAGCAATCTTGCATGCGTCTGGAAATGGCACAACCAAGGACTACTGCATGCTTTATAACCCTTATTGGACAGCTCTTCCAAGTACCCTAGAAAATGCAGTAAGTAAATCACAGTTACTATTCATAAACATAAAAATAGTGAAGAAGGAGGCTGGGCACGGTGGCTCATGCCTGTAATCCCAGCACTTTGGGAGGCCAAGGCGGGCGGATCATGAGGTCAGGAGATCAAGACCATCCTGGCTAACACGGTGAAACCCCTTCTCTACTAAAAATACAAAAATTAGCTGGGTGTGGTGGCAGGCGCCTGTAGTCCCAGCTACTCAGGAGGCTGAGGCAGGAGAATTGTGTGAACCCAGGAGGCAGAGCTTGCAGTGAGCTGAGATCATGCCACTGCACTCCAGCCTGGGCAACAGGGTGAGACTTCGTCTCTGAAAAAAAAAAATAGTGAAGAAGGCTGTGTACAATGGCTGATACCTGTAACCCTAGCACTTTGGGATGTCAAGATGGGAGGATCATTTGAGACCAAGTGGTCAAGACCAATCTGGTCAGCATAGTGACACCCTGTCTCTATTTAAAAAGAAAAAAGAAAAAATATTGAAGAAGTGAGAATGACTGATAATTATGTTTTATTGTGTGAACCATTGTCATGTACGGTTGTTAATAAATAATTATTGATTTTTCTCAAGTATTTTTCTCTCTGGGAAAATAGGGAATTTTAAAATACTTAATTCTAAGCCTAAATATTTCTAATTCAAAAGATATTGTCTTAAACCAATATTGATAACCAAAGGCAGTATTTATAACTGAATGCATTTAGGATGAAATAGATTTTTAACATGTTAAAAAGACATTTCTTATTTTCAGACTTCCATTAGTTTGATGAATCTGACTTCCACACCACTATGCAACCTTTCTGATATTCCTCCTGTTGGCATAAAGAGCAAAGCAGTTGTGGTTCCATGGGGAAGCTGCCATTTTCTTGAAAAAGCCAGAATTGCACAGAAAGGAGGTGCTGAAGCAATGTTAGTTGTCAATAACAGTGTCCTAGTAAGTTATAAAAACAATCATATCTTATTTTGAGTTCATGATGTGAAATTTCACAAAAATGGAATTAACGTCTTTGTGTGTGGTTTAGAGGCTGAGTTTTGAATGATCTGATGGCAAGATTCTTTGTAAATAAATAATCAAGATCTAATAGGCATTTACTTGGAAAGTTTTTCAGTTTTTCTATTCCTAGAGCAGACAAGACTTTGTTAGGAACAAATATATATATATGCATATATATAGAGATATATATGTATTACACATATGTAATATGAATATATCATAAATGCTATATATATTATAGCATTTATCAGTTTAAGTTCATGTTAAAAGGATTCAATTTTGAGAACTTAGAGTGTTAAGAAAGAATACCTGAAATTTTGTCTTATAACTTAAAGAAAGACGTAATATTTATATTTAATGGAATAGTATTTTATTCTATAAATATATTAGTAGTAAATAAGTTTTCATAATTTTTTCTTTTTTAGTTTCCTCCCTCAGGTAACAGATCTGAATTTCCTGATGTGAAAATACTGATTGCATTTATAAGCTACAAAGACTTTAGAGATATGAACCAGGTAAATTAGCAATTACATATTAGATAAAGTTTATAAATACTGTATCTCTTTATTTTTAATCACTAATGTTTAATTTTGAGTGTTATATTTGCTCCATTTGCTAACAAGAAGCTATAAGGCCTATCAAGTTTTTGTTTGGAAAGTACTCATCTCTCATTTGGCACCAAGTGTCTCAAAGCCTAAACTTTAGAAAGGATGTTTGTTTTCAGTTCTTTAAAAATCTCTTGTCATGTCATTTATCTTAACTTTAGGTTCCTGAACAAAATATGATTGTGTAGAACACTGTACTTTAAAGATTTTATAAACCAAAGCATATCATCATACTTTTGACTAGAGAATATATCATGTCATCAGACAATAATTCTAGTCTTCTTGACTGTCTGATGTATAATGTCCATTCCAGAGTGAAATGTGGACTATTGCTGTTATGACTATAGTAGAAAGAAAAGTTATTCCTGTGTTTAACTGTTATTTTGCCTTTCAGACTCTAGGAGATAACATTACTGTGAAAATGTATTCTCCATCGTGGCCTAACTTTGATTATACTATGGTGGTTATTTTTGTAATTGCGGTGTTCACTGTGGCATTAGGTGGATACTGGAGTGGACTAGTTGAATTGTAAGTTTAATTAACTTAAGCGTTTTTGTAATAAATGGTTAAAAATTTCTGCAATCATTTTAATTATATAACAACATTTAAAAATTTATCTGCCCTCAGAATATGATGCCAGTAAGCCCAGTCTGCAGGTTTGTCCTCATGTAGATCATTTACATTTTCACCAGAGAGAAAAGAGTCACAGATTTCTCTAACTCTTCCACTGTCAGAGGAACATTGACATCACATCAGAGACCCTTTTAAGTTAAAATGTTTAATTCTGTCTCCCAGGAAAGGTCATGGGAGATATCCTAATATGCCTATTGATTTAGATTGGAAGAAAATAAGCAAGAGAAAGTGGGGAGTTTTTCAGCTCCTCCTGGGCTGGGTCATTACAGTGTGGCCTCATCATTCTGTTTAATGCTTTAGGAATTCTAAGGATGTTAGTAATGTCCATCTTTTTTTTCACTTAGTCAAGATTTATTTCAAGGCTTGAAAACATTCAGGCCAACTAAAATGGTACTACTGTCACTTTTTATAATACATAAATAGGCCAGGCACGGTGGCTCACGCCTGTAATCCCAACACTTTGGGAGGCCAAGGCGGGCAGATCACCTGAGGTCAGGAGTTTGAGACAAGCCTGGCCAACATGGTGAAACCCTGTCTCTACGAAAAATACAAAAATTACCTGGGTGCAGTGGTGCGTGCCTGTAATCCCAGCTACTTGGGAGGCTGAGGCAGGAGAATTGCTTGAACCTGGGAGGTGGAGGTTGCAGTGAGCTGAGATTGTGCCATTGCATTCCAACCTAGGTGACAAGAGTGAGACTATGTCTCCAAAAAAAAAAAAAAAAAAAGTAAATAATTAATATAAAACTTTGAAAAACATAGACACAGTTAAATAACCACTAAACACCACACTATTCAATTCTCAAAAGCAATGGCTATTTAGCATACTGTAAGGGAACAGTAAAATATCAGAGAACTCTTATGCATTTAGAGAACATAATTAGCCGCAAGCTAGTCAGACAAAATAAACATAAATGTTTTTACATTTTCCTTTTTTTTTTTTTTTTTTTTTTTTTGATACAGAGTCTCGCTCTGTTGCCAGGCTGGAGTACAGTGGTGCGATCTTGGCTCACTGAAAACTCCGCCTCTCCAGTTCAAGTGATTCTCCTGCCTCAGCCTCCCAAGTAGCTGGGACTACAGGCACGCACCACCATGCCCAGCTAATTTTTGTATTTTTAGTAGAGATGGGGTTTCACCATGTTGATCAGGATGGTCTTGATCTCTTGACCTTTTGATCTGCCCGCCTTGGCCTCCCAAAGTGTTGGGATTACAGGTGTGAGTCACTGTGCCTGGCCTCCATGTTTGTTTTTAATTTTGCTTTATAAAGTCACGGATAAATTGAGGCATCTCTCAATTTTAGGATTTCTCACATTAAAAATTATATATTTATATATATTTTTTTGAGATGGAGACTTGCTCTGTCATGCAGGCTGGAGTGCAGTGGTATGATCTCAGCTCACTGCAACCTCTGCCTCCCAGATTCAAGCGCTTCCCCTGCCTCAGCCTCTTTAGTAGCTGGGATTACAGGTGCCTGCCACCATGCCTGGCTAGTTTTTGTGCTTTTAGTAGAGATGAGTTTTCACCATGTTGGCCAGACTGGTCTTGAACTCCTGACCTCAGGTGATCTGCCCACCTCGGCCTCCCAAAGTGTTGGGATTACAGGCGTGAGCTACCGTGCCCGGCCTAAAAATTATATTTTCTAGCCTTGGCAACATAGCAAGACCTCATCTCTTCTAAAAATAACAAAATTAGCACACACCTCTAGCCCCAGAGGCTACTCAGGAGGTGGAGGTGAGAGGATTGCTTGAACCCAGGAGTTTCAGGTTATAGGGAGCTGTGATTGTGCCACTGCACTCCAACCTGGGCAACAGAGTGAGACCCTACTAAAAAAAAAAAAAAAAAAAGGCCAGCTGCAGTGACTCATTTTTGGGAGGTCAGGTGGGCAGTTCACTTGAGCCCAGGAGTTCAAGATCAGCCTGGGCAACATAGTGAAACCCCGTCTCAGCCGGATGTGGTGGCTCACGCCTGTAATCCCAGCTCTTTGGAGGCTGAGGCAGGCGGATCATCTCATGTTAGGAGTTCGAGATCAGCCTGGCCCACATGGCGAAACCCCATCTCTAGTAAAAGTACGAAAATCAAACAGGTGTGGTGGCGTGCGCCTGTAGTCCCAGCTACTCAGGAGCCTGAAGCAGGAGAATCACTTGAACCCAGGAGGTGGAGGTTGCAGTGAGCCGAGATCATCCCATTGCACTCCAAGCTGGGTGACAGAGCGAAACTCCATCTCAAAACAGAACAAAACCCATCTCTACAAAAACATAAAAAATAAAAATTATATTTTCTAAGTATTTTTATTGAAAGAAATGAAAAAGCCACAAACTGCATTGTTTGCCATAAATTCATACACCAGAAAGTAAAATGCAATCCAGCTGAATCTGTATATGCTTCCCTTTTCTCCAACAACAGTTTTAAATGTTTTCTATATACTTTATAAGTTTTATTAAAATCAGTTCTAATTAATTTATGCAGATTAGGGGAAATGATTTATGATAAATTATCCTTAAAATTACCTTCTACAAACTTCTAACCCTACTGCCCCCATAGCCACCACATCTGCTGCTAAAGTGAACAATGATGCAATGTACTGTTTGTGGGGGCGCAAAGCATCTGTAGTCTTGATTTCCTGAATAGCCAAAGATTTCAACTTTCTGCCAGTTTAAACAAAAAGACTCAAATGGCCAAAATTATACAGTGAGAAGAAAAATCTATAGCATGAAGATTAACTAAAACTTTAAAGCATGTCTGTATTTTAATTTAAATATAGAAATTTCAAATGTACATAAAATTCAGATTTTCCTATTTAGTAGTAACCTTAACTCGGTCTCCTTACAGTTTTGTACTTTTGGCTCTAAATTAAAAAGAGTCAGTGTATATTCATAACTCTCAATGAAAAAAATGTGCCCAGAGCATATTATTTCATGTATGAAGGGCAAAATATATTTGCCTTGTGAATTGATCTATAGCTTCCATTTAAAAGATCTTATTTGTAACTAAATGAAGCTAAGGTTATTTGTAATTTCTTAAATACTAAAATTTGATTGACTTACATCAAGAGGGAAATGTTAAGAGTTTAACAAGTGTAGGTTCCTGGAGCATTGAGCTTTAAACATTTTTTGTATTTGGAAAGCATGTTTCAACATATATCAGTCACATCTTTCATATGAGTAAGCATGTTTTTCTCCTTCATTATTAATCTTTAATCTTTTTTTTTTTTTTTGAGATGGAGTCTCACTCTGTCACCCAGGCTGCAGTGCAGTGGTGCAATCTTGACTCACTGCAACCTCCACCTCCCAGGTTCAAGCAATTCTCCTGCCTCAGCCTCCCAAGTAGCTGGGATTGTAGGTGTGAACTACCACACCCAGCTAATTTTTTGTATTTTTTTTAGTAGAGATGGGGTTTCGCCATGTTGGCCAGGTTGGTCTCGAACTCCTGACCTCAGGTGATCTGCCTGCCTCAGCCTCCCAAAATGCTGGGATTACAGGTGTGAGCCACTGCGCCTGGCAATTATTAATCTTTATAAAGCATAGTATGTAAGATCTCCATATCTCTAAAATCATTTTGTATATTACTTAGGGAAACTTTAGAAATAATTTTCCAAAAGCTGCTGATTTATTGAAAATGTTTTCCTATTTATTATAGATTCTTACTGTACTTCCATTACCATGTAAATTTTTTCTTCTCTAGAATAGTGCTTCTCAAACTGTAAAGTGCATATACTTATCTAGAGATCTTATTAAAATACAAATTCAGGCCAGGCGTGGTGGCTCACACTTGTAATCCCAGCACTTTGGAAGGCCAAGGCAGATAGATCACTTGTGCCCAGGAGTTTGAGACCAGCCTGGGCAGCATAGTGAGACCCATCTCTACAAAAAGAATTTACAAATTAGTTGGGTGTGGTGACATGAACCTATAGTCCTAGCTACTCAGGAGGCTGATGTAGGAGGACCATTTGAGCCCAGGAATTTCAGGCTGCAGTGAGCCGTTATCATGCCACTGCACTCAAGCCTGGGCAGCAGAGCAAAATCCTATCTCAAAAAGATAACAAAAAGAATAATAAACTACAAATTCAGATTTAGTAGATTTGGGATAGGGGCCCAGATTTTGCATTGTGTGTTTTATTTTTTTGAGATGCAGTCTCACTCTGTTGCCCAGGCTGGAGTGCAGTGGTGAGACCCCGGCTCACTGCAACCTCTGCCTCCCAGGTTCAAGCAATTCTCCTGCTTCACCTTCCCCAGTAGCTGGGATTACAGGTGCACACCACCAAGCCTGACTAATTTTTGTATTTTAGTAGAGACAGGGTTTCACCGTGTTGCCCAGGCTAGTTTCGAACTCCTGAGCTCAGGCAATCCGCCCGCCTCAGCCTCCCAAAGTGCTGGGATTACAGGTGTGTGCCACCGTGCCTGGCCCAATTCTGCATTTTTAACAACTCCCAAGTAATTTAGCTGGCCTATGGACCACACTTTGAGTTTAGCAAGGCAAGCTTTTTTATATACACGCTAGGACAAGCTCCTCCTTGAGAAAATTGAAAATTGGAGGGGAGTACATATCAGCTTTTTTATTTGTAAAACATGATGATGGAGCAGAAACAAGTAATTTGTTGCCTTCAAAAACCAGATTGGGAGAGGAAATGTCCCATACCTGCAGGATCATGGATTTTAAAATTGAGGGGGCTGATTCTAAGAGCAAAATAAAGATAGAGAGAAGTAAGTGTATGTGGGAGGAGAAAGGGGTGGTGACCGTATGGAGAAAGAGAATATGAATCAGTGATGTAAAGGAAAAAGTTCCATAAAAATAATTATTAAAAACATAAGGCCCATCATTTAGCAAGTAATGACAGTTGGATGGAAAGAGAGTAAGGCTTAGGGAAGGGAAAATGTGCCAGAACAGGACCTCACAACCCAAAATTACTCTACCAAATGAGAGATGTACCTTAAGCAAAAGGGAAAGATGCCTGGGTTCTGTAGAAAGACTTTTCAGCACAGTGTTAAAATCTTTTTTTTTTTTGGAGTCGAGGTTTTGCTCTTGTTGCCCAGGTTGGAGTGCAATGGCGCGATCTTGGCTCACTGCAACCTCCGCCTCCTGGGTTCAAGCAATTCTCCTGCCTCAGCCTCCCATGCACCACCATGCCCAGCTAATTTTTGTATTATTAATAGAGATGTGGTTTCACCACGTTAGCCAGGCTGGTCTTGAGCTTCTGACCTCAGGTGATCCGCCTGCCTCAGCCTCCCAAAGTGCTGGGATTACAGGCGTGAGCTACCATGCCCAGCCTAAAATCTTTTTATAATAAGGTCACTGGTCCTCAGCCTTTATAACCTCTAGATGGCATGCAATAAAGCTTAGGTTTCTATTGCGTATGGCTCTCAAGCTGATATGAAAGTACAATTTTTTTTTTCAAAAAAGATGAATTGTAATTTTTTTTTCTTTTTTTTTGAGTTGGAGTCTCACTGTCACCCAGGCTGGAGTGCGGTGGCATGCGGTCTTCGCTCACTGCAACCTCTGCCTCCCAGGTTCAAGCGATTCTGCTGCCTCAGCCTCTCAAGTAGCTGGGATTACAGGCACGTGCCACCATGCCTGGCTAATTTTTGTATTTTTAGTAGAGATGGACTTTCATCATGTTGGCCAGGCTGGTATCAACTCCTGACCTCAAGTGATCCGCCCACCTCAGCCTCCTAAAGTTCTGGGATCACAAGTGTGAGCCACCACACCCAGCAGAATTGTAATATTTTAATGTGATATAAATCTAGTACACTGTATGCTTTCCTTCAAGAAATTGCCTGTGCTTTTTAGTTTAATGACTATGAATAGATATTGAATTATTATGGCTCATATGTATACTATGACAAAAATTGCTTTAAATGTATTTCTGTAGTGACAGATATCATAATTAGCACCTTTTTACACTCAGGTACCACATTTGTAGAAATTTATTTAATACCCTGTCATTCAGCTCTGGAGTTTCAGGGGGAGGTGCTAGCATGTCTCCATCAACTCTCTCCCTCCTCTTTTCCCAGGCAATCTACTCTTTTTTTTTTTTTTATTTTTAAAATTAATTTTTAAAAATATATTAAAATAAATAAACTTTTTTAACCTAAATTTTATATTGAGCCCAGACCTAACAAGCAGGGCCAGGATTTGCCCAGGAGGGAGCAGAGTTTAGAACAGAGTTGTTGAAAAGTATTCAGAAGTAGTATTAATAATGTGTCATAGGTTGCATATAACTAGGAGGAGACAGTAGTAAGGTCGACAAGAGAGATTGCCCAACAAACAACAGTTGCAGTTCTTTTCCTCCTCGACTTCTGTCTCTATTATTAGCTCTGTGGCCTAGCAAGGGTTGATACAATATTTCGTTATCTTAAATAAAGGTAGGACAAAGTTATGCCTTGAATTTCTTTTGAGTCCTTTATAATACATTGATGAGCATAGACTAGGCATATAGTAAATGCTAAGTTGATTGAGAGGAGAATTTAGCGTTTACATTTAAGAGAAGCGGCTGGGTGCGGTGGCTCACACCTGTAATCCCAGCATTTTGGGAGGCTGAGGTGGGTGGTTTGCCTGAGCTCAGTTCGAGACCAGCCAGGGCAACATGGTGAAACCCCGTCTCTACTAAAATACAAAAAATTAGCCGGGCCTAACCGCATGTGCCTGTAGTCCCAGCTACTTGGGAGGCTGAGGCAGGAGAATTGCTTGAACCTGGGAGGCAGAGGTTTCAGTGAGCAGAGATCGCGCCACTGCACTCCAGCCTCGGCAACAGAGCAAGACTCTGTCTCAAAAAACAGAGAAGCTAATTTTTAGAAGTACTTTACTATCTGTAAGTTGATAATAGTAAGTTTGTAAGAAGCATTGGTTTTAGTTTGAAATTTATTATGTCAATATAATTTTCAAATTAGGTAATATAAACATCCACAAGTATTAATTTGTTTATATAATAGATGTCATCTCTTTTTTTTTTCTTTTTTTTTTTTTTTTTTGAGACGGAGTTTCGCTCTTGTTGCCCAGGCTGGAGTGCAATGGCACGATCTCAGGTCACCACAACCTCCGCCTCCCGGGTTCAAGCAATCCTCCCGCCTCAGCCTCCCAAGTAGCTGAGATTACAGGCACACACCACCACACCCGGCTAATTTTTGTATTTTTAGTAGAGACAGAGTTTCACCATGTTGGTTAGGCTGGTCTCGAACTCCTGACCTCATGATCCGCCCGCCTCAGCCTCCCAAAGTGCTGGGATTACAGGCATGAGCCATCATGCTCGGCCAACGTCATCTCTTTCAACAATTTTGCCTGCAGAAAAAAATGTTTCAAAAGTTAGTGGTTGAAAACAGATCATCTCTGGAGAGTAGCATTTAAGAGGTTTTTACTTTCTAGATTAAATATTTCTTTGTAGGGTACAGTTTTTAAAAAGTACATTACTTGCTATAACAAGATAGCTTAGAAAAATAATAAAATAAAAATATTTTAATAAATAAAAATACATTGTTTTCTTCAGAAACAGATTTAAATTGGTGTTAGAGATAAATTTTTTAAATAACTGTACTTGGCTAAGATTTGCTAAAGTTCCTGTGTGTTTGTACAGGGAAAACTTGAAAGCAGTGACAACTGAAGATAGAGAAATGAGGAAAAAGAAGGAAGAATATTTAACTTTTAGTCCTCTTACAGTTGTAATATTTGTGGTCATCTGCTGTGTTATGATGGTCTTACTTTATTTCTTCTACAAATGGTTGGGTAAGAAGTCATATTTTATGTTTGCTACTGTTAACATACATTCTTTTCACTGACTATTACTAGATTTATCTTTTCCTTTAAGCCATTCTACCTGGAAAACGTATGTGAATAATTTGGTTAATATTAATTTTTTTTTAATTATCAGAGTGTTAGGTCTCTGTTACTCTGAGATAAAAATATTCAGATTAAAAATACAATATGTGCCAGGAGCAGTGACTCACACCTGTAATCCCAGCACTTTGGGAGGCCAAAGTGGACAGATCACCTGAGGTTGGGAGTTTGAGACCAGCCTGACCAACATGGAGAAACTCCATCTATACTGAAAATACAGAAATTAGCTGGGTGTGGTGGCACGTGCCTGTAATCCCAACTACTTGAGAGGCTGAGTCAGGAGAATCGCTCGAACCTGGGAGGTGGAGTTTGCAGTGAGCCGACATTGCGCCATTGCACTCCAGCCTGGGCAACAAGAGCGAAACTCCGTCTTAAAAAAAAAAAAAAAAAAAAAAAAAGTACGTTATGTTTTCAGATAAGAACACTTCTTCATGGATGACTTGAAATAATTGCCATGGTCCCTAAGTTTTCCTCTCTGTAGATGAATGATATAGCTCAGTATCTAAGCAGTGGATTAAGGAGTTCTTGGTGGCTATATTTAGTTACATGAAATAGAAGATTATTCAAATTACTGATGTATTGCCTCTACTTACTCCCAAGTGTAGTTTATCTTTTGTCAATTTGCAAATCAAGATGTTTTATTGCTTGAATTTTATGTTACTTATATAAACAGTTAGGATCATATATCTGAAGACACACAGGTACTTCCCTGTGGTCTAGAAAGTAACTAGTTCTTTTTTTCCTTGAAGAAAGTGGGAGCAGGAACTATAATGGCTTGTCCATCTCCTGAACAGTCTTATTAATGGCTTAATAGAATGGAAATTTGCCATCCCTGGACAGTATACAGCACAAAGAGAAGGGAGACCAGGGTAAAAGGAGTGTACCTGATAAGAACTAGCAAAAAGCCCTTTTAAGAACCACCAAAGGCTACCATGCTTATGTGTATAGCATTAGCATAAATTTCTGGACTAGAAAACTAGGGCCTAGGATTTGTTTCATTCAGCTTTTTTTTTTTTTTTGGAAACAGAGTCTTGCTCTGTCGCCCAGGCTGGAGTGCAGTGGCGCAGTCTTGGCTCACTGCAACCTCCACCTCCCAGGTTCAAGTGAGTCTCCTGCCTCAGTCTCCTGAGTAGCTGGGATTACAGGTGTGCGCCACTGTGCCCGACTAATTTTTGTATTGTTAGTACAGACGGGATTTCACTATGTTGACCAGGCTGGTCTCGAACTCCTGACCTCAAGTGATCCACCTGCCTTGGCCTCCCAAAGTGCTAGGATTACAGGCGTGAGTTACCGCACCCAGCCTCATTCAGTTTTTGTTCAGTTTCTCTTGTCCTGTGACAGCAGTTTAAAAACTAGACCTATGATATCTTTTTTTTTGAGACAGTCTTGCTCTGCTCTGCTCTGTCACCCAGGCTGGAGTGCAGTGGCACAATCTGGGTTCACTGCAACCTCTGCCTCTCGCATTCAAGCGATTCTCCTGCCTCAGCCTCCCAAGTAGCTGGGACTACAGGCACATCCCACCATGCCCAGCTAATATTTGTACTTTTATTATTTGTATTTATTTATTTATTTGAGATGGAGCGATTCTCTTGCCTCAGCTTCCCAAGTAGTTGGGATTACAGGCATCTGGCACCACCCCCAGCTAATTTTTGTATTTTTAGTAGAAACAGGGTTTCACCATGTTGGCCAGGCTGATCTCAAAGTCTTGACCTCAGGAGATCCACCTGCCTCGGCCTCCTATAGTGTTGGGATTACAGGTGTGAGCCACTGTACCCAGCTTATGACATGTATTTTTTAATTAAAATTAAGTCATTCTGGCCAGATGCGGTGGCTCTCGCCTGTAATCCCAGCACTTTGGGAGGCCAAAGTAAGTGGATCACTTGAGGTCAGGGGTTCAAGAGCAGCCTGGCCAACATAGTGAAACCCTGTCTCTACTAAAAATACAAAAATTAGCTGGGCATGGTGGTGCGTGCCCGTAGTTCCAGCTCCTCAAGGGGCTGAGGCAGGAGAGTCGCTTAAGCCTGGGAGGCGGAGGTTGCGGTGAGCCAAGATTGCCCCATTGCACTCCAGCCTGGGTGACACAGTGAGACTCCATCTCAAAAAAAAAACTCATTTTGTTAATATCACTCATTTTAAACTGTTGTTGAGAGAGCGAGTACTAAAATGATATTTGTATTATGTTGGCATCAAACAGGTGATTTTATTAATTTAATACTCCTTCAGATTAATTTCTGTTATCAACTCTTAGTTTATAGTAGTCATTGATAGAAAAAAGAGAGCCCTCTACTTTACCTGAAAGCATATTTTAGTTTTTGGTAAGAGATTTCCTTAAATTCATCGCTATTTAAAAAGAAGACAGCTGGGTGCAGTGGCTCACTGCTGTAATCCCAGCACTTTTGGAGGCCAAGGCAGGCATATCACCTGAGGTCGGGACTTTGAGACCAGCCTGGCCAACATGACAAAACCCCGTCTACTAAAACTACAAAAATTGGCTGGGTATGGTGGCGCATGCCTGTAATCCCAGCTATTCAGGAGGCTAAGGCATGAGAATCACTTGAGCCCAGGAGGTAAAGATTGCAGTGAGAGCCGAGATTACACCACTGCATTCCAGCCTGGGCGACTGGGCGACAGAGTGAGACTCTCAGAAAAAAAAACAAAAAACCTCACGATCTAAATTTCAGCTTAGTAAGTAATTCAGGTCATCGTATAGTCACTTCATTGGAAGTATGATTCAATAAAGAAAGTAAAGAATTAATATTGCTTGTATAAATATTTTCTTATCACCTTTCCTTCTGTTCTCATGTAATTTAGTGTTTTGTTTTTTTCAGTTTATGTTATGATAGCAATTTTCTGCATAGCATCAGCAATGAGTCTGTACAACTGTCTTGCTGCACTAATTCATAAGATACCATATGGACAATGCACGTACGTATCTCTTACAGGAAATCTTATAATGTTGGTGTTTATAATTTGAAACAATACAAAAGTAGGAGTATTATTTGAAACCTATATAGTCCAATATACATTGGACCTACAGGTGTTTAAATTTAAATTTAAGTAAAATTAAATAAAATTAAAAATTGAGTTTTTCATTCTTATTAGCCACATTTCAAGTGCTCAATAGCCACATATGACTAGTAGCTACTATATTGGACAGCACAGATATAGTACATTATTCATCATCACAGAAAATTATATTGGACTGATAAACATTTTATTACGTCTCATTTGTTTTACTTAAAATCAAGACTTTCAAAATTGATATTTCAGTCACTTCTTATGACTGTGGTTAATATTTGCTACTTCTTATATCAAGTGAACATTGTACTTCATCTGCAGTGTTAACTATTTTAATCTGTTTTTTAGGATTGCATGTCGTGGCAAAAACATGGAAGTGAGACTTATTTTTCTCTCTGGACTGTGCATAGCAGTAGCTGTTGTTTGGGCTGTGTTTCGAAATGAAGACAGGTATGAATACTCAATGTATTTGCTTTTAGATTAAGGATGAATTGTTTCCTATCTTGCCCTGATACTTATTATGATTATTATGGAATTTTTTTGCTTCTATGCCAGAACACCAGTCTTGTAATGAACTACTTCTTAAATAAGCAGATCTTATGTTAATGCATTTGAACTCATATAGAGAAGGAAATATGAATTATGATTTTAACACATACACTGAAATAGACTTTAAAAATATACTTAATTTCACGCCTGTAATCCCAGCACTTTGGGAGGCCGAGGCAGGCGGATCACCTGAGGTCGGGAGTTTGAGACCAGCCTGACCAACATGGAGAAACCCCGTCTCTACTAAAAATACAAAAAATTAGCCAGGCGTGGTAGTGCATGCCTGTAATCCCAGCTACTCGGGAGGCTGAGGCAGGAGAATCGCTTGAACCCGGGAGGCGGAGGTTGCAGTGAGCGGAGGTTGCAGTGAGCCAAGATCGCGCCATTGCACTCCAGCCTGGGCAACAAGAGTGAAACTCTATCTCAAAAAAATATGTGTGTGTGTGTGTGTGTGTGTATGTATATATGTGTGTGTGTGTATATATGTATGTGTGTGTGTGTATATATACACACACTTAATTTTGGTATAGCCACACAGTTGAGTGCAGTGCAGCTCTAAACAATGAAGATCTCTATGAATTGATATGCAGGGAGTTCCAGGAGAGAGAGAAAGAGAGAGAGAGTGCAGAAACAATCAAAATGTCCATCAAACTTTGAATGGGTGAATACATTACGTTATATTTACACAATGGAATACTGTTCACCAATAAGTAAGCCATATACCACATGCAGAGGCGTGAATGAATCTCAAACGTAATGCCAAGTGAAAGTAGTCAGATACAAAAGAGAACATACTTGCCGGGCATGGTGGCTCATACCTGTAATCCCAGCACTTTTGGAGGCTTGAGGTGGGCAGATCACCTGTGGTCAGGAGTTCGAGACCACCCTGACCAACATGGAGAAGCCTCGTCTCTACTTAAAAATACAGAATTAGCCGGGCATGGTGGCATGCGCCTGTAATCCCAGCTACTCAGGAGGCTGAGGCAAGAGAATCACTTGAACCCAAGGCAGAGGTTGCAGTGAGCTGAGATCACACTATTGCACTCCAGCCTGGGGAATAAGAGTGCAACTCCGTCTCAAAAAAACAAAAAAAGAAAAGAGAGAGAGAGAATATACTCTATGATATATAAAGTACAAAAAGGAGCACAGTCTATACTTTTTAAAAAGTTTTATTTTTAATTATTATGGGAACATAATGACTATATATATTTACGGGATACATGTGGTGTTTTGATACAGGCATTCAATGTGAATGATCACATCAGAGTAATAGTGGTATCCATCACCTCAAGCCTTTGTCATTTCTTTGTGTTGGGAACATTCCAATTTCACTCTTTTAGTTATTTTTACAATATACAATAAGTTATTAACTGTATCACCTTATTGTGCTACCAAACACTAGATCTTATTTATTTTATTTAGCTATATTTTTGCACCCATTAACCATCTTCACTTTATCACCCCCACTCTCTACCTTTTTTTAGCCTCTGGTAACCATCATTCTACTATCTCCATGAGTTCCATTTTTTATTTTTATTTTCTTAATTTTAGCTCCCACGATGAGTGAGAACATGCAATATTTGTCTTTCCGTGCTTGGCTTATTTCACTTAACATGATGTCTTCAGTTCCATCCATGTCTTTGCAAATGACAAGACTTCATTATTTTTTATGGCTGAATAATATTCCATTGTGTGTATTTGTAAAATTATATATATATGAGTGTGTATAATATTTCCTTTATCCACTGGTGGACACTTAGGTTGATTCCATATCTTGGCTATGGCGAATAGTGCTGCAATAAACATGAGAGTTCAGGTATCTCTTTGATATACTGAGTTCCTTTCTTTTGCATGTATATCCAATGGCGGGATTGCTGGATCATATGGTAATTCTGTTTTTAGTTTTTTTGAGGAATTTCCATACTGTTCTTCATAGTGGCTGTGGTAATTTACATTCCCACCAACAGTGTACAAGGTTTCCCCTTTTCCCACATCCTTGCCAGCATTCTGGGATGAGATGATATCTCATTGTAGTTTTGATTTACATTTCTCTAATTGCAATCAGATTTCATCTGATTGGAGATGTTGAGCATTTTTTCATATATCTGTTGGTTATTTTTATGTCTTTGGAGAAATGTCTATTCAGATATTTTGCCCAATTTTTAATTGGATTACTTTTTTTTTTCTATTGAGTTGTTTGAGCTCCTTACATATTCTGGTTATTAATTGCTTGTCAGATGGGTAGTTTGCAGATATTTTCTTTCATTCTGTGGGTTGTTTCTTCACTTTCTTGATTTTTCCTTTGCCATGCAAAACCTTTTAGCTTGATGTGATTCCATTTGTCCATTTTTGCTTTCGTTGTCTGTGCTTTTCAAGTCTTACTCAAGAAATCTTTGCCAAGACCAATGTCCTGGAGCATTTCCCCAATGTTTTCATCAAGTAGCATCATAGTTTCAGGTCTTAGATTTAAGTCTTTAATCCACTTTGATTTGATATTTGTATTTTTTTAAGTGAAAAAAGCAAAGTGCAAAAAAATATATAGAGTATGCTGTCTTTTATGCAAGAAAGAGGGGGATATAAGAAAATATACAGATATCTGTTCATTTGTAGGAAGATAACCAGAAAAAATATATACTTAGGTTTATATTAATGGT
Organism: Homo sapiens; assembly: GCF_000001405.40. NCBI lineage: Eukaryota > Metazoa > Chordata > Mammalia > Primates > Hominidae > Homo > Homo sapiens. Next base: position 50,733,347 of record NC_000015.10, on the reverse strand, counting down.
TTATTAATAAAATTATTGAGGACTGAAAGGATTTAATGGCCTAAAATTTGGGAAACAAAGCTCATACAGCTTTATGCAGCTTCAGGTAGGATAATCAATGGATAATTACTTATGTCAATTTCTGATGGAGTAAGTTGCATAGCTCTTGTTTTCTTTATGTTCAAGCTATTTGGATCTGTGTTAACACTGGTATTTTGTTAACAGCTGTTTTCTAGAGCGAGACGTGTTAATGCACTTATGTCTGATATATGTTCTTCTGAGGTAGCCTTTTCAACTTTTTCTTAGTGTAATAATATTCATTATTCTACTAGGACAGTAAAATTACCAAATATAGAGTATATGAGGGGTTTTGTTGTTATGCTTGCTGTTTAATAATTGAATAGTCAGAAATCAGCCAGGCATGGTGGTGTGCATGCCTTTAGTCCCAGCTACTTGGGAAGCTGAGACATGAAAATCACTTGAACCCAGGAGGTGAAGGTTGCAGTTAGCCGAGATCATGCCACTGCACTCCAGCCTGGGTGACAGAGTGAGAATCTGTCTTAAAAAAAAAAAAGGAATAGTCAAATCATAGCAATTAAATGATATTACCTCAGTGATCTATGTCTTTTGAAAGGCTTCATCTAAACATTGATAAAGCAATAGAGTAATATTTTTTGATTTTAGGTGGGCTTGGATTTTACAGGATATCTTGGGGATTGCTTTCTGTCTGAATTTAATTAAAACACTGAAGTTGCCCAACTTCAAGGTAATGTATACAATACTACTTTGCTAGTTAAAATAAATTTTTAAAAGACAACTTTATTAAGGCATAATTTACCTACAATTAAATGCGCCAATTTTTGGCGTACTGTTTATGAAAATTTTATGAATGTGTAACTTTATAACCACTATCCCAGTGAAGTTGTAGAACATTTCTCATCTCTTCCAAAAGCTCTACCATGGCCTTTGCAATCAGTCCTTAACCCCCAGGCCCAGACAACCACTGATTTGCTAGCTAAACTATTGTTTTTTTTTCTTTCTTTTATTTGTATAAATTTAAGGGGTTCAAGTGTAGTTTTATTACATGGATATGTTGGGTAGTGATGAGGCTTATAGTATAACCATCACTCGACTAATGTGTTTTGTCCCCATTAAGTAATTTCTCATCCCTCACCCCTTCTAACTCTTCCACCATGCCGAGTATCCCAGTGCCTGTTATTCCTCACTCTTATCCATGTGTACACTTTATTTTAGCTAAATTTTGTTTGTTTGGTTTTGTAGAGATAGGGGTCTTGCTGTGCTACCCAAGCTGTTCTTAAACTTCTGGCCACAAGCAGTCCTTCTGATTTGGCCTCCCAAAGTGCTGGGATTACAGGCATGAGCCACTGCACCCTGCCTAAAATATTTTTTTTTTTATTTATTTGGTTTTTTTTTTTTTTTTGAGATGGAGTCTCATTCAGTCTCCCAGGCTGGAGTGCAGTGGTGTGATCTCGGCTCACTGCAGCCTCCGCCTTCTGAGCTCAAGTGATTCTCCTGTCTCAGCCTCCCAAGTAGCTGGGATTACAGGCACCTACCACCAAGCCCTGCTAATTTTTGTATTTTTAGTAGAGACAGCGTTTCACCATGTTGGCCAGGCTGGTTTTGAACTCCTGACCTCAAATGATCTGCCCACCTGGGCCTCCCAAAGTGCTGGGATTACGGGCATGAGCCACTGTGCCCAGCCTGCCTAAAATATTTTTAATCATTCATATAATATGCCAAATTCATAAAATCTTTAACATGACCAAATATCAGGGAAGCACATTTCTTCTTTTTTTTTTTCCAAGACAGAGTTTCACTCTGTCACCGAGGCTGGAGTGCAGTGGCACGATCTCAGCTCACTGCAACCTCTGCCTCCTGGGTTCAAGTGATTCTCCTGCCTCAGCCTCCTGAGTAGCTGGGTTTATAGGCACGTGCCACCATGCCCGGCTAATTTTTGTAGTCTTAGTAGAGACGGGGTTTCACCATGTTGGCCAGGCTGGTCTCGAACTCTTGACCTCGTGATCCGCCCCGCCTCAGTCTCCCAAAGTGCTGGGATTACAGGCGTGAGCCACCAGGCCCAACCCAGCACATTTCTTTGGTTCGGTGATTTTTTTTAAAAAAATAAGATAAAGAAGATAAGGGTTTTAATATGTAGAATAAAACTATACATAGTATTAACCATAAGATATCTTTTTAAAAGTAATATTTAAATGTATATTCATATATTTATTTGCACTTGAAAAACAATTTAATGCCTTCATTTACATTTAGGAAGATTGACCTTTAATTTTGTTTCTTTCTTTGACAGTCATGTGTGATACTTCTAGGCCTTCTCCTCCTCTATGATGTATTTTTTGTTTTCATAACACCATTCATCACAAAGGTATGACCATATTTTTGAAATGGGTGAAGAAACATGCTAAAAAATGATCATCTTAAATCTGCTCCTAGATTATTAATTTTGCAGATGTTTACCACTGAGTGAATTCTAATTCTCTTAAAAGAACTGTCATTGAAATTGGCCTTTTAACTTTCAAGCTTTTAATCCATTTTGTTAGATTTTAAAATGTCTCTTGACTGATATAAATATGAGAATATCTGTACTTTTCTTCCCTTTTTAAAGTATTTTTTCTTATGAGCTAAATGTTTACTGTAGGCAATATAGACAATAAAAAAAATAAAATATCATTTCTGAAGCCCTAGTTTGAGACTAAGAAAGAGCAGCACGCTGGAAATCGGAAGGCCTAGAATGTAGCTCTGTAACCTTGCAACCATAGGCAAGTTACTTAGCCCTTTCTGCTTGCATTTACTAACGCGTTGAATGAGGGAGTACTGCTAGCTATTCATCTTCCACCTCCATCAGTGGAATTCTTTTGGTTCCAACTAACAGAACCCAACCGAAGCCTTCTGTACCAAAAAGGTCCCATTTATCTAGGCTGTGTTTGTAGGCCAGTGTGGGACTGGCGTCAAGAGAAACTAGACTCAGGGCCACATACTCTCCCTTTTTGCTTCTGTCCATTTGTTCATTCTCTCAGACTGGCTTTTTCCATGAAGTTAGAATCTGAGCAACTGGCAGCTCCTAGGTCATATATTCCCAGATCTGCCGCTAGCTCTTCAGTAAAATGAGGAGAGGTGTTGGGTGAGTATGGTGGTCCTTAATTATTTGTCAAGCTTTTCTACCTTGATCCTTTTCCTGTCTCATGAATATAATATTAATTATTGCTTAATTCCCCTACTTTCTCCCATTTTGAGTCTTGCTTTGTAACTTTATATTATCCATTTATCCTTTGTCACTCATATATTTAAGTATTTGATATTCTCTACTTTATTTATCATTCCTTCTTTTTTTTTAAAAGGCCGAGTCTTGAGGCTGAAGTGCAATGGCACAGTCCTAGTTCACTGCAGCCTCAAACTCCTGGGCTCAAGCCCAGGAGTCCTCCCACGTTGGCCTCCCAGAGTATTGGGATTACAGGCATGAGCCATAGTGCTTGGCCTCATTTCTTCTTTACCCATTCATTAAACCTATCATCTGTGAAATCACTGTAAAAATCTACACTTCTGATATTTGCTATAATGGCATAAAGACAAACTGTACCCTATTGGGGAGCTAAAATTGTAATAGGTAACAAATATAATTAACTGTCCCAAAATACAGCTAACCAACCAAACTTTTTTTTTTCCTCTTCTTTGAGACACAAACCTTTTTTTTGGTTTTTTCCTCTTCTTTGAGACTGGGTCTCGGTCTGCCGCCCAAGCTGGAGTTCAGTGGCTCAATTATGACTTACTGCAGCCTTAACCTCCTGAGGCCCAGGTGATCCTACCACCTCAGCTTCCCAAATAGCTGGTACTACAGGGACACGCCATTATACCCAGCCAATTTTTGTATTTTTTGTAGAGATGGGGTTTTACCATATTGCCCAAGCTGGCATATGGGTCAGCTGGCATATGCCTGGCCTAACCAAACCATTTTACTAGCACCTTTCTGTCACTTAATGATGAGCCATTTGATTCATTGACTTCACTGAACAATAGTAACCTAAAAAAAGAAAAATTCATAGAACTAGTATTATGGGTTATAACTAAACTTGTTAATTTGGCCAGGTGCGGTGGCTAATGCCTATAATCCCAACACTTTGGGAGGCCAAGGCAGGCAGATCACTTGAGGTCAGGAGTTCGAGACCAGCCTGGCCAACATGGTAAAACTGTATCTCTACTAAAAATACAATAATTAAGAGGCCGGGTGCGGTGGCTCACGCCTGTAATCCCAGCACTTTGGGAGGCCAAGGCGGGTGGATCACTTGAGGTCAGGAGTTTGAGACCAGCCTGGCCAACATAGTGAAACCCCATCTCTACTAAAAATACAAAAATTTGCCAGGCACAGTGGTGGGCGCCTGTAATCCCAGCTACTTGGAGGGCTGAGGCAGGAGAATCGCTTGAACCCACAAGGTGGAGGTTGCAGTGAGCCAAGATTGCGCCACTGCACTCCAGCCGGGCAACAGAGCGAGACTCCATCTCAAAAAAAAAAAAAAATACAATAATCAGCCAGGTGTGGTGGTGCACGCCTGTAGTCCCAGCTACTCGGGAGACTGAGGTGGGAAGATCGCTTGAAGCCAGGAGCGGAGGTTACAGTGAGCCGAGATCGTGCCACTGCACTCCAGCCTGGGCAACAGAGTGAGACTCCGTTTCAAAAAAAGAAATTGTTGGCCGAGCGCAGTGGTTCACGCCTGTAATCCCAGCACTTCGGGAGGCCAAGGTGGGCGGATCACGAGGTCAGGAGATTGAGACCATCCTGGCTAACATGGTGAAACCCCGTCTCTACTAAAAAAATAGAAAAAAATTAGCCGGGCATGGTGGCGGGCACCTGTAGTCCCAGCTACTTGGGTGGCTGAGGCAGGAGAATGGCGTGAACCCAGGAGGCAGAGCTTGCAGTGATCCGAGATCGTGTCACTGCACTCCAGCCTGGGCAACAGAGTGAGACTCCGTCTCAAAAATAAATAAAAATAAAGATAAAAAATAAAATTGTTAATTTATTAGGGTATTTTTAACTTGGTTCAAAAGTGTGTTTTTGTAGGATACCCCATGAGAGATCTCATAGCAAAAGTGAAATGTTCCCTCTACAAAGCCATTTCCATAAATCAACAGATAATCCATAACATATGACACATATATTACACAGTAGATACAGCTGTAAACTGTAACTAAACTGTTTTTTAAAATAACTTTTCCATTCTGACACTACTCTTCACTTTGTGAATAAACATATCTGCCCCAGCAAACTGTTTGCATTCCATATACATAGAATGTTTCAGAATTTTAAAGGTATAGGATGAAAATAAAGGTGTCTTTTAGCCTTCTTTCTTTTGTGCTTAAGAAATTTTTCGTCTTCCTATTTCTATCTTAGTTCCTACTGACTAGGAACATGATTTCTAGCAACCTAATGTGGTGGAAAAAGCTAAGTGCTCGCTCTTTGGAGTTCACTGCTGTAGATTTACTTTAATACCTTCTTCTGAGTCTGATTTGTTTGTTTTTATTAAGGCAGCAGGCCTTAGTTTAGTAGGTAACTCAAAAATCAGATTGCTGATTTTCCTGGTTTTCACTGTAAATTTGAAGGATTAAATATTGCATATTCTAAACATGTTCTTGACCCAAGTATTAGTGGCCTTCTAGTGAGTTGGCAAGGCAGGTCACCATAAGAGTACAGCAATAAGAGCCTGTCTTGTTCATTTTTTTCCGTCCACCACTGTGCTCAGTATTGTGTCTTAGAAGTAGTAGTTACTCGGGTATCTTTAAATGTATGGGAGGATGTCAATGATGGTCTTCAGTTAAATGTTTTACATAACAATTAGAAAGTGAACCAAAATGAACTCTTTATCTGGAAATGTTATCACAACCTGGGAATCTGCTTTAAGGAACTGTACTTAGTATTAGTTTATTTTCCTAAACTCCTTTGACTTAACCCCTCTGTAACCCAAAGCTTAACATGCGCAGAAGATTTCTGCAGCTACGGGTTTTATCCTCCTTTCTGCTCAGCTCAGGAATCAGTGAGGTCCTTTTAAAAACACTCAAGTGGTTTCTCCTGTGCACCCCACCCACATGGAAAATATTATAGTTAGTCAATCAAATTTTCCTGAAATTCAGCATTTGTTTATCTTCCCTGTACCTGCTTTGCTGATACACTACAATAATACGAATGATAAAATGAGTGGTTCATGCAGTCTTAGCTTGCTGCCTCACAATGTTTTCCCTCTCCACAACAGACTTGGCTATCAGGAAAAAATTTTTAAATGAACCCCTCACACAACCCACATAAAAAGACTTTATCCAGGCACAAGGGAGGGAAATTTAGCTAAGGTTAATGTTTTGATTGGATCATAGAAAGCAGGCAGGGCTGAAATTGGATGAGAGTTAGGCTAGAGAAGCTTCTCAGATTCTATAGGGTTGGGTCTTTTCGAGTTTGGTTTCATTGTTTTGTTATTGTGGTGAGTAGCCAGAAGGTCAGATGTATATTTATTCAAATAAAGTTACCAATATTTTTTACAAAGCTAAGTGTAAAAGATTTTAGTATGATCTTCTTCACTGACATTACTGAAAACTGCTAAGAACATATAGTATAAGGCATAATGTAACTAAAAGTACTGTACCTAAAATTTTTAACCCATTACAAATGTCAGATATGAATATGTCATTACAAATCAGAACTGAGGGTTCACTTGAATTATTTTTACATGATTCATTTGCCAATTTCTGAGAATTATTGAGCTCTGATAAAGTGGAGCAACTGTACTAGGTGGACTTTGTTTTAGATGACTTCAGTTTTTGCAATCTACAAAGACTTTAGGAAAAAAGCAGTCTGCAGCCCATTTTCAATCAGTGTAACTGGCCATATGCCATGGGGCTTAAATCACACTTGAATAGTGGCAGATTGTTCTCTTTAAATGATTAGACAACTTCTTTTCCTTCTCAATTTTAGAATGGTGAGAGTATCATGGTTGAACTCGCAGCTGGACCTTTTGGAAATAATGAAAAGGTAGGGATGGCAATGAAATAGAAATGGCTATCCAGTGTATGTATGTGTATCCGGTTAATAATTTGCCTTCCTGTGTAATTCACTGGCCACATAGTGCATGTTAAGGTATTGTAAAACTTATTTCTCAGAAAATATAGCTCTTTTCTTAGTTATTCTAAATTATTAAATACCTATTGACTTGGGTTTCATCCTAGAATGATGGAAACTTGGTGGAAGCCACTGGTCAACCCTCAGCTCCCCATGAGAAAGTAAGGATTGTATTTTAGATATGTTCATTGGACTTTAAATCATACCCTCTGAGACAAGACTCTTCTTTGGGGGAAAAAAAAATCCAGATTGCCAAAAAAAATTAGGCCTGTTCTGTTTTCTATGTTTCAAGGCCTGAGTTCTATCCTTGGTAAAGAGAAAAAAAAAAGGTTAAATGTGGGGATACTTGGTTAATACTGTTAATCCTACATGTGTGTTGAGCATTTTTTTCAAAACTAATCTTTTTCTTTTGGAAATAGATAGAAACAGAGTATTTCAAGTTCCTTTAAACTGTCAAAAGAACTATTCTAATGTTAATCATTCCATTTCTAGAAGATATGGGTGGCCAGGCACGGTGGCTCATGCCTGTAATACCAGCACTTTGGGAGGCTGAGGCAGGCAGATCACCTGAGGTCAGGAGTTTGAGACCAGCCTGGCCAACATGGTGAAACCCTGTCTCTACTAAAAACAGAAAAATTAGCCAGGCATGGTGGCTCATGCCTGTAATCCCAGCTACTTGGGAGGCTGAGGCAGGAGAATTGCTTGAACCTGGGAGGCGGAGGTTGCAGTTGCAGTTGCAGTGAGCTGAGATCACGCCACTGCACTCCACTTGGGCGACAGAGCGAGACTCTGTCTCCAAAAAATAAATTAGTAAATAAAAGATATGAGTAAAGATTGCCAAGAAGTTCATTGGCGGCCTCTGTTTTGTTTTTTGTTTTGTTTTGTTTTGTTTTGTTTTGTTTTTGAACAGTTGCCAGTAGTCATCAGAGTACCAAAACTGATCTATTTCTCAGTAATGAGTGTGTGCCTCATGCCTGTTTCAATATTGGGTTTTGGAGACATTATTGTACCAGGTAAGCAATTGTAACAATTTTAGTTAAAAAAAAAAACACTGATGATTTTAAATCGTCATATGTATAGAATCTGTTAAAAGTTACCTACTCTGTATTAACTATTTCTGGCTGTCACTAGAGCTGAGATTGTCATAACAAAAAAGCTTGTTGAGGGGTAGAAGGTAAAGCCCAAATGGTAACAACTAAAGTACTGCAATAGCTCCCATGGCTCAAAAAGTTTGTTAGAGAAAGCAACTAGGATCAGTTTAACCTTCTTCTTCAAGAAAGTATATTTGTGACTCTTTTTAGAAGTTGAATATAATAATGCCAAACAAATAGTTTATATTACTTATATTTTAAGATAATAGTTATGTTTTAGAAAAAGGGGTTTAAGAATATTAGGCAAGGCTGTGATCAAGAGGAGAAACATAGAAGAACACCAGCTTGTAGGACTGCGTAATACAAAAAGACACAGTTTATAGTGGAACTGATCACCATCTCTTAGCATGTCTGCTCTGACAGTGTAGTTTTGCCTTACTTTCCTCACTGCTCTGTCTGTAGAATAAACTTAATCCAAGCCCATTAATAATTTAGTTTAGAAGTAATTAATAATATTCCTCTATCAACTGAGTTTTTCCTTCTTCATTTTTCTTTTTTTTTTTTTGAGATGGAGTCTTGCTCTGTTGCCCAGGCTGGAGCGCAGTGGCATGACCTCAGCTCACTGCAACCTCCGCTTCCCAGGTTCACGCCATTCTCCTGCCTCAGCCTCCTGAGTAACTGGGACTACAGGCGCCTGCCACCGCACCTGGCTAATTTTTTTTGTATTTTTAGTAAAGACTGGGTTTCACCGTGTTAGCCAGGATGGTCTCGATCTCCTGACCTTGTGATCTGCCCGCTTCGGCCTCCCAAAGTGCTGGGATTACAGGCGTGAGCCACCGCGCCGGCTCCTTCTTCATTTTTCTTAGTCTTCCTATGTACTAACTGCCTGTGGTGGATGGGTGAGGAGTACTGGTGCTTCTGAAAAAGCCCTTCTATTTACATAGTAAAACCAGGTAGAGAGAGAAAAGCTAGCAGCGTTGCCTTGCAAGTTGACATGTTAGCTCAGTGAATCTTGATTCACATAATTGATAAAATAAGGAAAACATTCTATTGAGTAACCTTACACTTCTTTGAATATCATTAAACTTATGCCTGATTTTACCATTTCCACACCAAGGGCTATACAAGATCTTCTATATAGAACTTGGCATAGAACTGGTAAAAATAGCATATAAATACTACATTATTGAAGTAAATGTCAAAGGTCTAAAACAAAAATATTTCTCCAAAGAGCAGAGGTACTGACAATACATGACAAGCTGAGATTTCTTCTTTGGGAAGAAGAAAAGGTTCAACAAATTTCTTACAAGAAATAGATATTAAATGAGTTGTTTCTGCATAATTGCATATTCACAAATGAAAGCATGAGCCGAGCTTGGCGGCTCATGCCTGTAATCCCGGCCCTTTGGGAGACTGAGGCAGGTAGATCACTTGAGGACAGGAGTTCAAGACCAGCCTGGCCAACATGGTGAAACCCCATCTCTACTAAAAATACAAAAATTAGCTGTGTGTGTTAGCACACGCCCATAATCCCAGCTACTTGGGAGGCTGAGACAGGAGAATCACCTGAACCCAGGAGGCAGAGGTTGCAGTGAGCTGAGATCACACCACTGCACTCTGACCTGGGTGACAGTGAGACTCTGTCTCAAAAAAAAACAAAAAAAACCCAACTGAATAGTATTCCAGTCTGTGTATGTACCACATTTTTTTATTCATTCATCTGTTGATGGACACTTAGGTTGCTTCCATATCTTGGCTATTGCGAATAATGCTGCAGTGAATATGGGAATGCAAATATCTCTTTGACATACTGATTTCAGTTCCTTTGGATATATACCCAGTAGTGGGATTATTAGACCTAATGGTAGTTCTAATTTTAATTTTCTGAAGAACCACCATACTGGTTTCCATAATGGCTACACTAATTTACATTCCCATAAGCAATGTACAGGGTTCCCTTTTGGTACATCGTCTCTAAGGCTTACTTTTCATCTTTTTAATAACAGCCATTCTAACATATGTAAGGCGATATCTCATTGTGGTTTTAATTTGCATTTTTCTGATGATTAGTGATTTTGAGCAATTTTTTCATATACCTGTTGGCTATTTATGTGTCTTCTATTGAGAATTAGCTACTCAAATCCTTTGCCCATTTTCTAATTGGGTTGTTTACTTATTATTGAGTTGTTTGAGTTCCTTATATTAATATATTTTAGGTGTTAACCCCTTATCAGATACATAGTTTGCAAATATTTTCTCCCATTTCACAGGTGTTTTCTTCACTTTGTTGACTGTTTCCTTGGCTGTGCAGAAGCTTTTTAGTTTGATGTAAACCCATTTGTCTGTTCAATATATTTTTTAATGATAAATTTTAAAAGTTTTCTTCATGGCTGGGCTTGGTGGCTCATGCCTGTAATCCCAGGACTTTGGGAGGCCAAGACCAGTGGATCACGAGGTCAGGAGATCGAGACCACCCTGACCAACATGATGAAACCCCATCTCTACTAAAATACAAAAAATTAGCCAAGTGTGGTGGCACGCGCCTGTAGTCCCAGCTACTCAGGAGGCTGAGGCAGGGGAATTGTTTGAACCCGGGAGGCAGAGGTTGCAGTGAACCGAGATCGCGCCACTGCACTCCATCCTGGGCAACAGAGCGAGACTCCGTCTCAAAAAAAAAAAAGTTTTCTTCATGACATGGAATATTGAGCAGCTGATAAAAATGATAGTTAAAAACTATTTAATAGCTTGAGGAAATGTTTAAACTATGGTATTAAGTATTTTTAAAATCAGCATATAAAATTTTGTCAAGAATTTGAGGTACTTGAATGTTCTTATAATGCAACAATGAAGATTCAATATAACATATACTTACTATTGTTAACAATTGAATTTGCATTGCTGTTATTGTTTTAAGAAAATAATGTTTTGTTTTGTTTTTAAGGCCTGTTGATTGCATACTGTAGAAGATTTGATGTTCAGACTGGTTCTTCTTACATATACTATGTTTCGTCTACAGTTGGTAAATTTTTGTTTTTCTTTGTATTAAATGTTGAATTGTATTGTCTGGAGGAAAAGACAGAGGTCTAAAAATAAAGAAGGAGTACAGTTTGGGCATGGTGGTTCACCCCTGGAGTCCTAGCACTTTGGGGGCCAAGGCAGGCAGATTGCTTGAGCCCAGGAGTTCTAGATGAGCCTGGGCAACATAGTGAGACCCCATCTCTAAAAAAACAGTTTTAGGGCCAGGCACAGTGGCTCACACCTGTAAGCCCAGCACTTTGGGAGGCCGAGGCAGGCAGATCATAAGGGCAAGAGATTGAGACCATCCTGGCCAACATGATGAAACCCTGTCTCTACTAAAAATACAAAAAAAATTAGCTGGGCGTGGTGGCACGCACCTGTAGTCCCAGCTACTGGGGAGGCTGAGGCAGGAGAATCACTTGAACCTGGGAGGCAGAGGTTGCAGTGAGCCAAGATTGCCCCACTGCACTCCAGCCTGGTGACAGAGCAAGACTCTGCCTCAAAAAAAAAAAAAAAATTATTTTTGTATTAGCTGTGTGTGGTGGTCATGCCTATGGTCCCAGCTACTCAGGAGGCTGAGATGGGAGAAACGCTTAAGCCCAAGAGGTCAAGGCTGCAGTAAGTCATGATCGTACCACTTCACTATAGCCTGGGCGAAAGATTGAGTCCCTGTCTCAAAAAAAAAAAGAAAGGAAGAAAAAGAAAAGAAATAGCTAAGTGAGGGAGAAGATGAAGAAAAGAAAAAAAGTATAAAGAAATTCAAAAAGCAGTCTCAGCTGGGCACAGTGGCTGGCCAGACGTGGTGGCTCATGCCTGTAATCCCAGCACTTTGGGAGGCCAAGGCAAGTGGATCACTTGAGGTCAGGCGTTTGAGACCAGCCTGGCCAACATGGTGAAATCTCAACTCTACTAAAAATACAAAAAGTAGCTGGGCATGGTGGTGCACACCTGTATTCCCAGCTACTCGGGAGGCTGAGGCAAGAAAATTGCTTGAACCTGGGAAGTGGGTTCAAGAGACAAGATTGCACCACTGCACTCCAGCCTGGGCAACTGAGCGAGGCTCCATCTCAAAAAAAGCAGTTTGAGGCCACTAAGTATGGTACTCTCCAGGGCTTTAACATATTAGTATCCAAAGGCAGATTATAGGAGTGTTCATTAATTCTCCTGTGTACCTTTGGACAACTTAAACTCCCTGTTCCTCCATTGCCTCATCTTTAAAATTAGAAACTATACTAAATTGTTTATAAAGGGAATATTCTGAGATCCTATGTTCCTAGTAAAACCCTGAGTCATTAAGAAAAGTTCAGGCCGGGCGCGGTGCTCACACCTATAATCCCAGCACTTCGGGAGGCTGAAGCGGGTGGATCACCTGAGGTCGGGAGTTTGAGACCAGCCTGACCAACATGGAGAAACCCAGTCTCTGCTAAAAAATACAAAATTAGCCAGGCGTGGTGGCACATGCCTATAATCCCAGCTACTTGGGACGCTGAGGCAGGAGAATTGCTTGAACCCAGGAGGCAGAGGTTGCGGTGAGCTGAGATCGTGCCATTGCACTCCAGCCTGGGCAACAAGAACAAAACTCCATTTCGAAAAAAAAAAAAAAAAAAGAAAAGTTCAAAAGTATGTGCTTATTAACAAAGCTTAGGAAGTATGTAATCAGTGTTAGGAAGATTTTTTTTAAACAACTTATATTACCTATTGGTACAGATTTAGTTATCTAAAATATGAAACTATTTAACATCTTTAATAGCAACAGATAATTGAAGCTCTCATGAATTATTATCTCTTATCAATGATACATGGTTAGGTTAGTAATAATTGAAATGCTAACCAGTTTCCACATTTTTCAAAAGCTCCATAGAAGATGTCTCCTAATCCTATCTAGGAAAATGATGAAATTACAAGAAGTCATAGAGCAAAAATATCCTCAGAAATGTTTGAAAACCAGTACATAAATGACAGAGGAAAAAACCCACCTTTGGTAACATGTAGAAATGACTTATAGCTTGGTATTCTTCTTGCAGCCTATGCTATTGGCATGATACTTACATTTGTTGTTCTGGTGCTGATGAAAAAGGGGCAACCTGCTCTCCTCTATTTAGTACCTTGCACACTTATTACTGCCTCAGTTGTTGCCTGGAGACGTAAGGAAATGAAAAAGTTCTGGAAAGGTAACAGCTATCAGGTATGTGCTTATACTTTGGTTACCAAGTTATCTTATGGCTTAATTTACTGACTGATTTTGGGTGGGAACAGCCTATATGTAGCAAAGCTTTTATGTACCAAAAAGTACTGTAATACCCCCTTACTCACTGTCCACCTATTGAATCATCATTTGTGACCTCCCCTGCAATCTAATGCCAAAAGCCTGGTGATTCAAGACAAAACTACAAAAAAAAAAACAGCAGAGGACATCAGGGAAAACAAAATAGCATTTCAACATGTATTTTCAAAACCTACACAAAAGCAGACTTCATGAAAGATAAAATTCGTTGTTTAAAATAAGTACTTAATTTTGAGACTAAGCATTAGCTATTTGTAGTAAGAGTCCTAAGGTTTTGCAGATAAAAAGTGTACTCTGGCCAGGCACGGTGGCTCACGCCTGTAATCCCAGCACTTTGGGAGGCCGAGGCAGATGGATCACCTGAGGACAGGAGTTCGAGACCAGCCTGGCCAACATGGTGAAACCCGTCTCTACTAAAAATACAAAAAATTAGCCGGGTGTTGTGGCAGGCGCCTGTAATCCCAGCTACTTGGGAGGCTGAGGCAGGAGAATCACTTGAACCCAGGAGGCAGAGGTTGCAGTGAGCCAAGATTACGCCATTGCACTCCAGCCTGGGCAACAAGAGTGAAACTCCATCTCAAAAAAAAAGTGTCCTCTTCAGCATCTAAATGGGCCTAACCAAACTAGATAGGGCATTCATTTGAGATTTAAGTGAATCAAGGTTGAGCTTTCTTTAAAATTTCTAAACAAAGAAAATCTTGATACCAAGGTCTCTTTTGCTTGAGTGGTTTCTTCATTAAAGTTAAAGCCTTTTCTTTTTTTTCCCCCTAAATGTTCTTGGTATTCCAGTAAAGTCTGTTTGCATTGAAATTAAGAAGAGTTGGGAAACCCTAGCCTATTGAGGTCAGGGCCATGGCACTGACCCCTTCATGAAGGCACTTTGTGAGGCAGTTAGCTCTGCTTTCCCCTATTACAACTACCACTCTCCTCCATCCACCCTCATGCTTCTGTGTCAGTTGACACGTGAACAAAAAGAGAGACACTTTGGATGGGTGGCTGAAACTCTGATAGTAGATAAACAGTTCAAAGTCCATGTCCATCTTGTGCTTGGTCTTTCATGTCATTTATAGTGTTACTTAATGAGAGGTGGTTAACACATTAAGTTACAGACTACTATGATTTGAAAAAACACTGGTTTAGAATTCTTTTGAGGAAATCTTAACATTTCTTTGAGATTTGGTTAAGCTAATAATACCTGTCTTGCCTACATCACAAAGCTGTTGTCTCAACTTATACTGTTATACATAGAATTAGTTTATGATCCTAATGCCCTTGACTAAACTAGTAAGGTAACTTTTAACTTTTCTATTGAAGATGACACTCACATAGGTTTTTTATAGATTTTTAAAAATAAAGTGTATCCTATGATATACACTATGCTAATAACATCTAAAAATCACATCTCAAAAAGTACTCTACATCATTTTTTAATGGTTTTATATTTCTTCATTTAGCAAATGTTTATGAGTGATTCTATGAGAGGATACTATTTTTGGTATTGGTGATACAAGATGATCAAGTTGGAAAGAGGCCTATTCTCATGACCTCTTGAAAGTTACAGTCTAGCCGGTCGCGGTGGCTCATGCCTGTAATCCCAGCACTTTGGGAGGCTGAGGCGGGAGGATCACGAGGTCAGGAGATCGAGACCATCCTGGCTAACACGGTGAAACTCCATCTCCACTAAAAAATACAAAAAAAATATTAGCCGGGTGTGGTGGTGGGTGCCTTGTAGTCCCAGCTACTCGGGAGGCTGAGGCAGGAGAATGGCGTGAACCTGGGAGGCGGAGCTTGCAGTGAGCCGAGATCGTGCCACTGCACTCCAGCCTGGGGGACAGAGCAAGACTCCGTCTCAAAAAAAAAAAAAAAAAAAAACGAAAGTTACAGTCTAGTGAGGAATAGACATAAAGTCACTAACAATAAAGTGTGATAAACCTATTAGTTACGGCAGGTGCCATGAAAACTATAGATGGGATATCCAGTGCTTGTGGTTTCAGGAAAGAGTCCTAGGTGATTTGGGGAGGGCTTTCTAAAGAATATTAAATTTATGTCCAGACTTTAAGACTGAGCTGTGTGTTCCATGTTGAAGGAACCATGTCTTCCGAGGCTCAGAGGGAAGAGAACATGGCACATGCTAGAAACTCAGTGAAGGTTAGGATGGCTATAATGCTGAGTAGAGGGTTACGGGAGTTACAGGAAATGAAAGCTGGAGAAGGAAGCAAGAGTGAGAGCCTTGTATGTAGCATCTTATAAGCCACATTTAAGAGTTTGGACTCTATACTAAGCACTGGAGACCATTTAAGGTTTTAAGAAATCTAGAAAATTAAGGGAGCAAAACTGGGGACAATTATTGCAATAAGAAGTGATAGAAGGCCAGACATGGTTGTTTATCCTGATAATTGCAGCACTTTGGGAGGCTAAGCCAGGAGGATCACTTGACCCCAGGAGTTTGAGAGCAGCCTGGGCAACATGTGAGACCCTGTCTCTACAAAAAAGAAAAAATTTGCTGGGCGTGGTGGCACATGCCTTTGGTCCTAGCTGCTCGGGAGCCTGAGGTGGGAGGATTGCTTGAGTCCGGAAGATAGGGGCTTCAGTGGGCCATGATTGCACCACTGCACTCAGCCCGGGCAACAGAGCGAGTGAGACCCTGTCTCAAAACAAAAACACAAACAAAAAAGAAGTGATAGAAGCCTAAATTAGCAAAATAGTGAGATGGAAAGACGTGAACAAAGTTAAGAGAAATTTAGAGGCATAATAGGGCCTCATGATGGAGTCAGTATGGGTGGAGGAAAAGAAGTAGAGTTCAGGGCTTCTGGATTGGGAAACTGAGTGGGGGGATGGTGATGAAGGAAAGGCAACAGGGTTGAGGAAGATGATGATGAATTCAGTCTTGAACATTTCAGAAGTACCTATTGGATCACCACAAAGAGAGAAATAATAGGCAGTTGAATAAATAGGTCTGATGTGCAAGAGACAGACCTGGCTAGAGATAGATAATTGGGAGTACCATTAGCATACAGAATAAAGAGTTGAGAATGTAGAGGCAGAAGAAAAGACTCAGGACAGGCCTGTGAGCAAGAGATTTCTATTATTAGGGGTACTTATCTGATTAACTGTAAATCAGGACAAAGAAGACAAGCAACATCAGGAAATTTTATTGTGAGTTGACATTAAATCTTTGTTTAGTTTAGAATTGAAATTTAGGATTGTTAGTGAGAGCACATGTGCTGTCTTACAGAATTATGTTTCTTGTTATTTTCATTGTCAGAATTTATTTTTACTTATAAAAAATTCATTTCCCTTTCATACAGCTTTTAAAGTATTTTATTATTAAAAATATATGCTTATAGGCTAGGTGCAGTGGCTCACGCCTGTAATCCCAGCAGTTTGGGAGGCTGAGGCGGGCAGATCACCTGGGGTCAGGAGTTTGAGACCAGCCTGGCCAACATGACAAAACCTCATCTCTACTAAAAATGCAAAAATTAGCTGGGCATGGTGGCACATACTTGTAATCCCAGCTACTTGGGAGGCTGAGGCGGAAGAAGTGCTTGAACCTGGGAGGTGGAGGTTGTAGTGAGCTGAGATTGCGCCATTGCACTCCAGCCTGAGTGATAGAGCAAGACTCCGTCTCAAAAATAAATAAATAAAAATAAAAATATGTGATTATAGAAAATTTGGAAAATATTTTTTAAAAATACAAGAGGAAAATTAAGTCCGCCCATAATCCTACTACCTAGAGATAGTTAAGGTTTAAGTGAATTTCCTTCTGTGCCTTCTCTGGATAAATGGATAGACGAGTGAATGATACTATAAATAGTTCTCTTTCTTTTTCAGTGCATTTTATATTTTATTTTAAATTCCTTATAAAATTATTTTAATGGCTATATAATATTTCCTTATATGCATATATCATACTTTGTTATTTACTTTGACCCAGTAATTTCTCTTAAGGTATTTTCAGAAAATGATTAAAAATTTGGGCAAAAATGATGTGAAAAGATGTTCATTATAGTAATTCTAGTCTTCTTTGTTCTATTTTAATGTCTTGTAGGTTAATATTATTGGTAGTTAATTTACTAAAATTTTTACATAGACCTTTACTGATTGCATTTTAGTAATTTTTCTTTTTTGTATCTTAATTACAAATTAGTGCATATTTGTGTTTTTAAAATAAGCAATACAAAAGTGTCTAAAGTAAAAATGGGAGTCCTTTTTCTAACCATTCTTCCCCCACCCCCACCCTTAACGGGCAGCTACTGTAAACAGTTTCTTTCTTTGTAGCTTCCATATCTTTTTGTGCTAACTCATACTGGAAATAGTTGAATATTTAGAGTTGTTGTATACATAAAGTTATTAACATTGCATTTCTTTGGAAATATTCTACAGCACATTTTTTCCTCTGGTTGATTCTAGCACCTTTCCTCCTTCTTTTTCCATAATTGTTACTGACACAGGATTGTAGTTAAGGAAAGATTTCAACCAAGGGCTACATTTGTATTCCCAGTGAACAAATGCTTTGCCCTGGACCATCCAAGTTTCATTCTTAGGCCGGGAGCGGTGGCTCACACCTGTAATCCCAGCACATTGAGAGGCCAAGGCTAGTAGATCACTTGAGATCAGGAGTTCGAGACCAGCCTGGGCAACATGATGAAACCGCATCTCTACTAAAAATACAAGAAAAAAGTAGCCTGGCATGATGGCACACACTTGTAATCCCCAGCTACTCAGGAGGCTGAGGCAGGAGAATCTTTTGAACCTGGGAGGCAGAAATTGCAGTGAGCCAAGATTGTACCACTGCACTCCATCCTGGGCAACAGAGTGACACAGTCTAAACAAAAAAAAACACCAAAAAAAACTTCTTAAAAATCATGATCTTGAGAAAAATTTTTTGGGCGGGGAGGGGTGGCGGAATTTGCTCTATCACCCAGGCTGGAGTACAGTGGCACAATCTTGGCTTACTGCAACCTCCACCTCCTAGGTTTAAGCGATTCTCCTGCCTCAGCCTCTCAAGTAGCTGGGATTATAGGCATGCACCACCATCCCTGGATAATTTTTGTATTTTCACTAGAGACAGTATTTCGCCATGTTAGCCAGGCTGGTCCTGAACTTCTGACCTCAGGTGAACCCACCTGCCTTGGCCTCCCAAAGTGCTGGGATTACAGGCATGAGCCACCGTGCCCGGCCAAGAAAAAAAATTTTTTTTTTTTTTTTTGAGATGGAGTTTCACTCTTATTGCCCAGGCTGGAGTGCGATGATACTATCTTTGCTCATTGCAACCTCCACCTCCAGGGTTCAAGCGATTCTCCTGCCTCAGCCTCCCAAGTAGCTGGTATTAAAAGCATGCGCCACCATGCCCAGCTAATTTTGTATTTTTAGTAGAGATGGGGTTTCACTATGTTGGTCAGGCTAGTCTCAAACTCCTGACCCTCGATGATCCACCAACCTCGGCCTCCCAAAGTGCTGGGATTATAGGCGTGAGCCACCATTCCTGGCCTGAGAAAAAAATTTGCCTCTGCTTCACAGCAGCTACCTACAAAGGGAAAGAACACTGTTGCTAGTCACTAAGTAATAATAGCCCCAGGAGGGCAGACATCAGGAGCTTTACCATATAACATAGTAGCTAAGTAAGGCATTTGATTGTAGGAAAATCTGTTTAAAAGCGTATAAAAACATAGGCCAACTTTGTTAATAAAATTCTCACTTTCTAGTGTAGTATCGTAATTGTATTAGGTAAAGACATTCAGAATACAAAATAACCCATAGAAGTAAAGAGCATAGAGTCTAGTACCAGGCTGCCTAAATTTGAATTCTAATTTTGTTAATTATTAGCTGTGTAGCCTTGGGCAAGTTGCTTAGCTTCTTGGTGCCTCAGTTTTTCTACATAGTAAAATGGGATAACAACCTATTTCAGAGGGTTGCTGTAATAAATATGTTAATATCTACAGATTGCTTATAGGTGCTGTGAATTTATTTGCTATCATTATTTGTAGGAGTGAGGATTTTTTGTTTTGTTGTTTGTTGGTTTGGTTATTTCTCGACTCATTGACTAAATTTTCATTTTCCTGGTCTGGATATGAAAACTTTGGGTTTTTGTTAAATCTGCTTCCTTTAACTTACTCGTAAAAGAACAAATTCTGAGCTATCACAAGCTGCAGAGAAAAAATTATGTTTAGACTCAGTCATTTTTCTCATTATGCACAAAATGTTGAAATATGGGAAGGGACATTTGCTCAAATTTTAGGCAACTTGCAGGATGTTAAAAAAAAAATACTCAGGAAATGCTGGGCGCGGTGGCTCACTCCTGTAATCCCAGCACTTTGGGAGGCTGAGGTGGGTGGATCACCTGAGGTCAGGAGTTCGAGACTAGTCTGACCAATATGGTAAAACCCTGTCTCTACTAAAAATACAAAAATTAGCTGGGCATGGTGGCAGGCGCCTGTAGTCCCAGCTACTCGGAAGGCTGAGACAGGAGAATTGCTTGAACCTGGGAGGCGGAGCTTGCAGTGAGTCGAGATTGTGCCACTGCACTCTAGCCTGGGCGACAGCAAGACTCTATCTCAAAAAAAAAAAAAAAATACTCAGGAAAGAGTATTTTTTCAGAAAACTAGCATTTTTGAAAGTTATGTAATATAATGCCTTTACAAAATTATTTCCCTTTTAAAAAGAAAATCTCTCATTGTTTATGTCCAACATTTAAAATCAAAATTAGCTTACCTTGAATGTTGTCATTTGTGGGAGACAGTGTATTGTGGCCTTTGACATCAGTTCTGACGAATAACTTAATCTCTGAAGACTGTCTCCTCATCCATAAAATGAGATTGGATCTACAGGGAGGTAGGGGAATAAGAAATCCATAGTGGGGCCGGACATGATGGCTCATGCCTGTAATCCCAGCACTTTGGGAGGCCAAGGCGGGCAGATCACGAGGTCAGGAGTTTGAGACAGCCTGACCAACATGGTGAAACTTCTGTCTCTATTAAAAATACAAAAATTAGCCAGGTGTGGTGGCAGGCGCCTGTAATCCCAGCTGTTTGGGAGGCTGAGGCAGGAGAATTGCTTGAACCTGGGAGGCAGAGGTTGAAGTGAGCCGAGATCGAGATCGCATCACTGCACTCCAGCCTGGGTGACAGAGCAAGACTCCGCCTCGAGAAAAAAAAAAAAAAAGGGGGGGGGAGGGAGGGAGGAAGGGAGGAAAGGAAGGAAAGGAAGGAAGGAAATCCATAGTGGTGGGTTAGCTTAAGGCTTGGTGTGAGGCAGGTGGATGTTGAAATCTGTTAAGGCTAGGCAGAGACTTCTGAAATAGAATGGGGAGCTTTTACATGCCTGGTGAGACAGAGGGAGACTTGATATGGTTCCACTGTGAGATGGGCCTGAGGGTCAGCTCTGGCTCATCTCTTAGGCTAACAGTGTAATAATAATCATTTGCTTCTCTCTCCCAACCTCCATCATCTCCTAAGCTTTGTCAGTTTCTATTTCCAGAATATCCCTATTTAACTCCCAACTTAAATTCTGCCTTCTCCAAGCAGATCTCTAAGAAATTAGAAGGAAGTAGGCGCTCCAATTAAAATCACATTTACCTTTCACCGTAATTTTTTAGACTTTGTACTTTAAATACTTACTAACATCTGCCCTGCAGTGCAGGTATTTATATATGCCTCCCTCACTAAGTATTAGCTGTTACGTATTAGGAATCCACAATGCTTATGACAGTAGTCTTTATGCTGTAAATTCTCAGGTAATGTTATTGAAAGTCTTTATGCAGTGCACCTCTAATGCTCAATCCTTCATCCACTGGCCTTTAGTTACTTTTGCATGTGTGTATAAGCTTCCTGATTGTATTTCAGCAGCCCTTATAAAATGACTGTAATTGTCATATGCCACTGTAAAAGTGAGGCACTTTTAAAACATTAAACTAGACATGTATCTCTACAGTCTTTATGTGCAATCTTTTTTTGTAAATATTGCAAGTTTTTGCTGCTGTTTTGAAATAATCAAAGACAAAACAGGTAATATAAAGTTACAATCTAAGGCTAAGGCAAATTTGTTTATACTATTAGTCATTTGGTTCATTCGAATGCCTGATAATAGAGTTGAGTGCAAGATTATTGGTAGTAAAAAGCAGGACTTTTCACTGGAGACTCTTTAAATGTCCAGGTACCCCTGGCAGTCTTTCCATGCTGTTTTTAGGGGGCAACTTATACCTCACTTGTAACTTGGAGACCTTATTGAAATACTTCAGGATCTTACTTCGAGTCTTTCAGCCCTTACTGTGAGTTTCTCTCATCAAAAGAAGTAATGTTTCTATAGGGTTTCACTAAAATAATACTAATTTGGCCTGGGCGCGGTGGCTCACGCCTGTAATCCCAGCAGTTTGGGAGGCTGAGGCGGGTGGATTGCCTGAGGTCAGGAGTTCGAGACCAGCCTGGCCAACATAGTGAAATCCCATCTCTACTAAAAATACAAAAAATTATCCAGGCGTGGTGGCGTGTGCCTGTAATCCCAGCTACTAGGGAGGCTGAGGGGGGAGAATTGCTTGAACCCGGGAGGCGGAGGTTGCAGTGAGCCGAGATCGCGCCATTGCACTCCAGCCTGGGCAACAAAAGCAACACTCCATCTCACAAAAAAAAAAAAAAAAAAGGATACTAATTTGGAAATACTAATTGTAAATTATTTTCTACAGCCCAAAACTAGTTACACTGTATTTCCTATGAACATTTTTTGTGGAATGCTTCAAGAGCTACAGTACTCAGACCCACTTATTTGATTTTATGTGAAGTCTTAGTTCTAATTAGTATAAAGCAAATAAAGATACTTTTTTCTCAGAAGAGAAAAATCAAGCAGAGTCATAATTACTTTGGCATATAGCACAATGAAAAGGAGTCATCATTTTAGGGGATATTTTTTGCTTCTGTAATGAAATAAGTGGAGTTAAATTTGTGCAGCAATATCCAATGGGCTATTTTTCTCTGGGCAGGTAGTAAGTTTTCAGTTTGTGATACCCAGTAAACAGTGAGTTGTGTCTGTTAAATGTCACTAGTACTTCTCATTATTTTTAGAAGTCACAAGCTGTAACTGACAAGTCAGAATACAGAGATAAGTTAGAACAACTCTGCTTTAGTATCAGCAAGTCTCCAGTTACCCTGCATTAATGAGTGTTTTATTAGACTATTTCTGGAGATTGGTTCAATTATAAGCAAGCAGAGCTATCAGAAAATGCCAGGTTAGCTGATCTGATTTCAGAGCCCATCTTTCCAAATCAAGCTTTCCTGTTTCCAAATATGATGAAAATGTTTGGCAATTTTGTCAATTAATTGTATTATTTATGTTAATTTATTGTCATATTTTTTAAAACTTTGTTCTTTATGTTTCTGTATTGTTTTTATTGGAAAGTCAGTAAAGAAAAGTAAATAGGGAATAGAGATGCTTACTTCTCAATAAGTTGACTTTGAAAGTGGTTTTTTTAATTAATATATTTCTATGTTCAGGGATTAGATTATATAGTGCCAGTGAGGTACCTGGGGATTAGGAAAGAAGAGGCAAGTTAGATGGGACTGACTCACTACCTACTGTGCTAACGAGGCACCAGGGAAGCATGTTATAATTTAGGGTATGTGGGCTATCATTTCATTAGATTACAGTTGCCAGGGTAAGCAGATCGTGGGGAAGAAAGAGGGTTTCTCCACCATCCATTCTGCTGAGGCTGCTTCAATTTTCTCTCTACACAGCCCTAATCTCTTAGACCCAGAACTTTTAAATTCCTAGAAGAAGAGGGGCCTAAATATATCTTACATACTTTTCCTTTCCCCTCTTCATTTAAATTGACTAAAATTAAATGTTCAACATCTTCATCTTATGTTTCATGTAGTGAACTGCTTAATGTTATCTGTCTTGATTTGGCTTTTGTTTTTTTCCCCTTAGAATTGCTACAAACTAGTGACCTTAAATCTAGGGGATATCTTTGGCAATTAGAAGACCTCAAAATGGTTTTGGGTCTTGAAATGGCTTGTAGAGTATCAGCAGGTTTTTTATTTTTTTATTTTTTTTATTTTTTTGAGACAGGGTCTCTCTCTCTATTGCCCAGGCTGAAGTGCAGTGGCGCGATCTTGGGTCAGCAAAGCCTCTGCCTCTCAGGTTCAAGCAATTCTCCCACCTCAGTCTCCCGAGTAGGTTTGGGATTACAGGCGCACCACCACGCTTGGCTAATTTTTGTATTTTTAGTAGAGACAGGGTTTCACCATGTTGGCCAGGCTGGTCCCGAACTCCTGACCTCGTGATCCACCTGCATCGGCCTCCCAAAGTGCTGAGATTACAGGCGTGAGCCACCGCGCCCGGCCCAGGTTTTGATTTTGTAAGCTGTCTCCATTAGTTGAGACAGTTGTCAGCCAAAAGCCTTAGCTCACGTTGTATTCTTTCTGCCTGGCAAGTCAAGAGACCCTGTTTCAAGATGATTCCACCCTCTTGTTCTTCTTCCAAAAAACACTAAAGCCTTCAGAACCACTTTTCAAAAATAGGAACATTTATCTTGCTGATCTTTCCTTCTTCTAATTCTTGATGAAGGAAAGGAAAAAAGTGCATCGCAATACTGAAATTTAATCACTAGTCTAAAAGTCTTTAACAGTCTTCACAAAGGCATTAAATACTTTTTTCTATTTTTAGTAATTGTATTTGAGTTGCTGAAACACTGAAAGCATTTAAACAGTTTCTTCATCCTTCATTTCCAAATATAAGACAATTTTTTATGAGAATATAGGCAGAGCTGAAGTGACCATTTGAGAAAAGTTTAACTGGTAATTTCTTTTTTTTTTTTTGGTCGGAGTCTCGCTCTGTCACCCAGGCTGGAGCGCAGTAGCACGATCTCGGCTCACTGCAAGCTCTGCCTTCTGGGTTCATACCATTCTCCTGCCTCAACCTCCCAATTAGCTGGGACTACAGGCGCTTGCCACCACGCCTGGCTAATTTTTTTTTGTATTTTTTTGTAGAAACGGGGTTTCACTGTGTTAGCCAGGACCATCTGGATCTCCTGATCTCGTGATCCACCCACTTCGGCCTCCCAAAGTGCTGGGATTACAGGCATGAGCCACCGTGCCCAGCTGATAATTTCTTTAAAATAGTCTATAGCAAATGTATTTTTTTTTTTTTTTGACAGAGTCTCACTCTGTTGCCAGGCTAGAGTGCAGTGGCGTGATCTCGGCTCACTGCAACCTCCGCCTCCTGGGTTCAAGCAATTCTCCTGCCTCAGCCTCCCGAGTAGCTGGAACTACAGGCGCCCGCCACTACGCCCAGCTAATTTTTGTATTTTTATTAGAGACGGGGTTTCACCATCTTGGCCAGGCTGGTCTCGAACTCCTGACCTCATGATCTGCCCATCTCAGCCTCCCAAGGTGCTGGGATTACAGGTGTGAGCCACTGCGCCCGGCCTAGCAAATGTATTCTTGGTTTTGTTTTCAGATATCATATGACCTCAAGTTCATTTTTTGTAGAAATTATTATAATGTTTCCAAAGTTTAAATTATCTTACGGTTATTTCAAGGTGTCAATAATATCACACTGTCCCAGAGTCAGCAGGTATTCTCACAGTGACTCATGAGGCCATTTTTAGTTTTCCCATTTGTATGATTGGACACTGCCTGGAATAGTGTCCTGGAATAAGTGTCAGGAATATCTTCCTTTTGTTCTGGAGTTCTCACTGCCATGAAGGGCAGTATTCATATTGGGAAATGGAGATAACGGAAGATCCAGAGAACACAAATTGGCTTTGAGTCATGTGATTAGGCTTCCTGAGAGGTTCAGTGTCACCCTGACTATCTCCTTAGAAGTGTGGATGTTGAACCAGAACAGTGCTCCAGAAGGAGTGCTCAGTTTCATAGAGCAATCTGTGTTTTTTAGAAAAAGAATCCTTTTGCTAATGTAGTGAATATTGGGGGCAAGTTGAAATTTTGCATTTCCTAACGTCTTTTATTTATGCCTAGATGATGGACCATTTGGATTGTGCAACAAATGAAGAAAACCCTGTGATATCTGGTGAACAGATTGTCCAGCAATAATATTATGTGGAACTGCTATAATGTGTCATTGATTTTCTACAAATAGACTTCGACTTTTTAAATTGACTTTTGAATTGACAATCTGAAAGAGTCTTCAATGATATGCTTGCAAAAATATATTTTTATGAGCTGGTACTGACAGTTACATCATAAATAACTAAAACGCTTTGCTTTTAATGTTAAAGTTGTGCCTTCACATTAAATAAAACATATGGTCTGTGTAGTTTCCGAGATGTACTATATACAGTATATTTTTCTAAAAAAAAATGCCTTGACCCACCCCTATACTTTTTTTTAACGAAATCTGTTTCTTTCAGCTCTGATGGTAGATACAAGTAGTTACTATTTCTGAATGGGTTTTACTGTAAAGAATTATGCAAATTGGCCAGGCGCGGTGGCTCACGCCTGTAATCCCAACACTTTGGGAGGCCAAGGCGGGCGGATCACGAGGTCAGGAGATCGAGACCATCCTGGCTAACACGGTGAAACCCCTCTCTACTAAAAATACCAAAAATTAGCTGGGCGTGGTGGAGGGTGCCTGTAGTCCCAGCTACTGGGAAGGCTGAGACAGGAGAATGGCGTGAACCCGGGAAGTGGAGCTTGCAGTGAGCCAAGATCACGCCACTGCACTCCAGCCTGGGCGACAGAGTGAGACTCCATCCCAAAAAAAAAGATTTATGCAAATTATATCTGCTCTGTAGAAATAACTGTTTAACACCATGCAAGAAGGCGGTTCAACGGTGAAAATTTGGACCTTATATCACTGCAGAGGTTAGAAATACATAATTTTGGAAATATAAGTGCATATTTTTGTAGTATTTTTTTAAACCCAATCCTTTCATAAACTTGAGAACTGAAATTACTTCAGACTGCACGTGTATTATATTAAGAACATTTTTCCAGATATAGAGAAACATAATATATAGAACTAGTCACTAAAAGGAGACAGACACTGAAATCTAGTTTTCATTGGTTTGACAGCCTTTTTTTTTTAAATGTAGCTTAAATTTCAGTACTAACATTCAGTTTCACTTTGGTATTTCTGATCTTTGCAATTTGGTTCTGTTAATGTTAAGGTTTGATTTTTTAAAAAAATTATTTTTCTTAAGAAATTATGTATTAATACATATGGCTCATCGTTGAATACAGCATTCCTAACATTATCCCACATTCCCCCACTCCCACCCGTTATCTTTTTTTCTTCCTGATGCCCACCCCTTTTCCCATAGGTAATGATTCTTAATCTTGGTGGAGGATGTACAAAGTGCGGTTCAGAGAAAAGAATTGGCAACAACAGCAAGAGACTTGGTGTTAGTCTCAGTTTAATTACAATACAAGGAAGAGTTGAGTAATTTGCCGCATCTCAAGACCTTGTATCTCAGTTTTCTTTTTTTTTTTTTTTTTTTTTTTGAGACGGAGTCTCGCTCTGTCGCCCAGGCTGGAGTGCAGTGGCGGGATCTCGGCTCACTGCAAGCTCCGCCTCCCGGGTTCACGCCATTCTCCTGCCTCAGCCTCCCAAGTAGCTAGGACTACAGGCGCCCGCCACTACGCCCGGCTATTTTTTGTAGTTTTAGTAGAGACGGGGTTTCACCGTTTTAGCCGGGATGGTCTCGATCTCCTGACCTCGTGATCCGCCCGCCTCGGCCTCCCAAAGTGCTGGGATTACAGGCGTGAGCCACCGCGCCCGGCCATATCTCAGTTTTCTAATCTGTAAAATGAGTAGGTTAGACCAGCTAATCACTCTGGTACCTTCCAACTTGAAAAAAGTTTTTTCCCCATTCTTTGGTAAATTTTAGATGTGGCCTGAACATTCTCCTGGAAGTCAGAGGTCAAATTATCTTTCCATTTTCTTTTATTTTAGTAAGAATTTCGCAAATGACAAGTGATAACAAAGGCAGCAGGATTTTTCATTTCTCTGTAAATAATGTATAAAATATGTGAACAGAACTATATCTTTCATCTAAGGCCAGTTCAATTTATTAAAAATAAAACTAATGCCTTTTAAAATTGATCAGACCTTTGATACTTGAACTAAATTTTGCATTAGAGACTTTTTAAAAATTGTTCGCTTTTGCTGAATAAATTGCAAATAGAGAAGCTTCATTGACAGTCAGTCCCTCTCTGCTTAATGCAGTTATGGGTCCTTTCGTTTATGGCAAATGACTTACCTGACAAGAGTTAATTTTGCCTCCATTGTATCAAGTTTGAATATTTTCCAAGAAATCTGATTTATTTGGCAGACTCTGAGAGAGAGAACAGATTAAGTGCCGTTTTAAAACTCTGTATTTTCATTTATAATAATAAAATATTTGCCAAAATACAGCTGTTTTGTAAAATTATCTGCACCCTCATCCAAGCTTTATATTTAATAGCCTTAATCACATTTTATGAAGAATGTTAAAGAAAATTTTTTTTTTACTACATCGAAATGAGATAATTAATTTCTTTTTTTTTTTTTTGGAAATGGAGTCTCCCTCTGTCACCCAGGCTGGAGTGCAGTAGCAAGATCTTGGCTCACTACAACCTCTGCCTCCTGGTTCAAGCAATTTTCCTGCCTCAGCCTCCCAAGTAGACGGGATTACAGGTGCGTGCCACCACACCTGGCTAATTTTTGTATTTTTAGTAGAGACGGGGTTTCACCTTGTTGGTCAGGCTGGTCTTGAGCTCCTGACCTCATGATCTGCCCGCCTCAGACTCCCCAAGTGCTGGGATTGCAGGCATGAGCCACCGCGCCTGGCAAAATAAGATAATTTCTCAAAATAATTTGGTTTCATATAACTGGAGTAGTAATTAATATTTTAACTTCATCAACTAGATGTATCTCCTCAGTAGCATAGTAACTGGTACATCCAGAAATCTGAAATCCGAGTTACTTGATACAAATTCTACTTTATCTAACCATTAGTTATTAAGGAGGTAAAATCTTGTTCTAATTTGCTATTAAAATCTTATTGGTTAAATAGAAATAAGAAAAAGTATAATTAAGTTTCTTCATCCTCAATGTCAACTTTATATTGTAATTAAATGTGTAGCAACCAAGCTGACAATAGTGATTAAGAAATTAAAGTACAGAAATATTTTATTTGGGGACTCAAAATGAACAAAAGATAGATAAGATTAAAATTTCACTTAAAAAGCTGCCATCTCTTCCTCTCTTGCCCTCCCACCACCAATAACTTTAAGGGGAAGAGAAGCTGGTTTTTTCCCTAAACATGTCTTTAAAATAATGATACACTGTATTTATTAATTCTTGATGCAAAAAAAAAAAAGTTAGAAAATCCCTTTGAACATTTTTGTGGCTTATCAACAGAAATCACTATCTCAAATTGTAATGTAGATTACTTTTGTCTCAGTTTAGTTTAGCAAAAATAAATGTGAGGCTTGTGGGGAAAGACCTTGATATTCTAATACATTATATTTTCTTCTAGCTTGTAGATTTTTTTTTTTTTTTTTTTTTGAGACAGAGTTTCGCTCTTTTTGCCCAGGCTGGAGTGCAATGGCATGATATCAGCTCACTGCAATCTCCGACTCCCGGGTTCAAGCAATTCTCCTGACTCAGCCTCCTGAGTAGCTGGGATTATAGGCATGTGCCACCACACCCGGCTAATATAGTATTTTTAGTAGAGACGGGGTTTCTCCATGTTGATCAGGCTGGTCTCGAACTCCCAACCTGAGGTGATCCGCCCGCCTCAGCCTCCTAAAGTGCTGGGATTACAGGCATGAGCCACCGTGCCTGGCACTTGTAGATTTTTTTTTAGATTAGCAATTCCTTAGTAGAATCTGCAATTTATTTCTCTTTTAAAGAGAATTTTAACCCATCTGCTATTGGCATTCTTATATTTTACTTGTCCATAGAGATTTTAGTGAATTGATACATTTATAATAAATACAAATGAGCTTTCCAGTTTTCTTTGCTCTTTCAATTTATGCTTTAGTATAAGCAAAAATTACTATTTTTACATTTTTAAAAATTGTGGGTACATGTAGGTGTATATATTTATGGAGTGCATGAGATGTTTTGATACAGGTATGCAATGTGAAATAAGCGGATCATGGAGAATGGGGTATCCATTCCCTCAAGCATTTATCCTTTGAGTTATAGACATATTTTACATTTGAATAAAAAATATTTGAACTAAGGCCGGGTGCGGTGGCTCACACCTGTAATCCCAGCACTTTGGGAGGCCAAGGCGGGTGGATCATGAGGTCAGGAGTTTGAGACCAGCCTGACCAACATGGTGAAACCCCGTCTCTACTAAAAATACAAAAATTAGCTGGGTGTGGTGGGGCTCGCCTGTAACCCCAGCTACTCAGGAGACTGAGGCAGGAGAATCGCTTGAACCTGGGAGGTGGAGGTTGCAGTGAGTCGAGATCACACCACTGCACTCCAGCCTGGGCGACAGAGCGAGACTCCATCTCAAAAAAAAAAAAAAAAAAAAAAAATATATATATGTATATATATATATATATATATGTATATATGAACTAATTTATTTAGGCTTAATCTCTAAAATTTCAGCCTGATCTTAACCAATGAAATTTCAAAAACAAAAACTGTACTTCAGTCTACAATTGAATGGAATTCAGTGTAGACCAGTACAATGGAATGTACTGGCTGAGATGGGAGGGTCCCTTGAGCCCAGGAGTTTGAGGCTGTAGTGAGCTGTGATTGTGTCTGTGAATAGTGACTGCACTCCAGCCTAGGTGACATAGCAAGATGCCATCTCAAAGAAATATAGATATATAACATAAAATAAATAACTTTATACATTTCCTGGAGGAAAAGTACTCTGTAAATTCAAGAGATCTGAATCAAATTACTCAACCTTTTGGAATTTGATCCTCTACTGTAATACTCATATGCTAGATTACTGAATTTTCAGAGTGAAAAAAAATTGACAGGGTAATATATAGGCCATATTATAGTGAAGATCATAAGTATAAATGTCCTCGTTTAATCTTTCCATATTGAGGACAGCCTCTGCATATAAAAATGTTCATTGGGAGAAAAATTATTTTTAAAACTAAATTTTTATAGTAGTCCTCCATTACTGGCAATTAAGGAGCAACCCACAAAATGTCATTATGTGGTTCTTTGATTAGGCATAAAAAGTATTGCAAACAGCTTTTCTATTCCTTTGGAATATGAATCTTTTTAATGTCTAAAGTTAACCTGCAACATTTTCTAGTAGGACAAGTCAATGTAAATTAGGTAATTTTTGCCT
Organism: Homo sapiens; assembly: GCF_000001405.40. NCBI lineage: Eukaryota > Metazoa > Chordata > Mammalia > Primates > Hominidae > Homo > Homo sapiens. Next base: position 50,702,574 of record NC_000015.10, on the reverse strand, counting down.
GTTTTATACCTTCTGTTGCATTTTGTTCAAATGAAAACATTTTTTAAAACATGATTGAATTTTTACTTCTCAGATAATTGGTTTGAGTGTGGAATTTCTTTTTTAACACTTTGATATGTAAGTTAGTGTAAATTAATACTTTTATAACACTACTAGGCTTTATATTTTTATGGAATGTTTTAAAATTTGAAATTTTTGAAGTGTTAATTTAGCAGTACTTTATCATTATGTGCCAATACTGACAAGAAAAACAATTTTTTATGTATTTAATATACTATGGTATTCAATAAATTCTATTTTAAAATAAAATTTGAATTTGTTTTATTTTGAATGAGGAAACTAATTGAAAATGAACTAACAGTGTGCTAGATAGATCATGTTCATATAACACAAAAATGGTAATAATTGCTTAAGAAATTATGTAGCTATTTAGGTTTTACAAATTATCCTTAAAACCTAGATTCTGGCCGGGCACGGTGGCTCACACCTGTAATCCCAACACTTTGGGAGGCCGAGGTGGGCGGATCACGAGGTCAAGAGATGGAGACCATCCTGGCCAACATGGTGAAACCCCGTCTCTACTAAAAATACAAAAATTAGCTGGACGTGGTGGCATGCGCCTGTAGTCCTGGCTACTCAGGAGGCTGAGGCAGGAGAATCACTTGAGCTGAGGCAGGAGAATCACTTGAGCCCGGGAGGTGGAGGTTGCAGTGACCGAGATCGTGTCACTGCACTTCAGCCTGGCGACAGAGCAAGACTCTGTCTCAAAAAAAAAAAAAAAAATAGATAAATAAATACCAAGGTCTATATAGGCTATTTTTTACCAAAAAACAAAGTCCCACCCCTTGTGATGAACAATCCTGGCATTTGCATTTTTGCTGATATTGTTCCCAGAAATTACCAAGATCCTTGCTGCCATTGTACTTTCTTTTTAATTCAGATGAGATTGGCCTTGATATGTATTGTAGTTTGTCTTGATGATATGTTGAGAAAATCCTGTTCTTCCCTCCATACAGGAACCTTCTGTCATACTACAGGCCCATATATCTGGAAAGATACATAACTTTCCAGAAACTGGAAAGAGTGGCTTTTTTTTTTAGGGAGAAAGGAAGTAAGATGGCTAGGGCACCGGAGTGAGGACTTTTCCATGTATACTTTTTTTTTTTTCTCATATTTAATATTTTGAAAAATAGAGACGAGGTCTCACTATGTTGCCCAGGCTGGTCTCAAATTCCTGAGCTCAAGTGATCTGCCTCAACCTCCCAAAGTGCTGGGATTACAAGCATGAGCCATCAAGCCCAGCCTATACTCTTACTTTCTGCATTTTCTATCATATGCTTCTGTTATGAATTTAAAATACAAATACCATAAGAATCTACTGAGTTAATTTTGGGGGGATGTTATAAAATTTATTCGTTTAAACATTCAGATAATTATTTTTCTCTTAATAAATAATCATACTAACAGCTGGTTAAATAGTAAATTATTCATATCATTTTCTTTTTTTTTTTTTGCGACAGAGTCTTGCTCTGTCGCCCAGGCTGGAGTACAGTGGCACAATCTTGGCTCACTGCAACCACCCCCTCCCGGGTTCAAGTGATTCTCCTGCCTCAGCCTCCCAAGTAGCTGGGAATACAGGTGCACGCCACCACGCCACACCTGGCTAATTTTTTGTATTTTAGTAGAGACGGGGTTTCACCGTGTTGCCCAGGCTGGTCTTCAACTCTTGAGCTCTGGCAATCCGCCTGCCTCGGCCTCCCAAAATGCTAGGATTACAGGCGTGAGCCACCATGCCTGGCTAATTTTTGTATTTTTAGTGGAGACGGGATTTCACCATCTTGGTCACACTGGTCTCGAACACCTGACCTTGTGATCTGCCTGCCTCGGCCTCCCAAAGTGCATGAGCCACCTCGCTTGGCCAGATCAATAGTTTAAAATTTTTTTTGTTGTGACGCTTACCCTACTGACCCACGACAAATTAAAAATAAAGCAAAAATTAAAATATCACTGAAAAGCATTAGTGCCAGAAAATGAAAACAATGACCATTCTAGGTAACACTGATGATAAAATGTTCTCTCTAAAAAAATTTTGGAAATTCCAATTACCTGTGTATGAGCCCTTAGAATAGAAGCATTGCACTTGTAGCAATAGCCAGACTTCTTAGCGGACTTCTGGAGAGAGATCGCTGTAAACTATAGTAAGGCACTAATTCTTTCTTCCTTAGGAGGCTATGGGCAAATATTAACAGTTCCTAGTCAGCTAAAACTGAATGTCTACAGTTTGGCATATCATTCTGTTAAAAGCAATTTAACAATTTAGATCAAAGAGTCACTTCTCTAGATTAAGTGGGAAAAGGTACCAATTGGCTTCTAATTAGTAAGTCACCTATAAATAGGCTCTGCTACCTATTTAATTATATAGAAAACCAAATAATTTTTTTATAAATGTGAAAAATGTTTCATCCACAAATGTGTTAATATGTATGTGCAACACTTTTCCACTGAAGTCTCACCAACTATTGACCAAATTCAGTCCCTTTCAATGCAGAGAAATAAAATATACAAAGGCAGTTGCCAAGTCCTCTCCATTCTGTCTTCCAGTTGTCTCAAAAGAGTTCCAGGAATCACCATCCCCACCACCACTAAATTAACTTAATCTGTCTGTACTGTAACAGTTTCTTAATGGGTCTTCCAGCCATTAATTGTGCCACTGATTCCCTTTCCACATCATAGCCAGTGATCTTTCCAAAGTGGAAATCTGATCATTCAACTACAGTGCTTTAGAAAAACCCTTAACAGCACCTAATTTATCTAAGAATAGTCCAAAATCGTTAGCATGATTTTTTTTTTTTTTGAGATGGAGTTTATACAATGGGAAATTAAGTTGGAAATGAACAGGGGCTACACTAGTCAGACCTTAAAAATCACATTAACGCCTGGGCGCGGTGGCTCACACTTGTAATCCCAGCACTTAGGGAGGCCAAGGCGGGCGGATCACCTGAGGTCGGGTGTTTGAGACCAGCCTGACCAACATGGAGAAACCCCCTCTCTACTAAAAATACAAAATTAGCCGAGCATGGTGGCCCGTGCCTGTAATCCCGGCTAATCGGAAGGCTGAGGCAGGAGAATCGCTTGAATCCAGGAGGCGAAGTTTGCGGTGAGCCGAGATCGAGCCATTGCACTCCAGCCTGGCGACACAGCAAGACTCCGTCTCAAAAAGAAAAAAGAATAATGAGACAAGGATTGACTTGGTGGCTCATGCCTGTAATCTCAGCACTTTAGGAGGCTGAGGCAGAGCTCAAGATCAGCCTGGGCAACATGTGGGACCTCGTCTCTAAAAATAAAATTAAAACAAAAAAAGACAGAGGGCCGGCGAGGTGGCTCACGCCTGTTATCCCAACACTTTGGGAGGCTGAGGCAGGCGGATCAACTGAGGTCAGGAGTTCAAGACCAGCCTGGCCAACATGGTGAAAACCTGTTTCTACCAAAAATACAAAAAATTACCCAGGCATTGTGGCAGGCACCTGTAATCCCAGCTACTCAGGAGGCTGAGGCAGGAGAATCGATTGAAACCGGGAGGCAGAGGTTGCAGTGAGCGGAAATCCTGCAGTGAGCGACAGAGCAAGACTCCATCTCAGAAAAAAAAAAAAAAAAAAAAAAAAAAAAAAAAAGAGGAAAAATAAAAACAGTGAGACATGTATATATACACTCATACACATAAAAACCCATACAGTAACTTTGAATTGATGCCATTTATCTTGCATTTTAGGATATTCCTTAGCTCATCTTACAATGTTAAAATTTTATTATAATAAATTGACATTAACAATGTTAATATATCATAGAAATAGAAATGTGATTACATCCAGTGTCAGAAAATCAGATCTTTTTTTTTTTTTTGAGACAGTCTCGCTCTGTCGCCCAGGCTGGGGCTGGAGTGCAGTGATGCGATCTCAGCTCACTGCAACCTCCGCCTCCTGGTTTCAAGCGATTCTCCTGCCTCAGCCTCCCGAGTAGCTGGGATTACAGGTGCCTACCACCACACCTGGCTAATTTTTGTATTTTTAGTAGAGATGGGGTTTTACCATTTTGGCCGGGCTAGTCTCGAACCCCTGACTTCAGGTGATCTACCCGCCTCAGCCTCCCAAAATGCTGGGACTACAGGAGTAAGCCACCGTGCCTGGCCCCAACAATAATATTCTTAATCAACATAGGGCTTTGCTGAATTCAAAGGGGAATTTCTCTCTATGGTTACCAGTAATTTGTCCTGGCTTTTGCCCAAATCTAGTCACTTGGGGCAGAGTTTTAGAGCTTTAGGAAGAAACTTTTTTCCCTTTTAGAAATAAACACAGGCCAAAGAAAAGGTTATTAAAAGTGGGAAAATATGCCAGGCACAGTGGCTCACGTCTGTAATCCCAGCACTTTGGGAGCCCGAGGCAGGCAGATCACGAGGTCAAGAGATCGAGACCATCCTGGCCAAATAGTGAAACCCCGTCTCTACTAAAAATACAAAAAAAAGTTAGCCAGGCGTTGTGGGGCGCGCCTGTAATCCCAGCTACTCGGGAGGCTGAGGCAGGAGAATCGCTTGAACCCGGAAGGTGGAGGTTGCAGTGAGCCAAGATCACACCACTGTACTCCAGCCTGGAGACAGAGCAAGACTCTGTCTCAAAAAAAAAATAAAGTGGGAAAATATTTAAAAATTTTTTAGTTGTATATTGTGTAAGTGATTAGCATATCACATATAATACAATTGAAAGAAGCCTGATTTTCATCCTCTCAATTATTCAAGAAATACTTATTGAATACTTATGATATGCCAGCCACTGTACTAAGGTACTGGGGTTAGAGATTAGTGTTTGAAACATTCCAGGTATTTTTAGTTGGCATTTTATAAGCTTTCCACTAGCAAATGAGGGTAATTCTTTTGAAAGAGTCCCTAAGAAAGAAAATCCATTAATCCTCTATCCAAAGTACAGCAAAATTTGTTGGAACTGGTTTAATCACCTTCTGCTTATATAAACAAAGGCTTCTGTAGTCATTTGCCAGGCATCTATGAGTGTCTGAGTTTAAATGACAGAGAAAGTTACATAAAATGGAGATCTCATATATTGACTCTATCTTTGTTTTCATGCTTTAAACAATTTTAATTGTTTTAATGTTGTCAACATTCTACGTCCTTTCTTTTTAAAATTTTTTCTTAGAGTCAGGGCCTTGCTTTGTTGCCCAGGCTGGAGTGCCCAGGCTGGAGTGGCATGATCATGGTTCAATGCAGCCTCAAACTCCTGGGCTCCAGTAATCTTCCCGTCTCAGTCTCCCATGTGCTGGGATTACAGGCGTGTTCCCTGTGCCTGGCCCTAAATCATTTCTTTTTATTTATTTTTATTTGTATATATATATATTTTGAGATAGCATCTCACTCTGTCACCCACGCTGAAATGGGATGGTGCAATCACAGCTCACTGCAGCCTCGACCTCCCCTGGTTATTCTCCCACCTCAGCCCCCTGAGTAGCTGGGACTAGAGGCACGTGCCACCATGCCCAACTGATTTTTGTATTTTTTGTAGAGACACAGTTTCGCCATGTTGTGCAGGCTGGTCTCCAGTTCCTGGGCTCAAGCAATCTGCCCATCTCAGACTCCCAAAGACTCCCACTTACAGGCGTGAGCCACCGCACCAGCCCTAAATAGTTCCTTTTTAGTTTTGCGATAAAGTGTGTGTCTCTTTTTCAGTTGCCCAGGGACTCACACTGATGGCAGATCCATTCAGAGAGAAGCCAGAGGCATGATTAATGTGGAAACAATCACATAAGCCAACAATTGGTATCTAGTGCATTAAACAAAGATCTTTGACTGGACCGGGCGCCGTGGCTCATGCCTGTAATCCCAGCACTTTGGGAGGCCGAGGCGGGCGGATCACGAGGTCAGGAGATCGAGACCATCCTGGCTAACACGGTGAAACCCCATCTCTACTAAAAAATACAAAAAATTAGCTGGTCGTGGTGGCGGGCGCCTGTAGATCCAGCTACTCGGGAGGCTGAGGCAGGAGAATGGCGGGAACCCGGGAGGCGGAGCTTGCAGTGAGCCAAGATCACGCCACTGCACTCCAGCCTGGGCGACAAGCCAGACTCCGTCTCAAAAAAAAAAAAGATCTTTGACTCGTTGATTAAACAGGTTGAGGTAAAGATTTTGTGAGAGACTGAATCACATACAATCTGTTTTCTATTGTTAGTGACAGATTTCTCAGTTGTGACTTACTGTCACAAGAGGTAATATAGCATAAGGCTCAAGGGCACAAACTCTGGAATTAGACTGTAATGGTTGAAATCCTGGCTCTGCCCTGTGCCTCAATCTTCTCCTTTGTGCAGTGGAGGAATAATAATAGCATCTGGCTTACAGAGTTGAAAGGAGCTAATGAGTTAATACATGTTAAGTGAATAGAACAGCACCCAGCAAGTAAAAAACCACATAATAAATGCTAGCTTTTCAGTATAAGAAGGGAAGGACTCTCATGTCTTCAATAGCCCTACTTCAGATCCTTCAGGATTCTGCTTTTAGTTTGTGTTTTGTTTTGTTTTCTAGAGACAAGGGTCTCCCTATGTTGTCCAGACTGGTCTTGAACTCTTGGACCTAAGTGATCATCCTGCCTTGGCCTCCCAAAGTGCTGGGATCACCAGTGAGAGCCACTATGCCTGGCCTGCTTTTGTTTATCTAAACTTAAACTCTGGCTGGGTGTGGTGGCTCACACCTGTAATCCCAGCACTTTGGGAGGCTGAGGTGGGCGGACCACCTGAGGTCAGGAGTTTGAGAACAGCCTGGCCAACATGGTGAAACCCCGTCTCTACTAAAAATAAAAATTAGCTGGGCGTAGTGGTGCATGCCTATAGTTTCAGCTACTTGAGAGGCTGAGGCAGGAGAATCGCTAGAACCCAGGAGGAAGAGGTTGCAATGAGCCGACATGGTGCCACTGCACTCCAGCCTGGGTGACAAAGCAAGACTCCATCTCAAAAATAAAATAAAATAAATTTAAACCTCTATTTTTGTGAATGTCAACATTTTAAATAATTGTGGGAAACTATAAAACCTGAATACCATAAGAGATAGTAATTTTTTTTTTTTTGAGGCAGAGTTTCACTCTTGTTGCCCAGGCTGGAGTGCAATGGGCACAGTCTCAGCTCACCACAGACTCCACCTCCCGGGTTCAAGTGATTCTCCTGTCTCAGCCTCCAGAGTAGCTGGGATTGCAGGCATGAGCCACGACACCCGGCTAATTTTGCATTTTAGTAGAGATGGGGTTTCGCCATGTTGGTCAGGCTGGTCTCAAACTCCTGACCTCAGGTGATCCACCCACCTCGGCCTCCCAAAGTGCTGGGATTACAGTGTAATAAAAAGGCACCTGGCCTTTTTTATTTTTTTCATGGAGTCTCACTATATTGCCCAGACTCACCTCAAACTCCTGAGCTCAAATGATCCTCCCAAAATGCTGGAATAGGCGTGAGCCACCAGGTCCAGCAAAATACTATAATGATTCAATGTACCCATTGTCACTCATTTAAGAAAGTTAACAAACTCTCCTTCAAAAACAGGAAATTGTGGGCTGAGTGCAGTGGCTCATGCATGTAATCTCAGCACTTTGGGAGACCGAGGCGGATGGATCACCTGAGGTCAGGAGTTCAAGACCGGCCTGGCCAACATGGTGAAACCTCATCTCTACTAAAAATACAAAAATTAGCCCCGTGTGGTGGCGCATGCTTGTTAGTCCCAGCTACTCAGGCGGCTGAGGCAAGAGAATCGCTTGAACCCAGGAGGCAGAGGTTGCAGTGAGCTGAGATCATGCTACTGCACTCCAGACTGGATGACAAAGCGAGACACCATCTCAAAAAAAAAAAAAAAAAAAAGGATAACCAATTGTAACTAAAGTCTGCCATCTGTATACTTTGATGAAATGTCTGTTCAAATTTTTTACCTTCTCTTCAATGTTTTTAACTTCAGATTTTTTTAATTGGGTTGTTTTCTTAGTGAGTTGTTTTATTGTTTTGTTTTGTTTTTGTTTTTTGAGAAAGATTTTTGCTCTTGTTGCCCAGGCTGGAGTGCAATGGCATGATCTCGGCTCACTGCAACCTCTGCCTCCCTGGTTCAAGTGATTCTCCTACCTCAGCCTCCCGAGTAGCTGAGATTACAGGGATGCGCCACCACGCCCAGCTAGTTTTGTATTTTTAGTAGAGATGGGATTTCACCATGTTCGTTAGGCTGGTTTTTACTCCTGACCTCACGTGATCCACCCATCTCGGCCTTCTTATCGATTTTAAAGAGTTCTTTTTATATTTTGGATACCATCCCTTCCTTGATCAGATACGCATATTGCAAATATTTTCTTCCAGCCTGTGGCTTATCTTTTTATTCTCTTAATAGCATCTTTCACAAAGTAGAAGGGTTTTTGTTTTTGTTTTTATTTTTTGGGTTTCTTTTGAGACAGTGTCTCACTCTATCACCCAGGCTGGAGTGCAGTGGCGCAATCTCGGCTCACTGCCACCTCTGCCTCCCGGGTTCAAGTGGTTCTCATGCCTCAGCCTCCCGAGTAGCTGGGACTACAGGCATGTGCCACCATGGTTGGGTAATTTTGTTTTTTAATTTAATTTGATTTGATTGTTTCTTTGTTTTTGAGACAGAGTCTCACTCCATCACCCAGGCTGGAGTACAGCGGCACAATCCCAGCTCATTGTAACCTCTGCCTCCCAGGTTCAAGGGACTCTTATGCCTCAGCCTCCCCAAAAGCTGGAATTACAGGCACACATCACCATGCCTGACTACTTTTTGTATTTTTAGTAGACTTGGGGTTTTGTCCTCTTGGCCAGGCCAGTCTCGAGCTCCTGATGTCAAGTGATCCACCAGTATCGGCCTCCCAAATTGCTGGGATTACTGGCATGAGCCACCATGCCCAGCCTAGAAGTTGTTACTTATTTATTTATTTATTTTTGGAGATGGAGTTTTGCTCTTGTTGCCCAAGCTGAAGTGCAGTGGCATGATCTCAACTCACTGCAACCTCAGGCTCTGGGATTCAAGGGATTCTCCTGCCTCAGCCTCCGGAGTAGGTGGGATTACCGGCGTCCGCCACATCGCCTGGCTAATTTTATTTTATTTTATTTTATTATTATTATTTTTTTTGAGACAGAGTCTCACTTTGTCGCCCAGGCTGGAGTGCAATGGCGCGATCTCAGCTTATTGCAACCTCCGCCTCCCGGGTTCAGGCGATTCTCCTGCCTCAGCCTCCCGTGTAGCTAGGATTACGGGCACGCGCCTCCACGCCCAGCTAATTTTTGTGTTTTTAATAGAGACAGGGTTTCACCATGTTGGCCAGGCTGGTCTCGAACTCCTGACCTCGTGATCCTCCTGCCTCGGCCTCCCAAAGTGTTGGGATTACAGGCGTTAGCCACCGCGCCTGGCCTTTTTTTTTTTTTTTTGAGACAGAATCTCGCTCTGTTGCCCAGGCTGGAGTGCAGTGACATGATCTCGGCTCACTGCAACCTCCGCCTCCTGGGTTCAAGCAATTCTATTACCTCAGCCTCCTGAGTAGCTGGGACTACAGGTGCATGCCATCACACCCAGCTAATTTTTGTATTATTATTAGAGATGGGGTTTCACCATATTGGCCAGGCTTGTCTTGAACTCCTGACCTCGTGATCCACCCACCTCGGCCTCCAAAAGTGCTGGGATTACAGGCGTGAGCCACCACGTATGGCCTAATTTTTTGTATTTTTAGTAGAGACGGAGTTTCATTATGCTGGTCTCGAACTCCTGACCTCAAGTGATCTGCCCACCTCGGCCTCCCGGAGTGCTGGGATTACAGGTCTGAGCCACTGTGCCTGGCCTAGAAGTTTGCTTGTTGTTGTTGTTGTTGTTGAGACGGAGTCTCACTCTGTCGCCCAGGCTGGAGTGCAGTGGCGCGATCTCAGCTCACTATGAGCTCTGCCTCCTGGGTTCATGCCATTCTCCTGCCTCAGCCTCCCGAGTAGCTGGGACTACAGGCGCCTGCCACCACGCCCGGCTAATTTTTTGTATTTTTAGTAGAGACGGGGTTTCACCATGTTAGCCAGGATGGTCTCGATCTCCTGACTTCATGATCCGCCCGCCTTGGCCTCCCAAAGTGCTGGGATTACAGGCATGAGCCACCGAGCCCAGCCAGAAGTTTTTAATTTTAACAAAATCCAACATCAATTTTTTTCTTACATGGATTGTGCTTTTAGTGTTATATCTAAAAGTCATTTCCAAACTCAAGATCACCCAGATTTTCTTCTATGAGTTTTATTGTTTTTTATTTTCCATTTTGTCTAAAATCTCTTTTGAGTTAATCTTTGTGAAGGGTATAAGGTCTGTGTTAGATTTTTTTTTTCTATGTGGATGTCCTGCTGTTCCAGCACCATTTGTTGAAAAGACTGTCCTTTCTCTGCTGAATTGCCTTTTCTCTTTTGTCAAAAATTAGTTGACTGTGTTTGTGTGGGTCTACTTCTGAGGTCTCTATTTTGTTCCATTGATTTAGTTTGTTTATCCTTTTGCCAAAACACAGTCTTTATTACTACAGTTTTGTAGTAAGTCTTGAAGCTGGGTAGTATCATGTCAGTCCTCAACTTTGTTCTTCTCCAATATTGTGTTAGCTATTCTGTGTCTTTTGCTTTTTTACATAAACTTTAGAATTAGTTTGTCTATATCCAGAAAACAACTTGCCAATATTTTGATTAAGAGTGCATTGAATATATAGGTCAAGTAGGGAAAAACTGGTATCTTGACAATATTGAGTCTTCTTATTCATGTAGATGGACTATCTATGTGTTTAGAGCTTGATTGTTTTTGTCAGAGTTTTGCAGCTTCCTTCATATAAATCTTATACATATTTTGCAAGATTTATACCTGTTACTTTTTTTGGTGCTAATGTAAATGGTAATGTGCTTAAATTACAAATTTTAATTATTCATTTCCCCATATCATCTTTTTTAAGAGATGGCCTCTCACTGTTTTGCCCACAACTCCTAGGCTCAAGTGACCCTCCTGCCTCAGCCTCCTGAGTAGCTGGGACTACAAGTGCACACTGCTATGCCTAGCTTCTATATGATTTTTTTTTTGAGTTTTTTGGAGACAGGGTCTCACTATGTCACCCAGGCTGAAGTGTAGTGGTGTGATCTTGGCTCACTGCTACCTCCACCTCCTGGTCTCAAGAGATCCTACCACTTCAGCCTCCGAAGTAGCTGGTACTACAGGCGTGTGCCACCATGCCCAGCTAATTTTTGTATTTTTAGTAGAGATGGGGTTTCACCATGTTGCCCAGGCTAGTCTTGAAATCTTGGACTCAAGTGATTTGCCCATCTCAGCCTCCCAAAGTGCTGGGATTACAGGCGTGAGCCACTGCACCTGTCCTCTTATATGATTTGCTTTAAAATATTGACCTTGCTATGATACTTCTCTACCACAAAATTATACACATATCAATAGATTGAAGCACTGAGATGAAAGAGGTGTAATCAGAGTTAGTGCTTAAGGCAGTTGTCCTCAAACTGAGGTATATATGCCATGATGATGTACAAAGAGTTTCCAAGGAATATGGGTAGTATTAGGGGAATTGATATTTACATAATTGATTTTATAAGGGAAATTTAACTTCATGTTTCTCTTACTTCTACTTTCTTTTCTTTCTTTCTTTTTTTTTTTTTTGAGACAGAGTTTCACCTTTGTTGCCCAGGCTGAAGTGCAGTGGCGCAATCTCGGCTCACTGCAACCTCTGCCTCCCGGGTTCAAGCAATTCTCCTGCCTCAGCCTCCCAAGTACCTAGGATTATATGCATGTGCCATCACACCCAGCAAGTATTTTGTATTTAGTAGAGACAGGGTTTCACCATGTCAGCCAGGCTGGTCTCGAACTCCTGACCTCAGGTGATCCGCCCGTCTCAGCCTCCCAAAGTGCTGGGATTACAGGCATGAGCCACCACACCCGGCTACCCTCTACTATTTAGGAACGGTATCTTATCTTAATCTGACATGACACTCTGCATGCCAGAATCAAAGGACAGAGTAACATTTTAAGATTCTGGCCTATCAAGAGAGTTTATTTGTTTGTTCAACAAATATTTATTAAATGACTGAATGCTTGATGACACCTACTTAGTAGGCATTTAAGATGGATAAGGTTATGATCCTCATGCAGTTGAATGTTTAGTAGGGGATTAACAAGTAAGTTGGTTGAATACAACAGGATAAATGCTATAATAGAGAATATATAGGCTGGGCATGGTGCCTCACACCTGTAATCCTAGCACTTTGGGAGGCCGAGGTGGGCGGATCATTTGAGGTCAGGAGTTCGAGACCAGCCTGGCCAACATGGTGAAACCCTGTCTCTACTCAAAATTAGCTGGGTGTGGTGGCACGTGCCTGTAATCCCAGCTACTCAGGAGGCTGAGGCAGAAGAATCATTTGAACCTGGGAGGCAGAGGTTGCAGTAAGCTGAGATCGCGCCACTGCATTCCAGCCTGGGCTACAGAGTGAGATTCCATCTCGAAAAAAAAAAATCAAGAGACTCTTTATTATTATTTTTTATTTCTTTATTTTGAGACAGGGTCTTGCTCTGTCACCCAGGCTGGAGTACAGTGGCATGATCTTGCTCACCACAGCCTCAACCTTTTGGGCTCAAACAATCCTCCTGCCTCAGCCTCCGAGTAGCTGGGACTACAGGCACGCACAGCCACACTGGGCTAATTTTTCTAGTTTTTTTGTAGAGACAGTGTTTCACCATGTTGCCCAGACTGCATCATTTTATTCTCATAATATTTTGCTTAGCATTTTAAACAGCATAGTAGTAAGTGTTGAAATGTTGTAACTAGGCAAGGACAAGGAGGAGAATTAGTATGTGATCTAGTGAGAGTGAAAAATAGACATGCCATTGACCAAAATGGAAACAAAACCCTTCTGGAAAAAAGGTGTAAGAACATTTAACAAACATGTTCTGAAGCACTGAATTTATCAATCTTGTCATCACCGAACACTGACTATAACTGCTCCTGACATATTCTTAGACACTGAATATAAATATATATATTTCAAGATTTATTATTTATTTATTTATTTTTGAGACGGAGTCTTGCTCTTTCGCCCAGGCCGGACTGCAGTGGCGCTATCTCAGCTCACTGCAAGCTCCGCCTCCCGGGTTCACGCCATTCTGCTGCCTCAGCCTCCCGAGTAGCTGGGACTACAGGCGCCCGCCACTGCGCCCGGCTAATTTTTTGTATTTTTAGTAGAGACGGGGTTTCACAGTATTAGCCAGGATGGTCTCGATCTCCTGACCTTGTGATCTGCCCGCCTCGGCCTCCCAAAGTGCTGGGATTACTGGCGTGATATTTTTTTAAGAGACGTGGTCTTGCTACGTAGTCCAGGCTTGAGTGCGGTGGCTATACACAGGCACTATCCAACTACTGATCAGCAGGAATTCTGACCTGCTCAATTTCTGTCCTGGGTTGATTCACCCCTCCTTAGGCAATCTGGTGGTCCCTTGCTCCCAGGAAGTCACTACGTTGATGCTGAACTTAGCACAGCCACCCAATCCGCATAGCACACTACAGCCCAGAACTGGGCTCACATGAGCCTTCTGCCTCAACCTCTGGAGTAGCTGGGAATACAGACATGGGCCACTGTGCCTGACTCAATACATATTTTTTGAATGAATAAATTCATTCTCCAGAATTGATTGCTGATTGAAAGTCAGCATCTGTGAATTTCAAGGCTGGTTGATCACTTGAAAATTAAGGAATTTATTTTGATTAGTTCAATTAAGGATAAATCCTGTTCCCCATTTCTTTTCTTTTTCTTTTTTTTTTTTTTTTTTTGAGACGAAGTCCTGCTCTTGTCCCCCAGGCTGGAGTGAGATGGCGCGATCTCGGCTCACTGCAACCTCTGCCTCCTGGGTTCAAGCGATTCTTCTGCCTCGGCCCCCCGAGTAGCTGTGATTACAGGCGCCTGCCACCATGCCCAGCTAATTTTTGTATTTTTAGTAGAGACGGGGTTTCACCGTGTTGGCCAGGCTGGTCTAGAACTCCTGACCTCAGGTGATCCACCCGCCTCGGCCTCCCAAAGTGCTGGGATTACAAGCATGAGCCACCGCGCCCACCCAATCCTGTTCCCCATTTCTAACTCTAAATTTTCCAATTTACCAAAGAGTTCTGGCAAGTGCCAAGGAGCTCATCTTGTTTCATTTCTACACCATCCAACTAAGGAGCGAAGCATTCGTGAGTACAAAAAGACCAGAGTTACAAAGTTCTAACGAAACAAAGCACTCTAATCTCATTTTATTTTGATTTTCCAGTTTGTCTGCCTCTACCTTCTAGATTATAAACTCCCTACAGGCAGGAAATGTGTAGGCCCAACTGAAATCCAGAAGATAAACATTTATTGACTGCATGCATAAATTAGTCAAGATGCCTTCCCCAAGGCTGACAATTTAGTGTGACACATATATTAAAACATTTTTAAGTCTTGGTTCTGCTGGACCTGCCAGATGGGGAAGAAATACACAATACCTGAAGATTGTTCACAAGCTGGGGGAACCAGTGGGTGGATTAGTTTTTTTTCTGAGAGAAGATCCTACTTCAGTGAATTGTGGGTCATAATGTTTGAGAGGCAATAATTATGCTGAATGAAAGAAGTTAGACGGAAAAAAAAGGTGCGTGCTGTATGATTCCCGTATATAAAACTTTAGCATGTGCAAACTTATCTGTACTGAAAGTAGATCTGTAGTTGATAAGGGACGTGATGGAGAGGGACGAGATGAAGGGATTATGAAGGGGGGGGAGGAAACTTAGAGGTGAATACGTTCATTTGATTATGGTGATTTCATGGGTGCACAGGTATGTCAAAACTTATCAAATTGGACATTTAAATACGTGCAGTTTGTCATGTCAATTATTTTAAAATAAAGTCGTTTTTAAAAAAGAGATAAGACAGTCAGATCCCTGAGGGTCAGATTGAGGAACTCTCGAAGACTTCAGGAGCAGAAAGATGTTAAAGCAGTTTTAAGAAAATTAAACTGATTGTGGTCTTCCCAGTAGATAAGGAATAACATTTAGTAAACCATTGCTAATAGCCAAACCTTGGCATGTGTGACAGCAAAATAAATGGAAAGGTGGATAGGTACATATTACATCAAGGGAACAACCCAGTTTTTGGTGCAGAAGGTGTGGTGTATGCGTGTATGTGGGTGAGTATCTCTGGAGGGAAAAAGACAGTCCCATAGTTAAACAAAGAAGAATATTTACCGGCAGCAACAGGAGAGGCTAGAGAAAGAACATGATTGGGGTAAAAAGATGATTCTGCATTTTGGACGAGGAGAGAGTAACATTTAAAGCCTCTACTCGCTCTGAAGCACACAGAGTGTGTTGCGACACTCGAGTTTGCTGGAGCGAGTCGGCACAGGCCAGGCCTAGTTAGCGGAATGAGCCCACACAGCAACTCCAGACTGGATCCGCAAGCCTTGAACCTTAACCCTCAACCTCCGATTCCCCAAGTTCCACTCTCGTAGCTGAGGCTGAAGTTTGTCTAAGTCCCGCCTAGGTACCCAACGGAGATACGGCGTGAACACCCCACCACTTTCTGGGAACCCAGAGGCGGTCGGCGTGGCGGCGCGAACCTGCCCAGCGCGTGCGCGCGGCGCGCAGGGAGGCGGCCTGGAATCGAGGGAGCGCGCGCCCTTCACGTGACCCGACCCGCGGGCGGCGACGCACGCGCCGCGCCGCGCCGCTCACGTGGTCCGTCCCCAGCCCCGTCGCCGGCGGAGGCGGGCGCGGGCGCGTCCCTGTGGCCAGTCACCCGGAGGAGTTGGTCGCACAATTATGAAAGACTCGGCTTCTGCTGCTAGCGCCGGAGCTGAGTTAGTTCTGAGAAGGTTTCCCTGGGCGTTCCTTGTCCGGCGGCCTCTGCTGCCGCCTCCGGAGACGCTTCCCGATAGATGGCTACAGGCCGCGGAGGAGGAGGAGGTGGAGTTGCTGCCCTTCCGGAGTCCGCCCCGTGAGGAGAATGGTACTGGACCCACGCAGGCCCGGGCGGGGAATGGTTCTGGGGTTGCGGGCGGTAAAGGAGAGACTTGGCAGGCAAGTGTGTGGGGAGCCGCGTTCCATGCGGCGAAGGACCCTCGAATTGCCTTGAGGCTTCCGGATTTGTCCTCTCGGGACGGGTGTGCAGTTCGTTCTGGGGTGAGGGGCGGGAGCAGGTAGCAAGTTAGAGGCGACACCTCTTCGCGGGAATCCCCTGAGCCGAGACTCGGCTCCCAGCGAGGGCCTCTCCAGGCGGCAGAGGCGCGAGCCCGGGACTACCTGGCTGGGCTCAGCTGAGCGGCCTCAGCGCGCCCGACGCAGGGCTCAGCCTACAAGCTCCGCATCTCCTGGGAGCACGGTCCTCCTGGCGCCAGTTGCTGGCAGATAAGGGAACCAAATGCTCTGCTCAAGTTTTACATGGAAAAAAGGGAGGGAGGGCTAGAAGGGTGCAAAAAGGGGGTAGAGGACACGGGTTTGGAGCAGTGCCTTGTTTGCTGTGCAGCGGATACTCTACAGGTACATTTCCTTTTTGGAACCAAAAGGGAGGGATTTGACAATATTGATGGTAGATCTTTTTTCTTTAGCAAGAATTAAGGATTTTGGTGGGTGGGGGGAGGCTTCTGTGGGGACCAAGACAATGTACTGTCAGTCAGGATTTAAGTCGAACTACCGCATCCCTTGCCCCAGAGAACAGTTGATCGTGTTTTAAACCGAAAGGTGCGGAATGGAGAGAGGGAGGCGGTGCATTGCAGCTTCCGATAGAGCTTTTTATTTTTGGATATCAGGAACCAATTTTGAAGATTTCTTAAGAAAGTCATTTACATCAGGGACATGAAGAGCAAAGTAGGTATTTTTGGTCAGTACTTGAATTTGATAGGCTTTATGCAAACAACTCTCCCTCTGCTGGAGTCTGGCAAGTTTGCTTTTCACTGGACGCTAATTCAAGTGCCATACAAAACTAAAATAAGAGTTTTACTTATAACACAAATGTAGTAATACTTTGAATAAATAATGTGTCTTTCACTATTTTCCACCTTATTCTTTTTTGTTTGTTTGTTTTGAGACAGGGTCTCACTCTGTCGCCCAGGCTGGAGTGAAGTGGCGCGATCTCCGCTCACTGCAACATCCGCCTCCGGGATTCAGGCGATTCTCCTGCCTCAGGCTCCCGAGTAGCTGGGACTGTAGCCACCATGCCCGGCTAATTTTTGCATTTTTAGTAGAGACGGGGTTTCACCATGTTTGGCAGGCTCGTCTCTTAATTCCTGACCTCAGGTGATCCGCCCGCCTCAGCCCCCCAAAGTCCTGGGATTACAGGCGTGAGCCACCGCGCCAGGCCAACATGGGAGATTTCAAACTTGCAAAGATACATTGTAGAATGAACTACCATATACCCATTGGCCAGTTTCAACAGCTTCAACCATGTGAATTTTATTTCTTCTATCATTCCTCAATGGGATAATTTTAAAGCAAATCCCAGACAAATGTCATTTATGGATACTTTATTGTGTTTATGTCTAAAAAGACAAGGACTTTTTAACATAACCACAATATTATTATCATGCCTAAAAATTAATAATTGCTTAGTATCATTAAATATTCAGCATATTTCCCTGATTGTCTCATGTTTTAGTCAGTTGATTTGTTAGAATCAGGTTACAAAGAATTCTGCACATAGCATTTGGTCGGTAACTCTTTCAGTCTCTAGTACCTTCTCTCTTGGGGTGTGGGGGTGTCTTTTACCATTTATTTGTTGAAAGAAACCCATCATTTGCCTTGTAGAATTTCCATCAGTTTGGATTTTGTTGAATGCATCCCTGTAGTGTCATGTAACATGTTTCTTTCTCCTCTGTATTTTTTTTTCTTTTTTCTTTTTGTTTGAGACCGAGTCTCGCTCTGTTGCCCAGGCTGAGTGCAGTGTAGCGATCTCGGCTGACTGCAGCCTCCGCCTCCTGGGTTCAAGTGATTCTCCTGCCTCAGCCTCCCGAGTAGCTGGGACTCCAGGTGCGAGCCACCACACCCGGCTAATTTTTGTATTTTTAGTGGAGATGGGGTTTCGTCATATTGGCCAGGGTGGTCTTGAACTCCTGATGTCCAGTGATCTGGCTGTCTCACCTCCCAAAGTGTTGGGATTACAGGCATGCCCCACTTTGCCCAGCTTCTACTCTTTATTTCCTGTGAACTAGTTAGTAGTTAATCTAAAGACTTGATCAGTAATCGGGCGTGGTAATCCTAGCTACTCAGGAGGCTAAGGCAGGAGAATCGCTTGAACCTGGGAGGTGGAGGTTGCAGTAAGCGGAGATCCTGCCACTGCACTACAGCCTGGGTGACAGAGTGAGACTCTGTCTCAGAAAAAAAAAAAACGACTTAATCAGGTGGGGCGCAGTAATCCCCATACTTTGGGAGGCGGCGACAGGCTGATCCCGGATCACTTGAGGTCAGGAGTTCAAAACTAGCCTGGCCAACATGGTGAAACCCCGTCTCTACTAAAAATTAGCAGGGCGTCGTGATGGGCACCTGTAATCCCAGCTACTCGTGAGGCTGAGGCAGGAGACTCCGTTGAACTTGGAGGCGGAGGTTGCAGTGAGCCAAGATTGCGCCATTCACTCCAGCCTGGGTGAGAGTCTTTCTCAAAAAAAAAAGACTTGATCAGATTCTAGTTTCATACTTTGACAATACTCATAGATAGTACTATGTACTTTCTGTTGCATTACATTAAGAGGCACATACTGTCTTTGTTTTTTGAGAAGGAGTCTTGCACTTGTTTTTTTTGTTGTTGTTGTTTTATTTTGTTTTTTTTGGAACAGAGTCTTGCTCTTGTCACCCAGGCTGGAGTGCCTGGCTTGCTGCAGCCTCTGCCTCCTGGTTCAAGCGATTCTGCTGCCCCAGCCTCCCGAAGCTGGGATTACAGGCGTCCACCACCACACCCGGCTAATTTTTGTATTTTTAGTAGAGACAGGGTTTGCCATGTTGGCCAGGCTGGTCTCAAACTCCTGACCCCAGGTGATCCACCCGCCTCGGCCTCCCAAAGTGTTGGGATTACAGGCGTGAGCCACTGACCCTGGCTTCTTTTTTTTTTTTTAAATGTTAAGATTGACCAGTGGATTCGTGTTGTCTGATGCCTGATCTCTCAGTTGTGAAGTTCCCCATATGTTATTCATGTAGTAGTTTTTGTAGTAGTCATTTAGTTTTTGTCATTGATCTATTATTTCATTCTGGGTTTCCTTTTCTCCTTTCTTTTTGGGAAATCTTTCAACATATAAGTAAATTGCAGTTTTTTTTTTTTAAGTGACTGCCTGTTAAATGTCAAATGCTTTAAGTTTGGTACCTGGGTCAGGGTGCAGTGGCTCATGCTTGTAATCCTAGCACTTTGAGAGACTGAGGCGGGTGGATCCCTTGAGCCCAGGAGTACAAGACTAGCCTGGGAAAGATGGCGAAACCCAGTCTCTACCAAAAAAAATAAAAAAACATTAGCTGGGCATGGTGATGCGCACCTGTGGTCCCAGCTACTTGGGAGGCTGAGGTGGGAGGATGGCTTGAGGTTGCAGTGAGCTGAGATCATGCCACTGCACTCCAGCCTGGGTAACAGAACCAGACCCTGTCTCAAAAAAAAAAAAAAAGTTTGGTACCGGGAAGCAAAATTCAGTGGTTGAGGTTAGTTTAGGACATAAGCATTACTTGACTATGGGGATTTTAACTGAGTCATTTATGTGAATCAGTAAAAAGAACTTAAGATGGGTGTCACTTTTAGATGATGCTTTGCAATTATTAGATTAGTTGAATGTGAATACAGTGTTTGACTTGGAGAATTGGACCTCTTGTACTTTATACAAATATGATTAGTTCTAATTTAAATTGTTAGTTCTTTTAGAGATTTTGTTGACTTTTTGGTACAGTTAATTTTGGATTTAGGAAATTGCTCTGGAATTTTTTTTTTTTTTTTGAGATGGAGTTTCCCTCTTGTCGCCCAGGCTGGAGTGCAATGGTGCGATCTTGGCTCACTGCAACCTCCGCCTCCTGGATTCAAGTGATTCTCCTGCCTCAGCCTCTAGTAGCTGGGATTACAGGCACACACCACAACGCCCATCTAATTTTTATATTTTTAGTAGAGATGGGGTTTCACCATGTTGGCCAGGCTGGTCTCGATCTCTTGACCTCATGCTCTGGATTTTTTTAACCTGTTTTTCTGGGACTGTGTATTTAGTTTTCTGTCCACGTAGGGGTTTTAGAACCCTGTTAAAGGAATTTTGGTGTGTGGAGGTAAGCAGTTTTTTGAAGTTGATAAGTCAAGACTTGACTCTTGACATATTTTTGCCAGGTCACAGTCCTTTTTTTTTTTTTTTTTTGAGACTGAGTTTTGCTCTTTTGCCCAGGCTTGCGGTGGCGCGATGTCGGCTCACTGCAAACTGTGCCTTCCAGTTTAAAGTGATTCTCCTGCCTCAGCCTCTCGAGTAGCTGGGATTACAGGTGCCTGCCACCATGCCTGACTAATTTTTGTACTTTTAGTAGAGACAGGGTTTCCCCATGTTGGCCAGGCTGGTCTTGAACTCCTGACCTCAAGTGATCCACCTCAGCCTCCCAAAGTGCTGGGATTACAGGCGTGAGCCACCGCACAGTCTTTTATGAGCATCACTGTTATCTTCTCAATCTGTAAAAGGCAAATGATAATCTTTTCCCTACTTGACCTAAGGAGCAATATTAGGATTAAAGTCTGTGAAACACTGTTTACCCCTCTTACTATCATATAAACATGTCAATAACATAACACCTTAACTATCCAGCTGCCAGACTTCTGGAAACCTTAACCTTTGGAAACAAAGCTCCTTGTGGAAAGTGAGCAAAAAGCTTTTGAGCTAAGTCATCAATAATATAGCAACCCTGAGACAGAGTTCACTGATTGAAAAATGTGTGCAAAGTGAAATTTAACAGGCTTAGTTTTCTGCTTTCTGCTGGCAGTTTGGTAGTATGCTGGAGATAACAGGAGGAAAGTTACCTGAGAAGCAGACTATTACTGTTAGGAGGACACTGGAGAAACATAATTAGACTAGAAAGATAGGGCTATACATTAGCCTTTACTATATGAAATGATAGTCTTCCTAGTCTAATTTATCATACCCAGTACCCGGAAGATACTCTGGACTAAGAGAAGTGTGTAATAGGCTTTAGGCACATTTTTGCATTAGCTAATGTGTCGGCATTTAGCTGTGGCCATTGCTCTGAATGCTTTGTGTGTGTGTGTGTGTGTGTGTGTGTGTATTTATTTATTTTTGAGACGAAGTCTTGCTCGGTCATCCAGGCTGAAGTGCAGTGGCGTGATCTTGGCTCACTGCAACCTCTGCCTCCCGGGTTCAAGTGATTCTCCTGCCTCAGCCTCCTGAGTAGCTGGGATTACAGGCATGTGCTACCATGCCCGGCTAATTTTTGTATTTTTGGTAGAGACGGAGTTTCACCATGTTGGTCAGGCTGGTCTCGAACTCCTGACCTCGTGATCTGCCCGCCTTGGCCTCCCAAAGTGCTGGGATTACAGGCATGAGCCACCTCGCCCGACACTTTACATATATTAATCCCGCAGGAAAATTCTGTGATGTCAATACTGTTTTCTCCATTATTTATATATAAAGAGCAGAGAATCAAAAATCACTTGCCAACGGTCACAAGGCTAATAAGTGGTAGAGTAGGTGTTGACCTGCCAAACTACAGAAACTTGGAGAAGGCTTTTGATATTCAGGGACATGTATATTTGTAAGACCTCAGATGACAGGTGTTATGTCAAGTTAAAAAAGTTAAGGTTTTTTTTAAAAAAGTTATAACTTAAAAAGTTTGCTGTACTTGATTTTCTTCAAATGATAATGAAACCTAATAGAATTTCCTTTACTATCAAATTTCTGTGTATTAACCTTAGGACAGATAATTTACAACTCAGTTGTCTGGTTTTTGTTTTTTTTTTTTTGAGACAAGTGTCTCTCTCTGTCAATTAGGCTAGAGTTCAGTGGTGCGATCTTGGCTCATTGCAGACTCCGCCTCCCGGGTTCAAGCCATTCTCCTGCTGCAGCTTCCCAAGTAGCTGAGGTTACAGGTTGCGCCACCACATTGGGCTACTTTTTGTGTTTTTATTTTTATTTTTTAAAAATTTGTGTTTTTACTGGAGACAGAGTTTTGGCATGTTGCTCAGGCTGGCCTTGAACTCCTGGTCTCAAGTGATCTACCTGCCTTGGCCTCCTAAAGTACTGGGATTACACGCATTAGTCTGTATGCATTTTATTTTATTTTTATTTTTATATTTTTTGAGATGGAGTCTTGCTCTGTCACCCAGGCTGGAGTGCAGTGGCACAATCTCAGCTCCCTGCAGCCTCTGCCTCCCGGGTTCAAGTGATTCTCCTCTGTCAGCCTCCCGAGTAGCTAGGATTACAGGCACCCGCCACCATGCCCAGCTAATATTTGTATTTTTAGCAGAGACAGGGTTTCACCATGTTGACCAGGCTGGTCTCGAACTCCTGACCTCAAGTGATCCACCCACCTTGGCCCCCCAAAGTGCTGGGATTACAAGCGTGAGCCACCGCCCGGTCATGCATTTTATTTTGACAAGTGCAGAGACACATACTCTGGGGCAATCCTTAGTAGATTAGAAAAGTCATTAAATAGATTTCTGGATGGGTGTAACTCTTTGTTAAAAGCAGCAGGAAAAGACTGGGCATGGTGGCTCTTGCCTGTAATCCCAGTGCTTTGGGAGGCTGAGGCGGGAGGATTGCTTGAAGCTAGGAGTTTGAGACCAGCCTGGCCAACGTAGATAACCCCACCTCTACTAAAAATATAAAAATCAGCTGGACGTGATGGTGTGCGCCTGTAATCCCAGCTCCTTGTGAGACTGGGGCATGAGAATTGGTTGAATCCAGGAGATGGAGGTTGCAGTGACTCCAGATTGCGCCACTGCACCCCAGCCTGGGTGACAAAACAAGACTCTGTCTCAAAAAAAAAAAAAAATATATATATATATATATATATATATATTATATATATACACATATATATAATATATATATATATAAATGAAATAAAACCTGTAGAAACCTATCATGAATGTATCAACAAAAGTATCAACACCCTGCTCACTGATAGATAATGGGTTGATATGGCTTACTCGCAGTGTGAACGTCCAAGCGTCCAAGTTTTCTGTTTTGTTTTTTTTGGATAGTGTTTTGCTCTGTTGCCCATGTCAGAGTGCAGTGACATCATCATGGCTTACTGTATTCCCAACCTCCTAGGCTCAAGTGATCCTGCCACTTCAGCCTCCCAAGTACCTAAAATGACAGGCCCATACCACCAACCTGGCTAATTAAAAAATTTTTTTGACTGGGTGCGGTGGTTAATGCCTGTAATCCCAGCACTTTGGAAGGCTGAGGCGGGTGGATCACCAGGTCAAGAGATCGAGACCATCCTGGCCAACATGGTGAAACCCCATCTCTACTAAAAATACAAAAATTAGCCGGGCGTGGTGGCACGCACCTGTAGTCCCAGCTACTCGGGAGGCTGAGGCAGGTGAATCTCTTGAACCCAGGAGGTGGAGGTTGCAGTGAGCTGAGATCACGCCATTGCACTCCAGCCTGGGTGACAGAGCGAGACTTCGTCTCAAAAAAATTTTTTTTTTTGTTTTTGCAAAGATGGGTTTCTCACTCTGTTGCCCAGGTTGATCTTGAACTCCTGGGCTTAAGTGGTCCTCTTGCCTTGGCCTCCCAAAGTGTTGGGGTTACAGGCATAAGCCACTGCACCTGGCCTTAAGTTTTTAAATATATAGAACTTTTCTACCAATTGTTACAGAATTATAGATGCTTTTCAATAATATCTTTAAAACTCTCATAGGGTTCGTATCTAAAATGTCAGTAATATCTAATTATTAATTAGTTGAGTAGTTGGCAGCCAGTTTAGAGTAAGAGTGGAACTCTGTGACATAATAAAATTATGTATATGTGTGTGTGTGTGTATATATATATATATATATATATATTTTTTTTTTTTAAAGAATGGAACTAGAGAGTAGGGTCTGTAAGAGTGTCAGAAAGTCAAATGTATTGAACTCTGATAGGGGAAGTCAGAGAGTGCCAGCTTATTTCAACATTTTGCTTTAGGCTAGTCTTATTTGTCATTGTCTGTGTCACCCTTGGCAGGCATGTTGGTCACCCTTGGCAGGCATGTTGACCCATGTACAAATTTATCACATAACTCTGAATTTCTAGGTGTTGGTTTTTGTTTTTGTTTTTGTTTTTGTTTTTGTTTTTTTTTTTTGAGAGAGAGTCTCACTCTGTTGCCCAGGCTGGAGTGCAATGGTGCATCTTGGCTCACTGCAAGCTCTGCCTCTTGGGTTCACGCCATCCTCCTGCCTCAGCCTCCCGAGTAGCTGGGACTACAGGCGCCCACCACCACGCCCGGCTGATTTTTTGTATTTTTTTAGTAGAGACGTGGTTTCACCATATCGGTCAGACTGGTCTCAATCTCCTGACCTCGTGATCCGCCCGCCTCGGCCTCCCAAAGTGCTGGGATTATAGGCATGAGCCACTGCGCCCAGCCAATTTCTAGGTCTTTAGTGTCATTTAACTTTCTTTTCTTGAGCACATGAACTTTATTAGTAGGCAATTTCTTTTAATTTGATTACCGTTCTTTTGAATATGGGTCACATTTTCCTGTCCATTACCATATCTAGTCATTTTGGAGTGTATATTGGACATTGGGATTGTTACTTAGTAGAGGCTCTGGGTTACCTTTTGTTTTTTTTTTTTTTTTTTTTTTGATACGGGGTCTTGTTCTGTTGCCCAGGCTGGAGTGCAGTGGCGTGATCTCAGCTCACTGCAAGCTCTGTCCCCCAGATTCAAGCAATTCTTCTGCCTCAGCCTCCTGAGTAGCCGGGATTACAGGCGCGTGACACCACACCCGGCTAATTTTTGTGTTTTTAGTAGGGATGGGGTTTCACCATGTTGGTCAGGCTGGTCTCAAACTTCTGACCTTGCGATCCGCCTGCCTTGGCCTCCCAAAGTGCTGGGATTATAGGTGTGAGCCACCACGCCCAGCCTCTGGGTTCTCTTTTAATCCTGTGCTCTGTGTGTGTGTGTGTTGTTGTTGTTGTTATGTACTGAATGTGATCTCCCTCGCTCCCCGAGAATTCATATCTTGAAGCCCTAACCTCCAGTGTGATGGTATTTGGAGATGAGAACTTTGGGAGATGGAGGTAATCAGGGGTAGATGAGGTCATGAGGGTGGGGCCCTGGGTCTGATAGGATTTATGTCCTTAGAAGAAGAGATACCAGAGAGCTTATTCACTCCCTCTTCACTGTGTGAAGACACAGTGAGGAGGCAGCTGTCTGAGAGCCTTCATCAGACACTGGCCCTCCTGGAATCTTGATCCTGAACTTTCAGTCTCCAGAACTGTGAGAAAATTTGTTTCAGTTGTTATCCCACCAAGTCTGTGTGGTATTGGTTGTGGCATCCCAAGCCGACTAAGACAGTTGTTGATTAACTTCATTGTACTCAAACTCCAAACTGTCTCTCCTACAATGGGCAGCAGGAATATCTGCTCAGTTATTTTATTTAGCTGGGCTGCCTGGAGGCTGCCCCATGTGTACGATCTTCATGGGTCAGTGAGAGATTTGTGTAGAATTAATATTAAGTATTTAGGATTCCTTTTCTCAACTCTTGCGGAAACTTTCCCATCACTTTCCAGCTGCTGTTTTCACCTTGAACTGGGTATTCTGGTTCTATAAGTCAGTAAGACTGTGGGATTTCTATTGATATTTTGCTGTTCACTAGGCATAGGATGGGGACTGTTTTCAGGCAAAAAGCCTTAAAAATTGGGAAACTCACTCAATACCATTCCTTTATTCTAAGTATAGACTCCGTCTGGTTTCTGCTTGCTTTTGGTTGCTCTTCAGTGTCCTCAAGTCTTTTTTATCTTTTTATTAAAAAAAAAATTTAAACGATAGAGATGAGGTCTCGCTGTGTTGACCAGGCTGGTCTCAAACTCCTGGCCTCAAGCAGTCCTCCCATCTTGGCCTCCCAAAGTGCTAGGATTACAGGTGTGAGCCACTGTGTCTAGCCTCTTTTTTATCTTTTGTCCAGAATTTATGGTGGTTATCTGAGGGATGGTTAGCCTAATAGGACCTACTTCTCCATAGCTAGAATTTTCTAATTTTAATATATATAATCATAGAATGTATTTGTTAAAAAAAAATTTGATTTCCACATGTTACCTTAACAGCAGAATTTTTTAGGAATCTTTAATTTTTTCCCCCAATTTTTGCTAGCAGCATCTAGGCAGGAAGGATGTGCTGGTAGTGATTTGTTTAGAGAGTAAGGTGTGCTTAGGTTTATTTGTAATACATGTCCCTTATTGCTGGTAGACTGGTGTAAGAATTTATAATTTAAGGAGTTTTGAAGTGATCACCATCATAGTTGAAATTTGACTATGTGCCATGCATTGTGCTAAAACAACTTACATGGATCATTTTGTTTAATCACCAGAGTAACATTGTGAGTAAGTACTGTTGTTATCCTATTTTACAGGTAAGGAAGCAAAAAGAGGCTCTGAAACTTGCACAAGGTTGCACACATAGTAAACAGCAGAGCTGGGATCCTAACTCAGACCAGTCTGATTCCAGAATCTGTACTATTTAACCACTGAAGATCACCAACTGATCTTTAAGATTCCCTGCTCTACTAGCATTCTGTGGATATAGTTACTTTTTACATTACTTGGAACATACAAATTTAGGAATTTTCAGATTTGTGTTTGTAGTTTGCCACCTCTTGGTAAAATCTGGTAGTGCAACCTAGCAAAATTAAAAAGCAAAGTGTATAAAACTAGGATTTTTATATGTATTTATAACCAGGGCACATTTGATTGGGTAACTGATGGCAGAGAAGAAACTTAGAATTTCAAAAACTATAAAAACTTTTTTTTATCATTAGGTGATATTTACAACTTTCAGCTGGGGTATGTGAATATTGGATTTGTGAAGCCGATTCCTGTGTAACAAGTGAAGGCCGTAAATGATGAGAATGCTACGTGTGGGAAGAATGTATGTACATTTGGCTGTTACATAAACAGAATGAGAGGTAGTAAGTTTTTGAAATAAACAAAATTGGTGAATGAGGTAGGGAAGGCTGTAGGAGATTTTCTTTTTTTTTTTTTGAAATGGAATTTTGCTCTTGTCGCCTGGGTTGGAGTGCAATGGCGTGATCTTGGCTCACTGCAACCTCTGTGTCCTGGGTTCAGTCGATTCTCCTGCCTCAGCCTTCTGAGTAGCTGAGGTTACAGGTGCCCGCCACCATGCCCAGCTAATTTTTATATTTTTAGTAGAGACTGGGTTTCACCATGTTGGCCAGGCTGGTCTCAAACTCCTGACCTCAGGTGATCCACCTGCCTCGGCTTCCCAAAGTGTTGGGATAACAGGCATGAGCCACCGTGCCCAGCCAGGAGATTTTCTTGAAACATGCTAATGTCATTATGTGTCCCTGTAGGCATAAAATTTAGTAAAAATCTGTGAGTATGGGAGTGACACAATTTAAGTGACTTTTAGCAAATTGTTTGCTAAAGTTTTGGGTGGATTTGCCAATGAGAAACAACTCTGGTTTCCAGCTCTTGGAAAAAACCCAAAACTATGGGATGTAGTAGAGGGGATGATATATTCGAAGTGTTGAAGAACAAAAAAACAAAAACAAACCCATTATCCAAGAATACTGTACCTGGCACAGCTCTCCTTTAGAAATGAAGGAGATTTGAAGATTTTCCCAGACAAAAGCTCAGAGACTAGACCTGTGTTACAAGAAATGCTAACAGAATTTCTTCAAGCTGAAAGACAAGGTTGCTAATTAGTAACAAAAAGAATATGAAAAGTATGAAACTTACTGGTAAATGTAAATAGAGTTAATTTAGAATACTCTAATACCATAATGGTGGTATGCAAATCATTTGTATTTTTAGTATGAAGGTTAAAAGACAAAAACCATTAAAAATAATAATAGCAACAATAATTTGTTAAGGGATACATAGTACAAAAACATATACATTGTGACATCAGAAATTTATTAGAAACCAGGCACTGGCTGGGTGCCACGGCTCACCCCTGTAATCCCAGCACTTTGGGAGGCTGAGGCGGGTGGATCACCTGAGATCAGGAGTTCAAGAAAAGCCTGACCAACATGGTGAAACCTCATCTCTACTAAAAATACAAAAATTAGCTGGGCTTCTGGGCATGGTGGCTCACGCCTGTAATCCTAGCACTTTGGGAGGCCGAGGCAGATGGATCACTTGAGGTCAGGGGTTTGAGACCAGCCTGGTCAACATGGTGAAACCCCATCTCTACTAAAAATACAAAAATTAGCTGGGCGTGGTGGCAGGTACCTGTTATCTCAGCTACTCCAGAGGCTGAGACAGGAGAATCGCTTGAACCTGGGAGGTGGAGGTTGCAGTGAGCCGAGATCATGCCATTGCCCTCCAGCCTGGGCGACAGAGTAAAACTCCATCTCAAGAAACAAAACAGAAAACCAGAATGCAATAATACCACCTTATTCCAGCAAGAATGGCCATAATACATAAAACAACAAATAATAGACATTTATGTGGATGTGGTAAACAGGGAACACTTCTACACTGCTGGTAGGAATGTAAACTAGTACAACCACTATGGGAAACAATGTGGAGATTCCTTAGGATACCATTTGATACAGCAGTCCCACTACTGGGTATCTACCAGAGGAAAATAAGTCATTATAAGAAAAAGATACTTGCGTACGCATGTTTATAGCAGCGTAATTCATAATTGCAAAAATGTGGAACCAACTCAAATGCCCATCAAGTCAACGAGTGGATAAAGAAACTGTGGTATATATATATATATACGAGGGAATACTTCTCAGCCATAAAAAGGAATGAATTAATGGCATTCACAGTGACCTGGATGAGATTGGAGACTCTTAATTCTAAGTGAAGTAACTCAGGAATGGAAAACCAAACATCATATGTTCCCACTCATAAGTGGGAGCTGAGCTATGAGGACGCAAAGGCATAAGAATGACACAATGGACTTTGGGGACTCAGGGAGAAAGGGTGGGAAGGGGGTCAGGGATAAAAGACTACAAATAGGGTGCAGTGTGTACCGGTCGGGCAATGGGTGCACCAAAATCTCACAAGTCACCACTAAAGAACTAACTTATGTAACTAAACACTACCTGTTTCCAATAACCTATGGAAATAAGTAAAAAACAATAAAAATAAAAAATAGTATAGGTGTATAAGGCATTTACTGTGAATGGAGCTTGTGGACCTGGAAGTTGTTCTGGGCGAGTCAGTGAGTGAGTGGTGAGTGAATGTGAAGGCCTAGGGCATTACACTTATGTAGACTTGATAAACACTGTACACCTAGCCTACACTAAATTTATAAAAAGTATTTTTTTATTCAATAATAAATTAACGCTAGCTTACTGTAACTTTTTAATTTAACAGATTTGTAAACATTTTAAAACTTTTTGACTCTTGTAATAACACTTCGTATAAAACACATTGTACAGCTGCATAAAAACATTTTCTTTATATACTTATTCTATAAGCTTTTTTTTTTTTTTTTTTTTTTTTTTTGAGACAGAGTCTCACTCTGTCACCCTGGCTGGAGTGCAGTGGCTCACTGCAACCTCTGCTTCCCTGGTTCAAGCGATTCTCCTGCCTCAGCCTCCTGAGTAGCTGGGATGAGAGGCATCCGCCACCACACTTGGCTAATTTTTATATTTTTAGTAGTGATGGGGTTTCACCACATTGATCAGGCTGGTCTCGAACTCGTGACCTCAGATGATCCGCCTGCCTCAGCCTCCCAAAGTGCTGGGGTTACAGGCGTGAGCCACCGCACCTGGCTACTTTTTTCTATTTCAACATTTTAAAATTATTTTACTTTTTAAACTTTTTGTTCAAACCTAAGGCACAAATATACACGTTAGCCTAGGCCTACACGGGGTCAGGATCATCAGTAGAATTGTCTTCCACCTCTCATCTTGCCTCATGGAAGGTTTTGAGGGACAATAACATGAATGGAGTTGTCATTTTCTATGATAACAGTGCCTTCTGGAATACTTCCTGAAGGACCTGCCTGAGGCTGTTTTACAGTTAAAAAAAAAAATAGGTAGGAGTGGCCGGGCGAGGTGGCTCACGCCTGTAATCCTAGCACTTTGGGAGGCCAAGGTGGGCGGATCACGTCACGAGGTCAGGAGATCCAGAACATCCTGGCTAACATGGTGAAAATGTCTCTACTAAAAATACAAAAAATTAGCTGGGTGTGGTGGTGGTTGCCTGTAGTCCCAGCTGCTCAGGAGGCTGAGGCAGGAGAATGGCGTGAACCCGGGAGATGAGCTTGCAGTGAGCCAAGATCATGCCACTGCACTCCAGCCTGGGCGACAGTGAGACTCCGTCTCAAAAAACAAAAACAAAAACCAACCAAACAAAAATAGGTAGGAGTACACTCTAACCATAAAAAGCGTAGTCTAGTAAATACATAAATCAGTAACATAGTCATTTATTATTACAAAGTATTATGTACTGTACATAGTTGTATATGCCATACTTCTATGTAACTGGCAGTGCAGGTTTGTTTACACCAATATCAAAACAAATACCCAAGTAGTCCTGGTGCTATGAACTTATGATGGCTGCGATGTTAGTAGGCCATAGGAATTTTTTTTTTTCGAGACAAGTTCTCTCACCCAGGCTGGAGTGTAGTGGCGTGATCATAGCTTACTTTAACCTCAAACTCCTGGGCTCAAATGATCCTCCCACCTTAGCTTCCCAGGTAGCTGGGACTATAGGCAGGCACCAACATGCTTGGCTAATTAAAAAAAACTTTTGTAGCGACAGGATCTCATTATGCTGCCCAGGTTGGTCTTGAACTCCTGGCCTCAAGCAGTCCTCTCATCTCCTCCTCCCACGGCAAGGTGCTGGGATTACAGGTGTGAGCCATTGCACCCAGCCTGCAATAGGAATTTTTCAGGTCCATTATAATCTTATGGGACCACTGTTAAATATGCGGTCCATCATTGACCTCAGTGTTGTTATGTGGCACATGACAGTATGCACAAAGGAATATCATTCAATCTTAAAGAAGGAAATTCTGTTTTTTGTGACCTGGATGGGCCTGGAGGACATTATGTTAAGTGAAATAAGCCAGGAACAGAAAGACAAGATACTACATGGTCTCACTTCTGTGTAGAATCTAAAAAATTGAACTGATAAAAGTTCAATTTCTGGATGGAGAGTAGAATGGTGGTTATCAGGGACTTGGGTGGGGATTGCTGGGGAAATGTTGGTCAAAGGATGCAAAATTTCAGTTAGGAAGAATAATTTCAAGAAATCTTCTGTACAACATGGTGACTACGCTAAATAACAATGTATTTTTGAAAAATACTAAGAGTATATTTTAAGTGGTCTCACCACAAAAAAATAGTATGTGAGGCAATGTATATGATAATTAGCTCGATTTAGCCATTCCGCAATGTATAGTAGCCCCCTTTTATCTGGTCTCAAATTCCTGAGCTCCAGCAATCTGCCCCCATTGGCCTCCCAGACTGCTAAGATTACAGGCAAGAGCTACTGCACCTGGCCTACTTAATATGTTTTGACACGTTTTGGCACAGAGTTGTTGATAGTATCCTCTTATTATTTTCTTGCTTTTTTTTTTTTTTTCTTTTTCTTTTTTTTACAGTAAAGTGAAGGCAAGTTTATTAGGAAAGTAAATAAACAAAAGAATGGTTACCCCATAGGTTGAGCAGTCCTGAGGGCTGCTGGTTGCCCACTTTTATGGTTATTTCCTGATTATATGCTAAGCAAGGAGTGGATTATTAATGAATTTTCTGGGAAAGTGGTGGGCAGTTCCCAGAACTGAGGGTTCCTCCTCTTTTTAAACTATATAGGGTAACTTCTGAATGTTGCCATGGCATCTGTAAACTGTCATGGTGCTGGTTAGAGTGTCTTTTAGTATGGTGATACATTATAATTAGCATATAATGAGCAGTGAGGAAGAGGTCTACTCTGTTGCCATCTTGGTTTTGGTGGGTTTTGGCTAGCTTTTTTAGTGCAACCTGTTTTATCAGCACAGTCTTTATGGCCTATATCTTATGTTGGACTCCCATCTCATCCTGTGACTTAGAATACCTAACCTACTGGGAATGCAGCCCAGCAGGTCTCAGCCTTATTTTACTCAGCCCCTATTCAAGATGGAGTCACTCTGGTTTAAACACCTCTGACGTTTCCCCCCTTCTTTTATAAGAGAATCCTTCATCCTAAGGGTTGTAGAGGGATGAAGATACACCTTTTGTAACCTCTTCTTGCTGAATGGGGTGATGATATTCCTGCCTAACTATTAAGGTCTCTTGTGTCCGTGATAGAGAGGCACTCATTCACAACACATCAGTTTGCTGAGGGCCATCCATAACTCAGAGTTCTGACAAAACATGATATCTGAAAGATTAATAAGTGTTTAATAAAACATTCAGTAAGCTTATCCTGCATTCCTATACAAAGAGTACAACAGCAATGTATTCCATAACAGTAAAGCAAAATAAGTAAAACTGTCCCAAGTAAACTAAATTAGAAGGCTTTCCATGAACTGGCAACTGTTGGAACCATGCTGATAAGGGATCGCTGATTGTATTATGTGCCCAGAATTAGAATATTGATCCAGATTTTTACATTAGCCATCCCTTTTTTTTTTCCTGGACTTCAGTCAGAGATCACTGATTGGTTCACAGGAGAAAGCAAGGTCAGCCTAAATTGCAGGAAAAAAACTCAAACAACTGATGAGACTAGAATCTACTGACAGGTATACCATAGTTCTTGAAACACAATTTTTTCTCACTCCAGTGTCCCATTTTTACTAAAGACAAGTTATAGTATGACCGATTTGCTTTGTTATACTTGGCCAGATTATTTGTATAAAGTGCAGCAAGAATAATTATATAGGCTTTCGAAATTGGCTTTGATGGAACTCTGTTCCATAAGGAATCTCCGATAAGACTTTTAAAACCGAGCCCAGCATGGATTTTTTTTTTCCTTTTCTTTTTGAGACAGAGTCTCACTCTGTTGCCCAGGCTGGAGTGCACTGGCATGACCTCGGCTCACTGCAGCCTCCATCTCCTGAGTTCAAGTGGTTCTGCTGCTTCAGCTTCCTGTGTAGTTGGAATTACAGGCACACACCACCACGCCTGGCTAATTTTTTGTATTTTTAGTAGAGATGAGGTCTTGGCCAGGCTGGTCTCGAACTCCAGACCTCAGGTGATCCACCTACCTCAGCCTCCCAATGTGCTGTGATTACAGGCGTGAGCCACCACGCTCAGCCATGAGCCACTGCGCCTGACCTCAGCTGTGGGTTTGTACCCTCAAATACCTTTATGTATTGGGTAAATTTCTCTCTTCTTGAGGTCCCAAGATAACTTGGGGCTCCTGGGCCTGTCAAAAAGTGACATTCTTAACTTATCACAGGTCAGGAACCCTGTACAGGGACTGCGTAGACAAGATATGAGGCCAGTTTTCCCAAGCAGCTTTTAATTGGCTCTACAAGTCAAGTTTGATTCCTTTAAGGAGAGCACATCATTCCAGTCAAAGCCTTGGTAAAATAACCAGTTTCTCCAATTGTGTCCTGTCACAAGAGAAAACCGATTCTTACTGCACTTATACAAATATCTATTGTAGGCCAGGCATGGTGGCTCATGCCTGTAATCCCAGCACTTTGGGAGGCTGGGGCAGGTGAATCACTTGATGTCAGGAGTTTGAGACCAGCCTGGCCAACATAGTGAAAACCTGTTTCTACTAAAGATACAAAAAGTAGCTTGGTGTGGTGGCGGGCATCTGTAATCCCAGCTACTTGGGAGGCTGAGGCAGGAGAATTACTTGGACCCCGGAGGCAGAGTTAGCAGTAAGCTGAGATCATGCCACTGCCCTCCAGCCTGGGCAACAGAGCAAAACTCTTTGTCTCAAAAAACAAAAAACAAAAACAAATCTATTGCCATAAGTTAAGAGTACTCATAAATAGTCTCCAAATTGAGAAATGGGGTAGAGAGAAACAAATATGCTCCAAATTTTGTCCACAGGAGTATACTTTACTCAATTGTTAATAGCTGTCAATAGCTCAAATCCTTGACTGCAAAACAAAATAAAGGATCAGCGACGTTTTAAGCAAAAAAGTAAAAAAGATGAGTCTTACATTAATTCAGTCCATGAAGTTAACTCCTGTTTGATACACGTGAACATTCCAGCCCTCCATGACAGTCCTGAATGTTTTTTCCTTTATTCTAATGTTAGAGTCTCCAAAGTTATCAGAAACCTGCATTTAAGAGCACCTGTGAAAGTCCTATAGCTGATTATAAACCACCTTTCGAAGAGGATCAAAACATGACAACAGTTGTATGTTGATGACAAAAAGTCTTAGGACAGCCATAGTCAAAGACACGATTGACAAAGAATTTTGGTTACCTTTGTGGCACACAATAATTTAACATAATAATCATAATTACTGCTGATAAGGTACATTGAATCATATCAGAATTATAGGAGCTTTTCATAATTTTGGAACACATACCAATAACATATTTATACAAATGCAACCCAAAGAAAGCCAAACACCATTTCATATTTGGCAATGCTTCCTGTATGATTTTTATGTCAATAAGCCAAATTTCACTGTTGGACTAGTGCATTATTGATATGTGAAACCCAGTTCTTAATAAAACCTTATAGACAAATTGATCCAATTTTATTTTATTATTTCTTATTTAAATATGTTTTTTTGGAGGGGGATGGAGTCTCCTTCTGTTGCCCAGGCTGGAGTGCAGTGGCACAGTCTTGGCTCACTGTTACCTCCACCTCCTGGGTTCAAGCGATTCTCCTGCCTCAGCTTCCCTAGCAGCTGGGATTACAGGTGCAAGGCACCATTCCCAGCTAATTTTTTGTATTTTTAGTAGAGGTGGGGTTTTACATGTCGGCCAGGCTGGTCTCAAAACTCCTGGCCTCAAGTGATCCGCCCACCTTGGCCTCCCAAAGTGCTGGGATTACAGGCGTGAACCACTGTGCCCGGCCAGCAGCTCTTATTTTTAAACCAGTTAATCAAAGCTCTTTCATATCATACACACACAACACATATAAATACATAGGCGGGAGATCCATCAGTTGTAAGGTCTTTCATTTGCCAATTTCTTAATTGGATTACTGGCTTCAAGGTAGAGCCCTTGGAGGAACAGGGCGAGGAAAGCGTTCAGTTTCTAGGGCCTAGTAATCAGGCACAGCTTCTAGGGGGCCAAGAGCATGTTTCTCTGATCCAGACATGCAGAGAGCTGTGTATTTCCCCATAACTGCCATTAGACACCCCCAGAGTCGGCCAATCAATGCTGCAGTCTATTTCCTTTGGGTTGGGGGTCTCCTCAGTATCATCCCTTTATGGTTTGCCAGAAAGATGTTACCAGAAAGGGGTCCTGATCCAGACCCCAGGAACAGGTTCCTGGATCTTGTGCAAGACAGAATTTGAGGCGAATCCATACAGTAAAGTAAAAGCAAGTTTATTAGGAAAGTAAAGAAACAGAAGAATGGCTACTCCAGAGGCAGAACAGCCTGTTATTTTCTTCTTTATCTTTCAATTACCTTGTATCTTTTCAGTCTTACTATTACTTGTGCTGCCACCTCCACCGCCTCTTCTTTTTTTTTGGAGACAGTTTTTGCTCTTGTTGCCCAGGCTGGAGTGCAATGGCACGATCTCGGCTCACCATAACTTCTGCTTCCCAGGTTCAAGCAATTCTCCTGCCTCAGCCTTCCAAGTAGCTGCGATTATAGGCATGCACCACCATGCCTGGCTAATTTTGTATTTTTAGTAGAGACAGGTTTCTCCATGTTGGTCAGGCTGGTCTCGAACTCCCAACGTCAGGTGATCTGCCCGCCTCAGCCTCCCAAAGTGCTGGGATTACAGGTATAAGCCACTGCACCCGGCCTCTTTTTCTTTTTCCTCTTCCTCTTCGTTTTCTTCTTCCTCTTCTTCCTCTTCCTCCTCTTCTTTCTCCCTTCTACCTTCTTCTCCCTTCTCTCATTCTGTCACCCAGGCTGGAGTACGGTGGCATGATCACAGCTCGCTGCAGCCTCGAGCTCCCTGGGTTCAGATGATCCTCTGGCTTCAGCCTCCTAAGTAGCTGGGTCTACAGGCACGTGCCATCACATGCTTGGCTAATTTTTTGTATTTTTCGTAGAGATGGGGTTTTGCCATGTTGCCCAGGCTGGTCTCAAACTCCTGGACTCAAGTGATCTGCCTGGCTTCTTGTTCAGTCTTGATAAAGGTTTACCAATTTTGTTAACCTAAGAACCAACTTTTAACTTTTGCTTATCTTGCTGTTTTATTAAAATCTGTTTTACTGATTTTTTTCTTTAATTTTATTTCTTTCCTTTGACTTTATTCTTTCAATATGTTTTTAAAGTCCGAGAGTTAGCTCATTAATTTTCAGCCTTTTTTTTAAATTATTATTTTTTGAGAGAGAGTCTCGCTCTGTTGCCCAGGCTGGAGTGCAGTAGCACGATCTGGGCTCACTGCAAGCTCTGCCTTCCACGTTCAAGCAGTTCTCCTGCCTCAGTCTCTCGAGTAGCTGGGATTACAGGTGCCCACCACAACACTCTGCTAATTTTTGTATTTTAGTAGAGACGGTTTTCACCATGTTGGTCAGGCTGGTCTTGAGCTCCTGACCTCAAGTGATCTGCCCACCTCGGCCTCCCAAAGTGCTGGGATTACAGGCGTGATCCACTGTGCCTGGCCCAGCCTTCATTTTTAAATGTAATCACTTAAGCCTATACATTTTCCTATACATGCACCATTTAGACTACATTGTACAGGTTTTCAAGTGCATAGAATTTTCACTATTATTCACTTCTAAGAATTTAAAATTTTTAATTATGAATTTTTATTGGATCCTCAAGTTATATAAAGTGTTGAATGTTGGTGGTTTAAAATTTTTATTTACATTATGTTAATTGCATTGTGATCAGTGAGTATGATCTGCCAGATACCCAGTGTCTGAAATTTGTTGAATCTTATTTTATGGTCAAGCACATGATCAATTTTTTTTTTTTTTTTTAGACAGAGTTTTACTCTTTTCACCCAGGCTGGAGTGCAGTGGCATGATCTTGGCTCACTGCAATCTCTGCCTCCCGGGTTCAAGCAGTTCTGCCTCAGCCTCCTGAGTAGTTGGGATTACAGATGTGTGCCACCACACACGACTTATTTTGTACTTTTAGTAGAGACGGGTTTCACCATGTTGGTTAGGCTGGTCTCGAACTCCTGGCCTCAGGTGATCCATGAGGCCTCCTAAAGTACTCGGATTGCAGGTACGAGCCACTGGGCCTGACCCATGATTAATTTTTATAAATGCCTCATGTGTGCTTGAGAAGAATGAATGGATCTTCTGTTTCTAATATACAGAAACATGCGTATATTTATTAAATGAAGCTTGTTAACATGTTGTTAAAATCTTTTAAATATTTCTGCTGATTATTTATTTATTTTTAAGACAGGGTCTTGCTCTGTCAACGAGGCTGGATTGCAGTGGTGTGATCTTGGCTTACTGCAGCCTTGACCTCCCAGGCTCAAGTGATCCTCTCACCTCAGCCCCCTGAGTAGCTGGGACTGACTATAGGTGTGCACCACCACACCCGGCTGACTGTTTAATTTTTTTGTAGAGATGGAGTCTCACTGTGTTACCCAGCTGGTCTTGAACTCACAGACTCAAGCCATCTTCCTGCCTCCCAGAGTGCTGGGGTTACAGGCGTGAGCCACCATGCCTGGCTTCTGCTGTTAGGTTTTGTTTGATTGACTTTTCAGTATTGAGGGAAATGTGTTAATCTTCTGTGAGCCTAGATTTGTCTAATGCTACTAATTTTTTCCCTTTATGTATTTTGAAACTTTTATTTGGTTAATCATATTTAAGATTATAATAGCAATCTGGCAGATTTAACGTTTGTAATAACCTTCTCTATCCCTATTGATGTGTTGTACCCATTTTTCTGACACTATTTTTCTTCTAATTAGAATTTGCTTTATGTCTTTTTATTCCTGTATCATTAACCATTCCATGCCCTTATGCTTTAGGTATTTATATTAGAAATGGAATGTAGCTGGGTTTTATTTTTTATCAATCTATCACTTTTTTTTTTTTTTTTTTTTGAGACGGAGTCTTGCTCTGTCGCCAGGCTGGAGTGCAGTGGCGCGATCTCGGCTCACTGCAACCTCCGACTCCCTGGTTCACTCCCTGGTTCAAGCGATTCTCCTGCCTCAGCCTCCGGAGTAGCTGGGATTACAGGCACACGCCACCACACCCAGCTAATTTTTGTATTTTTAGTAGAGACGGGGTTTTACCATGTTGGCCAGGATGGTCTTGGTCTTCTGACTTTGTGATCCGCCCACCTCAGCCTCCCAAAGTGTTGGGATTATACGTGTGAGCCACCGCACGCGGCCAAATCTGTCAATTCTAATTGTCTTTTTTTCAGGTTTTTTTTGCTTTGTTTTTTGAGACAGAGTCTCTCACTCTTTCACTCAGGCTGGAGTGCAGTGGCCTGATCATGGCTGACTGCATCCTCAGCCTCCTCGGCTTAGGCGATCCTCCTGCCTCAGACTTCCAAGTAGCTGGGACTACAGGAGCACATCACCATACCTGGCTAATTTTTTAGCTTTTGGTAGAGATGGCGTTTCACCATGTTTTCCAGGGTAGCCTTGAATTCTGTCTAAAAGGATCCTCTCACCTTGGCTCCCAAAATGTTGAGATTACAGGTGTGAGCTACTGTGCCGAGCTAGTTGTCTTTTAAATGGCTCATATCCCAGAATAATACCAGCCCCTCTTAAGGTTTTTGGTTCGTAGTGGGAATCTCAAACTAGGCTTCCCTCCTGTTTGACTATTTGAAGCAATAGTATCTACACAGTACTGTTGATTTAATAACCTAGGTCACTTGGGATTTAAATGGAATTATTCTGACGTTTTGGGGTGCCATCCTCAGATTATGGTATGTAGTGAAAAGTAAATAAAAAATTATGTAGTATAGAAGTGTTTATGGGCCGGGCACGGTGGCTCACGCCTGTAATCCCACCACTTTGGGAGGCCGAGGCAGGCAGATCACCTGAGGTCGGGCGTTACCAGCCTGACCAACATGGAGAAACGCCATCTCTACTAAAAAAATACAAAATTATCTGGTCGTAGTGGCACATGCCTGTACTGCCAGCTACCCGGGAGGCTGAGGCAGGAGAATCACTTGAACCCGGGAGGCGGAGGTTGTGGTGAGCCAAGATCACACCATTGCTCTCCAGTCTGGGCAACAAGAGCAAAACTCTGTCTCAAAAAAAAAAAAGAACTGTTTATGTGTTTATCATGAAATTGTTTCCTTCTTATTTAGTGGGTTAACTTATAAACAATTCTTTAAAACATTTTGTTTTAGTCCCAGAAATCCTGGATAGAAAGCACTTTGACCAAGAGGGAATGTGTATATATTATACCAAGTTCCAAGGACCCTCACAGGTAAGCACACCTTTGTTACTTCTGGGGTCTTCTAGAAATTTTAGTGTAAATTATATTGTTATTTCTTTATTGGAAACAAAAACCACTAAATAAATTATTTGTACTTACTGTTACTTTTTATAATTACTGTTAATCATTTAATTTGGGAGGGATTGGGAGGAGGAAACAGCACTGAAATCAGTATTTTGGAGTTCTTAATGCCATTTACAGCATACAATCTCTTCCTTGAAGTGTTCCTCCATCTCTAAACTCCCTCAGATCATAGTGTAGTGTTTTACAAAGGTAAGGCAGTTAAGACTCTCTTATTTTTTAATGGATTCACTGATATTGGGAACTTAAATTTGTGTATCTATTGGGCATCTACTGGGTATCCAACACTATGGTTCATGTCGAAGAAAGCAATATGAACCTAATAATAGTCATTCTTTTTGTTTGCCAATATATAGATACAGATCATTATTTACTGGAAAATCTATTATCAGAGACTATAGGTGTCTGTGTCTTTGGTCTCTAAGATGGCTTTGATAATAGAAAAAAATTAAAGGACATTAACTTAGTAACTGAAGAAAAAGTTGAGCTCATGAAATATTTACTTAAACATTTTTGCCAAAATTATTCTTTTTACCTTTTTTTTTTTTTTGGAACAGAGTCTTGCTCTGTCGTCCAGGCTGGAGTACAAGCTCCCTCCAGGGTTCAGGCCATTCTCTTGCCTCAGCCTCCCGAGTAGCTGGGACTACAGGCATGTGCCACCACAGCCGGCTAAATTTTTGTATTTTTAGTAGAGATGGGGTTTCACCATGTTAGCCAGGATGGTTCAATCTCCTGACCTTGTGATCCACCTGCCTTGGCCTCCCAAACTGCTGGGATTACAGGCGTGAGCCACCGCGCCCAGCCCTAGTTTTTGTATTTTTAGTAGAAACAGGGTTTTACTATGTTGGCCAGGCTGGTCTTGAACCCCTGACCTGAGGTCATCTGCCTGCCTTGGCCTCTCAGAGTGCTGGGATTACAGGTGTGAGCCACCGCACCCAGCAAATTTTTCTTTTTTCTGAGGCCTAAAGATAGAAAAAAACTTAAGGAAATCTAAGATATAGTTATTTCCTAACCTATAGAGCACTTTTCTTCATGGGCACTTAGAAAAAATGAAAATTAATTGACAAAAGTATTTGCAAGATTTTTGAATCTTCCTTCCTTTTCCGTCTCCTGTCACACTGTGTTCTCTACCCATTTACCTTCTCTGCAACTTTCATTTCTGTTAGATATATAACTCTTAGAAAAACATAGCTAAATAGACAGTTTTTACTAACTGATATCTCTTTATATTATAGAATATGTCACTATTCTTGTTTATAGTGGATATGTAGTAAATATTTGTTGAATAGCATTTCCAAAAATTTCTCTTTATTTTAACATTTTAAAAAATTCTTAACTTTGAACGGATCTCTCACAACAAACACATTTCCATTGAAAGTGTAATGTATATGATACATTTAAAAAACTTTTGAGAAACAAAGTTGAAGCAATACGTAGAGTTTCAATACATTAAGACTGTCATTATTAATAACATTTGGTGGCTTTATTTTTAACTTTTTCTCAGTGTATTGCTTTTGTTTTAAAGTAGTGCTACATTCAGTCTATATGCAAAATGTACCTGCTTTTCATACTACAGATATTTTATAAGAATGGTAGTTAATAGGCCTGGTGCGGTGGCTGACACCTGTAATCCCAGCACTTTGGGAGGCTGAGGTGGGCGGATCACGAGGTCAGGAGTTCGAGACCAGCCTGGCCAACATGGTGAAACACTGTCTCTACTAAAAATACAAAAATTAGCCAGACGTGGTAGTGGGCACCTGTCATCCCAGCTACTTGGGAGGCTAAGGCAGGAGAATTGCTTGACACTGGAAGGCAGAGGTTGTAGTGAGCTGAGATCCACACTGCTGCA
This sequence comes from Homo sapiens, assembly GCF_000001405.40. NCBI lineage: Eukaryota > Metazoa > Chordata > Mammalia > Primates > Hominidae > Homo > Homo sapiens. The sequence continues at coordinate 50,661,027 of NC_000015.10, read as the reverse complement.
CTCCAGCCTGGGTAACAAGAGTGAAACTCTGTCTCAAAAAAAAAAAAAAGGAATGGTAGTTAATATTCTGTTATTGTGTATACCACAATTTATATACCTGTTCTACTATTGGTCAATTTAGTTGTTTTCGATTTTTAGCCATTTAAAATTTAATTAGGCCACAATGAAGATCTTTGTGGATAAAACCTTTTTTATATTTAAGATTTTCCCCCCTTAGGTTATGTAATGCCAGAATCTTTTGAAAAGTATTAAAGGAATATAAATGATCACCCAGTAGTGAATGAGATTGTCTCCTTTACTGAGTAATGACTGGAGTAACATTTTCCATCACCATCAAGAAAACGTGATAAGTAGAAAATAGTATGTATATATTTTTAGGCTGGGCATGGTGGCTCATGCCTGTAATTCCAGCACTTTGGGAGACTGAGGTGAGCAAAGTCTGCCTTCCGGGTTCAAGCGATTCTCATGCCTCAGCTACCTGAGTAGCTGGGACTATAGGCATGCGCTACCACGCCCACTTAATTTTTTTTATTTTTAGTAGAGACAGGGGTTTCACCATGTTGGTCAGGCTGGTCTCGAGCTCCTGACCTCAGATAATCTGCCCGCCTCAGCCTCCCAAAGTGAGTCACCGTGCCTGGTATACATTTATTTATTTTTAGTTGACAGTAATTATAATAGTATATATTTTAAATTTGGATTTATTTATTATTGAGAAAATATTTTATGTTTTTTAAATATCCCTCAATTTTTTAATACATTCTGTAAATGTTTTTGATTAGTTCTTTTTGGATCATTAAAATAGATAACCTTAACATCTCTTCCAATCATTAGAGTCTATGATTTATTCTGATTTCTTACTACTTGTTAAAGATATGTTTTATTACAACATCGTATCACATTTCTCAACAAGAGGATAAATGACATTTCCCAAGTCACATGGCTATTCATAAAGATGGGATTAGTATTTAAGCCTCCTTAGTTCAGTGTGCCAGTTCTAAAATAAAATACCATTTTTCTTCCGGAGAAATTGATGTTTTGCTTTATTAAAAAAATAGATTTTGTTGGTCGGGTGTGGTGGCTCACGCCTGTAATCCCAGCACTTTGGGAGGCTGTAGGTGGATCACCTGAGGTCAGGAGTTCGAGACCAGCCTGGCCAACATGGTGAAACCGCGTCTCTACTAAAAATATAAAAACTAGCTGGGCGTGGTGGTGGGCACTTGTAATCCCAGCTACTTGGGAGGCTGAGGCAGGAGAGTTGCTTGAATCCAGGAGACGGAGGTTGCAGTGAGCTGACAAGGTGCCACTGCACTCCAGCCTCAGTGACAGAGTGAGACTCCATCTCAAAAAAAAAAGAAAAAATAGATTTTATCATTAAGGAGTTTATTTTCTATAGTTTTATTAATTCCACTTTGCAATAGAAATAATAAAAGCACTCAAGGTATTAAAGAAATCCAAAGCTGTTACTAAGTATCCCCACCTTTAACCATTCATGAGAGACATAATTTACAGTTAGCTCGTCACTTCTTTCTACAGTAGTTGAACTCTTAATTTTATATGAATAGGTAATTGACACTTGGTTCATAACTTAAAAGGTACCAAATGCTGTAAGTGAAAGTCTCCTTTCCAGTACTGTGCTTTAGCTATAAGTTTACCTTGCTAATAAAAAATCTGATGTTATCCATTCCTTGGAATGTCTTCCAGAAAGTTAGATATAGTCTTTGTATGTCCAAGCAGATGATTATCCCCCTTCCCCCTTTAAAATATATAGTGTAGCCCACTGTGACTGTAACTTATCTTGGCGATCACTAGTTTGTTCTTTCTTTTTTTTTTTTTTTGAGACGGAGTCTCGCTCTGTCATCCAGGCTGGTGTGCAGTGGCGTAGTCTCACTGCAAGCTCTGCCTCCTGGGTTCAGGCCATTCTCTTTCCTCAGCCTCCCGAGTAGCTGGAATTACAGGCGTGTGCCACCACATCTGGCTAATTTTTTGTATTTTTAGTAGAGACGGGGTTTCACTGCGTTAGCCAGGATGGTCTTGATCTCCTGACCTCGTGATCCTCCCGCCTCAGCCTCCCAAAGTGCTGGCATTACAGGCGTGAGCCACTGCGCCTGGCCACTAGTTTGTTCTTAATTGTTGCAGCCTATTTAATTATGTCTGAATTGTAATTTGTTTTAGTAATCTCTTATTGAACATTTTAGCTATTTTCACTTTCTTTTGGCTGTTAGGAAAAAAATTCTGCAGTCAACGACCTTGTACAATTTTCATTTTATACGTATACTACAGATGTGTTTTAGCCTATGCTTTTAGAACTGGAATTAGTGTGTGAGAGTCAACGTTTTTTATTTTGATGGGTATTGCCAAGTGGCCTTCCATAGGGATTATATAAATATATACTCTCACCCACAGATACCAGACTCTCTCTGTATTCTTGCCAAGATAATGTCTTTTTTTTTTTTTTTGAGACAGTTTCTCGCTCTTTCGCCCAGGCTGGAGTGCAGTGGGGCATGATCATGGCTCACTTTAGCCTCGACCTCCCATGCTCAAGGAATCCTCCCACCTCAGCCTCCCTAGTAGCTAGGACTATAGGCCTGCACCACTACCCCTAGCTAATTTTTTTTTTTGTAGAGACGGAGTTTCGCTTTGTTGCCCAGGCTGATCTTAAACTCCTGGACTCAAGCAATTCACCTGTGCCTCCCAGAGTGTTGCAATTATAGGTGTGGACTGTCTGCCAGGCGCGGTGGCTCACACCTGTAATCCTAGCACTTTGGGAGGCCGAGGCAGGTGGATCACAAGGTCAGGAGATCGAGACCATCCTGGCTAACACAGTGAAATCCCATCTCTAGTAAAAATGCAAAAAAATTAGCCGGGCATGGTGGCAGGAGCCTGTAGTCCCAGCTACTTGGGAGGCTGAGGCAGGAGAGTGGTGTGAACCCGGGAGGCGGAGCTTGCAGTGAGCTGAGATTGCGCCATTGGACTCCAGCCTGGGCAACAGAGCGAGACTCTGTCTCAAAAAAAAAAAAAAAAATTGAGACTGTCAGTTAAAAAATAGTTATTTGAATTATAAATCAAGGTATACGTGAACTATAATATCTACTGAAAAATTAAACTAGGTATATAATTTTTTTTGTTTTGTATTTTATGTATTTTATATACTTTAAAATCAGAAAGTTTTTCACCTGAAATAATTTATTTACCTTTTTGTGTTCAATAGATGCCTTCCAGGATGTCAAATTTGTCAGCAACTCGTCAGGTAAGTTTAACATAACTATACCGCACAAATTTCGGAAAATAAATAAAACTAATCTATTAGAAATATGAGTTAGAACACAGTGGCATGAAACTCACATGCTATTATATTTGATGGGTACTTTACCTAGACTTGGAAGGTGAAGGGTCAGTCAAGGCTGTTTGAAACTCAGGTGAAGCTACCTAAGAAGAGTTGTAAAGTTGTGTCTGTTGAGCAGAAGTTGAAGGACAGGAATTTTAGGCAGCGAGAGCAGTGTATGGGAAGGCCTGATAGTGAAAGACATCATGGTTCTGTCAGGAAACTGCAGAATGTAAGATGGAGATTTGAGAGATTTGGGCCTGGAAAAATGAGAGTTTCAGTTACTCTACAAGGCTTTTTGTTGCACATGCTTTTGATTTCATGTTAAAAGGATATTGTACAGGCAATTAATAACATGCTATATTAGTATTATTATTATTTTGAGACGGAGTCTTGCTCTGTTACCCAGGCTGGAGTGCAGTGGCACAATCTCGGCTCACTGCAACCTCTGTCTCATGGGTTCAAGCAATTCTCCTGCCTCAGCCTCCCGAGTAGCTGGGATTACAGGCATGCGCCACCATGCCCGGCTAATTTTTGTATTCTTAGTAGAAATGGGGTTTCACCATGTTGGCCAGGCTGGTCTTGAATTCCTGACCTCAGGTGATCCACCCGCCTCGGCCTCCCAAAGTGCTAGGATTACAGGTGTGAGCCACCAGGCCCGGCTGATTTTATTTTTTGTAAGAGCAGTTTGCATTTTTAGATTGGATTGGAAGAAAATAGACCAGTTGCTAAAGTTTTAGAGTGACTCTGGCAAAAAGATGAGAACCTGAAGTAAGATGTTTTTGACAATGAAGAGAAGTAGGCATATTTGAAGGGCTTAATGAGATAAATGCAATAGGATTTGGTGAATGTGAAGAAAAGGGAAGATTTGAGCATGGTAACTACATTTCCTTCTTAGGCAACTGAGTAAATTGTAATATGCTTTAGGGTCTGATGAGGAAGTATAAGAGGAAGAAGAGAAGGTCTCTGGGTGGTAGGCTAGGAATAAAAGTACATAGAATGGGTTTATTTTAGATATATTGAAGAGTTTTTCAAGGAAGTCTGTAAAAACAAAAACAAAAAACCTGACAGGCTGGATGTGATGGTTCGCGCCTGTAATCCCAGCACTTGGGGAGGTTGAGGCAGGAGGATGGTTTGAGCCTAGGAGTTTGAGACCAGCCCGGGTAGCATAGTGAGACCCTGTGTCTACCAAAAAAAAAAAAAAAAGAAAACCACACACAAAAATCTTGGCATGGTATCATGTACCTGTAGTCCCAGCTACTTAAGAGGCTGAAGCAGGAACATCATTGGAGCCGGGAGGATCGTTTGGGCCTGGGAAGTTGAGGCTGCAATAAGCCCTGATCACACCACTGCACTCCTGCCTGGGCAACAGAGCAAGACCCTGTCTCCAGAAAAAAAAACAAACAAAAAGACCTGACAGTCTTTCATATTTGCCCCTGTACTTAACCATCTCCAGTCCTTTTCATTTCTTCTTATAGATGGTGAGGTTCCATCTGGTGTCTCTTGTTTGACGATGCCAAAGAGTTTCTTTTATTTAGCATTTCATATAGTGCAGCTACACTGAACTGAACATGAATTTTCTCAGTTTGGTCTATCTGAAAATATATTTCTTTTATTTTCATGTTTGAAGAATGTTTTCACTGGATATAGAATTCTGGGTTGTGTTATTTTATTGCAGCAGGGGTTTTTTTTTTTTGTTTTTTTCTTTTTTTGAGATGGAGTCTTGCCCTGTTGCCCAGGCTAGATGGCATACAGTGGTGCGATCTCAGCTCACAGCAACCTTTGCCTCCCAGGTTCAAGTGATTCTCCTGCCTCAGCCTCCCCAGAAGCTGGGATTACAGGCACACACCACCATGCCTGGCTAATTTTCGTACTTTTAGTATAGATGGGGTTTCACCATGGTGGCTGGGCTGGTCTCCTGACCTTGTGATCTGCCTGCCTTGGCCTCCCAAAGTGCTGGAATTCCAGGCGTGAGCTGTTGCGCCCAGCCCATTGCAGCACTTTAAAGGTGTCATTATTTTATCTTGTAGCTTTTGTTTCTAATGAGAAGGCAGCTGTAATACAGTAGTTGTCTTCCTGTGTGGAATGGGTCTTTTTCTTCTCTAGCTACTTTAAATATTTTTTTTTTCTATTCCTTTGGTTTTCAGCAGCATGTCTATAATATGCCTGAGAGTGATTCTCTTTGTACTTATTCTGCTTGCGTAAATATTTGCACGTTCAAATTTTTTACCTGATTGAGAAGGTTTTTTGTTTTTTTGTTTTTTTTTTCCTTTGAGATGGAGTCTTGGTCTGTTGTCCAGGCTGGAGTGCAGTGGTGCGATCTTGGCTTACTGCAACCTCTGCCTCCCAGGTTCAAGCAATTCTCCTGCCTCAGCCATCTGAGTAGCTGGGATTACAGACGCATGCCACCATGCCTGGCTCATTTTGTATTATTAGTAGAGATGGGATTTTACCTTGATGGTCAGGGTGGTCTTGAACTCCTGACCTCGTGATTCGCCCGCCTTGGCCACCCAAAGTGCTGGGATTACAGGCGTGAGCCACTGCATTTGGCCAGGAAGTTTTTTTTTTTTAATTAACTTTTTTTTCTTTATCTGATGTATTGAATAATTTCTATTGATGTCTTCAGGTTCACTCTTATTTCTACATTCTCCATTTTGCTGTTTTGTCCATCCAGTGAATTTTCTTTTCTTTTTTTTTTTTTTTTTGAGACGGAGTGTCACTCTGTCGCCCACGCTGGAGTGCAGTGGCGCAGTCTCAGCTCACTGCAAGCTCTGCATCCTGGGTTCATGCCATTCTCCTGCCTCAGCCTCCCGAGTAGCTGGGACTACAGGTGCCTGCTGCCACACCCGGGTAGTTTTTTGTGGTTTTTTTTAGTAGAGATGGGGTTTCACCTTATTAGCCAGGATGGTCTTGATCTCCTGACCTTGTGATCTGCCCGCCTGTAATCCCAAAGTGCTGGGATTACAGGCGTGAGCCACTGCGCCCAGCCCATCCAGTGAATTTTCATTTCATACATTACATTTTTCAGTGCTAGGATTGCTATTTGATTCTTTGTTATAGTTTCCATTTTACTGCTGAGATGCACCATGTGCACTCTCATTATGACTGTCTATTCCTGTATGCCCTTCAGCATATTTATAATACCTGCATTAGAGTCTTTGTCTACTGATTCCAACATTTGCATCATTTAGGGTCTGTTTCTGGTGACTGCTTTTTTTCCTTCATCTTTTTTATATGTCTAGTATTTTTTTATTTTTTTGAGATGGTGTCTTGTTCTGTTGCCCAGGCTGGAGTGCAGTGCTGCAATCTCAGCTCACTGCACCCTCTGCCTCCCGGGTTCAAGCAATTCTCCTGCCTTAGCCTCCCGAGTAGCTGGGATTACAGGCGCACACCACCACGCCCAGCTAATTTTTTATATTTTTAGTAGAGATGGGGTTTCACTATGTTGGCCAGACTGGTCTGGAACTCCTGACCTCAGGTGATCCGCCCGCCTTGGCCTCCCAAAGTGCTGGGATGGTGTGAGTCACTGCACCCGGCCAATAATTTTTTATCATATATTGTTGTTCTGGAGTAAATAATTTTCCTGTAAGGAGTGTTCAGTTTCTTTCTGACAGGTGATTAAATTAATTTTTGATAGATTCTTTTGTCCATTCAGGTTTGATTTTCTTCTTTGTTAGGGCAGTTCTACTTCTATTTTGAACTTAGTCCTAGGATGTGGACCTTCCTCTTAAGGTATAGCTTTTTTGTGTTCTCAATTGAGTGTTCAGGGGGTTCAGTGATGTCTTTTCACGCTGAACTAAAACTGCTATGTCTTCCAGACCTTTAGGACCCCGTTCACAGACCCACACACAGCAAGTGATTACTGCTAGGCATCACAGAATCTCTCACAGATACACCTTAGACCATGGCCAAAGACCCATGGTGAATCCCCATGTGAGATTTTTTTCCTTCTTGTCTTTATAGCTCCCTTTTCTCTGGTAACTCTGCTACAAATTCCAACTGTTTCAACAGCCTAGAATTCTGTTCTCTACTTCCTTGCTTGGCCCAGTGTCTACTGTTTTCTGCCTAGGTGTCATCTCTATGATTGAGAAATTGCCCCCAAGCTGGTGCAGTCATGGGGGTTTACCTCATGTGTTTCCCTCATTTCAAGGATCACAGCTTCGTGTTTCTTCTTGTTTAATGCCTGAAACAGTTATCTCATATATTTTGTTCACATTTATGTCAGGAATCTCCGAGACCACACCTAGATTCCATGATTAGCTAGAATGAATCACAAGACTTAGCATGTAGTGGTACTCTTGATAAGATTTAATAAGTATTATGTTATCTGTTGAGGAAGTTTCCTCCTTTCCTAGTTTGCTGACAGTGCTTATAATGAACAGACATTCAGTTTTGTCCAATGCTTGTTTTCCTTTTTGTGGAGAACGGGGTCTCACTATATTGCCAAGGCAAGTTTTGAAGTCCTCGGCTCAAGCTATGCTCCCACTTATGCCTCCTTAAGAGCTGGGATTGCAGGTGTGAGCCACCACGTCCGTTTCTTTTTTCTTTTTGGGGGGAGTGGGGAAACAGGGTCTCACTCTGTGGCCCAGACTGGAGTGCAGTGTCACAGTCACTGCAGACTTGACCTCCCGGGCTCAGGTGATCTTTTCCCTTTAGCTTCCCAAGTAACTGTGACCACAGGTGCATGCCACCATGCCTGGCTAATTTTTGTAGAGAAGGAGTTTTGCCATGTTGTCAGGCTGGTCTTGACTCCTGAGCTCAAGTGATCCTTCCACTTTGGCCTCTCAAAGTGCTGGGATTACAGGCACGAGCCAGTGTGCCCGGCCTAGTCTTTTCTTGTAATGCTAATGCTTTGCCTTTTTTTCTTTTTTTGAGATGGAGTTCCTTTTGTTACCCAAGCTGATCTAGAACTCCTGTCCTCAAGCAGTCTTCCCACCTCAGCCTCCTAAGTAGCTGGAATTACGGGCTGGTTTTATTTTGTTTTTGTTTTTTTCCAAAGCAGAATGAGTCTCACCTCATGAAATGAATTGGGAAATGTACCCACTTAAACGATTTTTTTGGAAGAACGTATGTAGAATTTATATTTCCTCCTAAATGTTTGATGAAATTCACCAGTGAAGGCATCTGGCTTTGAATTTTCTTTGTGGAAAGGTGTATTAATGATTTTTTTTTTTTTTTTTGAGACAGAGTCTTGCTGTATTGTCCAGGCTGGAGTGTTGATTTATTTTCCTGTTCAGTTTTTCTCATTATTCTGACTTCAGTTTATCAATTTTATTTATCTTTTCAATGACAAGCTTTTTGTTTTCTTGCTTTCCCCCACGATTTTTCTCTTTTCTGTTTCATTGTGTTCTTTTTTTTTTTTTTTTTTTTTTTTTTTGAGATGGAGTCTCACTCAGCCAGGCTGCAGTGCAGTGGCATGATCTTGGCTCACTGCAATCTCCGCCTCCCAGGTTCAAGCAATTTTCATGCCTCAGCCTCCTCAGAAGCTGGCATTACAGGCGCCCACCACCACACCCGGTGAAGTTTTGTATTTTTAGTAGAGACAGGATTTCACCATGTTGGCCAGGCTGGTCTCGAACTCCTGACCTCAAGTGGTCCACCCGCCTCGGCCCCCTGAAGTGCTGGGATTACAGGCATGAGCCACCGCACCCGGCCCATTCTGTTTTCTTTATCATATCTTTTCTTCTGCTTACTTTGAGTTTAATTTGCTGTTATTTTTAGTTTTTAAGGTAGAAGTTTAGGTTATTTTTTAAATGAAATTTTTAAAACCTTTATTTAGAAAATTATTATTTTATTTATTTATTGTATTTATTTATTTTGAGAAGGAATCTTGCTCCGTCGCCAGGCTGGATGTGCAGTGGCGCGATCTCAGCTCACTGCAACCCCCACCTCCTGGGTTCAAGTAATTCTGCCTCAGCCTCCCGAGTAGCTGGGATTACAGGCGACTGCCACGACGCCCAGCTTATTTTTTATATTTTTAGTAGAGATGGGGTTTCACCATGTTGGTCTTCATCATGCTCATATTCTTTTCCCACAGTCTTCTTTTCTTTAATTTTTTCTTTAATTTTTTCGTTTAGAGACAGAGTCTTACTATGTTGCCAGGCTAATATTGAATTCCTGGGCTTAAGCAATCCACCTGCCTCGGCCTCCCAAAGTGCTGGGATTATAGGCATGAGCCACCGTGCCCAACAAGCATGGTCTTTCTTTAAATTTTTTTTATTTTTATTACAGACGGGGTTTCACTGTGTTAGCCAGGATGGTCTCGATCTCCTGACCTCGTGATCCACCCGCCTCGGCTTCCCAAAGTGCTGGGATTACAGGCGTGAGCCACCACACCCGGCGTCAAGCATGGTCTTAATAGTTGGAGCTCATTTATAATACTTGTTTTTGTGTCATTTTCTGATAATTCCATCATCTCGTTCTTTTCTGGTCTTCATTTAGTGATTTTATTTTATTGATAGTTTTCTGCTTCTTTGCATGCCTCAGTATTCTTTGAAATTTTTATTTATTTACTTTTTTGAGACAGGGTCTCTCTGTGTCACCCAGGCTGGAGTGCAGTGGCACCATATCAGTTGACTGCAACCTCTGCCTCCTGGGCTCAAGCAGTCCTCCCATCTCAGCTTCCCAAGTAGCTTGGACTACAGGCGTGCATCACCACGCCCGACTAACGTTTGTATGTTTTGTAGAGATGGGGTTCACCATGTTGCCCGGGCTGGTCTAAACTCCTGGGCTCAAGCAAACTGCCGGTCTCCATTTTCAAAAATACTAGGATTACATGTGTGAGCTACCACGCCCGGCCAATGTCTGGGAATTTTTCATGCATGCTGACAATAGTGAATTTTATGTTTTTGGTTACTGGCATTTGTTGTATTCCACTAGCGAGTTTTAGACTTGCTATAGCATGCAATTAGATTACTTTGGATCAGTTTGATCCTTTCAGGTCTTGCTCTTAAACTTTGTCAGGGCATGGGCTGTCTAGGTCTGATTTTTTTGTTTTTTTTTGTTTTTTTTGAGACCCAGTCTTGCTGTGTTGCCCATCCTGGAGTGCAGTGGCACGATCTCGGCTCACCACAACCTCTGCCTCCCAGGTTCAAGCGATTCTCCTGCCTCAGCCTCCTGAGAAGCTGGGACTACAAGCGTACGCCACCATGCCTAGTTAATTTTTATATTTTTAGGAGAGACAGAGTTTCACCATATTGGTCAGGCTGGTCTAGAGCTCCTGACCTCAGGTGATCCATCCACCTTGGCTTCCCAAGGTGCTGGGATTATAGGCATGAGCCACCGTGCCTGGTCTGTCTAGGTCTAATTTAGTCCTTCTAATTTAATGATACTTTTTTTGAGGACCCTGTCATAAGCCTTGTGTGTTATGAGATCTCTACTCTGGCTGGTGGGAACATAAAGTGTTCCCTGCCCTTTATGAGCTTCAGAAATTGTTTCGGCTATTGCTGTCCAGTAGCTTTTAACTTTGCCTTAAGTAGTTATTCTTTTTTTTTTTTTTTTTTTTTTTTTTTTTGAGACAAAGTCTCACTCTTTCACCCAGGCTGGAGTGCAGTGGCCCAATCTCTGCTCACTGTGGTCTGCGCCTCCCAGGTTCAAGTGATTCTCCTGCCTCAGCCTCCTGAGTAGCTGGGATTACAGGCACGCGCCACCATGCCCAGCTAATTTTTTGTATTTTTAGTAGAGACGGTTCACCATGTTGGCCAGGATGGTATCGAACTCCTGACCTCAGGTAATCTGCCCGTCTCGGCCTCCCAAAGTGCTGGGATTACAGGTGTGAGCCACTGTACCTGGCCAAGTAGTTATTCTTCCACATGCTTAAGGAGACCCTTCTGCAGATACTTGGAACTTTCTCGTTGTAGCTCCCTCCTCTTTTTGTTTTCTACCTCACAAACTCTAGCTGCCTTGGCTTCCTCAAACTCTCATCTGATTTTTAAGATTATATCAAATCAATGAGACTGCCCAGCTCCACTAGGTTCCTACTTATGGTGTTATAGTCCAGTATGTGCTTCTGGGTAGAAAGCCATCTGTCTTTGTACCCCAGCCTCAGACACCATTGATCACCCTTTTGTCACTATATAGATTAGTTCACGGTTTCTTGAATTTTGTATACGTGGAATCATACAAATATATAATCATTGGTGTCTAGGTTCTTTCACTCAGTATGATGATTTTGAGATTTATCCATTCTGTAGTATTATTAGTGGTTCATTCACTTCTCTTTATTATTGGATAGTATTTTTTCTTTCTTTCTTTCTTTTTTTTTTTTTTGAGTTGGGGTCTTGCTTGTTCTGTCGTCCAGGATGGAGCACAGTGGTGTGACCAAGGCTAACTGCAGCCCTGACGGGCTCAACCAAGCCTCCCACCTTAGTCTCCTGTGTAGCTGGGACTACAGGTGTATGCCACCACACTTGCCTAATTTTTTAAAATTTTTTGTCAAGTCAGGGTCTTGCTGTGTTTCTTAGGATGGTCTTGAACTTTTGACCTCAAGGTCCTCCAGCCATGGCCTCCCACAGTGTTGGGATTACCCGCGTGAGCCACAGCCGGTGTAAATACTATTTCTGTTATATGCCTATGCCATGTTTTGTAGATGCCTCATGTTAAATTTAGATGATGAATTCATCTTAGACTAATTATACTATTTCAGTGCTATGATGAAGGTATTAATATATAGATATCCTAAAATCAAAAAGCTTATTTTTATACTTATATAAAATATAAAAATTTTAAAGCTTATATTTGTCGGTTCATTCACTTTTAATTCCATTTTTTCATTAACTCTAATTTTTTGAAGGGTGTTTTAATCTCACCTTTTTCTTTTAGGTGTTTTTGTGGTCGCTTGGTCAAGCAACATGCTTGTTTTACTGCAAGTCTTGCCATGAAATACTCAGATGTGAAATTGGGTGACCATTTTAATCAGGCAATAGAAGAATGGTCTGTGGAAAAGCATACAGAACAGAGCCCAACGGATGCTTATGGAGTCATAAATTTTCAAGGGGGTTCTCATTCCTACAGAGCTAAGGTATGTCACATATTGGATTTTTCTTCATTTATGTTGTTATTTAAATAATAAACATCACAATTTGTGTAGCAATATTGACAAAAAGTTGGTCTCAGTAATTTATTTGTATATTTTAAAGTACAAAGGTGCATACAAATATAGAATTGTATCTTTCTGGTGGATTGAACCTTTCATCATTATAAAATGTGTTTTGTTTCTTGTCATTTTTCTTGACATGGTTTGCTTTTTCTGCAATCAGTGTAGTTAAGCCATCTTTCTTCCTTTTCGGTTTTAACCTTTTATGTTTAAGAGATGTCTTTTAATTGTTTTTAAAAATGTTGTCTGCTGTGTATTTAAGTTTAAATTTACCATTATGTTATTAGTTATCTATTTGTCTCACTTTTTTCTTTGTTCTGTTTTTTTTCTTGTATTATTTTGGATTAAATATTTTTTATTATTTTCTTACTCCTTTATTAGCATATTATTTATACAGTCATCCTTCAGGGGGCTTGGTTTCAGGACTTCCCTCAGATACCAAAGTCTACAGATTATCAATAGTATTTGGATGTAATCTATGCACACCCTCTTGTATAGTTTAAATCATCTCTAGATTCCTTATAATATCTAATATAGGCCAGGCACAGTGGCTCACGCCTATCATCCCAACACTTTTGAGAGGGTGGAAGGATGGCTTGAGGCTAGGAGTTGGAGACCAGCCTGGGCAAAATAGTGAGACTCTGTCTCTACTTAAAATAAAAATATTAATAAAATGCCCAATACAATGTAAATAGTTGTTAAATTGCACTGTTAAGGAATAATGACAGGTAAATAAAGTCTACACATGTTTAGTATAGGCTCAATGTTTTTTCTTGAATATATTTGATTCACCGTTGGTTGAAACCATAAACGTGGATCCCACAGATACAGAAGGCCTACTATATGTTCTTTTTCTATTCTTTTTTTTTTGAGATGGTGTCTCTGTTGCCCAGGCTGGAGTGCGGTGGCGCAATCTCGGCTCACTGCAACCTCCGGCCTCCTGGGTTCAAGCAGTTCTCCTGCCTCAGCCTCCAGAGTAGCTGGGACTACAAGTGTGTGCCACCATGCCCAGCTAATTTTTTGTATTTTTAGTAGAGACAGGGTTTCATTGTGTTAGCCAGGATGGTCTCCATCTCCTGACCTCATGATCTGCCCGCCTCGGCCTCCTAAAGTGCTGGGATTACAGGCCTGAGCCACTGTGCCCGGCCTGTTTTTCTGTTCTTTAGAAAAAGAATATTATAGGTCAGGCACGGTGGCTCACGCCTGTAATCCCAGCACTTTGGGAATCCAAGGTGGGTGGATCACCTGAGATCAGGAGTTTGAGATCAGCCTGGCCAACATAGTGAAACCCTGTCTCTACTAAAAATACAAAAATTAGTCGGGCGTGGTGGCACGAGCCTGTAGTCCCAGCTACTTGGGAGGCTGAAGCAGGATAATCACCTAAACTTGGGAGGTGAAGGTTGCAGTGAACCGAGATCGCGCCACTGCACTCCAGCCTGGGTGACAGAGCAAGACTGTCTCAAAAAAAGAAAAAGAATACTATAATAAATGTGATAATGTGATAAAATGCATTTTTAACTTGTTATATGCAGTCATGCATCACTTAAGAATGGGGATATGTTCTCAGAGATGTGTTAGGCAATTTCATCATGCTAACACCGTAGAGTGTATTCAGACCTAGATGGTATAGCCTACTATATGCCTAGGCTATATGGTATAGCCTATTGCTTTTAGGCTGTAAACCTCTATGGCATGTTATTGTACTAAATATGGTAGGCAGGTGTAACAGTGTAACACAATGGGAAATATGTGTCTAAATATATATAAACAAGAAAAAGGTACAGAAGTATGGTATTATAATATTAGGGAACCACCTTATGTATGCAGTTCATCATTAATCAAAATGTGTGGCACATGACTGTACTGTAAATTAATCCTTTACCACTTTTTCAACAATGCAGGAACCTTTGGAATATTTGAAACTGCACTTATTTCTCTTAAGACTTATGTGCTCTTGTCAGCATGAATTTTAATTTTCTGTTTTAAACCCCTAAAACAGTTATTATTTATTTAGATTTGAACATTTTAACCTTGGCATGGTAGCTCATGCCTGTAATCTCAGCACTTTTGGAGGCCTAGGCAGGAGGATCACTTGAGTTCAGGAGTTTGAGACCAGCCTGGGCAACATAGTGAGACCTTGTCTGTACTAAAATTCAAAAATATTAGCTGGGCATGCTGATACACGCCTGTAGTCCCAGCTACTTGGGAGCCTGAAGCAGGAGGATCAGTTGAGCCTGAGAAGTTGAGGCTGCAGTGAGCCTTGGACCATGTCACCAAAGTCTAGCCTGGGCAACAGAGCCAGACCTTGCCTGAAAAACAAATAACAACAGCAAAAACCATTTTAACCTCTACATTGTTCTGCCTGCCTCCGTGTTCTGATGAGGAAAACCTTGCCCAACAGTGAGCTCATCATCTCTCCAAGTTTTTCTTTTCTCCTGGATCCCGATCCTACAAATTCTCACTGCCTTTGTACCCTGCTAATGTCTTTTTTTTTTTTTTTTGAGACTCGCTCTGTTGCCCAGGCTGGAGTGCAGTGGCGCGATCTCAGCTCACTGCAACCTCTGCCTCCTGGGTTCAAGCGATTCTCCTGCTTCAGCCTCCCGAGTAGCTGGGATTACAGACAGGGTTTCACCATGTTGGCCAGGCTGGTCTGGAACTCTTGACCTCAAGTGATCCACCTGCCTCCGCCTCCGCCTCCCAAAGTGCTGGGATTACAGGTGTGAGCCACC
This sequence comes from Homo sapiens, assembly GCF_000001405.40. Taxonomy (NCBI): domain Eukaryota; kingdom Metazoa; phylum Chordata; class Mammalia; order Primates; family Hominidae; genus Homo; species Homo sapiens. The sequence continues at coordinate 50,645,882 of NC_000015.10, read as the reverse complement.
ATGCCCGGCCACCTGCTAATGTATTCAAGCAGGTGTTATTGTTCTTTTTTCTAGTTTTTCTAGTTCCCAGGGGCAGAGTATGTCCAAATCAACCTAGCCCATCATTGTAGGAAGTGGAATTTCTCATTTATCTCTAATATAGTATTAAAAACATTAACTTTAGACTGCTTCTCTAATACTACTTTATGTGCCCAAATATAATAATGAGTTAAACAAAACTGATACAGAAAGACTTATTATAGAACAAATCCGGCTGGGCACGGTGGCTTATGCCTGTAATCCCAGAACTTTGGGAAGCCAAGGCAGATGGATCACCTGAGGTCAGGAGTTCAAGACCAGCCTGACCAACATGGCAAAACCCTGTCTCTACTAAAAATACAAAAAGTAGCTGGGCCTGGTGGTGCGCACCTATAATCCCAGCTACTCTGCTTAGGAGGCTGAGGCAGGAGAATCTCTTGAACCCGGGAGGCATTCCAGCCTGGGCGACAGAGCGGGACTTTGTCAAAAAAAAAAGAACAAATCCTATTTACAAAGCATTCTTGGTCTGGTGTGGTAGCTCATGCCTATAATCCCAGCACTTTGGGAGGCCGAGGCAGGCAGATCACTTGAGCCCGGGAGTTCAAGACCAGCCTGGGCAACATGGTGAAACCTTGTGTCTACCAAAAATACAAAAAAATTAACCATGCTGGGTGCCGTGTGTCTGTAATCCCAGCACTTTGGGAGGCTGAGGTGGGCAGATCACTTGAGCCCAAGAGTTCAAGACCAGCCTGGGCAACATGGTGAAACCTTGTGTCTACAAAAAATATTTAAAAAATTAGCTACGCAGGGTGCCCTGTGTCTGTAGTCCCAGCTGCTTGGGAGGCTGAGGTGGGAGGATGGCTTGAGCCTGGGAGGCAGAGGCTGCAGTGAGCCGTGGTGGCGCCACTGCACTCCAGCCTGGGCAACAGAGCCTGACCGTGTCTAAAAAAAACAAAACAAAACCAAAAACCAAAGTATTCTTAAGGGACTCCAGTCTTCTACTCAGTTTTATGGAATTCTGGGGTTTTTTGGGCTTCATTTCTTTTTTTTTTTTTTTTTTTTTTTTTGAGACGCAGTTTCGCTCTTGTTGCCCAGCCTGGAGTGCAATGGCACAGTCTCAGCTCCCTGGAACCTCTGCCTCCTGGGTTCAAGCAATTCTCTTGCCTCAGCCTCCCAAGTAGCTGGGATTACAAGCACTCACGCCTAGCTAATTTTTTTGTATTTAGTAGAGACGGGGTTTCACCATGTTGGTCAGGCTGGCCTCGAACGCTTGACCTCAGGTGATCCACTTGCCTTGGCCTCCCACAGTGCTGGGATTACAGGCGTGAGCCACTGTGCCTGGCCTTTTGGCTTCATTTGTTTGTCAGTACTGAGATTTTCAGTAGTGTTTGATCTTTGTAAAGGAATGGGAAATACATCATTTTGCAAATAAGGTTTCTTAGAGATGATTTTTAAATGTCTCAATGTCTGAATACTTGAAGTTTCTTATGAGCTACTTCATATATGTGCTTTAGGCCAAGAGAATGAATTAATGTGAGTATAGCAAGTAAGTCTTATGATATCACTTAAACAGGAAGTTAATTTTTAAAATCTTTCAAACCAGAAGAAGTTATTTCACACACGATAGCTTTTTTTTCTATTTTTCTATAGAAAGATGTTTTCAAAAATTAAACTGGAGAATCCATCCGAACACCATGAAATGTTGATTACGATTTTCTGATTATTTCTCAGTCTGATCAAATCCAGTTATTTACAGTGAAGAAAATAATCATCTATATTAAATATATCTTTTTAAATTTTACTCCATAGTCACAATTCATTTATAAATGGACTAGATCATTGCCAAACTTTCATACAAATAATTCAGTATTTGCCTCTCTTCATAGCAAGAGCCTTAGAAGCCTCCATATTTTTCCCCCCTAATTCCTTTTTTTTCCTTTTCCGATCCTCTTCAGCCAGTCTTAATGTTTCTAACTCACTGTGTAGTCATAGTTAAAGAAGGCAATAAATACTGCAGGTACTTGGGTAAATTGGGTCAATGGTAATTGAGTTTAAACAGAAAGAGTAACATTTGTGTCTAAATGTTTAAAAGTTAGTTTCGCTATTTCTGTAGATCTCACAGAATGATTTTTTCAACTTTAAAATCATTTACTATTGCTTATTCCTTGGAGTATAAATATATTGAAAATAGCCTATGAAATCTCTTTTTACATAATCTGATTCATATAAAATTTTCCAAAGTCATATAATGTCACATTATGAAACCTGTGAACATGTTCAATTATTTTCTCCTTTTAAAATCTTTTTCTAGTATGTGAGGCTATCATATGACACCAAACCTGAAGTCATTCTGCAACTTCTGCTTAAAGAATGGCAAATGGAGTTACCCAAACTTGTTATCTCTGTACATGGGGGCATGCAGAAATTTGAGCTTCACCCACGAATCAAGCAGTTGCTTGGAAAAGGTCTTATTAAAGCTGCAGTTACAACTGGAGCCTGGATTTTAACTGGAGGAGTAAACACAGGTAATGTGATGATTATACCAATTTTATTTAGTGTGTTTTAATTTTTTTTTTTGAGACGGACTCTCACTCTGTTGCCAGGCTGGAGTGCAATGGCACAATCTCGGCTCACTGCAACCTCTGCCTCCCGGGCTCAAGCAATTCTCCTGCCTCAGCCTCCAGAGTAGCTGGGATTACAGGCCTGCGCCACCATGCCCGGTTAATTTTTGTATTTTTAGTAGAGACGAGGTTTCACCATATTGGTCAGGCTGGTCTCGAACTGCTGACCTCGTGATCCGCAAAATTATCCTCCCAAAATGCTGGGATTACAGGCATTAGCCACCACGCCCGGCCCTTAAATTTTTTTATAATAGCAATTAGATATTTGAAATACAGATCAACACTGAATATAGATATACTTAACTCTTGATAAATAATCTACAGTTTGTAGGTAAAAATGATAATCGAACCTGTTTGGTTATTATTTTGTCTTTAAAAAAAAAACGCAACACTTTAGAGCAGGATTTGGCAAACTATAGCCTGTGTGCCAAATCCAGCCCAAACCTTGAATAAAGATTTACTGGAACATTCACTTATTTACTGTATTAGTCTGTTTTCATACTGCTATAAAGAACTGCCCGAGACTTGGTAATTTATAAAGGAAAGAGGTTTAATTGACCCACAGTTCAGCATGACTAGGGAGCCTCAGGAAATTTATAATCATGGTGGAAGGTGAAGGGGAAGCAAGGCACCTTCTTACACAAAGTGGCAGGAAGGAGAAGTGCCACGCGAAGAGGGAAGAGCCCCTTATAAAGCCATCAGATCTTGGGAGAACTCAGTCACTATCACCAGAACAGCATTGGGGAAACCGCCCCCATGATTCAGTTACTTCCACCTGGTCTCTCCCGTAAAACCTGGGGATTATAGGGATTACAATTCAAGATCAGATTTGAGTGGGGATGCAAAGCTTAACCATATCAGTTTATATATTGTCTATGGCTATTTTTGTGCTGTAACAGCAGAGGTGAATAGTTGTGACAGAGATGGTATACCCTATAAAGCTTATACTGTTTAGCCTTTTAGAAAAAGGTTTTTGACCCTACTGTAGAGCAAAGCATTATTTCCATCACTTTCCTTCTAGTGGTAAATTGATACAAGAATGGCAATCCATTGCCTCAGCAGCAGTAAGAAGTAGCTTTCAAAAATTAATTTGTAACATACTACTGTCTTTTATTCTATATCTTCCCTATCACATATACAGGTTGAATATAAAGAGGGCAGATTACTTTCATTGTCTAAAATAAAACATTTAAGTCAGCTTGCAAACATCTAATTCATTATCAGCAACTTTTTTTTTTTTTTTTTTGAGACAGAGTCTTGCTGTCACCCAGGCTGGAGTGCAGTGGTGCCATCTCAGCTCACTGCAACCTCCACCTCCCGGGTTCAAGTGATTCTCATGTGTCAGCCTCCCAAGTAGCTGGGATTACAGGTGCCCGTCACCACACGTGGCTAAGTTTTGTATTTTTACTAGAGATGGGGTTTCACTATGTTGGTCAAGCTGGTCTTGAACTTCTGACCTCAGGTGATCCGCCCGCCTAGGCCTCCCAAAGTACTGGGGTTACAGGTGTGAGCCACTGCACCTGGCCAGCAGCTATTTTTTGAACCTCATTGTGTCAGAAGTTTTTGAGGCTGCTAAGAATTTATTCCATAAACAGTAAAAATATCTACCTTCATGGAACTTCTAGTGGGGGAGATAAAGATAAGAAACAGATAACTCAGTAATGTATAACGTGTTAGATGCTGATAAGTGTTATGCAGACACATGAAGTCAAGAAGAGGGATAGTGAGGGATGATGGAAGGGCTGCTATTTTGTTACATGGTCAAGGAGAGCTGATAAGGTGACAGTTGAGGAGAAATGGAAATGAGGAAGCAAGGTACAAGAAAAACATAAGGCAAAGCATGTAAAGGGGAGGAGATGGCTCGTGTGTTGGAAGAATAGTAAGAACAGTCTAATATAGCTTGAGTGGAATAAGCAGAGAGTGCTAGGTGATGAAGTCAGAAGTTCTGGTGTATGGTGGTAGAGAAGCATGGTGACTAGTAGAGGCAGTAGGCAGTTCATCGCATGAGGCCTTGGGGACCGTTATAAGCATTTTGGCTTCTGCTCTGAATGAGAAGAGGAGGTTTTAAGTAGAGAGTCAACAGCTGCAAAGATCACTCGGATGATGTTTTCAAAATGGAGTATAATGGCAAGGCAGCAGTTGAAAGACCTACGAAGATGCTATTTTCATAATTTGGGTGAGGGATGAGATGTGATGCATTATGGAGATCAAACTGAGTGATGCATTAGTTTGCCGGGGCTGCTGTAACCAAATATCACAGACTGGGTGGCTTAAAAACAGAAATTTATTTTCTCATGGTTTCCGAGATTAAAAGTCTAAGAGTAAGTGTCAGCAGATTTGGTTTATCTTGGGGCCTCTCTCTTTGGCTTGCACATGGTCATCTTCACACTGTGTCCTCCCTCTCATGGCCTCCTGTGTATAGGTATCCTTGGTGTTTCCTTTTGTATTCAGATTTCTTTATAAGAGCACCAGTTAGATTCAGGGCCACTCCAGAGGCCTTATTTTAAATTAATCGTCACATATTTAAAGGCCCTGCCTCCAAGTACAGTAATGTTTTAAGGTATTATCACATATATAAAGGCCCTGTCTCCAACTGCAGTCATATTTTATGGTATTGGGAGTTAGGGGACACAATTCAGCCCATAAGAAGTAATAATGGGCCAGGCATGGTGGTTCATGCCTATAATCCCAGCACTTTGGGAGGCTGAGGTGGGAGGATCACTTGAGCCCAGGAGTTCAAAACTAGCCTGGGCAACATGGTAAGACACTTTCTAAAAAAAAAAAAAAAAAGAAAAAAAAATTACCCCGGCATGGTGGTATGTGCCTACCCTCCTAGCTACTTGGGAGGCTGAGGTGGGAGGATCACTTGAGCCCGGGAGGTCAAGGCTGCAGTGAGCTAAGCCATGATCACACCACTGCACTCCAGCCTGGGCAATAGAGTGAGACCCTGACTCCCTCCCTCAAAAAAAAGAAGTGATAATGAGGAGTTATATGCTCTTTGGAACTGCCTTTTATACTTTTCTCTCTCATTTTTGACTGAAATAGACTTTTGTCATTGTTTATTGTGTGTGTGTGTGTTTTGCGTATGGTCCTGTGCCACCGATTAATTTTTTCTAAATGATGTGTAGAGCAATAATAAAAAACTACAGTTACTTAGAGGAGAAATGCAAAAACGGACTAGACCAAATAACATGGTAAAATTTAGTGTTATATGTGTTTTCTGGCATTTGTAGTGATTTGATATTGTGGGGTTTAGTGGTTTTTGTTCCTTTTTGGTCCTTGTGTATTCTTCTGTAGGTTTGGCTATGACCTTGTTTTAAGTTTGTTATGACCTTGTTGCCTTATATCTTGAAGGTGTGGAGAAATATATCACATATTATAGTGTTACAGATTTAGCACAGGATTGTTCTGAACACAGTAATGACTGTAATCCCAGAACTTTGGGAGGCTGAGGCATGAGCCCAAGAGTTCAAGACCCACCTGTCTCTACTGAAAAAAAAAAAAAAAAAATTAGCCGGCTGTCTTAGCACGCACCTGTAGTCCCACCTACTGGGGAGGCTCACAAGGGAGGATCGCTTGAGTCCAGGAGTTTGAGGCTGCAGTGAGCTGTCATTGCGCCACTGCTCTCTTTCCTGGGTGACCCTGTCTTTAAGAAAATAAAAAAAACAAAATGAATAAACTTTTTTTATGAACAGGTGTGGCAAAACATGTTGGAGATGCCCTCAAAGAACATGCTTCCAGATCATCTCGAAAGATTTGCACTATCGGAATAGCTCCATGGGGAGTGATTGAAAACAGAAATGATCTTGTTGGGAGAGATGTAAGAATTATTTTTAAAATTTCTTATGTTTGAAATTATATGTAAACAAAATTATAGTAAGAATAGTGCCAGTTTAAAATATTTATGATTATATTATACTTTTCAAATTAAGTTTAAAAGGTATTTTCCTGAGGTTTACTTCTGAATTTTTGGAAATGCATAAATATAAATAATTCATAACTATAAATAATTAAGTTCATAAATATAAATGCTGTTACAGTGTTGGCACATTTTGCTTTCAGTCTTTTATGTGTAAAATTATTTCACATTTTCCATATAAGCTAGTCTTTGTAATTAAATTTTTAATGACTACATGACATGAGAATTAATTTTATTCTCACTAAGACTAGGGAATAGGAGTTAAATGCTAGTGTTTTGTTTGAATAGGTTAAAGACATGTGAATTGGTTATAGATATTTATCAACACTGTTAAAAAGAATTACTGGCTGGGCGCAGTGGCTCACACCTGTAATCCCAGCACTTTGGAGGCTGAGGCGGGCTGATCACTGGAGATCAGGAGTTCACGACCAGCCTGGCCAACATGGTGAAACCCCGTCTCTACTAAAAATACAAAAATTAACTGGGTGTAGTGGCCTGTGCCTCCTAGCTACTTGGGAGGCTGAGGCGGGAGAATTGCTTGAAACTGGAAGGCAGAGGTTGCAGTGAGCTGAAATTGAGCCACTGCATTCCAGCCTAGGTGACAAAGCAAAACTCCATCTCATACATACATACATACATACATACATACAATTACTGAATTATAATGATCACTTTCAAGTGTTATTAAATTTCTAATGTCAGTTTTTGAGTCTACTCATGGCTGGAAAAATAGCAATATTACATTTTATTGTTTTTTACAGTGTCTTTTTTTTTTGAAATGGAGTTTCACTCTTGTCGCCCAGGCTGGAGTGCAGTAGCACGATCTGGTCTCACTGCAACCTCCTCCTCCCAGGTTCAAGTGATTCTCCTGCCTCAGCCTCCTGAATAGCTAGGATTACAGGCACCCACCACTACACCCATCTAATTTTTTTTTTTTTTTTTTTTTTTTTTTTTTTTTTTTTTTTTGAGACGGAGTCTCGCTCTGTCGCCCAGGCTGGAGTGCAGTGGCGCGATCTCGGCTCACTGCAAGCTCCGCCTCCCGGGTTCACGCCATTCTCCTGCCTCAGCCTCCCGAGTAGCTGGGACTACAGGCGCCCGCTACCACGCCCGGCTAATTTTTTGTATTTTTAGTAGAGACGGGGTTTCACCGTGTTAGCCAGGATGGTCTCGATCTCCTGACCTCATGATCCGCCCGCCTCGGCCTCCCAAAGTGCTGGGATTACAGGCGTGAGCCACCGCGCCCGGCCTCCCATCTAATTTTTGTAGTTTTAGTAGAGATGGGGTTTCACCATGTTGGCCAGGCTGGTCTTGAACTCCTGACCTCAGGTAATCCACTCGCCTCGGCCTCCCAAAGTGACGGGATCACATGCATGAGCCACTGTGCCTGGCCACAATATCTTTTATATATTGTAGTTTAGTCACTTAATAATCTGATAATAGTTTATTTGCACTATTTAGTTATTTATTGCTTCTCTCTTTGCATGTGATGATGAAATATATAATTCTGCAGTATGGGTCAAGATATAATCATGTGTTTCAACCCATTAATGATTAATCCTCAGCTGCTTAAAAGCTTACGCTTTTTGAAACATTCTTTGTCATTTGGTATTTATTTCTGTATGTAAAATAGAATTTTACTTCTTACTTGTCTTTACGGATTATTTCAAAATTTATTTTACATCATACTGTATTTAATCCTGCTCACTAACTCTTTTGTTTGCTATTGTTTAGGTGGTTGCTCCTTATCAAACCTTATTGAACCCCCTGAGCAAATTGAATGTTTTGAATAATCTGCATTCCCATTTCATATTGGTGGATGATGGCACTGTTGGAAAGTATGGGGCGGAAGTCAGACTGAGAAGAGAACTTGAAAAAACTATTAATCAGCAAAGAATTCATGCTAGTAAGTGAATTCACAAATTTGTTATTGTTGAAATTGTCCTGGGCTGTACTAATAGCCAAATTCAAAGAAAGTAGAATGTTCTTTGAAGTGCTCTTTCTTACATAGCAAGATAACATATGAAACAACCAACAGTGGTTGATCTTAGACAAAATGATAAGACCAAGGAAAAGAAGTGAAAATTGGGTACTCAGTTATCAAGGCTAAAACCAAAAAAGGTTCATTGGAAGCTCTGTTGTTATTGCAATTCCATTTCAGCCCAAGGAATTCATAAATATTCTTTTTTTTTTTTTTTCTTTGAGGCGGAGTCTCGCTCTGTCACCCAGGCTGGAGTGCAGTGGCATGATCTCGGCTCACTGCAAGCCCTGCCTCCTGGGTTCACACCATTCTTCTGCCTCAGCCTCCTGAGTAGCTAGGACTACAGGTGCCCGCTACCATGCCCAGCTAATTTGTATTTTTAGTAGAGACAGGGTTTCACCATGTTAGCCAGGATGATCTCAATTTCCTGACTTCATGATCTGCCCGTCTCGGCCTCCCAAAGAGCTGGGATTACAGGCGTGAGCCACTGCGCCTGACCCATAAATATTCTTAATGTGTGATTTATTCTAATACATGGCTGTGAAATTCAAGATTGAAAACTAAAAGGGAAAAAAATCACTGAAAGAAATAAATCAGCTTAAAATTTATGAAATGAGTATCACTGTTTGGCTAAATGTGTCTTAAAAATTGTATTCCTGGGACTGATTTTTCTTTCCAACCATGTCTGAATTTTCTGGTTCAACATCTAAATTTTTATTTCAAATAAAGGAAAATTTGTAACCTAAGGACCCCAGGAAGTTGAGCTCTGTGGTAAAGTGAAATAGAAATAAAAAAACTACAGAACAGTGTTTACAGATTATGGTGGAGTCAGAACTTTTGCTAAAAGTTAAGAATGGGCTGGGCGTGCTGGCTCATGCCTATAATCGCAGCACTTTGGGAGGCCGAGGTGGGTGGATCACCTGAGGTCAGGAATTCTAGACCAGACTGACCAGTATGGTGAAACCCTGTCTCTCCTAAAAATACAAAAATTAGCCGAGCGTGGTGGCGTGTGCTTGTAGTCCCAGCTTCTTGGGAGGCTGAGACAGGAGAATTGTTTGAGCCCAGGAGGCGGAGGCTGCAGTGAGGTGAGCCAAGATCGCGTCACTGCATTTCAGCCTGGTTGACAGAGCAAGACTCCATTGCAAAAAAAAAAAAAAAGTTAAGAATTGTTTATAGTCCTACAGATACCTTTTTTTTTTCCATTTTCTCTGTGCACCGCAAGTTATTGTAAAAGCAAAAATTCATATTCTTCACTAATTTTATCTGTTGTTGCTCTTCTAGAGGTCTTGGAATTTTATTGATCAGTTCCAGTTATGTAATTCTGTCATCAATTTCTTCTTTAATTTTTAATTTTTTTTTTCTTTTTTTGAGATGGAGTCTCGCACTGTCGCCCTGGCTGTTGTGCAGTGGCCCGATCTCACCTCGCTGCAACCTCTGCCTCCTGGGTTCAAGCGATTCTCATCCCTCAGCCTCCCGAGTAGCTAGGATTACAGGCACTCGCCACCACGCCCCAGCTAATTTTTTGTATTTTTGGTAGATAGGAGGTTTCACTATGTTGGCCAGGCTGCTTTTGATCTCCTGACCTCGTGATCGCCGGCCTCGGCCTCCTGAAGTACTGCAATTACAGGCATGAGCCACCATACCCAGCCGTCCTCTTTTTTTTTTTTTTTTTTTTTTTTTTTGGGAGATGGAGTCTTGCTCTGTTGCTCAGGCTGGAGTGCAGTGGCACGATCTCAGCTCACTGCAACTTTCGCCTCCCGGGTTCAAGTAATTCTCCTGCCTCAGCCTCCCGAGTAGCTGGGACTGCAGGCGCATGCCACCATGCCCGGCTACTTTTTTGTATTTTTAGTAGAGACGGGGTTTCACCATGTTAGCCAGGAAGGTCTCGATCTCCTGACCTCGTGATCTGCCCGACTTGGCCTCTCAAAGTGCTGGGATTACAGGCGTGAGCCATTTCTTTTTTCTTTTTTACAAACCTTTCAGGTGGCATTTGAGACAGTCTTTTTTTTTTTTTTTTTTTTTTTTTTTATGTGAGGGAGTCTCGCTCTGTCACCAGGCTGGAGTGCAGTGGCATGATCTTGGCTCACTGCAACCTCTGCCTCCTGGGTTCAGGTGATTCTCCTGCCTCAGCCCTCCTGAGTAGCTGGGACTACAGGTGCTTGCCACCACACCTGGTTAATTTTTTGTATTTTCAGTAGAGACAGGGTTTCACTGTGTTAGCCAGGATGGTCTTGATCTCCTGACCTTGTGATCCGTCCATCTTGGTCTCCGAAAGTGCTGGGATTACAGGCATGAGCCACCACGCCCGGCCAAGACTGTCATTAATTTCTATTTTAATGTCTCATTTGGAATCAGAAATATATATTTTAAAAATGAATAAAAATCAATGTTAGAAGTTCAACTAATGTATTGTAAAGCAAACTAAAAAATTACTGTTTACATTTCACGTCAAGAGCTCAGTAAAATATGGAAAACAAATTTTTACTTTTAAGTAGTGAATATATAAATTATTTGCTGTCTATTATATATTGGATTTTCTAATTTTGTCATTTAGAGAACAGCTTTTAAGATAGTGACAAAGTATTCATTATTTAATTTACTTACGTGAACTGGTATCAGGTGGAGTGCTTAAAGTCAAGTCAACATAGTCTTAGAAATTATGTTTTTACTTTTTAATTTTTTTTCAGTAAAATCTAAAATTAGAGTACTGAATTTTGCCTAATTTTTTTTTCTTGGAGAGAAACTTGCTTGGGATGAAATAATTTTTTAATTTAACTTTGCTCTTTTTAGGGATTGGCCAGGGTGTCCCTGTGGTGGCACTTATATTTGAGGGTGGGCCAAATGTTATCCTCACAGTTCTTGAATACCTTCAGGAAAGCCCCCCTGTTCCAGTAGTTGTGTGTGAAGGAACAGGCAGAGCTGCAGATCTGCTAGCGTATATTCATAAACAAACAGAAGAAGGAGGGTAAGTGTATGACAACATTTTAATTAATTTTATTTATTTATTTATTTATTTATTTTTGATACGGAGTCTTGCTGTGTCTCCCAGCCTGGATAGCGTGCAGTGGTGCAATCTTGGCTTACTACAACCTCCACCTCCCAGGTTCAAGCGATTTTCCTGCCTCAGCCTCCCAATTAGCTGGGATTACATGCATGAGCCACCACGTCTGGCTAATTTTTGTATCTTTTTAGTAGAGATGGGGTTTCACTGTGTTGGGCAGGCTAGTCTTGAACTCCTGACCTCAAGTGATCCACCTGCCTCAGCCTCCCAAAGTGCTGGGATTACAGGCATGAGCCACCATGCCTGGCCCATTTTAATGAATTTATTAAAGTGGCTTGTGGTTTTTAGAATACAGTGTTGGATTCCTCCCTGTGTTTTATGAACATGAAAATGTTAAGTTTAATACAATACTTTGTTAAGGGTTGAGGAAATAGCCTGACTCATATGTTATTGGAACAAATTAAAATAAAACCATCTTCATGGAACACAGTTTTGTAAGATGTGTCAAACGTAGAGGCACTTATCTTTTAACGTAGTAGTTTCATTTCTGGGAATTGTTCCTACAGATGTATATCTGTGAAATAATATATGTTTAAAGCTACTCATTACGGGGTTCTTTATAAAAGATTGGAACAAAGTAGAACATGAGAAGACTAGATAAGTTATGGTGTATTTATACAAAGAAATGGTTTATAGCTGAGTAAGAATGGTTTTGAGAAGATTACCAAAATATGTACATGCAAAAAGGAAGGTGTAGAGAAGCATATATATTGTGCCACTTTTTATATAGAATAAAAGGAGAGGGGATAATTATTTGTATATGCAGAAAGACATCTTGGAAAGTTATATATAAGTAAATGATTCCTAAAAATAGTTGTGATAGAACTGGGCAGATGAAAGAGAGCGGGAAGGAGACTTTCACTATTAATTTTAATGTTTTAACATTTTATGTTTTCTACTATTTTTGAGCCATGAAAATGTATTAAGTATTCAAAAAAGAAAAATGTGAGTTCCTATGTTTAAGAACATCGTGGTGAAATACTAGTTTATACATCATAAGATCTTCAAATTATTTTTATACAATATCTTATGTAAGTACTGATATTGCCACACACATACTTTTTGATAAAATTCACAAAGTAATTCAAAGAGAAAAATCACTCCGTTTCATTTATTTTCCTTCTAACATTTGTGTTGGGAGTCTCATGTAGGAAGAAATAATCCCACCCAAGGTGAAGTATGTAATATTAATCCATTATTTTCAAAGGTCTTACATGGATCTACCTGTACTTCATATTGATCCTACAAATAATGGAAGATGAAATCAGTGAATTATGTTTCCTTTTATTCCAGGAATCTTCCTGATGCAGCAGAGCCCGATATTATTTCCACTATCAAAAAAACATTTAACTTTGGCCAGAATGAAGCACTTCATTTATTTCAAACACTGATGGAGTGCATGAAAAGAAAGGAGCTTGTAAGTAGATTTCAGCAGAAATTTAAAAAGCTGATAGGCCATTTTTCTTTCATTCAAAACACATTCTAAACTGGTGAAATACTTTTGTTTTTATTTGGATTTTAAACTTTGAAATCTTTATTAACCATAAAAATATGTCATTTATTGGTCTGTTCAAGTTGAGAGGTATCATAGAAGGAGGCCTGTAGTTTTTTATATGGTATTGAGACTGTATTTGTGCTTCTGTTTTAGGAAAAGTTTTAGGAAAAGTAACTAGGTCTCAACAGATAATGTTCAGTACCAAGGAAGAACTATAAAGAGTTGTTAATGGTTTCTCTAATAAAATGTTTGGAAAAAAATTTTTAATGTGCTTAAGCCTATTAAATTAAAGATCAGTGCTGCTTTGTTTCAATCATGTAAATGTGGGCATAAGTTTTCAGAGATAAAATTTTTAGCAAGCCTATAAATACATAACATGATTTGATTTGCTGTCTTTTTCATTGCAAGTTTTTGTAAACTATGAAATAAAGTTGGCCAAAAATTTTGTATAATAATGTTTCACGTTCTTTTCTTTATTTTTATTTATTTTTTTTTTTGGAGACAGAGTCTCGCTCCATTGCTCAAGCTGGAGTGCCGTGGTGCAATCTCAGCTCACTGCAACCTCTGTCTCCCGGGTGCAAGCGATTCTCCCACCTCAGCCTCCCGACTACAGGCATACGCCACCATGCCTGGCTAATTTTTGTATTTTGACTAGAGGCGGTGTTTCACTGTGTTGGCCAGGCTGGTCTCGAACTCCTAACCTCACGTGATCCGCCCACCTTGGCCTCCCAAATTGCTGGGATTACAAGCATGAGCCATGGGCCTGGCCATCTTTCACTTTATGAAAAATGTTATTAAATTACAATTTCTGAAATGGTGCTATGTTTCAAGTGATTTAAAGATATTTGCAATAAAAATATTGACCAAAACAAACATTTATCTTTCAAGAATATATACATTATGTGAACATGTAAATGTTCATTCTGTGGAAGGACCTGTAGGATTTATTTACCCTGATAAGGAATCTATAGCCTCAGCCCCTAAATTTCTTACTCTAGTAAGGGACATAAGATAGGTCAAAATATGAATGTAATATGAAACCAAATATTTTTAGTATATTTGCCATTTTATTTAGTAAATGATAAAGTTTTTAAAATTTTTTGGTTTTTTGGTTGAAATAAAGTTACTAACTATATACATAAATATATTATGTGTATGTATGTTTATATATACATAATACATAGATTCCTAGATACATACATATATATTTTGCCCCCCATATAGTTTGAAATTACTGAGTTTTATGATGCCTTTGTTTTAAAAATATAAAGGCATAATGTTATAAATTTATCTTTAAATAGATCACTGTTTTCCATATTGGGTCAGATGAACATCAAGATATAGATGTAGCAATACTTACTGCACTGCTAAAAGGTAAGCCTCTAAGAACTTTTTTATTTGTAAGACCTTTTATTTTATGTATGTATATGTGTGTGTATGTGTGTATATGTGTATGTATATAAAATATAAAACCTTTTACCATGGCTAAATGCTTGCAAAGTGAATTTTCAGTCATTTTTCTTTGTGAAAGACACAATGTTGGTTTCCTTGGCGGCAAGGTAACTTTTAATTTAATCTTGTAGAATTTAAAAAATAAAAGTTTTTAGCAAGGTTTATGCCACCAAACCTATTTAATAGTCCTATTAAGAACGTCTAACATCCTGGGCCAGGCATGGTGGCTCACACCTGTAATCCCAACACTTTGGGAGCCAAAGCAGGAGGATCACTTGAGGCCAGGAGTTCAAGACCAGCCTGGACAAGATAGACCCATCTCTACAAAAAGTTTAAAAATTACCTGGGCATGGTGGCATTTACCTGTAGTCCCAGCTACTTGGGAGGCTGAGGTGGAATCACCTGATCCTGGAAAGTTGAGGCTGCAGTGAGCTGTGATCATGCCGCTGTATTCCAGTTTGGGCAACAGAGCAAGACCCTATCTCACAACAAAGAAAAATTAGCTGGGCATGGTGGTGTGCACTCTGTAGTCCCAGCTGTTCAGGAGGCTGAGGCGGGAGGATTGCTTGAGCCCAGGGTTTGAGGTTACAGTGAGCCATTATCACACTGCTACACTCCAGCCTGGGTGACAGCAAGACCCTGTCTCCAAATAAAAATGTGTCACTTTCTTAATCAGCTGAAAAATAAGTGTTTAAAGGTTATAAGGCATTAGTTGATAGAATATAAAGATAGGATTTTAAAACATGTCATCTTCATTATGAAGGGAAAATTTGAAAACTAGTGGTATCTTTTAGGACTAAGGGATTGAAGCACACACACACTGATCCTCTTATTGTCTCCCCAAAGACATCCAACAGATATAACAACATTATAGCGAAAAATCTTCTCAGAAATTAGAAACTATGACGGTATCCCATCTGTCTACCTGAAAGTTAGTGTAGAGTGATGTGCCAGGAGCCCAGCACATTAAGAGGATACTGTCCTTTTATTTACAAGAATTTTCTTGCATATTAGACCATAATAAATTGCCAATACATCAAGCATTTTTAAAATACTGTGATAAAATATATTTATATCATCTGGAATCATGGTATCAAGAGATCACAAGTGATAGGAAACCTAGAAACCAAAAAGGAAAAAAAATTAATAAATGGGAGTGCATAAAAATAAAAAGTAAGGCTGCGTGCGCTGGCTCACACCTGTAATCCCAGCAATTTGGGAGGCTAAGGCGGGTGGATCACTTGAGGTCAGGAGTTCAAGATCAGCCTGGCCAACATGGCGAAACCTCGTCTCTACTAACAATACAAAAATTAGCTGGGGGTGGTGGTGGATGCCTGTAGTCCCGGCTACTCTGGAGGCTGAGGCACAAGAATTGCTTGAACCCGGAAGGCAGAGGTTGCAGTGAGCCAGGATCACACCACTGCACTACAGCCTGGGTGACAGAGTGAAACTGTCTCCAAAAAAAAAAAAAAAAAAAAAGGTTAAAAAGAGAGTACCATATTCATGAATTATTTACCATGTACTTTTCTGTGTATTAACCACTGTGTTCAAGTGGTTTACATTATTTATCTCATTTTATTCCTACAAGTCAGATTTCCTATGGCTTTACTCATTTTATAGATGAGGAAACTAAGGAATAGAAATGTTAAAGTAGAGGGATCAAAAAGAGCTGTTAAAAATTAATAAGAAAAAGATGACTACCTCTTAGAAAAATGGGTCAGAACTTATGTAATAGATAATTAGTAGAGGAATCCAAATGCTTAGAGAAAATATGGAAGGATGGCCAATGTTACAGTAATAAATTTTGGGAGGCTGAGGCAAGCAGATTGCTTGAGCCCAGGAGTTTGAGATCAGTCTGGGCAATTTGGCAAAACCCTATCTCTACAAAAAATACAAAACTTAGCCTGGTGTGGTGCCATACACCAGTGGTCCCAGCTACTTGAGAGGCTGAGGTGGGAGGATCAGTTGAGCCCAGGAGGCAGAGGTTGCAGTGAACCAAGACCACGCCACTGCACTCCAGCCTGGACAACAGGGAGAGACTCGGTCTCAGAAAAGAGAAGAAGAAGGAAACTCCCCTCTCCATGGCACATGGAGAAATGGTTATGGTTATACCCCTCCCATGGTGGATGGTAGAAGCAATCTGAAGTATTTTGGAGTATATCAAAAACCTTAAAGTATATATCCTTGTACCTAGCAATTTGACTTCTAGAATATCATCCTATTTGAATAATCAAGCATGTGCATGAAAACATACTCAGCAAAAAATTCAAAATAACCTGAATATCTACCATTTGAAGTATTTGTTAAATAAATTGTGGTTTACCTAAGTATATATAAGGGAGATTTATGTATAATTTTAAGAAGAACCAAGGTACGATATCAAGGTACATAAAGCAAGCTACTGAACACTTTTGTAGTATGAACCCATTTTTGAATAAAAAATGGAAAGTATATGCATGAGCTTGTATGTGCACAGAAAGGTGCCTGGCAGGCTATTTTCAGAATCCTAATAGCGCTATCTCTGTGATAGAAACAGTTCATCTTTGTTTTCTTCTCATTTTTCTGCATTTCTAAATGTTTGCAATGAATGGGAATATGTCGTTTATAGCTGGAAAGGTAAAGTTCTTAACCCTGGGGCTAATCTTATCTCTGAGGCAGGCTACTTCTGAATGGTGGCTGACACCAGCTGTGTAAGTTAACTAAAGAATGGTGGGGAGATGTCATAAGTGTTCGTGCTGGGCACTGTGGCTCACACTTGTAATCCTAGCACACTGGGAGGCCGAAGTGGCAGGATCACTTGAGGCCGGGAGTTTGAGACCAGCCTGGTCAGCAGAGTGAGACTGTCTCTACAAAAAAGTTAAAAAATTAGCTGGGTGTGGTGGTGCTCATCTGTAGTCTCGGCTACTTGGAGGCTAAGGCGGGAGGTACACTTGAACCCAGGAATTCAAGGCTGCAGTGAGCCATGATCACCTTTGCACTTTAGCCTGAGCAACAGACCAAGACCCCATCTCTTAAAAAAAAAAAAAGTGTTCACCTTTTAATGGAGATAAATTAATTGAACCTGTCAACTATTTTCTTTATTCGATTAGGTACTAATGCATCTGCATTTGACCAGCTTATCCTTACATTGGCATGGGATAGAGTTGACATTGCCAAAAATCATGTATTTGTTTATGGACAGCAGTGGCTGGTATGTAAATAATCTACATACACAATACAATTAAATTACACTAAGTAATAAAAAAGTATTTGCGGGAACTGTGACCTGACTTGACATTTTACCTTTCTGCCAATAGTTCAAAAATAGTTTAGCTAAGTATTTCTACACCATTCCGATCCAGTTTAGGATTTAATGTATGCCTCTAGATAAAACCTTATTTTTTTGTAGAGTATATAGATCTCTAAGAATCTTAGAACTGAAAGAAGCTTTAAAACTCATGCTCTGTATACCAGAGAGTCCATTCTAGCATTCCCCCTGATGTTTAGACCTATTCCTTTTTTAGTCTTCCTCATCCTACTAAATGGGAACAACTTCTTCCTAGTTTCTAAGATGAGACTCTTTAGTGTTATCCTTTACTTTTCTCTTTCTCATGTATTCCAATCCAATTCCATCTGTAAATCTTGTCAGATCTAGTTTCAAAATACCTAATTTTATCATCCTGGTCTAGTCTGTCATCCTTCTTTTGTGTTATTTCGGTAGCATACTTTTTGGTTTCACTACTCTCATACTTGCTCTCCTTTTATGGACAGGAGATGAATCACATTCCATTTATTCAGAGCATAACCCAGAGCCTTACATGCTACTACTATCCTCTTTGCTCTTTTTTATCTAACCTTGTTGACGTTCTTGCTCTTCTTTGAACATATCAAGCATGCTCCTATCTCTAGGCTTTGTACTTGCCTGTCTCTCTATCTTAACATTTTTCCCTACATACCCACGTGGGCTTAATTCCTCCTATCTTTCTGGCCTCTAACCAAATGTCTCCTCTTTGGACTTCCTCTGTCTACCCTATTTTAATAGCATCCCCCTAAACCAGCATTCTTCCCTGCTATTTTTTTCTAACTTTTGTCACCATCTGACAAACCATATAATGTAGCTATTATTTATTGTTTGTCTTTCTCCTAGAAAGTAAACTTTCTGAGGGCAAGAATATTTTTCAGTTTTGTTTACTACTGTATTGACAGCTTGGTAGGTAGTAATCACTTAAAGTTTTGTTACATGTCCGAATTAATAAGAGGCTGGGCAGATTAACTGTTCATCTGTACCTTGAAGTATTACCAGCCTTTACGGAGGACAAACTAGATCCTTTTTGTCCACATAGTAAATATAAACAGCAAATTGCAGAAAAGTATGCACAGTATGATCTTAATTGTGGCAAATTCTCCTTATGAATGTACAAACATTCATGCATATCTACATGTACTGTGTAGTTAATAGTACCTTTCTAAAACTGTTAACATGGGATTCATCTTGGAGAGATGGGGGCTGAAGGAAAGTTTTATTTTATACCATTTTGTAGTGTTTGATTTTTTTTTTTTTAACCATGGGAATGTATTTCCTATATAGCAATAAAAAAGAGTTTATTTAGTCACTTCTCCTCTTGCAGGACTACAGAGGAAAAAAATTAATGTTAATCATCTGTGGTGATGACTATAACCAACCTTATTTTTCCCTTGAATAATTTAACTGGATTTTGTTCTCAGATGTAAAGGCTTGGATGAAGCATTTATCTTCTGTGTATATGTGGTTTGTCTGATGAATTTCTTCTGCATAGTGTTACCTATTTGATTTTGTGCTTCTTGCTAAACTTAGAATTTGCAGGACAGTTGTTTTTCTTCTTTCTTCTTGCTTGCCAGGAGTTCAATATGCATTGAGTGTGAGGAAATGCTCCTTACAAAACAGACACTTTTTTTTAAAATGGTCCCTTTTTCCCCCTCAGATATGAAAATTAAGATTTTGTTCTAGGGCAGTGGTTATAAACACAGAATGTTCTTGTTTTAAAAACAATATTTTGTTATATCCCCTTTTATTCTACTAAAGTGAAATTTCATAAGTAATTACATAAATTAAGAATATATGTATAATGCCCTAATTGTAATAAGACAGAAAAAATGATTTATAATAAAAAATAAATATTTCAGTATATAAATGTTCAAGAGTGGCAATATAAAACACATAATAAGTCAGATGCCTGCAGTTATAATAAGAATCAGTGTAAATGCTGCAGTTATACATACTAATACAAGTATGTTGTTGGTAACTTAAATATCCTGGGGAACAGATAAACACCCTTTGCAAGTGTAGGACAAAGAAAGACCAAGTGGGCACTAGAATAATGTTAGAATATTACTGTTAGAGTAAGTAATAACATTAGGATTATTTGTATGTGATAAGAGAAAGAAGGAAATAATCTTAAGTAAAATAGTACGATGCCATGATAAACTACAGCCTAATAATGTAGAGAAAACTAATAAGTATTATTTTCTTGGAGATCAGGCCTTATTTTTAAGCAAGTGAAAAATATTTTCCTTGTTGTGACAGAACTGAGTATTGAAAAATGTCACAGAAAACATACCTTTCATCTTTAAATTCCATCATGTAAAAGGCATACATTTCATCAGTATATACTTAAAATAGGACTGGGTGTGGTGGCTCATGCCTCTAATTCCAGTACTGTGGGAGGCTGAGTTAGGAAGATCACTTGAGGCCAGGAGTTTGAGACCTGTCCCTATTTTAAAAATAAAGAAAAAGAAAAAAGGCAGGTACAGGGGTCAGGGGTACACACCTGTAGTTCTTAGCTACGTGGGAGGCTGAGGTGGGAACATCCCTTGAACCCCTGAGTTTGAGGCTGCAGTGAGCTATGATTGTGCCACTGGGTGACAGAATGAGACCCCGTCTCAAAAAAACAGAAAGTATATACTTAAAATATCATGAAGACTATATCCTTGCTAGGTGATGTAAATCGAAGATAGATTGGAGAAAGAAATGGTAATACAAGTTGCTCTAGAGAAGTTGTGTAGTTGTGTGTTAAACCTCTGAAGATAGAATAAGATTGAAAAATAATGGGTAAAAAAACCAGTGGTTTTGTATTGATTTTTGCCACAGAGATGTTTTTAATAATGTGGTACTAAAATACTTAAAATACACAGAAATATACAAAATATTAAAAAATATACAGACTATATTAAAACAACCTTTATTAATAAAACTCAGTGAAATACCTATATTTCATGTCCCTACTAATTTACCAATATTTGATTTCAAGTCTGTTGAAGTTTATAAAATAGGCTTTAATATATAAAGGACAGCTACAAATGCTGAATGATACAGATGTGTTATATTAAGCACAAAGGACATAAGTTGTATTGCTGTCAAGTGATTTCTTTTCCATAATGATGAATGATTTCTTTTAAAGTTCTGAAGACTAAGTACAATCTTGCCTGACTTATCTGATGGTTGTATTTTTGGAAAATTCACTGTAGAACAAAAACTATGATGAAATACTTTGTGTTCATTTGTAAGGCAGAATTACTGGTTTTTCAGTCATAAACATCTAACAGGATAATAAAAAGTTGTGTGGGATGCGGGATAGTTTCTTTCTGAGTAGAATTCTCCAGCATATTGCATGATTTCTGATGTCCCTTGACCCTACCCATTAAATGTTAGTAACAGCACTCAATTATTGAAATAATCCTTCCCACAAAACCTTCCCTAAACACTGAGAGCATTGCTTTAAGGTATTCTTTCCCAAGATTTAATTGATGATGGATTCTGTTTTTTCCCCCATGTAACACTTATTCTCCTACAGAAGTAGTGTTTGTGGAATATTCTTTAAGAAACGTTGTTCTAGAGAGGTCTTTTAATCTATTCCCTAAACACCTAAAGTCTTATTAGCTTTTTACTGTGTTGCATCTTTCTAATTTTGTTCTAAAACTGTTGGGAACAAATTAAATGTAAATCCTAAGGACTTAACATTTAAAAGTGTTTGTATAATTAGAATATGTGAAATATGTATTTATTAAATTTGATACTCCTAGGTTGGATCCTTGGAACAAGCTATGCTTGATGCTCTTGTAATGGATAGAGTTGCATTTGTAAAACTTCTTATTGAAAATGGAGTAAGCATGCATAAATTCCTTACCATTCCGAGACTGGAAGAACTTTACAACACTGTAAGTCTACATTAAAATTCTTTATTGACTACATTTTATCTTTTGGGAAATGTTACTTTACCTGAATATAGCCATTCCTATTGATAAAACCCTTAATGTCTTCCTTAGTTATATGAAAAAATTATAGCCAGTCTTAGTATGGATTGGTTGTATTACAGTCTGAAACCCTTTCCTTGTTTTTAGAACCCATTCCCTGTCACCATAACCACATAGGGCTATTAAGCCTACCTCTCTTTCCTGTGTATTTCCCTTTCCCTCCCCTTATCAAAACTAGAGGATCAACTTCTTAATTATAGGGTGATTATGTTTCTTTTGACTCCGTTGTCTAATGGAGGAATTATGCATTGCTTTTTTCTCTTTTTTTTTTTCTTTTTTTACATTCATTGTTTGACCTCATGGTATACCCCTTTTAGCTTACATACTGTTTTCATTTTTTTTGTAAAGGACTCCTGAAAACTTACTATTCTCGTAACAAAGACTTTCACATTTTATTCCAAATTTTTATTGTATTAGCATTGAAGATATACTACCCTTCTTAGTGGTTTTCTGTGTTATGAATATGAGTTTACTACCCAAATCCTTAACTTGATTTTCAAAGATCTTCATATATTGCCCCATCTACTTTTCTCACTTGGCCTTTTTATTGCCCCCCAAATCCAGGGCGGGGCGGGGAGGGGGCGGGGCAGCAATAAGATGGTAAATGTCTACCTACTATTTACTAAAAATACAAACTTTTTTCTTTCTTTTTTTTTTTTTTGACAGAATCTCGCTCTGTCACCAGGCTGGAGTGCAGTGGTGCCATCTTTGCTCACTGCAGCCTCCGCCTCCCTGGTTCAAGTGATTCTCCTGCCTCAGCCTCCCAGGTAGCTGGGACTACAGGCGTGTGCCACTGCACCCAGCTAATTTTTGTGTTTTTAGTAGAGTCGGGGTTTCACCATGTTGGCCAGGATGGTCTTGATCTCTTGACCTCGTGATCTGCCCGCCTCAGCCTCCCAAAGCACTGGGATTACAGGCGTGAGCCACTGCACCCGGCCAAAAATGCAAACTTTTTTAAAAAAAAGCATTTGCTATTTTCACAGTGCTGGTCTGTTTTGCTTCCAACTAATAACCCATTTATTGAAATTTTATTAATTGCTTAGGACTTAGCTTAAATGCCATGCCACTGGTTCCATGAAGCTTGGTGGCATAGTTAAGTACAATTATTATGTCTTTCCCTTTGGATTGTAAATTTCTTTGAAGTAGGTATTATATCTCATTTTCTCCCTTTTTTTTCTTTTTTTGAGAAAGAATCTCACTCTGTTGCCCAAGCTGGAGCGCAGTGGCACGATCTGGGCTCACTGCAACCTCTGCCTTCCGGGTTCAAGCAATTTTCCTGCCTCAGCCTCCTGAGTAGCTGGGATTACAGGTGCATGCCACCATGCCCAGCTAATTTTTGTATTTTTAGTGGAGATGGGGTTTCGCCATGTTGGCCAGGCTGGTCTTGAACTCCCGACTTCAGATGATCCGCCTGCCTCAGCCTCCCAAAGTTCTGGGATTACAGGCGTGAGCCACTGGGCCCAGCTTCCATTATTTTCTTTTAGTATGTGTAGCACATTTGCGTTGAACTTTGTTGGCATTTTACTGTCCCTAGTGGACAGATGTAAAAATTAAAAGGATTATTCATTGTGCTGTAGTAAGGTTTATACCTGAACTATAAAGCAATGTAAAATAATAAAAATAAAAATTGATCCCATTAGCAAGACAAGTAATTTTTTAAATTGTATGACTCAAAGGTGTTAAGATAATACTGTAGTTACTTTCAGCATCAATTATTGATGAAGTTTTAAAACATTTAAGGGCTTGCAACATGATAAAGCAGTAGTTCTCAAACTTTTTGATTTTCAGGGTTCCTTTACATTAAAATTATTGAGAACTTCAAAGAGCTTTTCTAAAGAGGTTTTGTTTGTGTGTGTTGGTATTTTAGAATGTAAAAATGAGAGTTTTAAAAAATATTTGTTTTTATTAAAGTAGCAGTTATATTTACTTAAAATTTCTAAACTTATCCCATATTAACATAAATATTTGTTCTTATTTCTTTTTTCTTAAATTAGCACCCTTCTGCCTGATACTTTTTTTTTGTTTTGTTTTGTTTTTTTGAGACGCAGTTTTGCTCTTGTCATCCAGGCTGGAGAGCAGTGGCACAATCTTGGCTCAATGCGACCTCCACCTCCCAGGTTCAAGCGATTCTCCTGCCTCAGCCTCCCAAGTTGCTGGGATTATAGATGCCCACCACCACGCCCAGCTAATTTCTGTATTTTTAGTAGTGATGAGGTTTCACCGTGTTGGCCAGGTTGGTCTTGAACTCCTGACCTAAGGTGATCCACTGCCTCGACCTCCCAAAGTGCTGGGATTACAAGCATGAGCCACCGCACCCAGCCTGCTATGTTTTTATTTTTAAAGAAAACAAAAAAATTGGTGAGAAGAGGAAAACACGTTTGCAAATGTCTTTAAAGTCTAGCCTTATAAAAGCAGCTGGATTCTCGTATTTGCTTCTGAATTCAATCTCACAATATCACACATCAAAAAGCCTCTGGAAAACTCCACCAAACACTGAGAGAATAAGAATGAAATAATACAATTTTAATATGATTAGGAAAAAAGTCTTGATCTTGTGGAACTCCTGAAGGAATCATGGGGGCCTCAGGTGTCCCCAGGTCACACTTTGAGAATTACTGTGTTAAAGTACATTTATTATTTATTAACAATTTATTTTTAATGGATAAACATTTAATAGAGTAGGATAAAATAGAATTTAAGAAATTTTAAGTGCCTTTCCATGTGATTACATACCGTTAGAGAAAAATGCAATGAAATTCCCCAATACCCCCAAAATATGAGATACGTCTTATTAACTTAGAAGAAACTTTTATTTTAAAAAGTTCACCTGTGGGGGAGAATTGGCAGAGAGAACTTAGCCCCTGAGTTGATCGACTAAATAAATAGGTTTTTTTTTTTTTTTTTTTTTTTTTGAGACGGAGTCTCGCTGTTGCCCAGGCTGGAGTGCAGTGGCGCGATCTTGGCTCACTGCAGGCTCCGCCCCCAGGGGTTCACGGCATTCTCCTGCCTCAGCCTCCCGAGTAGCTGGGACTACAGGCGCCCGCCACCATGCCCGGCTAATTTTTTGTATTTTTAGTAGAGACGGGGTTTCACCGTGTTAGCCAGGATGGAATTTTTTAAATTTTTTACTTTTTTGGGGGATGGAGTTTCACTCTTGTTGCTGAGACTGGAGTGCAATGACGCGATCTCGGCTTACCGCAACCTCCGCCTCCCGGGTTCAAGCGATTCTTCTACCTCAGCCTCCCGAGTACCTGGAATTAAAGGCATGTGCCACCACACCCGGCTAATTTTGTGTTTTTTTAGTAGAGACGGGGTTTCTGCGTGTTGGTCAGGCTGGTCTCGAACTCCTGACCTCAGGTGATCCACCCGCTTCTGCCTCCCAAAGTGCTGGGATTATAGGCTTGAGCCACCGCGCCCAGCCCTAAATAAATATTGTAAAAAGAAGGCAGAGCAAAGTAAAGTAAAATATGATTCATATGCAATATCAATTGTAGTCATCTTAAATATTATATAGAATTTGAAAGCCAAGAATATCAAAGAAAATAACTTTTTCTCCAAAGAAATAATGGTAGGTGGCCCACTCTAACAGTATATATAAAGAGAAGTAAGATAATGGCAAAATTATGGCATATATAAATGTTAAATCAGGGATGTCCAATCTTTTGGCTTTCCTGGGCCACATTGGAAGAAAAATTGTCTTGGGCCACACATAAAATACACTAACACTAACGATAGCTGATGAGCTTAAAAAAAAAAAAATTGAAAAAAATTGAAAAAAAAACTCTATGTTTTAAGAAAGTTTACAAATTTGTCTTGGGCCATATTCAAAGCCATCTTGGGCTGCATGCAGCCCGTGGGTTACAGGTTGAACAAGCTTGTGTTAAAGTCTTGTTACCCAAAATATTTAAAGTCTCAATATGACTTTATTAGTGACAGAAACAGAGGAACAGACATTTTAACAAGAAGAAAGGTATTGTACAGCGCCATTATCAATGAAAGAAATGTAAATTTAAATTTAAGATACAATTGTAAAGTTGCAGTGATGACTTTTGTGAAACAAAAACTTATGTATCATTTTAGTGATACTCTTAAGATTATTTGTTTTTTGGCAGTAAATGTGAAAATTCTTTGTTGTTCTACTTTATGAATAGAACTTAAGGAAATAACTCCAAAACAATGTAATTTGTATAAGAAGGTTCATAAAAATCCTGTAAGGTTTAAATTAGTTTAGAAGAAAAATAATAGTTTGCTGTAACTTTTTCTCCCTAAAGAAACAAGGTCCAACTAATCCAATGCTGTTTCATCTTGTTCGAGACGTCAAACAGGTAAGAGATTATTTTTTGCTTTTGAAAAATGTTATTTTAAAAAATCATTTATATTTCATGTTTTTTAAAAAAAAAATCATTTAAATACATTTTAGAAATACCAATAAAATTACAGTTTACAGAACAAGATAAAATATGGGCTGAATTTGTGGTAAGAGAGGAGTAAAGAGCATAATGTATCAGAAAACAAGAAAAAAAGAGAGTTTATGGAATTAAGACCAAGGCTGGGCATGGGTGGCTCAAACCTGTAATCCCAGCATTTCGGCAGGTTGAGGCTGGCAGATTGCTTGAGCCCAGGAGTTCAAGACCAGCCTGGGCAGCATGCTGAAATCCCATCGCTACGAAAAGTTAAAAAAATTACCTGGGCATGGTGGTGCACACCTGTAGTACCAGCTACTCGGGAGGCTGAGGTGGGAGGATCACTTGAGGCCAGGAGGTAGAGGCTGCCATGAGCCATGATCTTGCCACTGCATTCCAGCCTGGGTGACAGAGTGAGACTCTGTCTCAAAAAAAAAAAAAAAGAAAAAAAAGCTGTTGAGCTTCTGGTCATCCAAGATAGAATATGATGTATAAAGCTCATTGGTTCATAAAAGAAAGACTGTTGATAGAATGTATCTTTTTTCCTCTATCTTCAGCAGAAATTTATTCCTCAGAAAATTGTCCCAATGTAAAGGATGTTGAATAAGGAAATTGAGGACTGGGTCATGATCTTAATGGCAGACTTTGCCAGTAAAAATGCTGAAAACTCTCTCCCCTTTAAAAAAAAATCTAGTATTTCTACTTAGCCACACAAAAGAATGAAATCATGTCCTTTGCAGCAGTGTGAATGGAACTGGAGGTTGATTATCCTAAGTGAAATAACTTAGTCAAATACCACGTTTTCACTTACAAGTTGGAGCTAGACAATGGGTACCTATGGACATAGAGTGGAATGATAGACATTGGAGACTTTACAAAAGGTGGGAGGTTGGGTGGGGGTGGTGAGGGTTGAACAACTACCTGTGGGTACACTATTCACTGTTCAGATAATAGGTACACTAAAAGCCTAGTCTTCACCGCTACATAACATATGCGTGTAAGAAATCTATACTTGTACCCCCTAAATATATATAAATCATTTTAACATACGTTTATTTATTTATTTATTTATTTATTTATTTATTTATTTATTTATTGAGACGGAATCTTGCTCTGTCGCCCAGGCTGGAGTGCAGTGGCGTGATCTTGGCTCACTGCAAGCTCCACCTCCCAGGTTCACACCATTCTCTTGCCTCAGCCTCCCAAGTAGCTGGGACTACAGGCACCTGCCACCACGCCTGGCTAATTTTTTGTATTTTTAGTAGAGACGGGGTTTCACCATGTTAGCCAGGATGGTCTCGATCTCCTGACCTCGTGATCTGCCCTCCTTGGCCTCCCAAAGTGCTGGGATTACAGGCGTGAGCATTTTTAACTTTTTTAAAAGTAAAAAACATCTAGTATTGGTGGTGATGAACGCATAACACTGTCATGATCTCAGGCTATTCTGTGGCCACTAAATTGATGTACTGTTATTCCTCTTCTATCAGGATTGTTTGTGAACTAAAAGTTTTAAACGTTTATCACCACTTTTATAGCCATTTATATTATTGGTATTCAATACAGTTTTGTTTTCCTTGATAAAATAGTATTTATATTTATTTGGTTAAAATATCTTCTAAGTTTCTAAACTTAAATTTTGTTTAGAATTATTTATTTATTTCAGCTTTTACTTGCTGCTAAGTATGAGTGCATTATTAAAAACATAGAAGGCCAGGGCTGGTGGCTCATACCCGTAATACCAGCACTTTGGTAGTCTGAGGTGAGTGGATCGCCAGAGAGAAGGGGTTTGAGACCAGCCTGGGCAAACAAAGCGAGACCTTTTCTCTACAAAAAAATTTAAAAATTAGCCCGGCATGTTGTCACGTGCCTGTAGTCCAAATGATTGGTGGGGGTGTGGGGGGCACTGAGGGAGGATCACTTGAGCCCAGGAGTTGAGGCTGCAGTGAGCTGTCATCGAGCCACTGTACTCCAGTCTGGGTACACATCAAGACCCTTCTTAAGAAAAAAGAATGACGTTAGAAATGTCATTTTAACAGCCTTGAGGATGTTTTTTAAAAATGTGATTTTCTGTTTTCATTTTCTTTATTTTGTAACTGATTTAATACTAAACTACTATCCTATAGGAAGAACCGAGACATTTTATACTTAAAATTTTTTTTTTTGAAATGAAGTTTTGCCCTTTCTTGCCCAGGCTGGAGTGTGGTGGCACGATCTCGGCTCACTGCAACCTCTGCCTCCTGGGTTGAAGTGATTCTCCTGCCTCAGCCTCCCGAGTAGCTGGGATTGCAGGTGCCTGCCACCAAGCCTGACTGATTTGTTTTTTTTTTTTTTGAGATGGAGTCTTGGTCTGTTGCCCAGGTTGTAGTGCAGTTGGCGCGATTTTGGCTAACTGCACCCACTGCCTCTCAGGTTCAAGCAATTCTCCTATCAGCCTCCCGAGTAGCTGGGACTACAGGCGCACACCACCATGCCTGGCTAATTTATTTTATTTATTTATTTATTTATTTATTTATTTATTTATTTATTTATTTATTTTTTTGGTAGAGATGGGGTTTCATCATGTTGGCCAGGCTGGCCTCAAACCCCTGACCTCAGGTGATCCACCCACCTCGCCTCCCAAATTGCTGGGATTACAGGCATGAGCCATTACGCCCAGCCTGCATGTGCTTTTCTTTATAGCTTTATTGAAATACATTTCACAAATTACAAAATTCATTCATTTAAAGTGTATATTGGCCAGACCCAGTGGCTTGAGGTCAATAGTTCAAGAACAGCCTAGCCAAAATAGTGAAACCCTGTCTCTACTAAAAATACAAAAATTTGCCAGGTGTGGTGGCATGTGCCTGTAGTCCCAGCTACTTAGGAGGCTGAGGCAGAAGAATTGCTTGGACCTGGGAAGCGGAGGTTGCAGCAAGCTGAGATTGTGCCATTGCACTCCAGCCTGGACAACAGAGCAAGACCCTTTGTCTAAAAAAAAAAAAAGCATACATTTTTTGACTTTACTATATTCAGAGTTGTACAACCATTGCCACAGTCTAACTTTAGAGCATTTATAATACTTCGAAAAGTTACCCTGTACCCTTTAGCAGTCACTTCTCATTTCTTCTCCTTCTGTACTCCCCACTTCTGTCCCCGACCTATGGTAACTATTAATCTAATGATTTGCTTATTCTGGTCATTTCACATCAATTTGATTTGGTCTTTTTAAATAATTAAAATTCCCCCTCCTTCCCCTAGAAATCTTAAGTAATGGGGGAGACGTTAAGACCATGTTTCTAAGAAAGAATTATGGTAGTTAAAATTTTGGAAACAAATGTGAGAATTTGTATACATTGTTGTTACATCGGTGGCTATAATAATAAGCCCTATTTTTTTTATTTCTATAAGTGATAAATCTTTAAATACAGGTAGTAATTGAATATTTTTATTCAAATTGGTAACTTGAGTTTTATGACTTAGTGTAGTTTGAGAACTTGATCGTCATGACATTTGTTAGATAATTCACATTATTTTACCTAATTTAAAAATTTCTTCTTCAAGTGGGTTCATATAATGGCATTTGTGGTTTTTAATAAATAATATTGAAGAATATCATAGGTGACATTCTCAATCATTCTGCATATTTTGAGATTGCTTGAGTTAAAACCAAAAATCTTGTATTCAAGATGGAAATAGGTATTTTGATTTATTTTCAAATTAGAGATTTAAAGGATATAGTTATCTAGAAATTAGAAATTTCACAGATGAAACCAATATATATATATTTTTTTGAGACGGAGTTTCGCCTTTGTTGCCCATGCTAGAGTGCAATGGTGTGAACTTGGCTCACTGCAACTTCCGCATCCTGGGTTCAAGCGATTCTTCTGCCTCAGCCTTCTGAGTAGCTGGGATTACAGGTGCCCTCCACCACACCCAGCTAATTTTTGTATTTTTAGTAGAGATGGGGATTCTCCATGTTGGCTAGGATAGTCTCAAACTCCTGACCTCAGGTGAGCCACCGTGCCCAGTGAAACCAAGATAGTAAAAATACAGACATTAAAAAAAACAAGTTCATGACATAATCAGGGAAATAAAAAAATGGTGATGGTAGGAGGGCAGAATTAGTTAAAAAATACAAATTATCTGATGATTAAATCCCTTTAAGATTATTTAATAAAATTAACCAGTTTTTAAATTTTAAAACAGGCAATCTTTCCAAACTCACAAATGGTGTATGTTCCAAAAGTGCATTTGTAAATTGCCATGGGAAAATGAAGTCTTATCTTTAAACAATGTTGCAAGCGGTAGTTAATTCCTGGACAACACTATAAAAACCTATAATATTACCAGTATAATTTTGGTTAAAAAAATACTTAACATGTATTTCTGGGCCAGTCTGGAAACATAATACAGCATTATTTTTCCAGAAAAATGCAATTTTTTGTATGTATCACAATGAAAATGGAATATTTGGCTGATTAGCATTTCCACTGTCTCTTTTTTTTTTTTTTTTTTTTTTTTTTTGAGACAAAGTCTCGCTCTTGTCGCTCAGGCTGGAATGCGGTGGCACTATCTCGGCTCACTGCAACCTCTGCCTCCCGCCATTTTCCTACCTCAGCCTCCCAAGTAGCTGGGATTACAGGTGCCTGCCACCATGCCCATCTAATTTTATATTTTTTTAGTAGAGACGGGGTTTCTCCATGTTGGCCAGGCTGGTCTCGAACTCCCAACCTCAGGTGATCTGCCTGCCTCGGCTTCCCAAAGTGCTGGGATTACAGGCCTGAGCCACAGCGCCCAGCCTGCTTTGTCTCATGTGTAAAGTGTTGGGGCAATGAAGAGATGAAATTGTTATCTTCCTGCTTTAGGTCATACTCCTGTCTCAGGGCACACCTTTGAGACCTCAGAACTTTAGAATCCCATATTTTTACAGAGGAAATAGAGAAACAAGCATTTCCTTCTGTAAAGATAGCTTAGCTGCTGGCAACCCTTGCTGCTGCTTTTTTTTTTTTTTTTTTTTTTTTTTGAGACCAAGTCTTGCTCTGTCTCCCAGGCTGGAGTGCAGTGGCACGATCTTGGCTCACTGCAACTTCCGCCTCCCAAGTTCAAGCAATTCTCCTGCCTCAGCCTCTTGAGTAGCTGGGACTACAGGCATCTACTAGCTTGCCTGGCTAATTTTTTTGTATTTTTAGTAGAGAAGGGGTTTCATCATGTTGGTCAGGCTGATCTCAAACTCGACCTCAGGTGATGCACCCGCCTTGGCCTCCCAAAATGTTGGGATTACAGGCGTGAGCCACTGCACCTGGCCCTTGCTTCTTATAAGAAGTAAACATTTGTCATTTTGGAGAGTAGGCCTGTTCCTAGGCAGGGCATGGCAATATTGAGAAGTGCTATCTGATCTATTTAAAACAAATGTTTTGTTTCTAGGGAAATCTTCCTCCAGGATATAAGATCACTCTGATTGATATAGGACTTGTTATTGAATATCTCATGGGAGGAACCTACAGATGCACCTATACTAGGAAACGTTTTCGATTAATATATAATAGTCTTGGTGGAAATA
Source organism: Homo sapiens (assembly GCF_000001405.40). NCBI lineage: Eukaryota > Metazoa > Chordata > Mammalia > Primates > Hominidae > Homo > Homo sapiens. The sequence goes on along the minus strand of NC_000015.10, from coordinate 50,614,127 downwards.
ATCGGGTATGTAAAATTTGTGGGGAAATCTATATATATGCTTTAATATTAACACATGCACTTTAATTGTTAAGAATTAACATTAGAACGGAGAAGGTTACACTGTCATAAAGTTGAACATTTTCAACTAAGAGCAATTAGAAATATTATGTCGTCAAAATCCTAAATCAGTCATATTTTGTGTGTGTACACAAACACATTTGCACACATATATAAATTGATTCTTGAATTTTTATAACATGTCAGCACGTTTAAATCTATAAAAGCTAATAAGATCTCATTTTCAGAGGTCTGGCCGAAATACCTCCAGCAGCACTCCTCAGTTGCGAAAGAGTCATGAATCTTTTGGCAATAGGGCAGATAAAAAGGAAAAAATGAGGCATAACCATTTCATTAAGACAGCACAGCCCTACCGACCAAAGGTAAATTTATTTAAATATTATTCTTTCTGGGTTTTTATTTTCTTCTTTCTAAATTACTTAGTATTATTAAACAAAAAAAACTAATTGATTTAGTAAGAATTACCTTTCGTTTTTGGATATGTCCTAGAATTGTCATTTTCTCACACACAGAGATATTAATTATAAGTTAATGATTCTGTTCCTTTTTTTTTTTTTTTTTTTTTTTGAGACAGGAGTCTTGCTCTGTCACCAGGCTGGAGTGTAGTGGCACAATTTTGGCTCACTGCAACCTCCACCTCCCAGGTTCGAGTGATTCTCCTGCCTCAGCCTCCCGAGTAGCTGAGACTACAGGCACCCAGCACTACACTGGCTAATTTTTTGTATTTTTAGTAGAGACTGGGTTTCACCATGTTGGCCAGTATGGTCTCGATCTCTTGACCTCGTGATCCATCCTCCTCAGCCTCCCAAACTGCTGGGATTACAGGCGTGGGCCACCGCGCCCAGCGTACATTTTCATATTTAGGTATGATAATAACCAAATTAAAATGTTTTAATAAATGTTTACCTGACTCCTTTCATTCCAGTTTTACTTGATTAAGAACATGTATAACAAAAATGTTATCTAACCCTTTATTAAAATTATGTTCTATTAGAATATTAGTTGAAATATTTAGGCCCTTAAATTTTGGAAAATGTTTATTGCAAAGGCATTTTTGTTGAAACAGCATTTTCATAAAATGAATTATGAGCTATAATAAAAATCAAGTTTATAAAATTTATGCTATTGTGCAGTTTTATGGAGCTGAATAATGTAAAGATATTTTACTAAAATTTTCACTGACATAAATTTCATATGGCCTTATTATAATGAGCTTTATAACTTTATTTTCCCTGGAAGATTGATACAGTTATGGAAGAAGGAAAGAAGAAAAGAACCAAAGATGAAATTGTAGACATTGATGATCCAGAAACCAAGCGCTTTCCTTATCCACTTAATGAACTTTTAATTTGGGCTTGCCTTATGAAGAGGCAGGTCATGGCCCGTTTTTTATGGCAACATGGTGAAGAATCAATGGCTAAAGCATTAGTTGCCTGTAAGATCTATCGTTCAATGGCATATGAAGCAAAGCAGAGTGACCTGGTAGATGATACTTCAGAAGAACTAAAACAGTATTCCAAGTAAGTGGTATTTTATCATTTGAAAACATTTTAAAAATTCAAAGTAGGTATTGTTTGAGTGGCTGTTACAGTGCCACGTACTTAATGGTGATGTATTTATATGTATAATCTTATTGGTACAATTGACAGAAAATTATATAAGTATATATTTTTTTAATTAAAAGAAACTTTCTGCCTCTATGAAAAAGAGGTTATTATATTTGCAACTCAAGAATTAAATATCTCAGCAAGAAAGAAGAAATGCAGCCTGGGCAACATAGGCAGACCCCGTCTCTACATGAAATTTAAAAATTAACTGGGTGTGGTGGTACTTGTCTGTGGTCCCAGCTACTCAGGAGGCTGAGGTGGAAGGATCACTTGAGCCTGGGAGGTTAAGGCTGCAGTGAGCTGTGATCATGCCATTGCACTCCAGCCTAGGTGACAGCAATAGACCCTGTCTCGAAACAAAGAAGAAATGCCAGAATTCATTTTAATTTTTGCAAATAGTAGCAATTGGATTAGAAAGTTCCATTTGAATTGGTAAGGAAAGGGTGGAAGTGAAGTTGGAGCTGTGTTATAAGAAAATAGACTGAATTCAACTGGGAAGGCACTTCAGAAGCTAGAACTACATACACAGAGTAACGACATAGTTCATAAAAGTTTACAATTTACTTAGAGGGGCAGTGTTGGAATATTAAACTGGAAAAGTAGTTTGTAGAAGTTTTCTAATATATACTAAGACCTCCGGCTCCCCAAGTGGGGTATTTAGAGGGCAGTGATAATTGTTACTGAAAATAACTCTTTAACAGGGATCCTATGGTTACTTAGTGGGACTTCAAGATTCAGATGTTTTTCATAATTAGGTTAGTCCCTAGTCACATTGTTTTTCCTCTCTACCAGGTACCAACTGTTTTCTGTGTTTGAAATACTACATAAACTTTTTTGAACAGAGCATTGTAGCATTGTGAGTTTTGATTCCCTTTGAGATTATAGTTTGATTTCTAGGACCGGGAGAATGTGCTCTGGATTCACCTTCTCAATCTTGTACATAATGCGACATATTTTAATATTTTGTGATTTCCACATAGATGTAGATGTCTGAAAACAGAGTTATGGTTTTAATGCCTCATAATTCTGTAAGTGTGTGTGAGAATATTAAAAAGTAGGAAGTATTAATGTATATAAGAATAGTGGTTTAAAATTGCAGTTTGTTAATCTGAGTATATTTTGGCTTTTATCTTTTTATAGTGATTTTGGTCAGTTGGCCGTTGAATTATTAGAACAGTCCTTCAGACAAGATGAAACCATGGCTATGAAATTGCTCACTTATGAACTGAAGAACTGGAGTAATTCAACCTGCCTTAAGTTAGCAGTTTCTTCAAGACTTAGACCTTTTGTAGCTCACACCTGTACACAAATGTTGTTATCTGATATGTGGATGGGAAGGCTGAATATGAGGAAAAATTCCTGGTACAAGGTATACTTTAGAAATAATTTGATATAAAGCATGTGATTAGATAAAAAGAACAGAAGAATTAGTCTAAATGTGTAGTAAAATGCCTTGATGTGTGAGTGTAATGGTGGGGGGTAAAGAGGGAGCAAGATGGATGATTGGCATTTCATCCCAAGTGGTATAATGGGCTTCTTTTTTCCTCTACTTAACTTTTGAATCCTTTTCAGGTGTCTATAATGATTATGGCCTCTCTTTGAGCTAGAAGGGGAACAAATGGCAAATATTGGAGATTATGGCCCCTAGCAGCCTTGAAAAAAGTTACTACTTTATGAAAAGATTATTCCCAAATTCTGAAATTCAAGACCTATCTACTAATTTAATAATCTGTTACTTTTAAGTTACTTAAAGTATATTGGATGAGTATATTGATATACCCATTATAGATAAGTATATCCATGTGGCCTGTTTTTATGATTAAAAATTTGGGTAAAATGGCATGTACCTTTGGTTTTGTCATGGTGATAGATACTGCTTTGAACTTTGCTTTTTGTTATCTTATATCTTTTAAAATAAGGTGCAGAAATGTAGGAGTCAGAAATCAGGCAAATAGTTTAACCATAGGCCACTGAATAACCAACAGAAAACCTGTTACACAATTACAATTTCTTCATGCTTTGGGATTTTGCAAGTAATAAGTAAAATTTTAGAAATAAACCTTTTTGTTTATAGAGGCACAAGCTGAGTAATCACATTATGACATGGAACACTTGCAAAGAGATTTAGGATAAAATTAAGGACATAGCACCTTTATAAGGCTTGAATTTTGTTTAAACAAAATGTATTTTTTGAACAAATTGTAATCTGATTTTATTTAAAGGACAAGTCTATAATAATTATTAAATCTATCCTATACCCTTATTATCATAATAATCAAATGTTTTGTTACTCTTTAAAACAGTTAAACTTGGGCCTCTTTAAATACAATATATAAGTAAAAAATCAATTTGTTGTTTTTTTTCCCTCTACTGCTAGGGGCAAAATGGCTAATCACAAGATATTTAAAATCTTTTATTGTTTTTATTCTTTGTTTTGTTTTTATTATATTCTTGAAGGTCATTAATTTTTAAATGCAAAATTATGTTTCTAAAAATTTAGGTCATACTAAGCATTTTAGTTCCACCTGCCATATTGCTGTTAGAGTATAAAACTAAGGCTGAAATGTCCCATATCCCACAATCTCAAGATGCTCATCAGATGACAATGGATGACAGCGAAAACAACTTTCAGAACATAACAGAAGAGATCCCCATGGTAAGCAGGAAAACATTTTAAAGTAAATATAAGTTTGTTCTGAATAATTGTACAAAAGAATTTTTTTTTTTTTAATTTTAGGAAGTGTTTAAAGAAGTACGGATTTTGGATAGTAATGAAGGAAAGAATGAGATGGAGATACAAATGAAATCAAAAAAGCTTCCAATTACGCGAAAGTTTTATGCCTTTTATCATGCACCAATTGTAAAATTCTGGTTTAACACGGTATGTTTTTAAATTACACAAGCATAATGTTTTTAAGAGTTAGGCTTTGGGGGACCATTGGTTCGGAATCCATACTAATGTTGATATAACTTAGATCACTGAAAAGGCATTTCACATTTAAAAGAGTGATACATTTGCCTTAGTTTCATTTAAATTGTCATCATCTAGAGTGATAAACACTAACAAATTTTAGTTCTAATTGGAACCAAAAATGTACTTAACAAATATACAATACCATTGGCCTTTGTAAGTTGGTAGCAAATACTAATCAACTAGTAAAAATAATGATAAAAGATGGACCAAAAGAGATTCTGATACACAGTTATAATTTTTTGTGCTTTAGGATTTTGCAGATGATACATAAAAGTCTAGAAATAAACCTGTTTGCAGTGTTAATTGATGATGATAAAAAGTAATCCAGATTGTTTATATGGTTTTATTTATCTGTGGCTTATTTCTTTAATTGTATTAAAGTGTATGCTTGATTACCTTCCATATAATTGGCTTTTCTCTTGCTTTATGGAAAAATTGATTTTACTAGCAGGTTAAAGAGCATATGTCCATACAAGGATGGACTCACCTGTTATTTTGGTTGAAATGTAGGTGTTTATGTGTTGTTTTGGTTGTTTTGTGTGGAGAATGAGCACTAGGAAATATTAGTTGGCTGTCTTGCTGGTGCTACTTTCCCTAGCAATGGACCAACCTGAAGGAACAGGTGATACAGCAAATGAGATTAGCCCCTACTTTTAACCAGGGACTGAGTAAATGAGTTCTTAACTCCCCGTCATAGGAAAACCCTTAATGAAGATGTTTTTTAACTTTGTTGTTGGGGAGATTTTTTCATTTTCATCAACAAGAATTTGTTTCTTTGGTGATTGCTTTTTCACCCACACATGTGACCATTAACCTGAGACTAACATTTCCTTACACCTCTATATGAAAATGTTCTTGTTCCTTCCTATTCAGAGGCTGGAATTGCAAATATCAGTTATCTGATCTAATCTCCAAATTCTGTCTCCACTGATGAAAATAGGGCAGTTTGCTTACATTTGCATTCATGTGAATGGCTGCGTTAAAATAGCCAACATGGGTGACTACAGGAATTTCTCTTTTCTTTCTTTACTGCAGTTTACTCCCTAGCCTGCCACAGATAATCAAATAAAGGATGTGACTTATTCTAGGACTGGTGGAGACAAGACATAAAAGTCTAGAAATAAATAAAAGACAGATGAGAGGATTCTTACCCATAATTTTTCAAGGGTCAATAAGTGTGGGTTTTCCTCTGAAATGAAATAAATACTCACATGTATTTATACATAAACTTTAGCACCTCTCTGTAACCTGTTTTGTAAAGAGTATCAAAGGTGGGCTGTTTCCTTACCTGGGTCAAAGCCACTTCACATTTTTTCCACTTTTTGGGGTTCAACTTTAGTGACTGGGAGCTAAGAAAATACCAGTTGTCTGTCTGTCTTGTCTTGTCTTTTTTTCTTTTCTTTTCTTTCTTTCTTTCTTTTTTTTTTTTTTTTTTGACAGAGTCTCGCTCTGTTGCCCAGGCTAGAGTACAATGGCATGATCTCAGCTCACTGCAACCTGCACCTCCCAGGTTCAAGCAATTCTTGTGCCTCAGCCTCCCGAGTGGCTGGAATTGCAGGCATGCACCACCACGTCTGGCTAATTTTTTTTTTTTTTTTTTTTCAGTAGAGATGGAGTTTCACCCTGTTGGCCAGGCTAGTTTCGAACCCCTGACCTCAGATGATCTGCCTGCATTGGCTTCCCAAAGTTCTGGGATTACAGGCGTGAGCCACCGCGGCGTGCCCCAGTTGTCTTTTTTAGGAATACTGTTTGGTTTGGGGAGGAAGGAGGCAGGAAACATGTGTTCCTTGATGATTATGGTGGTGAAATTCTGCAGTAATTTTAATATATTATGATACTGTAGGTATGAGTTAAGCAGAATTGTGTGGCATATGCTGAGAACATAAACCTGATTGTAAAATCCCTTCTGTGGGACGTTCTAAAGGTTGACAAGAGTTGTAGAACAACACGTTTATACTCTGGGGACCATTTATACACCAATAAATGCAATGTCTGTGCTGAAGAAGAGATATTTCTAAAATTGTTTTAATAAAGGAAACTAGGAGATAATTTACAGAGGTTCATTTAATGTCTGTTTTTGTGTGTGTTTGAAAATGTTCATAATTAAAAGATTTATTTTGTAACCAATGTTATTTATGTAACCTTTACTTTTTCATTAGTTGGCATATTTAGGATTTCTGATGCTTTATACATTTGTGGTTCTTGTACAAATGGAACAGTTACCTTCAGTTCAAGAATGGATTGTTATTGCTTATATTTTTACTTATGCCATTGAGAAAGTCCGTGAGGTATGTCTTTAGTTTTTTTCTACCAATAATTTACTGTATACATGGAAGATTTTCTGTTTTGTTTTGTTTTGGGTGTATACGTAGGGGGGTGTGTGTGTGTATGATGACATTGTAGAAGTGTAGAACCTGTGTAATTTTGCTGTTCCCAAAATAATGGCAAAAGAATAGAGATTAGTGAGTATGCTGTATACTTTGTTGCCATTACAGATAAAATGATTTGTGTTAGAAATGTAGCCTATAAAAATGTAACCTGTATTTTGTTTGTTTGTTTTATTTCCTGAACATTCACATTTTTGCTCTCTGTCACTCTTCAAAAAGTATTAAATATACTTAGCTAAATGACTTTTAATTTACCTACCTGATTTAGCCAATTAGGTAGGTAAGTTATAAATAGGTCTTTAGGCCAGGCGCGGTGGCTCACGCCTGTAATGGCAGCACCTTAGGAGGCTGAGGCGGGCGGATCACTCGAGGTCAGGAGTTCAAGACCAGTCTGGCCAACAGGGTGAAACCCCATCTCTACTAAAAATATAAAAATTAGCTAGGCATGGTGGCGGCCACCTGTAATCCCAGCTACTTGGAAGACTGAGGCAGGAGAATCACTTGAACCCAGGAGGCAGAGGTTGCAGTGAACTGAGATTGCACCACTGCACTCCAGCCTGGGCGAAAGAGTGATACTCTATCTCAAAATAAAAATAAAATAGTTAGGTCTTTTTTAATATCCTGATTTTGAAGAAAATCTTTTTCGTAATATTTATACTTTGTTTTTGAAGTAGTAGCTACATGAATATTGGGTTTTGTTTGTTTGTTTGTTTGTTTGTTTTGAGACGTAGTCTCCCTCTGTGACCCAGGCTGGAGTGCAGTGGCACAATCTCAGCTCACTGCAACCACTGCCTCCCGGGTTCAAGCGATTCTCCTGCCTCACCCTCACTAGTAGCTGGGATTACAGGTGCGTGCCACCAAGCCTGGCTAATTTTTGTATTTTTAGTAGAGATGTGGTTTCGCCATGTTGGTGAGGCTGGTCTTGAACTCCTGACCTCATGATCCGCCCGCCTTTGTCTCCCGAAGTGCTAGGATTGTAGGCGTGAGCCACCGCACCTGGCCATGAATATTGTTTTATAACATACTTGCATAAGTACCTCTGAATTATTTCATGTCTCTACCTTACATTTAGAGAATACAAGAAATTGCAAAAATAATTAGAAGGTGTTGTACTTCTCTCTCACTTAGATATCATAAGAATTTCTTTTTTTTTTCTTTTCCAAACACCAACTCGAACCAGAAGGAATTTCTTATTAGATAGCTTATTTTGCATTTTAAATTCCTCTGAGTGTTATGATCCATATGTTTATTAAATCTGTTGTTTTATCAGCATGTTTGAAGAAATTGATTTGTTAAATGATAAAAGCAAATTGCAAAGCGTTTTAAAATATGTATATTCATAAAATAGCTCTGCAAGTGTTCATGAGACAGTAATAGTAGTGGTTGCTTCTAGTGGGAAGAGTAATTAATTGGCTAAGGGAGAAGAGTGAAACGGATGCTTTGCAGTATTTATGATACACCATGAATTTTGAAGTTGTGAATGTGTTACCATTCCTCCCAAAAGATGATTCTTAAAATTCATATATTCAGGAGAAGAGGCATATGTTTTAAATTAGTTAGGTAAATACAGCTACTTAAACCATTGAGTTATTTACTTTCTACAAAGAAGGCAGGTTTGGCAGCTACTACCAGGATATCCAGGTGCTGCCTTAATTTGAAATAAAACAATTTTTCAAAAGTATTTTACAATCCAGGTCTAGAGAACTGGGTTGTAATCTGAATTTTCAGCTTCTTAGTTGGATGAATCTCTGGAACCTGGGAGACGGAGGTTGCAGTGAGCCGAGATTGAGCCACTGCACTCCACCCTGGGCAATAGAGCGAGACTCTGTCTCAAAATAAATAAGTTAATAAATAAAAGCTATGTGAAATTCTACTGTAATGTTATAGTTGAATGCTGTATGTGTTTTAATAGGAATAAACTGATTACACTTTTTTTTGTTGTTGTTAAACCTTTAGATCTTTATGTCTGAAGCTGGGAAAGTAAACCAGAAGATTAAAGTATGGTTTAGTGATTACTTCAACATCAGTGATACAATTGCCATAATTTCTTTCTTCATTGGATTTGGACTAAGATTTGGAGCAAAATGGAACTTTGCAAATGCATATGATAATCATGTTTTTGTGGCTGGAAGATTAATTTACTGTCTTAACATAATATTTTGGTATGTGCGTTTGCTAGATTTTCTAGCTGTAAATCAACAGGCAGGACCTTATGTAATGATGATTGGAAAAATGGTAAGTTGACAGATGTTTGATAATACTCGTGGGTTTATTGATTTTTTAAAAAATCACAAAAATGTTATTAACATAGTTTTATTTGAGCCAGTGAATGTCTTTTATTTTGTGTTTGTTTGCCTCATACTTCACATCTGCCATTCCTTAAGAGTTTCTCATGCTCAATCCCAATCCCCTATACCCATTTAGTGCTTTGCAAGATAATGTTAGCTATACCATCTATGGTTTATGTCTGTAGGTAACTCCTTTTTCCTGTCTTCACTGATCCAGGCTTTTTTTTTTTTTTTTTCTTTTTGAGACAGAGTTTCGCTCTGTCACCCAGGCTGGAGTGCAATGGCACTATCTTGGCTCACTGCAACCTCTGCCTCTCAGGTTCAGCGATTCTCCTGCCTCAGCCACCCGAGGAGCTGGGATTACAGGCATGTGCCACCATGCCCAGCTAATTTTGTATTTTTAGTAGAGACAGGGTTTCACCATGTTGGTCAGGCTGGTCCCAAACTCCTGACCTCAGATGATCTGCCCACCTTGGCCTCCCAAAGTGCTGGGATTACAGGCGTGAGCCACCACACCCTGCTTGATCCAGGCTATTTTTTAAAAGTTAAACCCAAAATACCTAATCTTTTCCTAATACAGTATGCCCAGTATTTTGCTCTTTTCCTTAGTCTTATCTGAGTGGCAGGTTTTATTTTTTAAAATCTAGATGTCAAGTTGAATGTGTAATTTTTTTATACACTGAATCTGAAATATATTGGGTCTACTCCTTGCCGTAATTCCTTTTAGTTTTCAGTGGTGAAAAAGGCAAAATTTGTAATATAGCTATTGCTATTCCTTATTCTGAAATTCCTGTTCATCCTAGGAAATTTCAGCAAATGCAGACAAATCACTATTCAGAGACATTCACTATTAACAGTTTAACGTACATCCTTCCATCTCTCAAGATGTGTATGAACACATGTGTTTGTTTCAGACTTCTTGTAAATAAATATATACAGTAGTTTTATCAAAATATGCTTTAAAAATACATGCTGTTTCTCAATTATTTTAAAATAGTTGTCCCATTTTAATAAATATAAAAAGCTATTCTTAGAGTTTCTTATACTCCCTTAATCTTAGAAAATCAGTCTTCTCTTGGAACCAACCCAAATGTCCATCAATGATAGACTGGATTAAGAAAATGCGGCACGTATACACCATGGAATACTGTGCAGCCACAAAAAAGGATGAGTTCATGTCCTTTGTAGGGACATGGATGAAGCTGGAAACCATCATTCTGAGCAAACTATTGCAAGGACAGAAAACCAAACACCGCATGTTCTCACTCATAGGTGGGAATTGAACAATGAGAACACTTGGACACACGGTGGGGAATGGGGAACATCACACGCTGGGGCCTGTCATGGGGTGGGGGGCAGGGGGAGGGATAGCATTAGGAGATATACCTAATGTAAATGAGTGCAGCACACCAACATGGCACATGTATACATATGTAACAAACCTGCACATTGTGCACATGTACCCTAGAACTTAAAGTATAATAATTAAAAAAAAAAATCAGTCTTCTAAATTAAATATTTCTTGAGTAACCCTGCTAAGCTCACAAGATTATCTTCGCATCTTGAAAACAAGATTTTTAGGTTTTCTAAATATAAATTATTATATTTGCACTTTCACGCTGCACTGTTTCCCTCCAAGAGAATGTGTCTTCCCCCCCTTAATTGAGAATAACTGGTGTACTGTTTTTCACATCAAAGTATTACTCATTATTCACACATTTTGGCATTCTTATGGTATTTCAAGGAAAAATAGGGCAGTTAAGGTTTTTTGGGAAGAATTGGTTTTAGCCTAACATTTTAGCATGCAAAAAAGGTGTTGTAGCTCTTATGCTTACCAGGTTATTTAGTGACTCAGTGGTGTCTAGTTACTTTAATGGTAATGTAAATGGAAGAGTTAGGAAGTACAGAAGCCTTTATTTGTGATCTTCTCTAGAACCACCCTCTGCTAGGATGTCTTTCTCCTTGTCAGCTAGTCATTTGTTCCGTCATTGTGTGTTTTCCCTAGTGCCAGCTTCCCTTTACATCCCCTTTGGAAGTTTCATAATGGTTACTGTTTTAGTTCTAACATTCATTATTTCGTCATTGTGTATCTATTACATGTTAAGAGTTAAACTAAGCTGGGGCTACAAAGATGAATAAGACATGGTCCAGATCTTCGTGGAACTCAACAATTGAGTCTCTAAATATAGACATGTGAACAGATAGGTAGCTATTGAAAAATATGATAAATTGTTACGTGAAGATAGAAGAGCTAGTAACCAATTCTGTCATGAAGGCTTTCACAAAGATTATGGCATTTCAAAGGAGTTTAGAAAATACGTAGGATTTACATAGGTATACATGCACCATGTTGGTTTGCTGCACCCATTAACTCATCATTTACATTAGGTATTTATCCTAATGCTATCCCTCCCCCTGCCCCCTACCCCATGACAGGCCCCGGTGTATGATGTTCCCTACCCTGTGTCCAAGTGTTCTCGTTGTTCAGTTCCCACCTGTGAGTGAGAACATGCGGTGTTTGGTTTTCTGTCCTTGCAATAGTTTGCTCAGAATGATGGTTTCCAGCTGCATCCATGTTCCTGCAAAGAACATGAACTCATCCTTTTTTATGGCTACATAGTATTCCATGGTGTATATGTGCCACATTTTCTTAATCCAGTCTATCATTGACGGACATTTGGGTTGGTTCCAAGTCTTTGCTATTGTGAATAGTGCCACAGTAAACATACGTGTGCATGTGTCTTTATAGTAGCATGATTTATAATCCTTTGGGTATATACCCAGTAATGGGATTGCTGGGTCAAATGGTATTTCTTTACCCTAGAACTTAAAGTATAATCATTAAAAAAAAAAAAAAGAAAATATGTGGGATTTTTCTTCTGAGCAGGGAGTTTCTAACCAGAGGAAACAGCTTTGAAAAGCTTGAAGACAATAAAAGATTAAAAAGAAGAAACCTCCCTCACACTTTATAGGCTAGTGCAAAAGTAATTGCGGTTTTTGCCATTAAAAGTAATTGCAAAAACTGCAATTACTTTTGCATCAACCTAATACATCTTTTAATAGCAGACTAATGAAAATTATATGGTAAATGCTAAACTTCTCACACTCATTCTGTATGCATTATAAGAATCCTCATTTTTAAAAATTTTACTTTATTTTATTTTATTTTTTAAGATGGAGTCTCGCTGTGTCACCCAGGCTGGAGTTCAGTGGCGCGATCTGTGCTCACTGCAACCTCCACCTCCTGGATTCAAGCGATTCTTCTGCCTCAGCCTCCCGAGTAGCTGGGACTACAGGTGTGCGCCACCATGCCCGGCTAATTTTTGTATTTTTAGTGGAGACAGGGTTTCACCATATTGGCCAGGCTGGTCTCACACCCCTGACCTTGTGATCCGCCTGCCTCGGCCTCCCAAAGTGCTGGGATTACAGGCGTGAGCCACCGTGCCCAGTAAAATTTTACTTTAAGAATCCTCATTTTTATGAGCAAGCTGATACTCACATATTTTTAATTAATTAAATTCCTATCAAGCACAAGGAAAGTGGTTGTCATTTAGGCTTTATGTGAAAAGCTGTGTGAAATGCAAAGATGACTATGAATCATCAACCATAGACCTTGAATAATTTTAGTTTACGTCAATACAGATTTGCGTTTCATTTGGAATATTTGACTTGGCTTTTCCTTTAATTACAAGCATTTGTATTCTAAAATATATCAAATAGCATGAATAATGTTTTAATACTTTTTTTGCCTTTTAAAATCTTTTAATATACTTTTTGTTTTGCAATATTTTGTTTATTTGAAAGCATGCATTCTCTCAGTACTGTTCTCAAATGCTCAATGAAGGCATTATTTGTCCATTTTGCAAATAAGAACACCCAATTAAGAATTTTGGAGCGTGTTAGGCCTCTGCAAGTTGCAGAGAGCCAGCTCTTAATTTAAAAAGAAAATTTATTTGTTCATCTAACAGAATTTTAAAGATGAAGCATCAAGTCTCATCTCTTCATTTGAATTGACATTTTAAGACTCGCAGCTATCTATACAACTTTTCTTTCTAATCTTAAGCCCCTATAAAATTACTTTATCCGGCCTTGACTACTTATTGTCCCCTTTACCTTTCACATCTTACTTTCCATTTCTGCTGTCACTGTATATTCATTTTAAAAATATATGGAAATGTCATAATTTATTTTAAGTTGTCATTACAATTATTTTAAGTTTACAGTAGGTTAATGTACAGATTTATTGTAAATGTATTCTCTTTTGCATGAGGCTTTTCTCCTCAGCTAGATGATTATTTATGAATGAATATTACATATTGCTAGAGTGAGAAAGCATTCACTTTTTTATATGTATATTCCCTTTTTTTTTTTTTTTTAAGATGGAGTCTCGCTCTGTCTCCCAGACTGGAGTGCAGTGGCGTGATCTTGGCTCACTGCAGCCTCCGCCTCCTGGGTTCAAGTGATTCTCCTGCCTCAGCCTCTTGAGTAGCTGGGATTACAGGAGTGTGCCGCCACGCCCGGCTAAGTTTTATATTTTTAGTAGACACAGGGTTTCACCATGTTGGCCAGGCTAGTCTCGAACTCCTGACCTCAAGTGATCCACCTGCCTCGGCCTCCCGAAGTGCTGGGATTACAGGCTTGAGTCACTGTTCCTGGTCGTATATTCACTTTTTTATATTGTCTAGGCTAGACAGTAAGTAGTGCAGGCTGGAGAACTTATATACCTAAATAAGTAGATGGGAGGTGAAGTTTTATTATAGCATTCTGCTTAATTCTTTGAATCCTTAAATAATTATGTCAAAATGTACATTGTAATTTAACAATGAAAATAATTTTTCAATGAATTACTAGGTTTTAGCTCAATTAGGCCCTTTTTGAATTTTATTGAAATTAAAGAATTACAAACTACATGACTTACAAAAGTATTTGTTTCCCAGACATTGGTGTCTTTTAGTTTTTCAACACCCATGCTAATAATTCAGATTGTTTTGTTTGGCTCCTAGGAAGTTTTCATATCCCAGGACAAGGCACCCATGGATTCAGGGTGGGTGGGAAGTGTTCTTTTTTTGTGTGAAGTGGGCAAAGTACAATTACCAGAGGCAACATGGAAAAGAGAGAGTCTGTGCTTCCATTATAAGAACAGAGAAGCTTTAGGAAAGGGCAGTTGTGGAAATTGATTCCCTAAATCTGTCTGTGTCTCTGTACTTCTTGAAAATCTTCACGTACCACAGAGATAGGTACACTTCAGTTTGAACCAGTGATACAATTCATTATGTAGATAAAGATGCCCATGACTTGCTTAGCTTAATAGATTTTTTTTTACGTAATCTCCTAGATGTTAAGATTTATATAGTGATGAAATTCTTCTGAAAGCTATCACTAGGAACAAAAAGAATCTCAAAGATTTTTTGTGTTTAATGGATTTTTTTGGTCTATTAGAACATTAGAAGCTTTTAGAAAGATTTGTCATAGTGTTTAAACTTCCTTGTATTTTAACAGTGTTCATTTTTTAACAGGTGGCCAATATGTTCTACATTGTAGTGATTATGGCTCTTGTATTACTTAGTTTTGGTGTTCCCAGAAAGGCAATACTTTATCCTCATGAAGCACCATCTTGGACTCTTGCTAAAGATATAGTTTTTCACCCATACTGGATGATTTTTGGTGAAGTTTATGCATACGAAATTGATGGTAAGAATTGTATATTTACAGATTTATCTTTTGGTTATTTTGTGTTTTAAAACCAATATTGAATTATAGTAATATTGCATATTTTCAGAAGTCAAACTATTACCAACCTAAGCCCCACACAAAGGCGTTAGTGAACTCCAGAAGAAACATACAAATTAATTGGAAGAAAAAATATTTTAGAATTTTTTTAGTGGCAGGTATTAGAAGTCTAGTCTAAACTGTCCTAGGACACAATAAGGGCATTTATTAACTCACATAACAATATTGAGCTAGGTCTAGTGGTCTTTAGGGTTGGTTAATTCATAGCTAAGGACACTTGTTCTTTTTCTTCCGGCTGCCAACTCTATAAGTTTCCCTTATGATTCTAAGACTGTCATTAGCAACAGGAGGAAAGAGACACTGTTTATCGATGGTTCTCTTTAGAGGAAAATGTCCCTTTCATAGAAATTCCCTTTTGAACCTGTCCTTTCATTTCATTAGCTTGAGTTGGCTTCAGCCTGCCTATCTCTAAAATGGTTACAGACAAGGGGGATGGGATTACCATGATTAGCGTAGATCATTCAGGTAGATTCGATATTGAGAAGTCAAGCACAACGTTAATTACAAAAATAATGATCCTGTGTGAATACTGAAAGCTTACAGCATGTTGAGTTTTACAGATGACAGATACTCAAGATTTTTGTTGCAGCTTGTGAGTACATTCTCTGGATAATCAATGACGTAACTCCCACTGATTCAACCCTGTTCTTAGAATATTAAGTTTGTTGTTCAATTTTGTTACTATTCACATTTTGACTCTTACATTGTCTTAGTCAGTGAGACTAGATAACCTGTGAACATAAGTGATGCTGTCAGCTTTCAGTGATATTCTGCTGACTTCCACATTTGAGATATAGAATCTTTATTTTGTTGATTCTCTCTCACTCTTATTCTTTCTTCTTCCTTCATTCTTACCTCCCCCAATATCTGTGTTACTCCCTTCCTACGTATTTATGGGTGATTAGGTCAAGGGTTGGCCATGTAGTGAGAGGATTGTGGTTAGGTCCAAGGGTGGCCACATAGAAAATTTGTGGTCATTATTTGTTCTTGGGCGGTAGTTAAACTAATGTTGTTTTACCAGCCTGGTCAAATTTTGTGTTTAATGGCTTCTGTTTGGTGTTATTTCCAGGGTTTCATTGTCTGCTACTTTTTTTTTTTCTTTTTGAGACCGAGTCTCACCGTGTCACCCAGGCTGGAGTGCAGTGGTGTGGTCTTGGCTCACTGCAACCTCTGTCTTCCAGGTTCAAGTGATTCCCATGCCTCAGCCTCTGGAGTAGCTGGGATTACAGCTGCATACCATCATGCCTGGCTAGTTTTTTGTTTTTGTTTTTTTAAGTAGAGACAAAGTTTCACCATGTTGGCCAGGCTGGTCTTGAACTCCTGACCTCAAGTGATTGGCCTGCTTTGGCCTCCCAAAGTTCTGGGATTACAAACGTGAGCCATCACGCCTGGCTGTCTGCTATTTTTCTAATGATATGACTCTAATTGTGTAGTTGTTATAAAGCATTGAGTATAGTTTTTTAGTTTCCTGCATTCTCTTTCTTGGGTATTTGCTTCCGCAAACTAATCTGAATAGAATGGAAATAGATTCATAAAATTATTTAAGAGTGAAAAGACCTTACCATTAATTTGCCCGTAAAACCATTTAAAGGAATCATAGAACCGTATGAATGTCATTGATGCATATACTTTTTAAAAATTACCAAATACTAAATGCTAAGTGTACTATAAATATTTAGCTAGAACTTATCACTAATTCATCATTATTTAATTCTAATCCTCGCCCTGCCTAATTTACTTTATTCCTTGTAATGCTGTTGGGGGTATTAAAGCTCTTCCTTTCCTTGTTTGTAATTAGCTATGTTCTGGCTTCAGAAATTTTTCAGTTAGGGGTAATGAAAAACAAGGAATTCAAATCTAATCACGGTATAATTGAGAAGCACTTTTAGCTATTTCTTCAGCCCCATTTTTGTGACATAATAAGATAAACTCAATATTCTTTATTAAATGTATATGTTTTGCTATGAGTCAACCATACTCTTAAAGTTGAGTCATGCGTATAATCCCAGCACTTTGGGAGGCTGAGGCTGACAGATCACGAGGTCAGGAGTTCGAGACCAGCCTGGCCAACATGATGAAATCCGGTCTCTACTAAAAATGCAAAATTAGCTGGGCATGGTGGCGCATGCCTGTTGTCCCAGCTATTCGGGCGGCTGAGGCAGGAGAATTGCTTTAACCCAGGAGCCGGAGGTTGCAGTGAGCCGAGATCGCGCCACTGCACTCCAGCCTGGGTGACAGAGCAAGACTCCGTCTCAGGGGAAAAAAAAAGTTTGGACATTTTTCTTACAGAAATATTATCATATGGTTGATCCAGGAATTTTACCCTCTTTAGTGCTCGTCAGGTTAAACCCTGCCTCGAAGGGTAAATATAACACCTAAATATACTTTCTTTTCTGGAATAGAGTTGTAAAACAGATAGCACCCACATTTCTCACAACATCTTTTTGTGTTTGAACACTCTTAAGCTGGGGTTCCTATGTCTCCTTGCCCAGATGCTTTTGCTGGAATCTGTGAAACAGATTTGTACATAATCGAAACTTACTTTAAGTAAATAAATAACCAGAAACACTCATGAATAGCAGTTACTGATGAATTACTATTTTTAAGTTGTTTTTGTTTTTTTCTTTTTTTCTCTCTAAAGTGTGTGCAAATGATTCTGTTATCCCTCAAATCTGTGGTCCTGGGACGTGGTTGACTCCATTTCTTCAAGCAGTCTACCTCTTTGTACAGTATATCATTATGGTTAATCTTCTTATTGCATTTTTCAAGTAAGAATTTTGTTCAATTGTTTGTTATAAGATGATTTAATATGCAATTCTACATATTTTGAAGGAAATTTATAGAACTTAAAATCTAAAAATTTTATTGAGGCTTAAACTACTAAAATTATATTTGAAAAATTACAAATAGGAGATGCTTTTTCTAATCAAATGAGTTCTAAATTTTAAGTTTGATTATCTTTCAACCTGCAGTTTTCTTTATAAATTTAATCGTTATCTGGGATTTTTCCTCGGTTGCCAACAAATACGCATTCAATATAGAAAATTCATCAGTAATTCCACTGTTAATATTTGGGTGTACACCTTTCTATCATTTTTTTTGCAAATATATGTAAACCATTTTTCTTTTCAGAAATAGTATTTTTATTTAATTTATTTATTTTTGAGACACAGTCTCCCTCTGTCACCCAGGTTGGAGTGGCACAATCTTGGCTCACTGCAACCTTAGTTTTCAGGGTTCAAGGGATTCTCATGCCTCAGCCTCTTGAGTAGCTGGGATTACAGGTGTGCACCACAACGCCTGGCTGATTTTTTTTGTATTTTTAGTAGAGATGAGGTTTCACCATGTTGGCCGGGCTGGACTCAAACTCCTGGCCTCATGTGATCCATCCACTTCAGCTTCCCCAAGTGCTGGGATTACAGGCATGAGCCACAGTGCCTAGCCTATTTTTATATTTTATGTACTGTTTTATAACTAAGCAAAGCATCATGAACATTATTTCAGATAAACAAATATTCTTCTCCAGTCTATTTTTAATGGCTACCTGATACTCCATGATATAGACCATAATTTTTCAATCTAGTATGTTGTATTGGTCAATTAGATTGTAATTCTTGCTCCTAAACACCACATTGTAGTTAAATCTGTGAGCAATACTTGCTTGTTTAGAATGTTTTTCTAAAAGCAGGGCTGTTCAGTATATGTACTTTTAGGGCTTTTGCACTTAAGTCTAAATAGGCCTGTTTCCTCAACTCGGCCCACACTGAGTATTTTTTTTTTAATGGTTGCCAATTTGATAGTAAATAAAATTATTTTATTTTATTTTTTGAGACAGCCTGTTGCCCAGGCTGGAGTGCAGTGGCACTATCACAGCTCACTGTAGCCTCTTCCATCTGGGCTCAAGTAGTCCCTCCTGTCTCACCTCCAGAGTAGCTGGGACTATAGGCATACACCATCACGCCTGGCTAACTTTTTTGTTTTTAAATAGACAGGGTCTCACTATGGTGCCCAGGCTCGTCTTGAACTCCAGGCCTCAAGCACTCCTCCTGCCTCTTGGCCTTCCAAAGTGCTAAGATTATAGACATGAACCACCATGCCCAGCCAGGATTTTGTTTTTTAAAATTTGCACTTACTTGATTACTAATAAGTCTGAGTATTTTCTTATGTCTTACCCATTTACATACAATATTTTAAATTTTTTTAAATTATTTTTTTCTGCTGAATGTTAGTCTTTGCCTTATACTTACTGCCTGTATCTTTTCTAGTTTCTCATTTGCTATTAGTTTTGTTTACAGAAGGATATTTTTTGAATTATTATTTAGTACAGAATTACAATGAAATCATCAGTATTTAAAACTTTAAGAGATGATTAACAAAGTTTATTTTATTTTTATTCATTATTTCTCTAGCAATGTGTATTTACAAGTGAAGGCAATTTCCAATATTGTATGGAAGTACCAGCGTTATCATTTTATTATGGCTTATCATGAGAAACCAGTTCTGCCTCCTCCACTTATCATTCTTAGCCATATAGTTTCTCTGTTTTGCTGCATATGTAAGAGAAGAAAGAAAGATAAGACTTCCGATGGACCAAGTAAGTAAACTATATTAAGGCAAATGTTTTCATTTTATCACTTCTCATTTTTACACCAAAGGCTATATATTGATTTTATTCAAAAATGACTTAGTGGATTAATGTTATGGTAGATTTTTGTTAAATATGCCTGTACATAAAGGAATTTTTAAGTGCAATATGATATCTATAAAAATGGATTTAGCATTAAACTTCGTTATGAGAATGGCGTCTCTGTTTCTGTTAAAATGGTAATGTAAACCGAACTTCTTTGTTGTTCTACAAACCATTTTTACAGCTCTGTAAACAATAACAATTTTAGTACATTCTGTGTACATGAGACTAATCATACTGTGTCAAATTATGCTTAAAATTTTACAGGGACTTTCAAATTAGTTCTTAAATTTCTCTGAGTAGATACGTGAGGGAGAGGTATGAGAGAGATAGCGGAGGGATGTTGTATAGGAAAAGGAAATCAGAAGAGGAGGAGGAAGTACCTGATTGTATTCTGCTGACATCACACTGGTGAAGCAAAAAAGAAAGATAATTGTCTAGTGCTTTAGAAGCATAGTAGTAAAAGTTTAAAAAGTGCAGATGATGGATGTAGTCTTAGAAACCCTGAATAATTCGTAAGAATTATGAGCTAAAGTTGAAACCTTGATAGCTCTTCCTTGATTTTCTTCTCCTTTTCCTCCCATAGAACTTTTCTTAACAGAAGAAGATCAAAAGAAACTTCATGATTTTGAAGAGCAGTGTGTTGAAATGTATTTCAATGAAAAAGATGACAAATTTCATTCTGGGAGTGAAGAGAGAATTCGTGTCACTTTTGAAAGGTTCAGAAGCCCTTTAGTTAAAATCGGTTATATGTCAAAATGGGATCTATTCGTTATATTTCTTATACATGGTCATTGTTAAATTTATTTTGTCAAACAATAAGCATAGTTACAGTTTTACATGATGTATTGGAAAGATCGTTCAGTTCTATTAATACTTCATATAAGTCAGTTGGTCAGTCTCTTATTTTTTTACCCTAGTTACAGAAGATAGAAGAGTTTACTGTTCTTTACTGTTTGGAGGGAGAAAAGTAAAACTGTCCTCACTATTTTACAGCATTTTTTATTATCATCATTATTATTATTATTTATTTTATTTTTATTTTTTTGAGACAGAGTCTCCTCTTTTGCCCCGGCTGGAGTACAGTGGCACAATCTCCACTCACTGCAACTTCCGCCTCCCAGGTTCAAGTGATTCTCCTGCCTCAGTTTCCTGAGTAGCTAGGATTACCGGCGTGCACCACCACACCCAGCTGATTTTTATATTTTTAGTAGAGACAGGGTTTCAACATGTTGGCCAAGCTGGTCTCGAACTCCTGACCTCGTGATCTGCCCGCCTCAGCCTCCCAAAGTTCTGGGATTACAGACGTGAGCCACTGTGCCTGGCCAGCATTTCTTTTTTTCTGTTGGCTTCACTACATTCTGGAAGCATATGGTGTTTGGTAACAGTTACAGTAACAGTAATGGTAGTTCTGTATATATGTAGCTGTATATACATTATTTTGTGTTACTTTGATGTGGGGTAATTGGAATAAGTAGCCTGTGGAA
This sequence comes from Homo sapiens, assembly GCF_000001405.40. NCBI lineage: Eukaryota > Metazoa > Chordata > Mammalia > Primates > Hominidae > Homo > Homo sapiens. Next base: position 50,592,848 of record NC_000015.10, on the reverse strand, counting down.
CAAAAACGTTTTTTGAAATCTTGCATTTTAATATAAGATTAGCACTGGATCCTTCTTAAACATAAGGTAGGCCTTGTATAATTAAATAACTGTACCTTATTTTATATCTTGTTTAAATGCATGTGAAATTTTTCTCTTTTTATCATTATTATTTGAGGCTACAAAATAAAATTCTACATTATTTTTTCACATTTGTAAAAAAAGCTTATTTCTCTCCTACAGAGTGGAACAGATGTGCATTCAGATTAAAGAAGTTGGAGATCGTGTCAACTACATAAAAAGATCATTACAATCATTAGATTCTCAAATTGGCCATTTGCAAGATCTTTCAGCCCTGACGGTAGATACATTAAAAACACTCACTGCCCAGAAAGCGTCGGAAGCTAGCAAAGTTCATAATGAAATCACACGAGAACTGAGCATTTCCAAACACTTGGCTCAAAACCTTATTGATGATGGTCCTGTAAGACCTTCTGTATGGAAAAAGCATGGTGTTGTAAATACACTTAGCTCCTCTCTTCCTCAAGGTGATCTTGAAAGTAATAATCCTTTTCATTGTAATATTTTAATGAAAGATGACAAAGATCCCCAGTGTAATATATTTGGTCAAGACTTACCTGCAGTACCCCAGAGAAAAGAATTTAATTTTCCAGAGGCTGGTTCCTCTTCTGGTGCCTTATTCCCAAGTGCTGTTTCCCCTCCAGAACTGCGACAGAGACTACATGGGGTAGAACTCTTAAAAATATTTAATAAAAATCAAAAATTAGGCAGTTCATCTACTAGCATACCACATCTGTCATCCCCACCAACCAAATTTTTTGTTAGTACACCATCTCAGCCAAGTTGCAAAAGCCACTTGGAAACTGGAACCAAAGATCAAGAAACTGTTTGCTCTAAAGCTACAGAAGGAGATAATACAGAATTTGGAGCATTTGTAGGTAAGTTTGGCAAATTCGTATTTGTATATCAATATTATTTACTTTTCACCTTAGAAATAATAGAAATATGTACTGTTACAAGTCATTATCTTTTCATAGAGTATAATTATAAAATTTTTAAAAAGAATCAGACACCTGTGATTCTGGTACTTTGGGAGGCTGAGTGGGGAGGATTGCTTGAGCCCAGGAGTTGAGGACCAGCCTGAGCAACATAGCAAGACCCCATCTCTACAAAAAATTTTTGGAAGTAGCCAGGCGCAGTGGCATGTGCCTGAAGTCCCAGCTACTCAGGAGGCTGAGGCAGGCGAACTGCTTGCACCCAGAAGCTGAAAGCTGCAGTGGGCTGTGATCACACAACTGCACCATAGCCTGTGTGACAGAATGAGACCCTGTCTCTAGAAATGAAATGAAAAAAAAAAAAAAATCAGAAGTAGGGGAAATAGACTGAATTAGGCTATAAGAGTTATATTGGCACATAACCTCTTTGATGGAATTTTAGGTTCTGTCTTTTGAATTTGAATATCTTCAATTGGGTTTCATCAACTCTTGTTGAAAACCTAAGTGATTCTTAAGTACTTGGAGAACCTCATAGGGGAGGTTAGAATCAACTGGAAAAGAACAGTGCCCTATAAATAGATGACCATATAATTTTTTTACCCAAACCAAGACACTTTAAAAGTGAAAGGGTGCACTATTAATAATTATATCAGAACAACAATGGAAATCTAGGAATCTACTGGGAAAATTAGTACTTATGGTGTACCTATTTATATATTCACAGAGAACATTTCAAAAAGGAATGACTTATTCTTATACCTATGATAGCTTAAATAAGATAAGAACAAAAAAAAATGTTTATTTTGGCAGTAACACATTAAAGACCTTAGTGAAAACTTTCATGCATAGAGATTATTCAGACAGTATGTTAATAAGCCCATGGAAAATTGCCACATTAAGGCCAGCCTAGGAAGTTATCTAGGCACTAAACATGTTGATATTACTTCTAGGCTATATGGGATTCACTCTAGATACATAGATATAACTTTTCCTACGTTAAATATATTCCCCCTTTTTTTTTTTTTTTTAAAAGACGGAGTCTCCCTCTGTCGCCCAGGCGGGAGTGCAGTGGCACAATCTCGGCTCGCTGCAACCTCTGCCTCCCAGATTCAAGTGATTCTCCTGCCTCAGCCTCCTGAGTAGCTGAGATTACAGGCACACGCCACCACACCTGGCTAATTTCCAATTTATTTTTAAAAATGCATTTTAGCCTATTTGTTAATGTATTACCAGTGGGGTGTATGTATATATCATATATATTTTCTCTACATGTATATTATATAGGAAAAGTTACATATCTGTATATCTAGAGTGAATTCCATATAGCCTAGCAGTAAGTATCAGCATGTTCAGTGCCTGAATAACTTGCTAGACTGGTCTTAATGTGGAGATTATACATGGGCTTATTAACATGTTGTCTGAACAATCTCTATGTGTGGAACAGTTTTCATTAAGGTCATTAAAGTGTTATTGCCAAAATATTTTTGTTCTGTTTTTGTTTAAGTTATAGGCATAAGAATAAATCATTCCTTTTTGAGTGATTATCCGTATATATGTAATGCTTTTTTTTTTATTAATAGTAAAAATGCTTGGTCCCCTTTTTTCTTTTAAATTTCGAGCTATTTATTCATATCACATGTTGGTTTGTTTTATAAGGACTTTGGCTTTTAACGTTACTGTAAACTTAACTATAATCTTGGCCAGGTGCGGTGGCTCAGGCCTGTAATCCCAGCACTTTGGGAGGCCAAGACAGGCAGATCTTGAGTTCAGGAGTTCAAGACCAGCCTGGCTAACATGGTGAAACCCTGTCTCTACTAAAAATACAAAAATTAGTCAGGCATGGTGGCACGTGCCTGTAGTCCCAGCTACTCAGGAGGCTGAGGCAGGAGAATTGCTTGAACCCGGGAGGCAGAGGTTGAAGTGAGCCAAGGTCACACCACTGCACTCCAGCCTGGGCAACAGAACGAGACTTGTTCTCAAATTTAAAAAAACAAAAAACAAAAAAAACTGTAACCTTCACCAGCTTCTTGGCAATTTTCAATTTTATTTATCAAAAGAGCTAAAGGAGACTGCAGAGCCATCAAGTGTACTTGAAAAACAGCATAAACCTATTGTTTTTATAAACTTTAAGCAGTGCCATTATTTCGGTGAAGAAAAATAAAAATTTCTCATTGCAACATCTTTTTTTCTATTAAAGGACACAGAGATAGCATGGATTTACAGAGGTTTAAAGAAACATCAAACAAGATAAAAATACTATCCGTAAGTAAATCCTTATTAAAACACCCACAGTTCTATTTATTTTACTGTCTTGATGTTTAGTTCAAAATTTAATTAAACATTTTTTCAGCAAAAATACAGTTTTAGCAGATATCATTAACATGCTGATACCAAATATTTGAAGCTGTCCTCAGTTTGAAAAAATGAACAATTGAGGAACATGAAAAGGTACAAACAGCTTGCGTAATTATACTCACTAAATAAAAAACATCAGCTATTTAACATTTCTCTCTTTTTTTTTTTTTTTTTTTTTTGAGACGGAGTCTCGCTGTCACCTGGGCTGGAGTACAGTGGTGTGATCTCCGCTTACTGCAACCTCCACCTCCCGGGTTCAAGTGATTCTCCTGCCTCAGCCTCTTGAGTAGCTGGGATTACAGGTGCGCATCACCATGCCTGGCTAATTTCTGTATTTTTAGTAGAGATGAGGTTTTACCATGTTGTCCAGGCTGGCCTCAAATTCCTGACCTCAAGCGATCCGCCTGCCTCGGCTTCCCAAGGTGCTGGGATTATAGGCGTGAGCCACTGTGCCCGGCCTACATTTCTTTTTTAAAAATTTCTTCTCCCCATATGTTTTCCACTGATTAAATACTTAATGAGCTCACTCTTCCCAGATCCAAAAGTTTTATTTGAACATGACCCTGACTCTTAGAAACCTATTGTCTAGCAGTGAGAAGCTGTATATTATGTACAAGTGCAAGATAATTTGATAAATGTTTGTTAAATAAGTTTCAAAATATGTAGAACAGCTGGCAAAAAAGGTGTATTCTTGCCTGCAAAGTTGGTTTTATTTCTTAAATGTTGCTCTCATATATTACTTGTGGCTATTTAGAGCCTTTGGAGTGGTAATGTGGCTACAACAAGATAATTAAAAACACCTAGAAAGGTGTTAAGCTTCTCTAGCCCTTAAAGAACTTACATTATAGAAATGTTAAGTGACATACACAGTGAAAACAGGACCTTTCCTAAAGCTAGAACCAAGGAAATGATAATGACGTAGGAGTTTCTATGAATGATTACTTTTTATGTGATCCAGGTGAATTATGTAATTGCTGTCAGGCCATATTACTTACTACCCTACATATAAAAAGTAGACTCAAATGCATTTTTATATTGTAACATTTTGTATTTTTATTATCATATTTTGATTAAAGTATTGTACTAAATCAATTAACTTAATTTAATATCTATTAACTAGATATTGATAACTTGGTATTTAATTGGTTATTATATGCAAATTGAGGTGTAATGATTACCTGGGTTTTTTCCTTTCTGTATTTGCCTTTAAGTTTGAGAATAGTTGCATAATTTTCTTACCTCAAATAGGAGCAGCAGAATGATGTAAGAAATGTGATTATGGAGTATACAGAGATGCCTAAATATGAGGTAAAGTCTCTTTAGTATATGCAGAAGTCAGAAAGTCAGCTTAAAATATACCCATGTGCTTTTAGATGGAGGAAATAGGTGTAGGTTCAGCGGACCTATCATAAGACTATAATTTGCAGTGTTTTCTAACCATTTTAATTATGGCATATTTAGACTGAGAGCTAAATAAATGGATCAAGTTCACTTAGGTAGCCTTAGCTGACACACGATAAAAAGAGAAAGAAGAAAAGCGGGAATGAGAAAAAGTGCTAGAAAGAAGAAAGAACAGACTGCTGTCTACCAAATTGGTTTTATAATTATTGCCATATGACATATGGAATATCTGTATTCCATATAGGGTTGAAGTAGATTTTATAGGTAAATGAAATGTTTTATGGACTTTCATAAGTTTTAGTAAAGCTGTTTATAATGTAGAATTATTTAAACCTAAGTTCATCACATTTTCTTTTTCTTTACACAAATTATTGTCATATTGCCACACTCTGGTGGTATCATTTTGCTATTGCGAAGCACTTGATAGAAGTAAGACATAAAATTTAGGATAAATGGACATTTCTTAATGGGAAAAGGTAAAGCATCAGAGTTTTCCCACAGATTTCACCTTTTTAATAATGAACTTAAAGAAAAAACGTGCTGAAAATTTTTAAGTGGCAGGTACTCCTTGATAAAAACAAGACATTGCAAGTTTCTGTGAGTTAGCAGAAAAGCAGTAGCTGTGTTTTGATTTAAACAACTTTTTTTTTGAGATGGAGCAAGACTCCATCTCAAAAAAAAAAAAAAAAAAAGCAGTATTTATTGAGCCAGTAAAGCCTTCAGGGCTTTCCAAACACATAAATAATAGAAAAATATTAAGGGAAAATGTAGAGATTTAAGTACCTAAAAAACATAGTCAAAAGAAATTTGAAATACAAATTGAAATCTGACAAAATAGTGAGCATATAGATAACCTTGTTGTATAAATAGCTCATACAAAGCAATAAGAAAGTTACCAAGATCCCCAAAAGGAAATAGTTCCCCCACCATTAATGTTATCAGTGTGTCAAGATACATGTAAGATAATAGCTTCTTTGGGGGTGAGGTGAATTCATAATGATTGCGTTTTTTCTCCACAGTTTTGTATATTTTTCCAACTTTTTTGTGAGGTTTTTTGTTTTCTTTTGTTTTTGTTTTTTTCTTGAGACGGAGTCTCGTTCTGCCAGCAGGCTGGAGTGCAGTGGCTTGATCTTGGCTCACTGCACCCTACGCCTCCCGGGTTCAAGTGATTCTCCTGCCTCAGCCTCCTGAGTAGCTGGGACTACAGGCATGCGCCACCACAACCAGCTGATTTTGTATTTTTAGTAGAGATGGGGTTTCACCATGTTGGCCAAGATGGTCTCGATCTCTTGACATCATGATCCGCCCGCCTCGACCTCCCAAAGTGCTGGGATTACAGGTGTGAGTCACCATGCCCAGTCTGAGTTTTTATTATTATAAAAAATTCATTTGGATGGATTTATGAACAGTAGGAAAATAAGGTGTTTTGGTGCAGCTTTTGAAATTGGCATTGAAGAAAATAACCATAATCTATAATACACCCATTGGTGTCCAGGTAGAATAAAGCATATTGAGCTAAATAGATCAAGGGACTCTAATACTACTTAGAGTAATGGGTTGAAATTTAGTTCAATTATTTTCAAATTATATGTCTGCACAATATTTGCAGAATAACAATACTTCTGAAAACACTTTGAAACGAGTGAGTTCTCTTGCTGGATTTACTGACTGTCACAGAACTTCCATTCCTGTTCATTCAAAACAAGGTGAGTATTTTGACCATATGAATAGTGTCAGAAAACATACTCATTTACACTTTAAATGTATTTTATGTTTGTCAAACACATGAGCAGTGAATGGTGCAGGAGTCAGAAGACGAAAATTCTGATCTGCCATAGTGACTGTAACCTTGAATAAGTCGTAATCCTAGCATTCATTAGAATGTTTTATTAGAATATGTTTTACAAATTGTTTATTCTGTAAAGATGGAATAGAAAAACTTTTTGTAAATCTGCTGCTTTTAGCTTTTGCAAATGTATCTGTTCATCTGTATCATGTTTTAATCTGTATCATCACTTATTCAACATATTTTTCTAGTTTAACTTTTAAAAATCATACATTTTTGGTTCAAAATTAAAATACACACACTCTGAAAATTTTCTCTCTCACTCTGTTCCCACATTTACCACTATTTGTCTACCCTTTAGAGTTTCATGCTTATACAGTCATGTATGACAGTACAATCTTATACCTCTCATTTTTTACACAAAAGGTCACAGACAATACATGTTGCCTTGTACCATTAATTTCTCATTTACTATATTGTGGTGATGTTTCCATATCATAATTTTTTATAAGTCAAGATTATATATGCACATCGTTGAAAAGTTGAATAATTATAAAGGTTCCTTAAGAAAAATAGTACTACATTGTCCATCTCACCATCACTTTCATTTTCCTTTGGCATACTGAATTCAGCAATGCATATTATGACCAAATTGGGTTTATTCCAGGAATAAAAGTTGTCTTAACATTCAAAAATATAATTGTGATAATGCATGATAGTAGCAGATTAAAGGAGAAAAATCATGAGATCATCTTAACAGCTGATTTGGTTAACATTCAGTATTCATTCTTAATCTCAAAAAGGATATCAACAAAAAATTATCACAAAGCATCAAACTTCATAGTGAACTATTGAAAGCCCAAGATGGGGAGCAAGACAAGGATTTTGACTGTTACTGTTTCTGTTTTACATTCTAGCCAGAGCAGTAAAGCAAGTAAAATAAATGGTAGAGTGGGCCAGGTGGCTTACGCCTGTAATCCTAGCACTTTGGGAGGCCGAGGCAGGTGGATCACCTGAGGTCAGGAGTTCAAGACCATCCTGGTTAACAAGGTGAAACCCCGTCTCTACTAAAAATACAAAAAATTAGCCGGGCGCGGTGGCGGGCGCCTGTAGTCCCAGCTACTCGGGAGGCTGAGGCAGGAGAATGGCGTGAACCCGGGAAGCGGAGCTTGCAGTGAGCCGAGATTGCGCCACTGCAGTCTGCAGTCCGGCCTGGGCGACAGAGCGAGACTCCGTCTCAAAAAAAAAAAAAAAAAAAAAATACAAAAATTAGCTAGATGTGGTGGCGCACGTCTGTAATCCCAGCTACTCGGGAGGCTGAGGAAGAAGAATCGCTTGAACCCAGGAGATGGAGGTTGCAGTGAGCCAAGATAGCGCGACTGCACTCCAGCCTGTGCAATGGGAATGGGAGCGAGACTCCATCTCAAACAAAAAAGAAAAAGAGAAAGAAATGGTAGAAGGATTAGGAGGGAAGAAAAAGAATTCTCAGTATTTAAGTTAACATAGATGTTATTCCTAAGTTAGTATGCTTATATGGATTGAACATCCCAAAATCTAAAATGCTCCTAAATCCAAAATTTTTGAGTACTGACTGAAAGGAAATGCTCATTGGAGCGTTTCAGATTTCAGATTTTCAGATGCTCACCTGGGTGAGTATAATGCAAATATTCCAAAATTTAAAAAAAAAAAAAAAAACAGAAATCTGAAACACTTCTGATCCCAAGCATTTCTAGTAAGTGATCACTAGAAATACTCAAACCTACCTGTATTGCAGCATCCTCATATTTCAGTTTTAGGCCGTATCTGTTGACCTTCCACTAAAGAAGACAAGAATTGAACTCTCTTTTCTCACTCTGTATTCCCAGAACGAACATACACACACACACCTGTTCACCCTTTTCCACCAAGTATAGTTACAGTTTTGGTTAAATCAACACTCTAGGTTCTCTGGTATTTAACCAGATTTCTTCATGATATTCAGAATATAATGTATTCTGTCAGTTTCATCATATTGAAAACATTTTGCCCAGAGTCTTCTAATATATCTCAGTCTGGTCTTTTTGTCCTCTACACCTGGAATACAAATTTTGTTCTGAGATTTTCCTTTCTTCATTCTGAGGTTATCCTTTGTTGTACTGTAAAATTGTAAGCTTTCTCTAAGTTGATTTGTAACTTAATGACCTGACTTTTTTTGGAAGTAGGCTTAATTCTAAAGTTCATTTCGGATAAATAAGATATGACAACAAAGGTATTATCATAAATTGGGGAAAAGGATTATTCATTGCGGCACTGTTTATCATAGGAAGAGATTGGAAACAGATCAAATTTCCATCAGTAGGAGTTTGTTTAAATACATTAATGTGTATCCAATATGAAATAAAGAGAGCATCGAAAGATAATTGGGAAATCTTCTCTGTTCTGTAGAAAATCTCTAAGCTGGCTAGGCGCAGTGGCTCACACCTGTAATCCCAGTACTTTGGGAGGTTGAGGCGGGTGGATCACCTGAGGTCAGGAGTTTGAGACCAGCCTGAACAACAAGGAGAAACCCAGTCTCTACTGAAAACAAAATTAGCCGGGCATGGTGGCACATGCCTGTAATGCCAGCTACTAGGGAGGCTGAGGCAGGAGAATCGCTTGAACTCAGGAGGCAGAGGTTGTGGTGAGCTGAGATTGTGCCACTGCTCTCCAGCCTGGGCAACAAGAGTGAAACTCTGTCTCAAAAAAAAAAAAACAAAACTCTAAGCTTAAAGTTTAAAATAACAAAACCCTCCAGACATATATGTTTCTCTACCATTTATGTTAAATATTGGCGGGGGTATGTGTATACACATACAAATATCCCAGGAAGAATATGCAAGAAATGAATTACCTTTACTGTCCCCAGTCAGGGTGATTGGGAACAGGAGGGGGAGAAATTTTTTTTTACTTCATACTCTCATTTATTGTTGCCTTTTCACAATAAATTGAATAGTTTACTCAAAATAAATTGAATAATTTATGGGCCTCATGTAACTCTTGTGTTCAGCGTGTTGAGGAAAGGTTGAGTTATCTTATGAAGGTTATACTGTGCCTAGAATACTTTGTGTTTGGTTAGTTGGTATTCATAAAACTTCAGTTGTGTAGCTTTTTTATATTTTTTAATTTTCTTTTAGCAGAAAAAATCAGTAGAAGGCCATCTACCGAAGACACTCATGAAGTAGATTCCAAAGCAGCTTTAATACCGGTTTGTAGATTTCAACTAAACAGATATATATTATTAAATACATTAAACTTTTTTAGATAAGATCTACAAAGTGGTGATATTTGGGACTATATCAAAAATTCAAAAAAATTTTTCTTAAGAAAACTGACTTTAGCATAGTAGCAGTTACAGAAAAGTTTCTTACAGTGAATAGTCAGGAATTTTAAAGAAAAATTTATGCAGAATAAAGGCAGGAATCTCTTTTTGTTTGAATTGAAGCTAATTATATGAACTCATTTCCAGCTAACTGCGATAATGATTGATTTTGCAAATTCCCTTTAAAAGCACACACTGACAAGACAAAAAGCTCAGGAAAAGGCAGAAAAATTACTCCTTTATAATCAAGTATTATATATAAGTCAGTGCTCATAATTTTGCTCAAGAAAATATTGACTTACATTCAAAATATATCTGTTCTGGCATAGAGAGATTATGTTGTTAAAATCATGTTATTGAAAAAAGTTATTTCAGTGGGGAAAGAGGTTAGTTAACAAAGAGATTCACAGTAACAAATCCTCCTTTCTGGAGGGACTCTTCCTGACCCTGAGCTGCACAACTTTGCAACAAATTAAAGCCTAACCGAAGATGACCTCACAATGGCAATTTAGAACTCATGGGAGTCAACTTACATAAACGGTATTTGATTTCTGATAAGATAGTGGAATTATTGGTTATAGATGACAAAATAAGTATGTTTAAAGTGATGATGGACATAAAAAAGTTTTAAATATAAAACATGAGAAAAGAAGGAGATACTATTCAAAAAGACTGGCAAATTTGAAAAACTAGAAATAAAAAAAAAACTCGGTGGGGGCTGTGTGCAGTGGCTCATGCCTGTAATCCCAGCATTTTGGGAGGCCGAAGCGGGTGGATCACTTGAGATCAGGAGTTCAAGCAGCCTGGCCAACCTGACAAAACCCTGTCTCTACTAAAAATCAAAACTTATCTGGGTGTGGTGGCACATGCCTGTAATTCAGCTACTCGGGAGGCTGAAGCAGGAGAGTCTCCTGAACCAGGGAGGTGGAGGTTGCAGTGAGCCGAGATTGCGCCACTGCACTCCAGCCTGGGCTTCAGAGTGAAACTCCATCTCAAAAAAACCCCACTCAGTGGGAGTTAATTAACAGATTAGGCACATCTGAAGGGAAAATTACTAAACTGGATCAGAATGCAACAGATTAAAGTAAAAAAAAAAAGATAAACTACATAGTCAGATGGAAAATATATTAAAGGTAAAGAGACATGGAAGACATATCTAACTGGCCTTGAGAGAGTAGACAAAATTTGAAGAGATTAGAAATGGTTTAGAATTTTACAAAATGATAAAATATGTGAAGATTCAAATTCGGGCAGAATGAGTCTCAAACTGGGGAAGTAAAAATAAACCCACACCTAGGAACATTATACAACTGCAGAATAAAAACCATATGCACATATACACAACAAAGGCTGCAGTGAAATATGCCTAAATGTCATGAGCATTCACAGCTTACATGATTTTAATTTTTCTGTTTGTATTTTGATGTTTATATGTATATGTATATATACATATATATATTTATTATTTTTTTTTTCGAGATGGAGTCTCGCTCTGTCGCCTAGGCTGGAGTGCAATGGCACGATCTTGGCTCACTGCAACCTCCACCTCCCAGATTCAAGTGATTCTCCTGCCTCAGCCTCCCAAGTAGCTGGGATTATAGGCGCCCGCCACCACGCCCAGCTAATTTTTGTATTTTTAGTAGAGACGAGGTTTCACCAGATTGGCCAGGCTGGTCTCGAACTCCTGACCTCAGGTGATCCACCCACCTCGGCCTCCCAAAGTGCTGGGATTATAGGTGTGAGCCACCGTACCCGGCCACAAATATATATTTTAAGAGAATAGAATTGTCTTCAAACAATATAAAAATTCATAAAGAATAGAAAGACAATGTTGTGGGAAATAACAGAATTTTTTATTCCACCTTGTTGAATAGTCTTATGGTAGTTACATTTACAGTAAATACAGTTATAATAAATAAATTTATTGTTTTATGAAACAAGAACTGTATGTTAGTTTTTTGGCCTTTCATTCTTAAAATATAAGAAAAAAAGTTAAACCGTTATGCTTCATCTAGAGATTTTTGTCTTTAAGGTTTTTGTGTGTGTGTGTTTTTTTTTTACTGAAGGATTGGTTACAAGATAGACCATCAAACAGAGAAATGTAAGTAAGCTTTTTCTTACCATTAGCTTGCGAAGTATCATAGTTATTGAATGTTGTCTTTTTTCCTGCTCTTTACATCATCTCTTTAACATTTCTTTATGAGTGATGATTATTTATTCTAGCATCTCCTCTCTTCACATAGATGAGATTAGGGGAACAAGTTTATTATGAATTAATATAAAAGTTAAAATTTATTATTTTCATATAGTTGTACCATAATTACAACTCTACTAAGGTCTTCCTAATAGTGATACAATTCTGATTTTATTATTTAGTCCTGTTTCTAACTTATTCCTGAATAAATTTGTTGAGAGACCTAGTTTGAGACTTTAGTTTTGTACTTGCTTGATTTCTCTATCCATCATTCTAGTCAAAACCTTGCATCTGCTTTTGGTAAGCACTTTGATGATTAGAGCAGTAATACACAGTATGCATTAGAAAGCCTGCATACAGGAAGATCCACTAGAAAGCTGATGTGGTAATCCAAAACCAAAAGTGGAAACTATAGGCAATCTGACAGGTTATTGTCCCCAGAAAGTAAAACTTTTTAGTACATATTAGACATAAGGGTAAAGACAAATCTAAGATAATCTCTGTGTTTCCATCCTAGGAATTAGTATTGTAGAATTCCAAAGGATATGCAAAAAAATAAAAAAAAAAGTCTTGTTTTGACACCCACCTGATACTGGAAGCATGGTAGAGTTATTCTGTCATATGGATTACTTGAGCAGAGAAGCCAATTTGGGGGAAATTATTATTCTGCAGTGTTTTTCCCCTTCTGTGAATCAGAAATAAATCTGGGCCAGGCATGGTGCTTCACACCTGTGATCCCAGCACTTTGGGAGGCCAAGGTGGGTGGATCGCTTGAGCCCAGGTGTTGGGGACCAGCCTGAGAAACATAGTGAGACCCCATCTCTAAATTAGCTGGGTATAGTGGTGTGCGCTTGTGGTCCTAGCTACTCAGGAGGCTTGAGGCAGAAGGATTGTTTGAGCGCAGGAGTAGTGAGCCATGATTGCACCACTTCACTCCAGCCTGGGCAACAGCGAGACCTAGTCTCAAAACAAATAATTTTTTTTAAAAAAGAAAATAAATAAATCTGAATATATAAAGAAGAAAATAAACCTGGGCCACAGGATAAGCAGCTGCTCAAATTGAGTTTCCTGACCCTGGAATGGCATTTGGAAGGCCCACCTATAGTCAGACCTCTTCAAGGAATATTTTCTTTTATAACCAAAGCCATGGGATGTAAGTACAAAATAGGCACTTCAAGTTGGTGTTAATTCCGGTGTCTAACAACAGAACATTGTCTTGCAGAATGCTGACCCTGAGAATTACCCATAAAGGTGGAGCTGATTGGCAGCCCTTTGAGTGCTGAGAAAAGAGTGATTGATTAGCAGCAGGCAAAGGAATGATGTTAGGTTCAAAATACTTTTTGTAAGAAAATGTTTCTATTAAGGTGAAAATCAACAGGAAACAACAGGGTCAGATAGAATGTAGGAGCTGGAAAGAGACAGGTTATCTACTCCCAAGGTCCTTTCTGGATCTGGTCCTTTCATTCCTGAGCAAGGCTACATAGCTGTGTAATGAAAGTGCTAAGCCTCTAACCCGTTTTCCTTTATTCTCATTCTGTTCTCTTTTCCACTCTACCTGTGTGTCTAGTTGACACTGGAATCCTTGGAAGTAAAAGAACCTGCATTTGGTGCCAGTGTATGTTGTTATAAATAAATACAGTTAACATTGGGAGAAATATTTTTCAACATTAGAAACTAAGAGGCAAAATGACATCTACTTACTTTTCTCTCAGTTCTTTGTCCATCAATTCTATTGAAATATTTCTAGCATCCTGCAAAGTCATCTCAATGTATTGTTACAGTACTGGAATGAATCTCCACGAATACAGAAGTTATGAAATAGTTTATTAGTATAGAGCCTTCAATTTGGCACCAAACTGCTAATAATATTTATGCATAAATTGGAGATACAAGTTATTAATAAGTAGATACATATGGATATATATATATAGATATATATATCTATATATGGATTGGGATTGGCTTAAGGGAAATGGCAAATATTCAAAGGGAATCAATTTCAGAATTTCCTTAATAATATTTTTTATATAATAATTGTATAAAATCAAAAAATTAAATGATAGCCAAAACTTAAATCATAGCACAGCTTATACTATATTTTTTGGTGTTTCTTTAGGCCATCTGAAGAAGGAACATTAAATGGTGAGTCTGTGTGGTAGATTGAACGTGAAAAAAATGAGAATCTTACATGATCTGTTACAGCAAACACCACATTATTCTAGGTAAGATATTTTAGACTTCAAGCTAGAAAAAGCCAAGGTATTGAAGAGTTCTTCCCTCATATACTTTCTCCTTACTGTAGATGTTTCACAAACACACGAATCACCCTGTGAATGATGATATCTTTACTGTCACACTTCCTCCCTGCTACTTGGTCTCTGCTATACAGCCTGCTCCTTTTCTAATATTCCATCTGTTTTAACAAATGAAACTTTTAGTCAGCTGAGTTATTCTTGACCACCTTGACTTTGTACTCACAAAGTCCTATTGCATTTACTTCCTACATGTCTCTAAAATCCATCCTCCACTATACATCCCACTGCTGCTTTCAGCTTAGACCATTACTTTGTCAACCTTTTATCGAAGTGTATAGTGCATACAGAATAGTGCAGAATTCAGTGAATTCTTTCAAAGTAAGTATAGCCATGTAATCAGCACCTAAAAACAATTTTGCCTATATCTCCATTCCTTTGTTTCTACTTCTTATAGTCCCTGCCCCTAAAACAATAGTTTCACCTATTTTGGGGTGTATGTGCGTGTGTGAGTGTTTGCATGTATGTGCATATTGGCTATATAAATGAAATTGTACAGTATATACTGTTCTGTGTCTTGCTTCTTCTTCTTAACATATTGTTATAAAATTCATCAATATTGCTGTGGATAGTGGTAATTTGTGCATTCTCACTACTATATAAAATTTTCTTATGTAAATATATTGAATTTACTTCCATTCTGCTATTTGGTGGTCATTTCAGTAGCTTCCACTGTATGGCTATTATGACTTGCTGCTACAAGCATTCTTGTTCATGTTGTTTGATAAACATATGTATTTATTTATTATTGGCATATGCCTAGGAGTGGAATTGCTGAGTCAGAGTTAGCATGTGTTCACATTTGGTAATTACTACCAAATAGGTTTTCAGAGTGGTTATACCAGTTTGGGGTCCCTGCCTGTAGTTTTGCTTCTCATCAATGTTCTATTCTGCCACCCTTCCCTGCCCCCGGGTGAGAAGGAGTCTTGCTCTGTCGTCCAGGCTGGAGTAGGGAGTATAGTGGTGTGATCTTGGCTCACTGCAACCTCCGCCTCCCAGGTTCAAGCAGTTCTCCTGCCTCAGCCTCCCGAGTAGCTGGGATTACAGGCATGCACCACCACATCCGGCTAATTTCTGTGTTTCTGTAGAGACGAGATTTCACCACGTTGGCCAGGCTGGTCTCTAACTCCTGACCTCATGATCTGCCCACCTCCACCTCCCAAAGTGCTGAGATTACAGGCGAGAGCCACCGCACCTGGCCTGATTTTTCTAAAGGTCACTCCTCCACTTTACATTTTTTCCCCATTGTTGTTTAATGAAATCCAGTGTTCTTCCTTAACATGACATATTAGGCTTTTAATTACCCCCCCACACACACTTTAGGCTCTTAATTCCACGCCTCCCGCCCCCTCCCCTGCCAAAGACAGGATCTCTCTGTCACCAGGTTGGAGTGCAGTGGCACAGACTTTGCTCACTGCAGCCTCAACCTCCTAGGCTCAAGCATTCCTCCCACCTCTGCCTTCTGAGTGGCTAGGACTACAGGTGGGTGCCACCTTGCTCAGCTAATTTTAAAAATCTTTTTTGTTGATAATGGGGCCTTGCCATGTTATCCAGGCTGGTCTTGAACTCCTGGCCCCAAAGCAGTCTTTCCACCTCAGCCTCCCAAAGTGTTAATGATGATAGGTGTGAGCCACTGTGCCTGGCCTCCTCTTAACAATTTGATATTCCCTGTTTCTGTAGCTTCACCTCCTGCAGTTATCCCTGTACTCTTGCCCATTAATTTGTAGTCTTAGCTGCATATTCAAATCATTTGTAGAGAATCATTTCTATGATGACACATACCTACAGAATTAGAATATTTTGGAGTGACATCTGGGTGGATGTATGTCCAAAAAGCACTATAGGTCAATCTTCCCCCTTCTCTTACTCTGAGATAGCTTTGACGTCTTCTCAACCAAAAGGCATTAGGTACTCCTATATAGTCGTACAGTATGTGCACACATGTATGTGTATATACACATTTTTAAAGTATATTTTTATACAGTATTAAAACTGTTGGCTAACTTCCTTTTCCTGCAAGACAGTAGGTTTCTTTTTATTTGTGTTCTAGAAACTTAGCACATAGCAGATTTGACTTGTCTTTGTCTTCTTGCAACATTTAAAGGTCAATTCCACACACACACACAAAAAGATGGGGGAAGGGCTTTTGATGGGTATGTTTCACATTCCAGAAGTTCATCTTCTCATGGTAGACCTGCTAAAATATTTACATGGCTACAGTCCCCAACCCCCAAACATCAGAATCAAAGAGAGATTTTTCTTTCTGAATGGGAGGTATGGGAGGAGTGAGTTTATGGCAGGAGTTAGGATAGTGTGCAGCATAATGTGCTCTTCACTTGTAGGTGTCTAAATGCACAGCTGTCACTAATCTGGCATAATGAAATAGGGTAATATAGCACAGTGGACATATTTTATCCCTAATTTTTCTGTTTTTGTGAGGAACAGTTACACTATGGAAATTCAAAATGATTTTATGAGATTATCCGGGTTAAAATTTTTGCTGTACTAGTACTTTTTAAATGGTCTCGTTTGTTTATTTGCCATTCTAGGTCTCACTTCTCCATTTAAGCCAGCTATGGATACAAATTACTATTATTCAGGTCAGTAATATTAAAAACAAAATTTAATAGCATTTTGGACCTTTACAGATTTAATTATTTCTCTCTCATTTTTATGCAGCTGTGGAAAGAAATAACTTGATGAGGTTATCACAGAGCATTCCATTTACACCTGTGCCTCCAAGAGGTAAATCCAAAAATTAAAGAAATAAATAAGTGAAAATTAACCCTTTAATGATTTTTAGCTATAATATAGAATGTGGGTGGGATTACATTAAGAAGTATCAATTTCAAATAAATTCTTGATTAATCTGACTACCACAAGGGTGAGGTATGTTTGAATAGAAGAAGGGAAGCATCAGAAATATTGAGTTTCTCCATTACTGGCATATTCAGAAGCAACAATATATTCTAATTCTAAAAAGTTCTTGATCCACTATCTAGTAATTTATATAAACTGACATCACAGTGTCCATGAAACAGCTCTAACTTCTAAGTTTAATTCAGAAGTGTGTAGAATTTTAGTTGCTTTTTTAAAGGTTTTCTCTAAAATGCCAGAATTTCAAAAATGCCTAACATTACACATGAATTCAAAGATATTATGAAAGTATCCTTGATTTCTTACCTATTGCTATTAAATTTCTTTGTATAAAACTACATCTTGGTCCATTTTATCTTCTGTTCCTTAATCAAAGATGCCTGCTAATTTTTATTTTACTTTGTCGTTTTTAAAAAGTCACAATTTAATCTTAAACTTTTTCCATTTGTGTTGCAGGGGAGCCTGTCACAGTGTATCGTTTGGAAGAGAGTTCACCCAACATACTAAATAACAGCATGTCTTCTTGGTCACAACTAGGCCTCTGTGCCAAAATAGAGTTTTTAAGCAAAGAGGAGATGGGAGGAGGTTTACGAAGAGCTGTCAAAGTACAGTGTACCTGGTCAGAACATGATATCCTCAAATCAGGGCATCTTTATATTATCAAATCTTTTCTTCCAGAGGTGGTTAATACATGGTCAAGTATTTACAAAGAAGATACAGTTCTGCATCTCTGTCTGAGAGTAAGTGTCAGTGAATATTTAATAGTGGAACATAATTTAAGCTTTATATTTTAACTTCTGAAATATCAATAAGCCAAATATAATCTTAGTTTAAATATTAAACAAGGGTTCTCCCCACCCTCCCTTTTATAGGAAATTCAACAACAGAGAGCAGCACAAAAGCTTACGTTTGCCTTTAATCAAATGAAACCCAAATCCATACCATATTCTCCAAGGTAAATCTTTAATTTTTTTCTGGGATCTTTTATTATATGGATAGCAGTCCCTTTTGACCTTCATTTTTGATGTTGAATATTTAATTATCCATTTTGTAGATCAATTAGAATTTTATTAACAAAACTGCTAGTAATATTTATAACTATTTTTTATAAGGTTCCTTGAAGTTTTCCTGCTGTATTGCCATTCAGCAGGACAGTGGTTTGCTGTGGAAGAATGTATGACTGGAGAATTTAGAAAATACAACAATAATAATGGAGATGAGATTATTCCAACTAATACTCTGGAAGAGATCATGCTAGCCTTTAGCCACTGGACTTACGAATATACAAGAGGGGAGTTACTGGTACTTGATTTGCAAGGTAAATTTATTAAAATATTGCTAAGGTGAAATTCTGCAGTAGGTTCTCACCTATTCATATGTTATACAGAATCTGCTAATTTATAGATAAATAAAATCTTAGGCCAATAGAAGCTATAAAAAAGCAAGTTAATCACAGTCATAGCATATAGCCATCAGGGCCTTGAGTAATAGAATCTGGCTATCTTTTTTTGTTCCCCCGCCCCCTCCCCCACCCCCAGAGGGAGTCTTGCTCAGTCACCCAGGCTGGAGTGTAGTGGTGCAATCTCAGCTCACTGCAACTTCCGCCTCCCGGATTCAAGCAATTCTCTTGCCTCAGCCTCCCGAGTAGTTGGGATTACAGGCACCTGCCACCACGCCCAGCTAATTTTTGTATTTTTAGTAGACAAGGTTTCACCATGTTGGCCAGGCTGGTCTTGAGCTTCTGACCTTGTGATCTGCCCGCCTCAGCCTCCCAAAGTGCTGGGATTACAGGAGTGAGCCACCACACCCGGCCTGGCTATCTAAATTATGGTTAAGATAATACAGATGTTTTGATAAGCAAAAACATGTAAAAATTCCCTATTCTAAGATATGCAGTCTAGTATTTCAAAAGTATAAAGACCGTTTCTTTAAAAATAACAAATACCTCTATTGTTCCTGGTGTTTATGTTAACCTGTTATTGTGAACTAAACTACCTAAAAATTTAGTGGATTTAAAACAACTGCCATTTTATTTCCTTATAGTTCTTTCATTCAGAAATTTGGATGGGACATAGTGGGAATGTCTCTCTCTGCTGTCACCTCAAAAGACTGGAATGGCTGGAGACATTGAACAGCTTGACTGGAGTCAAATGTCTGAGGTCTCTGTTCACTGTCAACTAAATTCCTCAGTTCTTCAGTGTTCTCTGTCTACATGGCTAGCTAGCTTGGGCTTGCTCACAGCATGGTAGTTTCAGGTATTTAGACTTCTTACATAGCAGCTGGCTTCTTCTAGAGAGAAAGCAGAACCTCTTAAGGCTAGGCCCAGGATTGAGATGCCTTCTGCCACATTTTACTGATCAAGGCAACTTACAAGGGTAGCCCACATTCAAGGGGAGGCGAAGTAGATTCAGCAGTTGATGGGTAGAACGATATGCATCTATAGAGGGAAAAATTGCTCATAGCCATCTTAGCAGATAGACTGTGTTTCATACATATAAAAGAAAAAAGACTTTCATATATATGAAAGAAAAAAAAGAAATGGTGACTGCAAGAGGGCAGGTTTGCTTGGAGTAATGTCTGCTGAGCTTCACAGTGAGTCAAAGGAAGTTAAATTGAGCAAGTTGCCAGCTCTTCTCTTCATTATGGCTTCCATAATTTTTCTCCCTGAAGAGCAGACTTAATTTCAAATGTAAACACAGACCAGATTTTAAATCACATGAGAACAATTGTTTAGAATGTTTATTACTCAGTGACTCTTTAGTGTACAGGTATAAATATAAAAGATTTGTTGAAAAGCAAACAGGTTTCAGCTCAAGAATGAAAATCTATGTAAAAACAACTATACTTTTTTCAGTAGTTCATACCTTTATAAAAATGATTATGGTGGTGTATGTTGTGAAAAACTCTCTGATGTCCATTATGAGTTAGGCCAATCCAGTTAAGTTTAAAAATTACAAGCATACATTAGAGATACTGCAGGCTCAGTTCCAGACTACTGCAACGAAGCAAATATTGCAATAAAGCATATCACATGAATTTTTTGGATTTGCAGTACATATAAAAGTTAAATTTACACTATACTGTAGTCTAAAGTGTGTGATAGCATTGTGTATGAAGAACAGTGTACATACCTTAATTTAAAAATACCTTATTGTTAAAAAATAGTAAGAATTATCTAAGCCTTCATCAAGTTGTAGTCTTTTTCCTGGTGAAGGATCTGGCCTCCATGTTGATGACTGCTAACTGATAGTTGCTGAAGTTTGCGATGACTGCAGCAATTTCTTTTTCTTTCTTTTTTAAAAAATAGAGGCAGGGTCTCTTTCTGTTGCCCAGGCTGGAGTGCAGTAGCTCAATCACAACTCACTGCAACCTCAAACTCCTTCGGCTCAAGCCATCCTCCTGCCTCAGCCTCCTGCATAGCTGGGACTACAGGCTCACGTCACTGCATGCAGCTAATTTTTAAAAATTTTTGTAGAGATGGGTGTCTAACTAGGTGGGTCAGGCTAGTCTTGAACTCCTGGCCTCAAGCAGTCCTCCCACAGTGCTAGGATTACGGGCATGAGCCACTCTCTGGCCACAGTGAAGTTTGCCACATGGATTGATTCTTCCTTTCATGAAGGACTTCTGTAGCACGCAGTGCCATTTGATAACATTTTACCCACAGTGGAACTTCTTTCAAAATTGGAGTGAACCTTCTCAAACCCTGCTGCTTTATCAACAAAGTTTATGTATATTCTAAATCCCTTGTGATTTGAACAATGTTCACGGTATCTTCACCGAGTAGATTCCATCTCAACATAATGTTTATTGAACAATTTTTACATAGGAATATCTTAGATGATTACAAGTTAAACAATGTAGCAATATATAAAGAACAAAGTGTTCCCATCTTTTTTATTTCTCTACTTCTGTGAAGACATATACACAAACGGAGACTTTTTTCCCTCTTTTTTATTATTTTGTTTTGTTGTGTTGGTTTTACCCCAACTGGGATCATGAGATTTTTTTTTTTCCACTTTTTTTTTCTGCCTAACGATATATCATAGGCATTTTCTAGAGTTATTTCTTTAGTAAGCTGCGTGATAGTCTATAGTGTAGCAGCTATAGCATGATTTACATCTGTGTTGATAAACATTCACTCTACTTTTAGTTTTTTGCTTCTACAAACAGTGCTTGCAGCAAACCATTCTCATGCACTGCTACTTTTATTTCCTTAAAGTAAGTTCCTAAATTGGTGTAGAAAAGAGATTAGTACAATTTTAATTTTAATAACAACTGCCAGAGTACTTTCCCAAAAGCTTATCAGAAATCATACTCAGCCTTCTACGGAAGTTCCTGCTTCTCTACAGTCTTTCCAGTATGGAATATTCTTAATGTTTGCCATTCTGTTGGATGGAAAATAGTATCGTGTTTTAATTCTGGTTTTTCCTTTTGTGAAATTGAACCATTTTATTAGATTTTGCTCTAATGGGTTAAATATTTGTGATTATTCAAAATATCAGTAGGTGTTAAGTGTGTGTGTGTATGTGTTTATATATACACACATGAATATGTAAGAGACTGGAAGGATTTAATCATAATACTTCTGGAGAGGGCTGGAGGTGAAGAAAGATTTTCACAATCTTACTCTGTGTTACATGAATGTTTTGCAAGAAAATGTGATATGTGTTAATGTGTGTGGTTTTTTTCCCTTAAATCCCAAACACTTGTTTTTTGTTTTTGTTTTTGTTTTTTTTTTGAGACGAATTTCACTCTGTTGCCCAGGCTAGAGTGCAGTAGTACGATTTTGGCTCACTGCAACCTCCGCCTCCCAGGTTCAAGCGATTCTCCCGTCTCAGCCTCCCGAAAGTAGCTGGGACTACAGGCGCCCCCCACCATGTCCGGCTAACTTTTTTTTTTTTTTTTTTTTTTTTTAGGAATGAAGTTTCACCATGTTGGTCAGGCTGGTCTCGAACTCCTGACCTCAGGTGATCCATCCGCCTTGGCCGCCCAAAGTGCTGGGATTACAGGCGTGAGCCACTGCGCCTGGCCAATCCCAAACACTTTTAAAGTCCTATGGATTATTCCTTCATGTACCAAATTGTTCTTTGCTAACTAAGATGAAACAAGGGCAGATTGACCAGACCTTTTACAAGTAAGGAGGTATTTGCATCCTTGGTGCTGTAGGATAAGGAACTTAATGCCTACCTACCAACTCTGACGTTTAACTCTTGTTCACATTACAAGGAGATATGCCTCTCCCTGGTAGAATGCCAGAGTCATAAATCAAGTTATGAAATATCAAAAGAGAAGAACTACACTCCTTTGAATAGTTTAACATTGTAATGATTGATGATACTATAACATCTCTTAAGATGATTTTTATTATGCAGATGTCAGTATTTATGTCAATTATATAATATAAATTATTTGTCTTTTTTATATACACATATAAAGGTGTTGGTGAAAATTTGACTGACCCATCTGTGATAAAAGCAGAAGAAAAGAGGTAATAAGTTTTAACTATTTCATTAAGGCATAATTTCACATTTTATATTTGTACCTGTATAAACTGCCCCCTTTTTTTTGTTGTTTTTTTTAAAATTACCAATTCTACAGATCCTGTGATATGGTTTTTGGCCCAGCAAATCTAGGAGAAGATGCAATTAAAAACTTCAGAGCAAAACATCACTGTAATTCTTGCTGTAGAAAGCTTAAACTTCCAGGTAAAAAATTTCTTAATCAGTATAGTATATAAATTGTTACGAAACTTGGTTACTACAATACCTCATAAGGCCAGAGGTACAAATGTTTAATGTAATGGTCTCTAATTGTGCCAGCTTCAGCAGCTCTTTTGCAAATACATATTGTTGGTTATAAATGAATCTGTGTTTTCCTTCTTTCTTTATACAAAGTTCATTAATTTAATATATTATGTGTCTGCAGAATGCCAGGAATTGTGCTCAGTGTTGAAAGTAGAATATTGAACCAGACAGCTATGTCTCTGCCCTCATGGAGTTTAGCCTCATGTTGAATATTGACAAGATTAGCAGGGAGTTACAGGACTGATAAATGCCAAGAGAGAGGAAAAAACAGAACAGAGTGCTATAGAACATGTAAGCAGGTCCCTTAACTCAAACCCAGGTCCGGGAATGATCCTGGGAAACTAACGTATTTGCCTTTACTTGGAGAATGAATAGACCTTCAAGTTAGCCTTGCAGAAGAATTGAGAAAAGGCTATTTGATCAAGCAGGAACAGGAACTGTAAATATATTGTCTCATGATATTAACATCATCTTTGTATGCAGAGAATTACAAGTTATTATTTAATTGTTAGTTAAAGCACAAACCTGTGGTTGTCTCTCTTTGATGTGCATCATAGTCCCCTGTGGAACTTTAAAAAAAAATTCCCCTACCAGGAGCAGTGACACATGCCTGTAGTCCCAGCTACTCAGGAGGCTGATACCAGAGGATCGCTTGAGCTCAGGAGTTCAAAGCTGTAGTGCCTACTTCAGTTTGGGCAACATAGTGAGACCCTGTCTCTTTTAAAAATTAAATTTAAAAAAAAAATTACACATGTCTGGGGCCCACCCTTGAGCTGTTTGTTTGTTTGTTTATTTGTTTGTTTTTGAGACAGGGTCTCACTCTGTTGCTCAGGCTGGAGTGCAGTGGTGCGATCTCAGCTCACTGCAGCTTCCACCTCCCAGGCTCAAGTGATCCTCCCACCTCAGCCTCCCAAGTAGCTGGGACTACAGGCACGTGCCACAACACCTGGCTAATTGTTGTTTTGGTTTTTTTTTTGTAGAGATGGGGTTTTGCCATGTCACCCAGGCTGCTCTCGAATTCCTGGGCTCAAGTGATCCACCTGCGTCAGCCTCCCAAAGTGCTAGGATTACAGGCGTGAGCCACCACGCCCAGCCCTTGTGTATTTTTGAAAGTCCCACTTCGTATGCCCAGTATTGTAATAGTTAAGAGCTTAGACTCAAGAGCCAGGATGCATGGCTCCAGAGAATACCTACATCACCAAGGAGTTTTTGAGGACTTAATGAGTTGGTTTTGTGAGATACTTAGTACCAGCCATATAATAAGCATTATTAGGTATGTAAATGGTACTAGTTTTTAAAATTTGTTTTTTATTATTGCTGGTATACAGAAATGCCATTGATTTTTTTGAGCATATGTCCCTGCAACCTTACTTAACTCTTTTTTAGGAGCTTTTTGTAATAGACTTCTCAGGATTTTTTTTGTATAGACAATAAAGACAGTTTCTTTCTGTGTATCTTTTTTTTTTTCTTGACTTTTTGCACTGGCAAGGATTTCCAGCACAGTATAGAATGAGTGTAGTGAGAGTAAACATAATTTGCTTTGTTTCTGATGTTAAGGGGAAGGCATTCTGTCTTTTCACCATTAAGATGATGTTAACTTTAAGGATTTTGTAGATGCACTTTATGAGGCTGAAGAAATTTCCTTCTACTCCTTGTTTTTTTTTTTTTTTTTTTTTGAGACAGAGTCTCGCTCTTTTTTTTTTTTTTTTGAGACGGAGTCTCGCTCTGTTGCCCAGGCTAGAGTGCAGTGGTGTGGTCTCCGCTCACTGCAAGCTCCACCTCCCGGGTTCACGCCATTCTCCGGCCTCAGCCTCCCGAGTAGCTGGGACTACAGGCGCCTGCCACCGCGCCCGGCTAATTTTTTTTTGTATTTTTAGTAGAGGTGGGGTTTCACCATGGTCTCGATCTCCTGACCTTGTGATCCGCCTGCCTCGGCCTCCCAAAGTGCTGGGATTACAGGCATGAGCCACCGTGCCCGGCCTACTCCTTGTTTCTTGAGAATATTTATCTTGAATGGATATTGAATTTTGTCAGATTTTTTTTTCTGCATCTTTTGGTATGATCATGTGGTTTTTCTCCTTTAATAGGTTAATATAGTGTATTACATCGATTGATTTTTTTAATGTTGAGCCAGTATTGCATTCCTAGGACAAACCACACTTTGTTGTGATACATATCTTTTTTATTTATTGTTAGATTCAGTTTTCAATAATAGGTTGAGGATTTTGCATCTGTGTTCATGAAGAATATTGGTCTGTGGTAGGTTTGTTTTATGGGGCACTATGTTTGTTTTCTTTTAGTATTAGGATAATACTTATAAAATAAGTTTTATTTTCGGGAATAGATTGTATAGAATTGATATTGTCCCTACCATGAATGTTTGATAGGATTTTCCAGTCAAACCATCTTGGCCTGAAGTTTTCTTTGTCACATGGTTTTAAACTAAGCATTTAGTGGGGAGGGGACAGGGGTAGCATTGGGAGATATACCTAATGCTAAATGACGAGTTGATGGGTGCAGCACACCAACATGGCACATGTATACATGTGTAACAAACCTGCACATTGTGCACATGTACCCTAAAACTTAAAGTATAATAATAAAAAATAATTTTAAAAATAAAAAATAAAAAAATAAACTAAGCATTTAATTTCTTTAATAGAGATAGGACTGTTGATTATCAAATTGTTTTTGAGTGAGTTTTGGTAGTTTGTGTCTTTTAAGGAATTGGTCCATTTTTTTTTTTAATTGTCAAATTTGGGGGCATAAAGTTATTTATGCTGTTACCTTACTATCTTTTTAATATCCGTTAGGTCTGTGGCAAATCCCCTTTTTCCTTATGGCAGTTTGGTCTGTGCTCTTTGTTTCTTGATCAGCCTGGCTAGAGGTTTATCAATTTTATTGATACCTTCAAAGAATCAGTTTTCGTTGTCATTGTTTTACTCTTGCTTTTCTGTTTTCAATTTATTTGATTTATTCTTTTTATTTTTCCATGTTTATACTCGCTTTAGGTGTAGTTTGTTCTTTTTCTAGTTTATTAAAGTAGAAACTTAGATTATTGATTCTCGGATCTTTATTTTATTTATTTATTTTGAGATGGAGTCTCACTCTGTCACCAGGCTGGAGTGCAGTGGCGTAATCTCTGCTCACTGCACCCTCCACCTCCCAGGTTCAAACGATTCTCCTGCTTCAGCCTCTTGAGTAACTGGCACTACAGGTACGTGCCACCACACCCAGCTAATTTTGTTACTTTTAGTAGAGTCAGGGTTTCACCATGTTGGCCAGGATTGTCTTGATCTCTTGACCTCGTGATCTACCCGACTCGGCCTCCCAAAGTGCTGGGATTACAGGTGTAAGCCACTGCGCCCGGCCTCAGATGTTTATTTCTAACAAGAGATTGAGTGCTATAATTTTCCCTCTAAGCATTGTTTTAGCTCCATCCCTCAAATTTGAGTATATTTTATTTTCATTTTTATTTACTTTAAAATAATTATAATTTCAGTTGTTATTCCTCTTTGATGTATGGATTGTCTTGTTTAGTTCTTAAATAGTTTAAAATTTTACAAATGTCTTTAATTGATTTCTTGCTTAATTCTATTATAAAAGAAACATACTTTGTACTATTTCAATTAAATTTTTTTTAATTGAAGTACAAGTTTATGGAGCTGGGTTCAGTGGCTCACACCTGTAATCCCAGCACTTTGGGAGGCCGAGGCAGGTGGATCACCTGAAGTCAGGAGGTCGATACCAACCTGGCCAACATAGTGAAACCCCATCTCTACTAAAAAATACAAAAATTAGCTGGGTGTGGCAGTGGGTGCCTGTAATCCCAGCTACTCAGTAAGCCAAGGCAGGAGAATCACTGGGACCTGGGAGGCAGAGGTTGCAATGAGCCAAGATTGCGCCACTGCACTCTGGCCTGGGCGACAGAGCAAGACTCCGTCTCAAAAAAAAAAAAACAAAAAGAGTTTATGGTCTCTGAGCATTCCATGTGCTTTGGAAAGTAATGTATATTCTGCTATTGTTGGATGGAGTATTCTGTAAATATTAATTAAAGTTTGTTGCTAGTGTTCGGAGTTCTTGTATCCTTGCTGGTTTTCTGTGTATTAGTTCTATTGATTAACTAGAAAGGAAGTCTCCAAATATAATTGGATTTGTCTGTCTTGCTTTTCAGTTCTGTCAGTTTTTCCTTCATGTGTTTTGAGGCGTTGTTCTTAGATGCATACACATATACTATTGTTAATGTCTTCTTGGCGAATTGATTATTTTATCATTGTGTATTAATAATATCATGGTAATTTTCCTTATTTTGACGTATACTTTTTCTAATATTAACATAACCACTCCAGCTATCTTTTGATTAATGTTTTCATCATATACCTTTTGCCAGTCTTTTTTTCAAAACATACACACACACATCTATATATAATTATATTTAAGGTGGGTTTCTTGTAGACAGCATATACTGAGGTTCTTGATTTTGTTTTAAATTTAAACAGTTTCCATTTTTTAAGCCAGCACGGTACCCCTGTAATCCCAGCACTTTGGGAGGCTAAGGAGGGCAGATCATTTGAGGTCAGGAGTTCGAGACCAGCCTGGCCAACATGGTGAAAACCTATCTCTACTAAAAATACAAAAATTAGCTGGGCGTGGTGGTGGGTGCCTGTAATCCCAGCTACTTGGGAGGCTGAGGCAGGCGAATTGCTTGAACCCGAGAGGCACAGGTTGCAGTGAGGAGAGATTGCACCACTGTGAGACAGAGTGAGACTCCATCTCAAAAAAAAAAAGCAATCTGGCCCAGATCCTTCATTTTCTAGATAATATAATTAAAGTTGAGATGATTTGCTCATTGATACACTTACTAGTTAACAATATAATTAAGGTGAGCTATAATTGTGTTTCTCTCCACTGTTCTTTGTACAGTAATCGCAGATTAGCTTATATCCCTAAAGCCATACTGACATAGTCTTGAATTTAAAATTTATCAAAAATAATTAATATAGTTGCAAATATGTTTGGATTGTTTAATATAGGCTGTTTCTTAGATTAAAATTAACAGTTTATGATTCAGTGAGGTCAAATATTTTTATTTTTTAAAAAATAAATTAGTTCATATTCTGAGTATCAGTTATATTTTATATGGAGATAAAAATATAAGGGTTTACGCCATGACACACATATACCTATATAACAAACCTGCATGTTCTGCACGTGTATCCTTTTTTTTAAAAAAATAAAAACATACATATATATATGTTAATGCATGACTTGGTTAGTTTATAATGTTGATATTACTGCATTGTTTCCAGTTCTGCAACTATTTTCATCTATGTCTGTAACTTCTTAAGTGATTTCTTCTTGTCCCATACCTATAAATATGTTTATGTACTTATCATAGCAAATCTGTCTGAAGACTTGACATATTTCCCAAGCTCCTGTTTCTGTTCAGCTACCTATATTTCTACTTGGATACTATTTTATTTTATTTTATTTTATTTTATTTTATTTTATTTTATTTTATTTTATTTTATTTTATTTTTTGAGACAGTCTCACTCTGTCACCCAGGCTGAAGCAGAGGGGTCCATCCTTTTGGCTTCCCTGGGCCACATTGGAAGAAAAATTGTTGGGCAGGCACCATGGCTCATGCCTGTAATCTCAGCACTTTGGGAGGCCGAAGTGGGCAGATCACTTGAGGCCAGGAGTTCAAGAGCAGCTTTGCCAATTATGGCAAAAACCAGTCTCTACTAAAAATATAAAAATTGGCCATGTGTGGTGTCACAGGCCTGTAATCCCAGCTACTTGGGGAGGCTGAGTCACAAGAATCGCTTGAACCACAGAGGTAGGGGTTTCAGTGAGCCGAGATCGTGCCACTGCACTTCAGCCTGGGCAACAACAAGACCTTGTCTCAAAAAAAAAAGAAGAATTGTCTTGGGCTACACATAAAATACACTGTCACTACCATAGCTGATGAGCTTAAAAAAATGCAAAAAAATGCCATCATGTTTTAAGAAAGTTTATGAATTTGTGTTGGGTTGCATGTGGCCTGTGGGCCGAGGGTCGGGCAGGCTTGCTATAAAGCATCTTTAGTAACGTGTCCAATCCAAAATTCTTGATTTATATCTCCCACCCTACATAGAACTCTGTTTCCCTATCTTATTAATGGTTACCCAGTTGCTCAAGTCCAAAACCTAAAACTATCCAATTCTTCTTTTCCCTTGCCCTTCATAGCCAATTCATCAAATTCTGTCTGTTCTAATTTTGAAATCTCCCTAGAATTCATCTGCTCTTCTCTGTCTTCATGGCTACCACCTTGTTTCCTGGACTGCTGCCACCCATCCTCTCACAAGAGTTTTCATAGTCATCAGAATAGTTCTTGAAACAAATCTGATGATGTTCCTCTCTTGAGACTGCTTAAAACCTTCCAGTGGATTTGTATTGTATCTGTACTTCTCATCATAGCTTGTATCTATGATGTATAAATGAAGATCAGCAAACTTCTGTAAAGGGCAAGGTAGCAAATATTTTAGGCTTTGTAGACCATGTGGTCTGTCCCAGCTACACAGTTCTACCGTCGTGGTGTGGAAATAACCACAGACTGTGAACAAATGAGTGTGACTGCATTCCAGTAAAACTACTTACAAAAACAGGCAACAGACCAGATTTGGCCCACAATCTGTAGTTGACAATCTTGGGCCATTAACTGCTGCTTGAGCTCAATTTCTACTAGTTTTCCTCTCATTCACTATGTAGAAGCCACACTGTCTTCTTACCATTCGCAAAGCACACTAAGTCCATTCCTTCTGACAGTCTTTGCAGTTAACCCTCCCTCTGCCTAGAACACTCCTCCTAGAGCTTTGATAGTTCACTTCTCAATATTAAGGTATTTACTCAAATCTCTTCCTCTGGCTTTCCTGCCCAGACCTGTTTGAAACAATCACCCTATACCATCTTCCATCTGTCCCTCATTATAATTCACTACACTCTTCTCTTCAAAGCACTTTTTTTTTTTTTTTTGAGACAGGATCTCACTCTGTCGCCCAGGTTGAAGTACAGTGGCATGATCTTGGGTCATTGCAATCTCTGCCTACTGGGGCTCAAACAGTCCTCCCACCTCGGCCTTCTGAGTAGCTGGGACTACAGGCGCACATCACCACACCTGGCTAATTTTTGTATTTTTTGTAGAGACAAGAGACTTCACCATGTTGGCCAGGCTGCTCTTGAACTCCTGACCTCAAATGATTCTCTCACCTTGGCCTTTCAAAGTGCTGAGATTACAGGCATGAGCCACTGCACCCTGCCTTCAAGGCACTTTTTACTGCTTATAATTCTGTCATTTTTCTGTTTGCTTATTTTTTGTCACCCACTAGAATATAAGCTCACTGAGACCAGTGAGCTTGTCTGGTTTGTTCACTGCTACATTCCCACGCCTACATGAGTTTCTGACTCATGGTCAATATGTAATTATTTGTTGAATGAATGAATGACTTCATTTTTATGTGTATAAATTTGGTGACTACTGAATTTATAACAACCTGATGGAAAACAAGTCTGACATGTTTGGAGAAAAATTGATTAGAAATGATCCTAATTCAGCCGGGCATGGTGGCTCACACCTATAATCCCAGCACTTTGGGAGGCCGAGGCAGGTGGATCACCTGAGGACGGGAGTTCAAGACCAGCCTGACCAACATGGTGAAACCCTGTCTCTACTAAAAATACAAAAAATTAGCCGGGCATGGTGGTGCATGCCTGTAATCCCAGCTATTTGGGAGGCTGAGGTAGGAGAATCGCTTGAACCCGGGAGGTGGAGGTTGCAGTGAACCGAGATCGCGCCATTGCACTCCAGCTTGGGCAACAAGAGCGAAACTCCGTCTTGAAAAGAAAATAAAAGGTTCCTAATTCTCCATTTCTAAGAAATACTAACTTTTTTCTTTTCTCTTTCTTTTTTTTTTTTAATTGTTGTGGGTGTTCAATGTAGATCTGAAGAGGAATGATTATACGCCTGATAAAATTATATTTCCTCAGGATGAGCCTTCAGATTTGAATCTTCAGCCTGGAAATTCCACCAAAGAATCAGAATCAACTAATTCTGTTCGTCTGATGTTATAATATTAATATTACTGAATCATTGGTTTTGCCTGCACCTCACAGAAATGTTACTGTGTCACTTTTCCCTCGGGAGGAAATTGTTTGGTAATATAGAAAGGTGTATGCAAGTTGAATTTGCTGACTCCAGCACAGTTAAAAGGTCAATATTCTTTTGACCTGATTAATCAGTCAGAAAGTCCCTATAGGATAGAGCTGGCAGCTGAGAAATTTTAAAGGTAATTGATAATTAGTATTTATAACTTTTTAAAGGGCTCTTTGTATAGCAGAGGATCTCATTTGACTTTGTTTTGATGAGGGTGATGCTCTCTCTTATGTGGTACAATACCATTAACCAAAGGTAGGTGTCCATGCAGATTTTATTGGCAGCTGTTTTATTGCCATTCAACTAGGGAAATGAAGAAATCACGCAGCCTTTTGGTTAAATGGCAGTCAAAATTTTCCTCAGTGTATTTAGTGTGTTCAGTGATGATATCACTGGTTCCCAACTAGATGCTTGTTGGCCACGGGAAGGGAAATGACTTGTTCTAATTCTAGGTTCACAGAGGTATGAGAAGCCTGAACTGAAGACCATTTTCAAGAGGGACGGTATTTATGAATCAGGGTTAGGCTCCATATTTAAAGATAGAGCCAGTTTTTTTTTTTAAATAGAACCCAAATTGTGTAAAAATGTTAATTGGGTTTTTTAAACATTGTTTTATCAAGTCACTGTTAAGTAGAAGAAAGCCATGGTAAACTGATACATAACCTAAATTATAAAAGCAGAAACCTAACTCACTCGTCAAGGGAAGTTACCTTTTGAGGAAAGTTAAAGTACTTTTTTCCCTATCTGTATCTATAGCAACAACCCAGAACTTACAAACTTCTCCAAAGATTTTATTGATTGTTATATCAAATCAGAATGTAAACATGAACTCTTGCATATATTTAAAATTGTGTTGGAACATTTGAACATGAATGCTGTTTGTGGTACTTAAGAAATTAATTCAGTTGGATTATCATTATGTGATACTGGCAGATTGCAGTGCAACCTTATGCCAATAAAATGTAATTTAACAGCCCCAGATATTGTTGAATATTCAACAATAACAAGAAAAGCTTTTCATCTAAGTTTTATGCTTTAATTTTTTTTCTTTTTTTTTCTTTTTCTTTTGTTTCCTTGGTACTAATTTTAATTTTTATTTGGAAGGGAGCAGTATAAAGCTTATTTGTATTTAGTAGTGTATCTCATAGATACAGACAAGGCAAGAGATGATAAGCTGTTTAAATAGTGTTTAATATTGATTGGGGGTGGGGAGAAAGAAAAAGTGTATTACTTAAAGATACTATATACGTTTTGTATATCATTAAATCTTTAAAAGAAATGAAATAAATTTATTGTTTACAGATGTTTAGTGAGTTTAATCATTCTGAAAAATTATCTGACATTTTCAGGGTGTCAATTTGAGTATCAGTTTTTTTAAATGAACCATTTGTATACCTGTGCTTTTGATCTCCTGTCCTGTACAATGTTTAAATTAATACTGATTTCTTACTGTCTTCTTAGAAATCTGTTTTTTGTTAGGCCAAAAAAGGGCAATATGGGCTGTCTGTTGATTTTTAATTTTATATTGATTATTTTCACAGGATTATAATAGTAGCTATACTTTTTTTTTTTTTTTTTTTTTTGAGACGGAGTCTCGCTCTGTTGCTTGGGCTGGAGTGCAGTGGTGCGATCTCAGCTCACCACAACCGCCGCCTTCCGGGTTTAAGTGATTCTCCTGCCTCAGCCTCCCGAGTAGCTGGGACTACAGGCACACGCCACCATGCCCAGCTAATTTTTATATTTTTAGTAGAGACAGGGTTTCACTATGTTGGCCAGTGTGGTCACAAACTCCTGACCTTGTGAGCCACCGCACCTGGCTGCTAACACTTATTTAGTGCCTACTGTGTACCAGACATTACTCTAAGTATTTCACATATATTAACCTACTTAATCCTTATAACAATGTTATAAAGAAATAGGTGTTATTATCCTGTTTTGCAGATTTGAAAGTCAAGGTGCTAGAGAGGTAAAGTAACGTCCATAAGATTCTTACGTTTATTTAATAATAAGTAGCAACGGTAGGATTTGAACCCAGGCTGGCTGCCTTTCATCTATACTGTTTTTGTTTTGTTTTGTTTTGTTTTGTTTTGTTTTGTTTGTCTTGGTGGGGCATGGTGGCTCATGCCTGTAATCCCAGCACTTCGGGAGGCCAAGGCAGGTGGATCACTTGGGCTCAGGAGTTTGAGACCAGCCTGGGCAACATGGCAAAATCCTATCTCTGCTAAAAAAAAAAATACAAAAATTAGGCCAGGTGCAGTGGCTCATGCCTGTAATCCCAGCACTTTGGGAGGCCAAGGTGGGCGGATCACAAGGTCAGGAGTTCGAGACCAGCCTGACCAACATAGTGAAACCCCGTCTCTACTAAAAATACAAAAAATTAGCTGGGCATGGCGGTGAGTGCCTGTAATCCCAGCTACTCAGGAGTCTGAGGCAGGAGAATTGCTTGAACCTGGGAGGTGGAGGTTGCAGTGAGCTGAGATCGTGCCATTGCGCTCCAGCCTGGGCAACAGTGCGAGACTCCGTCAAAAAAAAAAAAATAACTGGATGTGATGGTGTGCACCTGTAGTTCCAGCTACTTGGGAGACTGAGGTGGGAGGATCACTTGAGCCTGGGAGACTGAGGCAGCAGTGAGCTGAGATCATGCCACTGCTTTCCAACCTGGGCAACAGAGTGAGATCCTGTCTCAGAAAGAAAAAAAAAAAAAAGACAACCTCTTGCTCTGTTGCCCAGGCTGGAGTGTAGTAGCGTGATCATAGCTCACTGCAGCCGTAAACTCCTGGGCTCAAGCAATCCTCCTGCCACTGCCTCTTGATTAGGTGGAACCACAGGCATGCACCACCACACGTACCTAATTTTATATATATATTTTTTTATTTTTCATTTTTATTTATTTTTGTTTTTTTGAGTTGAAGTCTCACTCTGTTGCCCAGGCCGGAGTACAGTGGCACAATCTTGGCTCACTGCAACCTCTGCCTCCCAAGATCAAGCAATTCTCGTGCTTCAGCCTCCAAAGTAGCTGAGATTACAGGTACCCACCATAATGCCTGGCTGATTTTTGTATTTTTCGTAGAGACAAGGTTTCACCTTGTTGGCCAGGCTGATCTCAAACTCCTGACCTCAAGTGATCCACCTCCCCCGGCTACCCAAAGTACTGGGATTATAGGTGTGAGCCACCATGCCTGGGTAACACCCAACTAATTTTAAATATATATTTTGTAGAGATGGGGTCTAGCCTTGTTGCCCACGCTGGTCTCAAATTCCTGGGCTCAAGTGATCCTCTCGCCTGAGCTTCCCAAAGTGGTAGAATTGCAGGCATGAATTGCTGCACCCAGCCTCATCTGTGCTGTGAATTATGTGCTGTATTGACTCTCAAGCATGATGACCATTGGTGGTTTCTGTACCATTTCCTGTTACTTTACTGAAACACACCTACTCCATTAACTTCTTGGGTTAAGTCTAGAAAGTAACAGTTTACTTGTAAACCACATTTCTTATCCCCAATAAGTATTTTTTTAAGATTATTAAAGTTCATTATTACTACCCTATGATGTGAAAGTGTCATTTGCTTAATCTTTTTAATTTTTTATTCTCAACCTCATCTTACTGAAGAGAATAAAACTCTTTTACCATATTCTTAAAATGTGGAATTCTCGGCCAGGTGCAGTGGCTCACGCCTGTAATTCCATCACTTTGGGAGGCCAAGGTGGGTGGATCATCTGAGGTCAGGAGTTCAAGACCAGCCTGGCCAACATGGTGAAACCCCGTCTCTACTAAAAATACAAAAATTATCTGGGTGTGGTGGCGCGTGCCTGTAGGCCCAGCTACTCAGGAGGCTGAGGCAGGAGAATTGCTTGAACCCAAGAGGTGGAGGTTGCAGTGAGCCTAGATTGCTGCCACTGCACTCCAGCCTGGGTGACAGCAGAACTCTGTCTCAAAAAAAAGATGTGGAATTCTTTTCTGCAAATGTTCTCTAATAGTATACCTTCTTCAGTCTGTCGATATATGTATGCTATTATTTTACAAGTAATACATGTTGATTGTATTGGAAATTATAGAAAAGATTATATTGGATTGTTTAGAAAATATTTTTAAATGTGAAGAAAAATATAAAAATTACTCCCTTGTTCCACTTTCCCCACTCTCAAGTCAGACTATGTTGTTTTCATAGTTAGTAGCTAGCAGTCTACCCCACTAGATTATATGCTTCACAGAGGGAAGGGACCCTCAAGACTTCACTGGATTGAGTAGCACCCAATACCTTGCTTGCTGCCTGGTTTGTGATGGGCATACTGTAAGAAAAAAAAATCTGAATGACAAAATGTTTTTCCATAATACCAGACTTCCTCTTGAAGAGATGGGTCGTAATGTTGTAGTCTTACATGCTTACGTAGACAATCAAAGCAAGAATACTCAATAAATGGCTATTTACCACTTGAAAGAAAGATCAAGTAATTATTTACAGAAAATGATGTGTCTACACAACAGGGATTTTTGAATTTCTCCTTATTTACCATATCTGATCTTATTGCTTCCTAGCTGGGTTTCAACAAGGCATCTGTATTTAAAGGTCCCAAATGATCTGTGAGCTTTTTCTTAGGAAAATTCCAGGCTAAGGCTCTGGTCCTCTCTAGAATATGATTTTCTAACTTCTTTGGAAACTCCTTAAAGCAGATTTCCATTCCTGGGGCCCATGATTCCACATTGGTGGGCATGAAGATGGGAGAGGATGTGGTTATTCTTCAGAAAAGCCACACACTTCAGGCTAACAGTAAATAGCACCAGTGAACAGAGCACTTTCTTCTTGTGCTGTCCAAACCAACATTAGGCTCTCTCCTTGTATTTCCCTTGGAATTTCTGTGTAATCCTGCATTACAGAATTTTTCTTTCATTTTAATTATGTCAGTATATGTTTCTTAAAGATTAAGAACTATAACATTATTACACCTGAAAGTTTAACCAAAAATATTGTCAAATATGTAATCATTGCTCTAAAAAAAATTTGTTTTAAGTAATTTAATTAGGACACAGAAGGTCCATACATTGCAGTTCCTTGCTAGTTTTGTTTTGTTTTTATTGGAGGCAGAGTCTTGCTCTGTTGCCCAGGCTGAAGTACAGTGGAGTGATAACCTTCGCTTCCAGGTTCAAATGATTCTCCTGCCTCAGCCTCCGAAGTAGCTGGGTCTACAGGCACATGCTGCCACACCAGGCTAATTTTTGTATTTTTAGTAGGGACGGTGTTTCACCATGTTGGCCAGGCTGGTCTCGAACTCCTGACCTCAAGTGATCCACCTGCTTCCGCCTTCACCTCCCAAAGTGCTGGGATTATAGGCGTGAGCCATTGAACCCAGCCAACAATTGCTTGTTTTTAAAGTCTCTTAGTATGTAGGTTCTCTGTCTCATCTTTGCCCCCTGCTTATGTTTTAAAGAACCAACTTACTTGTCCTGAAAAGTTTACTACATTTGAGATTTTGCTGATTGTTTCCTGCATATGTCATAAACTAGTGGTTAGTTAGGTCTAAAGGCTTGATCAGATTCAGTATTGAATTTTTGGTAAGAATGCTTCATTGGTGGGGGTATATAATTCTGTTAGGAAACACATGCCTGGTTGTCTTTTTGATAGTCATTGCCTAGGTC
Source organism: Homo sapiens (assembly GCF_000001405.40). Taxonomy (NCBI): domain Eukaryota; kingdom Metazoa; phylum Chordata; class Mammalia; order Primates; family Hominidae; genus Homo; species Homo sapiens. The sequence continues at coordinate 50,555,961 of NC_000015.10, read as the reverse complement.
TATTATTAATTAGGTCAGTGGTGCTCATGGTGGGTCACAGACCCCTGAGAGTCTCCCCAGGACAATTTCAAGGTGTACATAACATAAGGTCAAAACTTATAATACTAAGATATTATTCGCCTTTTTCGCTGTATTGAGAGTTTTATTGATGGAGTAAAAGCAGTGATGGGTAAAACTGCCAGAACCTTACCATGAATCAAGTGAAAATTGGAATTTTGGAAAACTTGACTTTAACACCAGTAGCACTACAGCTTCCTAATACTTTCCTAATGAAATCAGTAGTGTTGATATTAAAACTTGTTTTTTGGTTTTTGGTTTTTTTTGAGACGGAGTTTTGCTCTTGTTGCCCAGGCTGGAGTGCAGTGGCGTGATCTCCACTCACTGCAAACCCCGCCTCCCAGGTTCAAGTGATTCTCCTGCCTCAGCCTCCCAAGTAGCTAGGAGTACAGGCATGAGCCACCACGCCCGGCTAATTTTTGTGCTTTTAGTAGAGACGGGGTTTCACCATGTTGGCCAGGCTGGTCATGAACTCCTGACCTCAGGTGATCCACCCGCCTCGGCCTCCCAAAGCGCTGGGATTACAGGCATGAGCCACCGCACCAGGCCAAAAATGATTTTATTTAGATAGTGTATAATGAGATGTGTCAGTGTTTCGAAGATCTGCATAACTAAACCAGTATTTTCGGAATGACCAATGCATAGTATTACAAAATAATGCATGAGTGAAAGATCTAACATAGTAGAAAAGGTTTGTTTACGAGGTTTCAGAGTCTACATTACAGTTAACCTTTAGGAAACTACTTCTCATCCAATTTTCGTGTCCTCATCCTCAAGAATATCCGCAGTTATCTAAAAGGCTATTAAAATACTCCTTCCCGTAAAGAACTACAATAATCAAGACAGTGTATGATACCATGATAGACATATCAATCAATAAAATTGAAATAAGAGGCCAGGCGCAGTGGCTCGTGCCTGTAATCCCAGCACTTTGGGAGGCAGAGGTGGGTGGATCTGAGACCAGCCTGGACAACATGGCGAAACCCCATCTCTAATAAAAACACAAAAATTAGCTGGGCGTGATGGCTCATGCCTGTAGTCCCAGCTACTTGGGAGGCTGAGGCAGGAGAATTGCAGACTCCATCTCAAAAAAAAAAAAAAAAAAAAGACAACCTAATTTTAAAATGGCCTGAGGATCTGAATAGATATTTCTCCATATATACATTGGATATTTATATATCCATCCAGTGGAATATTGTTTAACAGTTAAAAAAGAATGAAGTACTGATATTAAGGGTCTTTCAATTCTGTAGCTACTACATTATAATACACTGCAATGCAAAATGGATCTAAATAGACTTGGACTGTCATTCTTACCCTGCCACTTATTCCATGAGTGACTGGCTTACTGAGCAACCATTTCTGACAATACTTCATGGTGGTCTTGTGAAAGCAGAATGAGTTAAATATTGGGCACGTGGAGGTCTCAAGTATTGGGTCCCTCCTTGCTACCTTTTTAATTCAGGAATTCCAATGAAGACAGAAGGACATGATGGGAAATAGAAAACGTTCTGAGAGTGATTTTTTTTTTCTATGAAGGAATTTATCTTGTAGCTTCTTCCATTAGTACTCAAAGTATGACCACACGCTTAAGATCTTTGTAGATGTGTGTATTGTGCATCAGAGTGTGTAAGTCTAACCCATCTCAACATTTGAAGGCACTTTTAGGTTACTCTTTAAGAGTGAGACTAGGGGAAAAGGCTGAAGGTTGGGGCAGGATGGTACAAGGTATTAATAAAAAGTGGCCACAAGCACCAAATGTAAAACTAAAGTAATCATACAAGTGTTCAACTACATACAAATGCATATGTAAGAAGACTAATGAGGCCAGGCGTGTTGGCTCATGCCTGTAACCCCACCATTTAGGGGGACTGAGGCTGGAGGATCGCTTGAGACCAGGAGTTCCAGATCAGCCTGGGCAACATATTGAGACCTCATCTCAACAAAAAAGTTAAAAAAAAAAAAAAATTCAAAATGATGGAAAACGTGGGAAGAGTTGGAAGTACAGAGAATAATCCAAGTTGTCAATAAGTTGTCAGTAGTTTGTAAGCTATATGAGAGTGAATACTAGTATTTTTTTCAGTATTATACCCCTAGCATGATGACTGGCACAAAGTAAATACACGTTTTCTGGATTAATAAATGAGATACCATAGCTTTTTGTGTTTTGGGGGTTTTTGTTTTGTTTTGAGACAGGGTCTCACTCTCGCCCAGGCTGGAGTGCCGTGGTGTGATCTTGGCTCACTGCAATCTCCGCTTCCCAGGCTCAAGCTTGAGCCTCCCAAATAGCTGGGACCACAGGCGCGCACCACCACACCCAGCTGATATTTTTCTATTTTTCTGTAGTGATGGGGTTTCATTTTGTTGCCCAGGCTGGTCTCAAACTCCTGGGCTCAAGCAATATACCCACCTTGGCCTCCCAAAGTGTTGAGATTGCAGGTGTGAGCCACCATGACCGGCCACAATAACTGTTTAATAAAGGTTCTAGAATAAAAACGCTAGAAGGAAGGAAATAACCCACTAAATGCCACGTTTTGTGATTCTGCAAGTAAAGAAAGAAAAAGTTTACAGGGAACAGATTGACATCAAAATTCTCACATGGTAGGCCAGGCGTGGTGGCTCACACCTGTAATTCCAGTACTTTGGGAGGCTGAGGTGGGAGGTTCGCTTAAGCCCAGGAGTTCGAGACCAGCCTGGGCAACATAGTGACACCTTGTCTCTACCAAAAAAAAAATTAGCGAGGCGTGGTGGCACACACCTGTAGTCCCAGCTGCTCTGGAGGCTGAGGTAGGAGGATTGCTTGAGCCTGGGAGGCAGAGTTTGCAGTAAGCCGTGTTTGTGCCGCTGCACTCCACCCTGGGTGACGGAGTGAGACCCTGTCTCAAAAAAAAAAAAAAAAAAAAAAAAAATTCTTATCTCCTGTATCTAAGAGGCAGCAAAACAATGTTGTTAGGGGAAAGAGGGAGAAAGTTGAATCCAGTCAGGTGATGGCGCTCGCAGAAAGTCTACTTCCCATGCTTTTTCTTGGAAAATGTTAAGGATATCTTCAAAGAAAAAGAATCTAAGAAGACACAACGTAAAAAGAGGCACAGAAGTAAACAATGGTGTATGAAATACACAAATTTAAATGCTTACTGACAAATTTTTTTTGTTTTATTTATTTTACTTTTATTTAATTTATTTATTTTTGTTTGTTTGTTATTTTAGAGATGAGGTCTCACTGTGTTACCCAGGCTGGTCTTGAACTGACTTCAAGCAATCCTCAGTGCCTCAGCCTCACAAAGTGCTGGGATTACCAGTGCTAGCCACTGCATCTGGTCACAAATGTTTTTTGAAAAATGTAAACTAGAATGAGATTTTTTAAAATATTGAAAGTGATTCAGGGGAAGATAGTAAAAGCACATTAAAGGTTTCGTTTCTATTTGGGAAAAATTATGGTTATTTTTGACATTGAAAGGTAATTCTAAATACGGGTAACCCTTGCTATCTTCACTTTCACTATGTGAGCTCAGGAACTACATAGATTAACGTACATTTTCACACAGACTCGTGGCATCCAGAGTTTAGAAACCAAATAGGTTGGGATAAAACAGTATTCTTTGCTATTCAAACCTTAGACCCAAATAGATTAAGGTAACAGGTTACTTTTATTTTTTTTTTAATATTTAAAGGAAATAAATAGAATATAGAAACAATACACTTCTTGGCCATTAGAAGGAAATAAAAAAGTTGGAGGGGAAGGAGAGGATTTTTACAAAGTAATCCACTAGGGCCAGGAGTGGTGGCTTACGCCTATAATCCCAGCTACTTGGGAGGCTGAGGCAGTAGGATAATTTGAGCCTGGGAGTTCAGGATGTGCCTAACAACATGGCAAGATGCTGTCTCAAAAACACACACACACTAACAGGAAGACCAGGCCCCAGGTCCCTTTCATCCTCATTCATTCATAATTTAGTCTAAAATCCATTAGGTTTCAGACCAATCATAGGTGTTCATGTTGGGAGGCAACAGTGACCTGGTGGGGGGTGTCAGCAAAGCAGGGTGAGGATAGTGCTTGTGTGTTGTGTAAAGAGGGGAGTGGGGTTGATGTCAGCAGCGACAGGAGATTAGTTATATGCAGAGGGGTTGATCAAATAAGGAAATACATTGAGGACAATGGGAAGTGCCTCTCTGTTGGAGATGGGGTTGTAAATATGTAAAAGGGAGGAAACTAGAATAAATCCTGAAATGTAGGTTTGGAATTGGAATTACTGGCATGAATTCATGGTTCCCAAAATATCAAGATGTATTCAGTATGGTAGTAATACTGAAAAAAAAATGTAGAGAGATATACCTATGGATGTGGATGTATGTATGCATAGAGGACCTGGAAGCAGCAACGCTGTAATAACATGAGTATACCCAGCTCCCAGATCTTGGTTTCTAAATACCATTCTTCACTAAAAGGAACCAGGGCTCGGAGAAACACCTGACTTCAGGATTGGGGCAGGAATGGTACTCTAGAAGATCTTGCTGTGCCAAACAAAGGAAGTGCTCAAAGAACAATAAGGACATGTCAAATGGATACAGAAGACATCTTGAAGGGCTTCCTGCAGGCTAATCTTGAGACCATTTGAACATCTAAAATAAATCATGGCCAGGTGCGGTGGCTCACACCTATAATCCCAGCACTTTAAGAGGGCAAAGTGGTTGAGCTTGAGACCAAGAGCTCAAGACCAGCCGGGGCAACATAGTGAAACCCCCGTCTCTACAACAAAATTTAAAAATAGCTGGGCTTCGTGGCATGTGATGTAGTCCCAACTACTCAGGAGGCTGAGGCAGAAGGATTGCTTGATCCCAAGAAATTGAGGCTGCAGTGAGCCGAGATCATGCCATTGCACTCCAGTGAGCAACAAAGCGAGACCCTGTCTCAAAAAACACACACACAAAAAAACATGAAAATATCAGATGCGCACCCATAAAGGATGAGTTCATGTCCTTTGCAGGGACATGGATGAAGCTGGAAACCATCATTCTCAGCAAACAGAAGAACAGAAAACCAAATACCACATGTTCTCACTCATAAGCAGGAGTTGAACAATGAGAACACATGGACACAGGGAGGAGAACATCACACACCGGGGCCTGTCAGGGAGTGGGGAGCTAGAGGAAGGATAGCATGGGTGCAGCAAACCACCATGGCACACATATACCTATGTAACCTGCACGTTCTGCACATGTATCCCAGAACTTAAAGTATAATTTAAAAATAAATAAATAAAATATCAGATGTAATCCATTGAACAAAACGGGAATTTGTGAGTCCATGCTGATTAAAATAAAAGAATAAATGGAGACAGCCAGGTGCGGTGGCTCACGCCTGTAATCCCAACACTTTGGGAGGCCAAGGTGGATTGCTTCGAGCTCAGGAGTTCAAGACCAGCGTGGGCAACGTGGCAAAACCCTGTCTCTACAAAAATTACAAAAATTATCCAGGCATTGGTGGCGTGCACCTGTAGTCCCAGCTACACAGGAGGCTGAAGCTGGAGAATCGCTTAAGCCTGGGAAGTGGAGGTTGCAGGAAGCTGAGATTGTGCCACTGCACTCCAACCTGGGGGACAGTGAGACCCTGTCACAAAAAAAAAAAAAAGAAATGGAGAAACTTCTCTTTATAGTCGAGTACCAACAGATGAATGTAGTCAGAATAATGATATTAGAAAATCACCACTTGGCAATCACCATAGCAAAAATCCAGCCAAGAAACATCAATTACTAAAACTAATGTATGAAAGTTTGATGAGGAACAGACCATTTACACAGTCTCAAAGTCCTCCCTGCAAAATGCTTCCTGATGATTACAAAAGGAAAAACTACATTGGAGAAACCTGGGAGACCCTACCTCATTCAAGTTATCACAGTTAATCACAGTTCACATAACCAGTGCTGGGACAAATCAAAATTGTATAACATTTAATACAATGCAATAAGAATATAGCTTCACTTCTGTGATATTCTTCATAAAAATGCATAATGTGAATCTAATGAGGAAACATCAGAGAACATAGTTCCCCTAATGTTCTTTTATGGCAATTTTTTTTTTCTGATCTGGGATTCAGTCCGGATAGATGTAGCTCCTGAATAGAAATTAAGGGATATTCTTCACAATAATTGGTCAGTAATCTTCAAAAGTCAAGTTCATGAAAATCAAGGAAATACATAGAACCGTTTCAGGTTGAAGGAGCCTAAAAGGGACATGAAAACTAAATGCAATGTGAGATCCCAGCTAAACTATATCTGGTTTTCCTTTTTGAGTTTTGTTTTGTTTTGTTTTGAGACAGTCTTGTTCTATTGCCCAGGCTAGAGGGCAGTGGCATGATCTTGACTCACTGCAATTTCCGCCTCCCAGGTTCAAGGGATTCTCGTGCCTCAGATTCCAGAGTAGCTAGGATTACAGGCCCGTGCCACCATGCCCAGCTATTCTTTTTGTATTTTTAGTAGAGACAGGGTTTCGCCATGTTGGCCAGGCTGGTCTCTAACTCCTGGCCTCAAGTGATCTACCCGCCTCAGCCTCCCAAAACGCTGGGATTGCAAGTGTAAGCCACCACTCCTGGCTTTTGGGGTTCTTTTTGAGACAGGGTCTCTGTCACCCAGGCTGGAGTGCAATGGCACAATCACAGCTCACTGCAAGCATGACGTCCTGGGCTCAAGTGATCCTTCCACCTTGGCTTCCTGAGTAGCTGGAACTACAGTCATACACCACCATGCCCGGCTAATTATTATTATTATTTTTTTTGGTAGACGGAGGGTGGAGAGTGGGGTGGGGGGGAATGGGGGTGGGGGTGGGGGATATTCTCACTGTGTTGCCCAAACTGGTCTTGAATTCCTGGACTCAAGCGATTCTCCTACCTCGGCCTCCCCAAGTGCTGGGATTACAGGCATGAGCCACCACACCCAGCCCCATGTCTGGTTTTAAACTAAGCTTAGTAGTTTGTTATAGAGCACAGAATATTAACACATAGATAATCTAACTCATGAACATAGATACAAAACCCTTGAACAAAAAGATTAACAACTAGAACCCAACAATTCACGAAAATAATAACTACAGCTCAAACAAAATATACCTGAGGAATAGAAGATTAATATGTGACCATCATTGATAATGAACAACAATAACAGAATAAGAAAGAAAATCTCATGATTACCTCAATAAATACAGAGAAATCTGGTCATACTCACTATCCATTCATGATTACAACTCTTCAATACTATGTCTGCAAACATCATACTTAATGGTGAATTATCCAAAGCTTTCTCTCTGAGTTAAGCAATTAGCTATCTCCACTTCTATTCACTATTTTACTATGTTCACAATTTTTCACTATTTTCACTATTTTACTGGCAGTCCTCACTAGTAAAGAAGAAGTAAGACTCAGAAAAAAATTAAACTGATTTTGTTGCAGACAACTTGAATGTGTTTATAAAAAATCCAAAGAACCTATGTAAAAATTAGACTTAAGTAAGTCAAGTTAGGCCATACTCAGGGGCTCACATCTGTAATCCTAGCACTTTGGGAGGGTGAGGTGGGAGGATTGCTTGAGCCCATGAGTTCGAGACCAGCCTGGGCAACATAGCGAGACCCTGTCTCTATTTAAATAAAAATTAAAAAATTAAAGAGTAAGTCAGGTTAGAAAGGTTCCTGGATAGACAACCAACATATGACAAATAATTGTATTTTTACCTACCAGCATCAAACACAAAATGAAACTTTTAAAAGACCCTATTGATTAGGAGAAAATGAAGGACTTGGGAGAGCCTCACTGACAAATAGAGCAAGTTTACAGGATTTAAGTCCTGCAGAACCACCACTGAGGTGACTTGGAGAGATACCTCTGTAAATACATCGCAAATATCAAATACCTGCAAGAGAGGACAGCTCTACTTGCCAGGATTCCTTATCCAGGTGTCAAAGAATGAATATTCTAAATATCTTCGTGTAGCCTGAGCATATATGTGGGTTTTTTTTAACCATTTAGACATAAGTTGGGGTGCATACTATGGATTCCTCAACACCTTGCTTTTTTTGACTTACCAGTCATATATCTGGAGAGAAATCCATTTTAGCAAAAAATATGTGTAATATATTCTTTCTTTTTAATTTTTTTTTTCTTTTTTTGAGACCGAGTCTTCGCTTTGTTGCCCAGGCTGGAGTGCAGTGGCGCGATCTCGGCTCACGGCAAGCTCCGCCTCCCGGGTTCACGTCATTCTTCTGCCTCAGTTTCCCGAGTAGCTGGGACTACAGGCGCCCGCCACCACGCCCAGTTAATTGTATTTTTAGTAGAGATGGGGTTTCACCGTGTTAGCCAGGATGGTCTCTGTCTCCTGACCTCGTGATCCTCCCGCCTCAGCCTCCCAAAGTGCTGGGATTACAGGCGTGAGCCGATGCGCCCGGCCTCTTTTTAATTTTTTAAACTTGCAGAAGAGTTGCAAGAATAGTGCTCTTTAGTGGGCCTTCACTCGGAATCACCAACTGCTGGCGTGTGGGTGCACTGGCTTTATAGTATGTGCTTTATCAGTCCCCTTCCTTCCTGTCCTCCTGTCCCTGTGTGCTTCCTGAACCGTTTGAAAATAGGTTGCATATATCATGCCCCTGTGCCCCGAAAAACTTCAGTGTGTATTTTCTAAGAACAAGGGCATCCCCTTGCATAAACACAGTACAATCTTATCAAATTCAGAAGATTCAACATTAATAGAAAAAACTATCTGCATATTATCCATATTCAAATTTCATCAATCGTTCCCATAATGTTCTTTTATGGCAATTTTTTTTTTCTGATCCGGTATTCAGTCCGGATAGATCTAGCTCCTGAATAGAAGTGGAAATCCTCGCTCCCCGGGGTGAGGAAATTCCCTCAGGGCTCCTAGGTGTGGTGTAGTCGCTGGGAAGGGGGAATGAGTGCCCAGAGCAGGCAGGGTTGCCGTAGTGTCCACTAACTCAGTGGCGGTAAATTTTTGTGCACATGTTAAGTGTGTGTGTGTGTATGTGTAATATATATATACACAAGAGAAACTGAGTGATGGAAGAAGGAAGAGAGGTTATATGTGTAGTTCATTCTCTGGAGCCTAATCTTTCTAAAACATTTCAGACAACCCAGTAACAGTGTCTCATGGCAACATGATAGAATCTTGAAGGTGAATGGAAAGGATTATGATGTACGGAAAATCCAAGTTGGAGTGGTGCCTGATACAGGTGAAAATCAGTTCGCAGCTACTGGAAGAGAGAGGAGCATATCAATTGTTTAAAACAAAAAGCCAGCGTTAACAGGCTCAGAGAAATGAAGTTGAAAGGAATAGATGTAGCTCCTGAATAGAAGCAAAAGTCCAACGTGGTTCCATTAAAATGACTTCTCAGCCGTCTCTCCCTGCAGATGACTTCGATATCTACCACGTCCTGTGAGCCTTGATCTACTACAGCTTTCTAGATTAGCCCAGTGGTGGGAAAGTCAAGCTCAGAGGAGTCAGGGGACACACACTGCATTCAGGAGGGTTCTCCCAGGTGTGACCCATGGAAGGTCCCCGGAAAGGAAGGAAGATTGTACCTAATATCTTGGCAATAAATACATGTCCTTCCTAAAGGGTGACAGTCTAGGACCTCCTGTGGTATCAGTGAGTAAAAGTGAAAATGACCATGCTTATAACAGTGAACACTTTTCAAACTGGCATAACTGTACTTAAAAGTATGTATGAGGTAAGGTCACTGTCTCATGGAGCCCCAACTTTAGATACAATATATGGAAAGAAAAATCCGAGAGGACATAGATACCAGGCTGCCTGGCACAATACAAAAAATTGTAAGAGGAAGCTCTGTGCAGGGAGAGGAGGTCCCGTTTGGAACCCTCAGTGTTCTCTCTGTGCAGGCAGGTCTGGGCAATTCACATGAACACTCTAATCCTGTAGCTTACTGGGAAGGACATCCTAGATCAATCACTTAAAAAAATTTTTCAGTTGTCATTTAGACGAACCTGTGTCAAGTAGCTTGCATGATACCTGCATAATCCTCACAACCATCCTATCAGGCAGATGATATTATTCCTATTTTATAGATGAGAAACGGACATAGAATCCCAGATCCTATAATTAATAAACGGCATAGTTGGGATTTAAACTAAGATCTATATTTTTACAAAGTCTGTGCTCTTTCTCCTCTCCGTGTATATGTGTGTGTGTGTGTTTATATGTATATAGCTATATACATACACATATACACATATGTGTGCTCTTAAGATATATATATTCATGCTCTTAATGTGCATATATTATGCCTTCAATATATATGCCATACATACATATATATACAAATATATACATATATATCACATATATAGAGACAATCTTAATATATATAGACAATCTTAATATATGTAAATCCAAATATCTTAATGGATAGGTATGTTGGGAGAGAGGGAGGGAGGTAAACAGATAGGTGGATATTCCTTTTTTTACATACCACCACACACCCCATGAGTAAATGACTACATCATTTAAACCTGACATCTCATCTGTAAAATGGGATGTAAAAATAATCGTTCCTGCCTTACACAATTGTTGAAAGATTTAATGGGAAAATGCATGTTAAGTACTTAAATAGTGCCAGGCTCACTACCTGATAGCTATTGTTTTATTAACTATTAATAATAATAATAATAATTTAATTACTTGCCCAGCAAGTTGTCAGTTGTCTTGCTTTAGTTTTAGAAGGAAATTTTTATCTGTCTTATTTGGCTTCAGGTACTTGTTCACAGTTCTGGTCTAAGTTATGTAATTTTGTTTTTAATTTAATTTATTTATGTAATAGAGACAAGATCTCACTATGTTACCCTGGCTGGTCTCAAACTCCTGGCCTCAAGCAATCCTCCCACCTCGGCCTCCCAAAGGGCTGGGATTACAGGTGTGAGCCACTATGCTCTGCCATAATACAATTTTAGACTCCAAGTTCCAATACTTCCTGTCCTTGGTAGGGAATGTGTTTGGAGGAAGTCTTATTAAGAACTCTTCTTTATTTCATAATATTAAGAGAAGCTTATTGTCATTTGTACATATTTTGTTCTCTCAAAACCCTTTCTTCCCATGTGGCACCAACACAGTGCAGAGTGCACAGATTACTATGATACCCTTCCAGTTAAGGAGGCTGATGGGAACCAGCCCCATTTTCAGGGTGTCACTGGCTTGTGGAACTTGGGCAACACATGCTGCGTGAATGCCATCTCACAGTGTCTCTGCAGCATCTTGCCGCTGGTGGAATACTTTCTCACCGGGAAGTATATCACCGCTCTGCAAAAGTAAGACCATTTGCATTCCCTGCAGCCCAGCCCCCACCCCCACTTCCCCACAGATGAGGTTAGAGAAGGAACTCTGGAATCCCTATTAAGAGATAAACAAACAAGTCAGTAGAGGTTGTAGCTTCCCAGATAACACGCTAGAGTAAGTAAAAGTGGGAAGGGCAACCAAGAAATGAATGCAGCTCCTTTTTTTTTTATTTTTTATTTTTTTTTATTGTTGTTGTTGAGCCAGGGTCTCGTTCTGTTGCCCAGGCTGGAGTGCAGTGGTGCGATCTTGGCTCCCTGCAACCTCTGTTCCTCGGGTTCAAGTGACCCTCCTGCCTCAGCCTCCTGAGTAGCTGGGATTACAGGCACGCGCCACCATGCCTGGCTAATTTTTTTTGTATTTTTGTAATTTTTTGTATTTTTAGTAGAGACGGGGTTTCACCATGTTGGCCAGGCTGGTCTTGAGCTCCTGGCCTCAAGTGATCCACCCCTCCCAACCTACCACCTCGGCCCCCCAAAGTGCTGGCATTACAGGTGTGAGCCACTGAGCCTGGCATCCTTTTTTTTCTTTTAGACAGTCTTGTTCTGTCACCCAAGCTGGGGTGAAGTAGTGGTATGATCACAGCTCACTGCAGCCTCGACCTTCTGGGGGCTCAAGCTATCCTCCTGCATTGGCCTCCCAAAGTGCTGGGGTTACAGGCATGAGACACCACGTTCTTCCATTTTGAGACTAATTTCCTAGGCTTGGGTGATTAGGTGCCTTCTTTTCATTAAATCAGCCAGAAACATATCCCTTTCTTCTTCCAAGCGATTGCAGTGAAGTTGCCACTGCTTTTGCCTATCTGATGACAGACATGTGGCTGGGAGACTCAGACTGTGTCTCACCAGAAATATTCTGGTCAGCTCTTGGCAACCTCTACCCAGCATTTACGAAAAAGATGCAACAAGATGCTCAGGAATTCTTGATTTGTGTCCTAAATGAACTTCATGAAGCTCTAAAAAAGGTAAGTAGAGTTAATGACCTTGAAATAGGATAGTCCTGAACCTTTATCAGCAGCTTCCATTTTTCATTCTTTTACTTGTTCAATTAATATTGTCTACTTTGTGCCAAGCACTGTGCTAGGTGTCCCATGGAGAACATCCAAGTTAGTATTTGAATGTGTAGCTGTATTTACCAAACTTACTTGTCATCAGAATCATCTGGGAAGATTTTACAACACAGATTTTAAGGCAAATACTCCAAGGGTAATTAATTAGAATGTCTTTTGGGAAAGCTTACTTGGCATTTCCAGTGGTCAGCTAGGCTTTGGAAACACTAATCTACTTTTCTTTGTAAATAGAGGCTGAATGGACTAGTTTTTAAAAGTGCAAAATATATTCCTCATGAGAAATAACATATAGAACTTTATAGCTTAAATTTTCTTGGGACCTACAAATCCATGAAAATATTAAGCTTGATATTAGATTAAGCAACAGATCTACGCACTACAAAGTTTCATCCTCATACCAAACATACCTAACCTGAGTTCATCACCGAATTAGGACATACATTTCATTAAACATGAAATCATCAGTTACTCTAGAGGTTTTGCCTTTATTTACAAAACTCACTGCCCTTAGCCTTGGTCTGAGACCCACATTCTCTGAAAATGTGTCCTTGACTTTATGCAACATCCTTCTGCTAACATTACCTCACTGCACCTCTAATACCCAGGGAATGGTTAGCATAAAGGTTGCAAACTATAGCTATTAATTGTTCTCATTGGCAGATCTCAGTTCCATTTTTCATTTAGAGTAATAAAAAAGTACTCATGGCCAGGCGCTGTGGTTCGCGTCTGTAATCCTAGCACTTTAGGAGGCTGAGGTGGGTGGATCACTTGAGGTCAGGAGTTCAAGACCATCCTGGCTAACACGGTGAAACCCCGTCTCTACTAAAAATACAAAAATCAGCCAGGCGTGGTGGCAGGAGCCTGCAGTCCCAGCTACTCGGGTGGCTGAGGCACAAGAATCGCTTAAACTCAGGAGGCGGAGGTTGCAGTGAGCCGAGATCATGCCACTGCACTCCAGCCTGGACGACAGAGCAAGACTCCGTCTCCAAGAAAAAAAAAAAAAAAAAAAAATGAAAAGGAAAAAAAAAAACAAAAACATATTCATGGCAGCACTTTTTTAAGAAAAGAGGTGAGTGGGCAGTAAAAATCACTTATGTCCTCTTCTACAGCCAATCTGAAACAAACAGCATTCTGTTTCCCAAGATCAAAGTAGGAATTAGGGGAATTAAGTTACTGTCAGGGTGGAAGACTTTGGCAGCAGAGTGTGATGAAAGGAGCAAGCAAAAATGGAATGCTGAGCACAGCCCCAAATTAGAGCCAGCTGTGGAGCTAACACATCTTCAAAATGTATATTCCACTGAGGCTCTTAAATCACTGAAAATTCAGGGTGTGCCCCAGAAATGCTGTTGCTGAGTATGAGCTGGATCCAAACCAGGCCACAAGGCTAGTTCCACCAGGCTGCCTTAGAAATTTAAGATTTGCTCTCTTATCTTTTTTTTTTTTTTTTAATTAACCTTGTAGAGACAGGATTTTGTTATGTTTCCCAATCTGATCTCAAACTCCTCCCGCCTCAGCCTCCCAAAGCACGACGATTACAGATGTTAGCCACCATGCCTGGCCAAGATTTGCTCTTTTAAAAAAGTGTTTTCTAGAAGTTAAAGGAGTAAAGGCTGCAGAATGTAACCTGAAGGGACTGGAGACAGGAAAGATTGGATTTCTTAATATTTTACCTTTAGATCTGCTTGAGTGAACTAATGCTAATTTAGCTTACTTACCCCCTTCCAGAAAAAACTAGCTCCCAAGGCTGGTAGCTTATGGGGCCATGGGTATATGTTTTACCAGAGTTAGACTGTCATCATTCCTCTGTTTCATCTAACGGGAAAATATCTGAATTATCAGAAATCACACATGATATATATACTTTCAAGGATATCTTACTCTATTGTCTGAATCCAAAACTAAGTGGTTTCTGGTAGCAATGTCTCATTCTGATAGAAAAAAAAATCAGTCATTTTATTGAAAACTTTTCCTTTTTTTTTGGAAACATGGTCTCACTCTGTCACCCAGGCTGGAGTGCAGTAGTGCTAACACGGCTCACTGCAGTCTCAAACTCCTAGGCTCAACTGATCCTCCAACCTCAACCTCCCAAGTAGCTGGCACCACAGATGTGTGCCACCATGCCTAGCTAATTTTTTGTTTTTTTTGTAGAGATGGGATCTCACCATGTTGCCACAGTCTTTTTTAAATAACCAATAATTAATTTGGGTGAAATTTGCTCCTTGATTCAGTACCACTACTCCCGGAGAAGATCATATGAGAAAGGATCTACTCAGAGATGCTGCAGGAAGTGGATTACCACTGAGACATCCATCATCACCCAGCTGTTTGAAGAGCAGCTCAATTATAGCATCGTATGTTTAAAGTGTGAGAAATGCACCTACAAGAACGAAGTCTTCACTGTCTTCTCACTCCCCATTCCATCCAAATATGAATGCTCCCTTCGGGTAGGAATGCAGTATTCCTGGACACTTTGTCTCGCTATACTCTCAGCCCCGGATTTTCTCGGGGCTGTTTCCTACATTTGTTTAGTATGAGAGACGGCTTTATAACTTTAATTTAAAAAAAAATAGACTGAGTGCGGTGGCTCATGCCTGTAATCCGAGCACTTTTGAAAGCCAAGGCAGGCGGATCACCTGAGGTCAGGAGCTCAAGACCAGCCTGGCCAACATGGTGAAACCCTGTCTCTACTAAAAATACAAAAATTAGTTGGACATGGTGGCGGGCACCTGTAATCCCAGCTATTTGGGAGACTGAGCCATAAGAATCGCTTGAACCTGGGAGGCGGAGGTTGTTGTGAGCCAAGATCGCACTACTGCACCCCAGCCTGGGTGACAGAGTGAGTCTCTGTCTCAAATAAGTAAATAAATAAATAAAAGAAAGAGGAAGTCCATGATGACAGTATTTTTTTTTATAGGGACATACTGGCCAAAAGTTCCTAGGAATTCAATCATATTTTTAAATGTACTCAACGAAATAGCCTGACTGTAAAATTGGAAATATAGTGGGGTTTATTGAGTCTATTGAGGTAGATTTGTGCATAAAAGAAATTTATAATTTCTTGCAAAAAGTTTATGACCCTCCCTTACCCCAGAGGTCTGTAAGGCCCAGATTGGGAACTAGATATAAAACATTCTAGACTCTTAGACTTGAGCTCTTATATTTTGGACTAAAGTTGTGAAATGTTTTGGAAAGAGAGAATGGAATCTAGTGCCTTGGTTTACCTCTCAAATTTTCTTCACCACAACGCCAAAAGTTAATCTGTAACTGGGGATGTGGGCATGGGGTGGGTGGCAGTAGAAGACAGCCAGCAATAAGGAGCAAACAAGGGGCGGACAGCAATAAGTTTTCTTGCAGAATTATGCAAATTTACATTTTTTCTTCCTAAATTACGAAAGCACATTTTATTGCTAAAAGTTTTACCTACCAGAATTGGAGAATAGAATCCTATTACTTATTCAGCACTGGGCTTTGTTTCTCAGCTCAAACTGCTAAAGATTGTTGGAAAGAAATTCCTGACACTCTAAGTAAGGTGCTAGTGGCTCCTCTGCAAACAAAATCTGCGCTCTTCTTCTTCTTCCAGTTAATGGTTTGCAGAACCAAGGAGCTGGCCACACTGAGGATCTCTCCTATGGATATGGGGTCTAATTTATCCCTGTTCTGCTATCTTTATTATGGGCCACCCCCAAACCCTGAGAGTCATTTTTGTCACCGGATCATTTTAGCAATGAGATGAATAGCATAAAGCAGCTGCCTGATTTCACTGCTGAAAACTGCAAAGTAGCTGGGCATGGAGGCTCAAGGCTGTAATCCCAGCACTTTGGGAGGCCAAGGCGGGCGGATCACGAGATCAAGAGATCGAGACTATCCCGGCCAACATGGTGAAACCCCATCTCTATGAAAACTACAGAAATTAGCTGGGTGTGGTGGCACGCGCCTGTAGTCTCGGCTACTTGGAGGCTGAGGCAGGAGAATCGCTTGAACCCAGGAGGTGGAGGTTGCAGTGAGCCAAGATCGTGCCACTGCACTCAGCCTGGCGACAGAGGGAGACTCCGTCTCAAAAAAAAAAAATTGCAAAATCAGTATTATTCTGAAAAAAAAAAACAGAAAAGTTAAAATGCTGATGTATAGGCTGGGTGTGGTGGCTTAATACCTGTAATCTCAGCACTTTGGGAGGCCAAGGTAGGCAGATCACCCCATTTCTACTAAAAATATAAAGATTAGCTGGGCTTGGTGGTGCGCACTTGTAATCCCAGCTCCTCAGGAGGCTGAGGCAGGAGAATCACTTGAACTGGGAGGTGGAGGTTGCAGTGAGCCGAGATCATGCCACTGCACTCCAGCCTGTGTGACAGAGCGAGACTCCATCTCAAAAAAAAAAAAAACAAAACCAAAAAAAACTGATTTCTAGATTATAAGTGAGGTAGGCACTCAAATCCATCTCAGTAACAAGAAAGAAACACCTTCTAGGTGGATTTTACAGGTATCTGGCTGCAGCTAGTGAGACTGTTGTCTTCTGGATTTGTTGACTTTGAGAAAAGCACTGAGAACTACATTTCCACGGCATTTGCAAAGTTCCAATAGAAACAGAGAGTGCAGGTTGCAGTTGATCCAATTTGGTCACCAAATCCTTTTTTTCCTTAACAGGACTGTCTCCAATGTTTTTTTCAACAAGACGCACTGACCTGGAACAACGAAATTCACTGCTCCTTTTGTGAAACCAAGCAAGAAACTGCTGTGAGGGCCAGTATTTCCAAAGCACCAAAAATAATTATTTTCCACCTAAAAAGGTATGGATTTTTACATTTTTGTGGGCACATATTTTCGAACAGCCTTATAGAGATAAAATTCACATGCCAATAATTCACCCATTTAGAGTATACAATTCAATGATATTTGGTATATTACATTATTGTTTTTAAATTGTGATAAAATATATACAGCATAACACAAAACTGTGCCATTTTAGCAATTATAATCATACAATTCATTGACATTAATTATTCACAATGTTGTGCAACAGTCATCACTATTTCTAAAACTTCTTCCTCACCCACACAGAAACTCTGTAACCTTTAGTAACTCCACATTCCTGCTCCCCCTAGTCCCTGGTAAGATACTTCAATGAAGGTCTGTTAAAGTCTTTGGCGTATTTTAAAAATTGGGTTGTTGGTTTTCTTTTCTTTTCTTTTTCTGTCTTTTTTTTTTTTTTTTTTTTTTTTTTTGAGACAGTCTCACTCTGTTGCCAGGCTGGAGTGCAGTGATGTGATCTCAGCTCACTGCAACCTCCACCTCCCAGGTTCAAGCAATTCTTCTGCCTCAGCCTCCCAAGTAGCTGGGACTACAGGTGCACGCCACCGCACCCAGCTAATTTTTTTTGTATTTTTGGTAAACATGGGGTTTCACCATGTTGGCCACGATGGTCTGATCTCTTGACCTCATGATCCACCCACCTCGGTCTCCCAAAGTTTTGGGATTATAGGCATGAGCCCCCACGCCTGGCCAGGTTGTTGGTTTTCTAATTGCTGAGTTTTAAGACCCTTCCCTTCCCTTCCCTTCCCTTCCCTTCCCTTCCCTTCCCTTCCCTTCCCTCCCCTTCCCTCCCCTCCCCTCCCCTCCCCTCCCTCCCCTCCCCTCTTTTCTTCAGTCTCTTGCTTTGTCACCCAGGCTGGAGTGCAGTGGTGAAATCTTGGTTCTTGCAGCCTCCACTTCCCTAGTTCAAGCCATTCTCCTGCCTCAGCCTCCAGAGTAGCTGGGACTACAGGCACCCGCCACCACGCCCAGCTAATTCTTATTTTTTTTGGTAGAGACAGGTTTTCACCATGTTGCCCAGGCTGGTCTTGAACTCCTGAGCTCAGGCGATCTGCCCACCTCGGTCTCCCAAAGTGCTTGGATTATAGGCATGAGCCACTGTGCCTGGCCAAGTTTCTTGTATATTTTCAATAGCAGTTCTTTACCAGATGTGTCTTTTTTTTTTTTTAGTCCATGGCTTGTTTTTTATTCTCTTGACAGTGTTTTGTAGAGCAGAAAATTTTGACTGTAATGGAGTCCAGCTTATCAATTCTTTTGTAAAGCAGGCCTTTCGTGTTGTAGCTAAAAAGTCATTGCCAAACACAAGATTATCTAGATTTTCTCCAGTGTTATCTTCCAGGAGTTTTGTAGTTTTCTGTTTTACATTTTGGTCTGTGATCCATTTTGAGTTAATTTTTGTGAAGGGTGTAAGGTTTGTGTGTGGATTCTTCTTCTTCTTCTTTTTTTTTTCGCGTGGATATCCAGTTGTCCTAGCACCATTTGTTGAAAAAGGTCATCTTTTCTCCATTGTATTACCTTTGTTCCTTTGTCAATGATCAGTTGATTATATCTTTGTGGGTCCCTTTCTGAGCTCTCTTGTCTATACCATTATTTTTCTATTTTTTTCACCAATACCACATTGTCTTGATTATTCTGGTTTTAAAATAAGTTTTGAAGTTTGGTAATGTCAGTCCAATTATGTTTTCCTTCAGTATAGTTTTGGCTACTCTGGATCTTTTACCTCACCCCATAAACTTTAGAATCATTTTGTCAATATCCACAAAATAAGTTGCTGGGATTTTGATTGGGATTGCATTGTATTTACAGATCAAGTTGGGAAGAACTGACATCTTGACAATATTGAAGCTTCTTATCCATGAATATAGAATATATCTCTCTATTTAGGTTCCTCTTGGATTTCTTTCATGAGAATTTTCTAGTTTTCCTTCTATAGGTCTTGTACATATTTTGTTAATTTTATAACTAAGTATTTCATTTTTGAGGGTGCTAATGTGAATGGTATTGTGTTTTTTTTTAATTCATTTTAAATTAAATTAAAATTTTTTTGAGATGGAGTCTTGCTCTGTTGTCCAGGCTGGAATGCAGTGGCACGATCTCGGCTCACTGCAGTCTCTGCCTCCCAGGTTCAAGTGATTCTCCAGTCTCAGCCTCCTGAGTAGCTGGGATTATAGGCATGCACCACCATACCCGACTAGTTTTTGTATTTTCAGTAGAGACAGGGTTTCGTCATGTTGGCCAGGCTGGTCTTGAACTCCTGACCTCAGGTGATCCACCCACCTTGGCCTCCCAAAGTGCTGGGATTACAGGTGTGAGCCACCATGCCCAGCCATATTTTTAATTTTGAATTCCATTTGTTCAAAGCTGATGTGTAATATACTTTTTGTATATGAATCTTGTATCCTACAATCTTGCTATAATTGTTTATTATTTCCAAGAGGTTTTTTTGTTGATTCCTTCAGATTTTCAACATATACAATCATGTCATCTGTAGACAAAGACGGTTTTATTTCTTACTTCCCTGTCTCTATACCTGTTATTTTCTTGTCTTTCTTATTGCATTAGCTAGGTCTTCTAATACAATGTTGAAAAGTAGTGGTGAGGGGACATCCTTGCCTTGCTCCTGACTGTAGTGGGAAAGCTTCTAGTTACTCACCATTAAGTATGATGTTACTGTAGATTATTTGTAGACATTCTTTATTAAGTTGAAGAAGTTCTCCTCTATTCTTAGTTTACTGAGAGTTTTTATCATGATGGGTATTGGATTTTGTCAGACACTTTTTCTGTGTCTGTTGATTTGATTGTGTGTGTGATTTTTTTTCCTTTAACCTAATTATGTGATAGATTTCATTAATTTTTCCAATGTAGGACCAGCTTTGCATACCTGGGATAAAGGTATGTAGCTAGGACCATGCCCAGCTAATTTTTAAAATTTTTTTGTAGAGTTGATGTCTCACTATGTTGCCTAGGCTGGTCTTGAACTCCTGGGCTCAAGAGATTCTCCCACCTTGGCTTCCCAAAGTGCTGGAATTACAGGCGTGAGCCACTGTGCCCAGCCCATTTTGAAATTTCTTTCAAGCTATCTTCTTTGACTTGTGTTATTTAGAAGTGTGTTGCTTAATCTCCATGTATTTGGGGATTTCCTAATTATCTTTCTGTTATTTCTAGTTTAATTCCATTGTGGTCTGAGAGCAGAGATTGTATGATTTCTATTATTTTAAATTTGTTAAAGTGTGTTTTAACAAGCACACCTTAGGCCAGAAGGTCTAACTTACCCTTATTTAGCCTAGCTAGAGGCTTGGTGAATGTTCCATGTGAGCTTGAGAATAATATATATTCTGCTGTTGTTGGGTGAAAGAGTCTACAGATGTCAATTACATCTATGGACAGATGGTGTCGTTGAGTTTAACTATGTCCTTACTAATTTTTTGCCTGCTGGATCTGTCCATTTCTGACAGAGGTGTGTTGATATCTCCAACTATAAAAGTGATTCATCTATTTCTCCTTGCACTTCTATCAATTTTTGTGTGTGTGTGTGTGTGTGTGTGTGTGTGACAGAGTTTCACTCTGTTGCCCAGGCTGGAGTGCAGTGGTGCCGTCTTGGCTCACTGCAAACTCTGCCTCCTGGGTTTAAGCAATTCTTGTGTCTCAGCCTCCAGTAGCTGGGATTACAGGTGCGTGCCACCACACCTGGCTGGTTTTTGTATTTTTAGTAGAGACAGGGTTTAGCCATGTTGGCCAGGCTGGGCTTGAACTCCTGACTTCAAGTGGCCCGCCCACCTCGGCCTCCCAAAATGCTGGGATTACAGGCATGAGCCACGGTACCCAGCCAGTTTTTCCTCATGTATTTTGACCCTTTGTTGTTAGGTGCATATATGTTAATAATTTCTATGTCTTCTTGAAAAAGTGATCCCTTTATCATTATGTATGGCCCTTTTTATCCTCAATCACTTTGCTTTGAAGACTGCTCTGTCTGAAATTAATATAGCTACTCCCACTTTCTTAGTGGTAGGATGGTATATTTTCCTCTGTTTACTTTTAGGCTCTGTGTGTCTTTATATTTCAAGTATGTTTCTTGTACACAGTACACAGTTGAATTTTGTTTTTGATTCACGGATTAAAACAATCTGTGTTTTAATTAATGTATATAGACCATCGACATTCAAAGTGATTGTTGATGCCGTTGGGTTAAATATCTGTTGTATTTGTTACTGCTATTTGTTGCCCTTGTTCTTGGTGTTCCTGTTTTTATCTACCACTCTTTTCCTGCTTTTTGTGGTTTTACTGAGCATCTTATATGACTCCATTTTCTCTCCTTTATTACCACATCAGTTATACTTTTTAAAACATTTGTTAGTGGTTGCCCTAGAGTTTGCAATATACATTTACAACTAATCCTGGTCCACTTTCAAATAATACCATACTGCTTTCCTTGTATCACTGCTGTCATTCATTTCACTTATATATAAAGATACACAAGAATATATATGATATATGCATAAGCATACATAATTGAATATATTGTCCCTATTATTGTTTTGAATAAACTGTTATTAATAATAAGAAAAATAAAAGTTTTCATTTTACCTTCACTTATTCCTTCTTCAGTGCTTTTTATGTAGATCCAAGTGTTTGACCTATATCATTTTCCTTCTCTGTAAACGATTTCTTTTAACATTTCTTTTTTTTTGAGATGGAGTCTCACTCTGTTGCCCAGCCTGGAGGGCAGTGGCATGATCTCGGCTCACTGCAATCTCTGCCTCCCAGGTTCAAGCGATTCTCCTGCCTCAGCCTCCCGAGTAGCTGGGACTACAGGCCCACACCACCATGCCAGGCTAATTTTGTATTTTTGGTAGAGACGGGGTTTCACCATGTTGAACAGGGTGGTTTTGAACTCCTGACCTCAAGTGATCCACCTGCCTTGGCCTCCCAAAGTAGCTGGGATTACAGGCATGAGCCACCGTGCCAGACCTCTTTTAACATTCTTGCAAGGCAGGTCTACTGGCAAAAAATTCCCTTAATTTTTCTTTGTCCAGTGAAGTATTTATTTCCCTTCACGTTTGAAGGTTAATTTACACTACAGAATTCTAGGTTGGTGGGTTTTTTTCCTTTTAACACTTTCAATATTTTTTTCCACTTTCTTCTTGTTTGCATGGTTTCTGAGAAGTTAGATGTAATTCTTATGTTTGCTCCTCTATAGGTGTGTTTTTTTCCCCCCCACTCTGGCTTCTTTTAGGATTTTTTTCTTTATCTTTGATGTTCTGCAGTTTGAAAATGAAATGCTTAGGTGTCATTTTTCTGGTATTTATCTTTCTTGGTGTTCTCTGAGCTTCCTGTATCTGTGGTTTGGTGTATGGCATTAATTTGGGAAAATTCTCAGTCATTATTGTTTCAAATATTTTTTCTGTTCTTTTTCTTTTGGTATTGCCATTACACAGATGTTACATCTTTGTAGTTGTCCCACAGTCCCTGGATATTGTTGTGCTTTTTTTTTTTTTTTAGTCTATTTTCTTTGTTTCTTTTTTTTTTAGGAGGCATGGTGGGGGCAGGGGGAGGGGCTTTTACTTTGTTGCCCAGGCTGGTCTCAAACTCCTGGGCTCAAGCGATTCTCCCACCTTGGTCTCCCAAAGCGCTGGGATACAGGCGTGAGCCACTGCGCCTGACCGGCCAGTCTTTTTTCTTTCTTCTTTTCAGTTTTAAAAGTTTCTACTGAGGTTCCTCAAGCTCAGAGATTCTTTCTTCAGCTGTGTCCAGTCTACTAATGAGCCCATCAGAGGCATTCTTCACATGTTAGAAGATGCAGTTTTTTCCTCTAGTAGTTAAAAGAAAAGAAAAGAAACTAACCACTGTACTAACAAGGATACCTCTAGCATTTCTTTTGGTTCATTCGTTCATTCTTAGGATTTCCAAGTCTCTGCTTACATTGACCGTCTGTTCTTGCATGCTGTCTACTTTATTCGTTAGAACCCTTAGTGTGTTGATCAGTTTTAAATTCTTAGTCTGAAAATTCCCACACCCCTGCGCTATCTGGTTCTGATGCTTACTGTCTCTTCAAACTGTGTGTTTTGCCTTTTAGTATGCCTTGTAATTTTTTCCTGATAGCCAGATATGATGAACTGGGTAAGAGAAACTGACTTAAATAGACCTTAATGATGGGGTGGTAAGGCGGAGGGGGAGGGGAAGCGTTCCATAATCCTATGAGTGGGTCTCGGTCTTTTAATGAACTTCAGCCTCCAGACTACGAACTTCACAAGCGCTGCTCAGTCCCTCCACACCCGCTTCGGTGGAACAGGATGGCTAGAGTGGGCTGGAGTTGGGTGTTTTCCTTCTCCCAGGTTAGTTAAGCTCTGATAAGACCCCAGCAGGTTAGGCTCTGGTTAATGAGTTTCTCCTGTGGGCAGGCTTTACGAACAGGGTGCTTTAGCCTATTTCAGAATGGTTTCTTTCCCTTCTTCTTGCCAGAAGCATGAGGAGATTTGTCTCTAATATTTACCGTGCGAGTGTGGTTGGGCTCCTGGAAGGAAAATTCACAAAGTGTGGTCCCCCTGTGACTGGATTCTTTGGAGTTTTTAACTCTCAGACTCTGCACTGAGCCTCTAGCAATTCATCAATTACAGTTCAGGTTTTCCTACGCAGACCTGTTCCCTCAGAGGTTTCTGCTCGGCAGTTTTGGCTCTGGTAAGTCTGTGATTCTCTATGTTTGCTGGTCTGTTTTTCCAGTTTTGGGGGCAGTGGTTTGTCCTGTGACCTCACTGCTCTTTCAGCTCTAAGAAGAGCTGTTTATTTTCCTTTCGGTTAATTCTTTCCTTCCTGAGGGAAGGAAAATAACCAAAAGCTTTATTTAGCTTTTAACTTGTTAGGACAGAATGGTGACTTCAAAGTTTCCTTACGTGTTGAACTGAAAACTAGATGTCTCTCATCATTGCTTTTGGTGTTCAAATTGTTCAAAATTGGCCAGTGGGAGCCCCTTCAAGTCAGCTCCTGGGGCCCCATTAGTTTATTAGGGTATGCTTACCTAAAATGTATCATTTTTAGGTGCACAGTTCTATGAACTCTGACAAATGCATGCAGTCATGTAACCATTACAACCAACATATAAACCATTTCCATCACCCCAAAAAGTTATCTCATGCTCCTCTCTAATCATTCTCCTCCCTAAGCCTATAGAAATTGTTGATCTGATTTCCGTCCCTATAATTTTGTTTTCCAGAACGTGCTATGTCATACTGTATGTAGCTTTCAGAGTTTTTCTTTCACTTAGCATGATTCTTTTGTGTTGTTGCGTGCATTAGTAGTGCCTTTTTTATTGCTGTGTGCTATTCCTTTTTGTGAGTGTACCATAGTTGCTTATGTCTCCACCAGTTGATGGACGTTTGGGTTGTTTACAGTTTTGCATAGTTAGGAATACAACTTCTACAAATACTAGCAGATAGCTTGTTATGTGGGCCTAAGGCTTCATTTCTCTTGGGATGATACCTAGGTACAGAATTGCTGGATCACATGGCATTCCCTTAGTTTTTTGAAAACAGGGTATCTTGCTTTCTGACACAAGAATGTCTCAGTCGCGGTAATTTCCCGGCCTCAGACCTCCATCAGCCATTTTTCCAAAATGAACATAATTATATTTTTAAAAGCTTCTGAGTAACTCTGATGTGAGCCCAGATTTACAAACTTAGGATCCATGTAACAATACAGAATGTGAAAGATTTTCACAAAATGTTCTTATTAAAACATTAAAAAAAAACAAACAAAAACTCAGAGCTTGAAAACAGGACATTGCCAAGACTACCTGTGCTGAAAACAAGATAAGGAAAAGCTGAGCTAGCTTGGTTAGAATAAATAGGCTCAGCTGGAGCAAAAGCCTCAGGAATTATCAATGGGGTTTCTGCTTCCCCCAATGTTGAGCCTTGGTTATCCCTTTCTTTTTGCCCTGCTAGATTCAGTTTAGCTTGAATCTTTGCTATCTCACTCCTTGATTCAAATTCCAGTCTCATTTTGGTGAGGCTTGTGGATGCGGTATTTAAATAGATAAGAAAAAAGTAATTTATAAGTCTGTACCAAATAATCTTTCCAGGAAATTACTTTTTTTTTTTATTTTTTATTTTTGGAAAGGAGTCTCGCTCTGTCACCCAGGCTGGAGTGCAGTGGTGCGATCTCAGCTCACTGTAACCTTCGCCTCCCAGGTTCAAGCAATTCTCCGGCCTCAGCCTCCCGAGTAGCTGGGATTACAGGCATCCACTACCATGCCCGGCTAATTTTTTTGCATTTTTAGTAGAGACGAGGTTTCACCATATTGGCCAAGCTGGTTCTAACTCCTGACCTCAAGTGATCCACCCGCCTCAGCCTCCCAAAGTGCTAGGATTACAGGCGTGAGCCACCTTGCCAGGCCAGAAGTTCCTTTTTTTTAGAGACAGGGTCTCACTCTGTCACCCAGGCTGGAGTGCAGTGGCACAATCACGACTCACTGCAGCCTCAGCCTCCCTATGCTCAGGTGATCCTCCTACCTTAGCCTCCTGAGTAGCTGGGACTACAGGTGAGAATTTTATGTAGAGACGGGGTTTTGCCATGTTACTCAGGCTGGTCTCAAACTCCTAGGCTCAAGGGATATGTCCACCTTGGCCTCCCAAAGTTGTGGGATTACAGGCATGAGCCACTGTGCCCAGTCAAGAAATTACTTTTAAAATACTCGGAATTTGTCATGTAGACAAATGAGTGGTTCACAAGCTTACTTTGTATTTCACACATTTATTATACCTGCAGGTTTGACATTCAGGGTACAACAAAAAGGAAGCTGAGAACGGATATTCATTACCCACTCACTAACTTGGACCTCACTCCTTATATTTGCTCAATTTTCCGGAAATATCCTAAATACAACCTCTGTGCAGTGGTGGTGAGTAAAAACAAACTGTTAAAAGTAATCCAATTTTAAAGAAAACTCCAGAATTATCTGCTTGAATCCCTATTTCTCCTGTCTCTCCCTGGCTTATGCCCTACTTTTAAAAAATATAGACCAGGAAACTCTCCACTTTGACCTAGACAAGTAGAGGAACAAAGAAATAAAATATACTGTTCACTGCCTCTCTATTTTCTCTCCACTCAGTGGCTATTTCAGATCTAAGATCTAAGGATACTGCAAATTGTGCTCCTAGAAGCAGCAGCAGCAGAAGTTGGTTCCAACAGCTTAAAATTGTTTCTGAGACAGGGCCTTGCTCTGTTGCCCAGGCTGGAGTGCCATCAGTGGTGCAATCCCAGCTCGCTGCAGCCTCCAACTCAACTGATCCTCCCCAAGTAGCTGAGACTACAGGCATGTGCCACCAATTTTTTTTTTTTTTTTTTTAAAGTAGAGATGAGGTTTCACTATGCTGCCCATGCTGGTCTTGAACTCCTGGGCTCAAGGGACCCTCCCACCCTGGCCCCTTAAAGTGCTGGGATTACAAGCATCAGCCACCATGCCCAGCCTCTGATAGCTTTATGTTGAATAACCGTGAACCACTTTGTGACCAAGCCCCAAAAGAGTAGGTACATACTAGCCACAAGATTCAATTCCTGTATGCAGCCAGGCCTAGAAAAACGCTGGGGTCCCTATGGTTCTAAGTCGACTATGATCAATAAAGATTTCCTGAAGGAAAGAAAGCATGGAGTATAATTTAGACCAAACCACCGGAACTCATATCAACCATCCCCAAGTAGCAAGCCATTCTGTGGGTTTCTGTTCTGGATCACGGTGTTAACGATCAGTCTCAGAACATACTCATATTTCAAATTGTACCTGGAGGTCCAGTTATGTCATATCAAATGGTTGAGACTCCCACCGGAGCCCAGTAGGATTCACCAGAGTCCACCGAAGTCTAATTTGCCTCTTCAGCTTATTGTTGAATTAATGTATTCTAAGATGTGAATCCCACTGGTCTTCCTCATTAGCAGCTCTCAGAACCATACCTCCACACTTTAACAAAATTATCAGTTCTGTATTTTGTGTTTTCACTTCGAGTCTCAACATTCTCCTTTCCAATTTATCCTGCTCCCAAACATGGTTTTTCTTCTCTCACTTCCTTGCTTGGGAATCTAGAGTGGCATCCTCTTCTCTATTATATCAAATGCAGACTCTAATGTAGATTCCCGAACAGTGCAGGAACTGCCTCCCTTATATTTTACTATTTTTATTTCTCATATAGATGTTTCTGCTTTAAGAAAATCCAAATGACAAAAATCTGAATTGAATATAAAAATTATAATTATTGCTGAGCTCAGTGGCTCCCTCTTGTATTAATAATTCCAGCAATTGTGGAGGCTGACGTGGAAGGATCACTTGGGGCCAGGAGTTAGAGACTATAGTGAGCTATGATTGCTCCTCTGCACTCCAGCTTGGATGACAGGGCAAGACTCCATCTCTTAAAAAAAAAAAAGTAATTATGTGCAGTATGGAAATATATGTTTATATAAAACATCACCCCAAACCTCCTATAAATTCTTACTCCTAGGCTGGGTGCAGTGGCTCACGCCTGTAATCCCAGCACTTTGGGAGGCTGAGATAGGAGGATCACTTGAGTCCCGGAGTTCAAGCTAGCAGCCCTGGCAACATGGCAAAACCCCATCTCTAAAAAAAAAAAAAAAAAAAAAACTTAGTTCTTTTAGTAATCAAACTATTATTGGTTAATTAAGGGGTCAAAAGTTGGTTTCGAAAGAGAACTGTGTTTAGAATTTGCTGCAAATTGAAGATTCATCAGAGGTAAGAACTAAGCATCTGTGAGGTTGAGCATGGTGGCTCACATCTATAATCCCAGCACATTGGGAGGCCGAGGCGGGCAGATCACCTGAGGTCAGGAGTTTGAGACCAGCCTGGCAAACATGGTGAAACCCCGTCTCTACTAAAAATACAAAAAAATTAGCTGGGTGTGGTGGCATGCACCTGTAATCTCAGCTACTCAGGAGGCTGAGGCAGGAGAATTGCTTGAACCCAGGAGGCAGAAGTTGCAGTGAGCGATATTGGGCCACTGTACTCTAGCCTGAGCGAGTGAGACTCGGTCTCAAAAAAAAAAAAACAACAATAAAAAACTAAGCATCTTTGAAATTATGATGCATGACAGTAGGAATAAAACCATCTAGAGCTTTGCTACTTAAGGTGTGGTCCTCAGGAGAACCGTAGCATTGGCACCACTTGTTAGAAATAAAGAATCTCAGGCCGGGCATGGTGGCTTACACCTGTAATCCCAGCACTTTGGGAGGCTGAGGTGGGCAGATCATGAGGTCAGGAGATTGAGACCATCCTGACCAACATGGTGAAACCCCATCTCTACTAAAAATACAAAAAAAAATTAGCCAGGCGTGGTGGCATGTGCCTGTAGTCCCAGCTACTCAGGAGGCTGAGGCAGGAGAATCACTTGAACCTGGGAGGCGGAGGTTGCAGTGAGCTGAGATCGTGCCACTGCACTCCAGCCTGGATGACAGAACGAGACTCCGTCTCAGAAAAAAGAAAAAAAAGAATCTCAGGCCCCACCTCAGGCTCATTGGCTTAGAATCTGCATTTTAATATGATCCCTCTGTGGTTTCTGTGCATAATGAAGTTTAAGAAGCATACATCTGTAGACTAGAAGGGAAGGATATCCCTGCACCATCCTTAAAAGAGATTTATCCAGCCTTTGCATGAGCCCTTGAAGAGTTTACTGCTTTACAAGGCAGGCTCTTCATTTGCTAGATTCTTTGTTAGATTTATTTTACGAACACTTACATAGTGTTTATTATGTATCAGGCACTGTTCTAAGCACTTTACAAATAATCAACCATTTAATCCTTATTCTAGCCTACGAGGTAGGCACTCTGTATTATTCCCATTTTACAGAATAGGAAACAGGCACAGAGAGGTTAAATAATTTGCCCCAAATCATACTGCCTACAAAGAGCAGAGCCAAGATCTGAACCCAGGCAGGCTGGCTCCAAACCGTCTTGCTCTCGTCTCTGACATTGTGCTGCCTCTGATTGTTAAACATGTCTATATTGAGCCCAAATCTACCTGCCTCCTTGTAGTGTCTTCCCATTTGTCCTAAATCTGTCCTCTGAAGCAGTGATAGCAATATGTATGTGGCTTACAGTTAACACATGCTTGTACATATGCATTAGCAAACAGAATACCTTTTTTTCTTATACATGTTCCTTCAAATATTTGGAAATGGCAACCATATGCTAACAATATCTAACTCCTTCAACCCTCCTCAAATCATTGGTTTCTAGAAAGAGTGTTTTTTAAAACAATGAAATACTTCAGGCACAGGAATCTGAACGGAGTAAGTATTCATGCTATTTGCCACCTAGGTAAAGAAATAAAATACAGGCCAGGAGCAGTGGCTCACGCCTGTAGTCCCAGCACTTTGGGAGGCTGAGACAGGAGGATTGCTTGAGCTCAAGAGTTGGAGACCAGCCTGGGCAACATGGCGAATCCCCATCTCTACAAAAAAATACAGAAGTTAGCAGAGCATGGTGGTGCATACCTGTGGTCCCAGCTACTCGAGGGGCTGAGGTGGGGGGATCTCTTGAGCCTGGGAGGTTGAGGCTGCAGCGAGCTGAGATAGTGCCACTGCGCTCCGGCCTAAGCAACAGAGAGAAACCCTGCCTAAAATAAAATAATATAATACTGTATAAAAGAAAAGCCCCCTGTGTGTCTTTAATGATCCCGCTCCCTTCCGTTTCCTGATGTAACCATTACCCGAATTCGGTGTATATTATTCCCATGTATTCTTTTCCACAAATGTTTGCATTTTCTGTTTTGCATGTTCTCTAAATGTAGTATCATACTGAACTTATTCTTCTATAGCTGTTTTTTCTCTTCAATGTTATCTTTAATGATATTAATCCATCAATACATTAGCTTTTAAACTCATTAATATTATTTTTAATTGATAAATCAAAATTTTATACATTAATGGGGTGCAATGTGATGTTTTGAGAGATTATATACATATACATATATACATATACATATATACATATATATACATATACATATATAATATACATATATACATATACATATATACATATACATATACACATATACATATATACATATACATATATACATATATACATATACATATATACATATACATATATACATATACATATATACATATATACACATATATACATATATACATATACATATACATATATACATATATATACACACACATACATATATACATATATATACACACACACACACACAAAATGTGGAATGATTAAATCAAGCTAACATATTCCTCACCTCACTTATTTTTTGTGGTGAGGCATTTGAAATTTGCTCAGCTATTTTGAAATACACAATACCTTTTATTTACGATAGCCACTCTGCCACGCAATAGATCTCAAACTTCCTCACTGAAACTTTATACCCTTTGACCAAAAACTCCTGATTCCTCACTCCCCTCCCCAGCCTGTGGTAACCACCATTCTACTCTCTACTTCAGTGAGTTCAATAGATTCCACATATAAGTGAAATCGTGCAGTATTTGTCTTTCTGTGCCTGGCTTATTTCACTTAGCATAATGTCCTCCAGTTCCACCCATGCTGTTGCAAATGGCAGAATTTCCTTTTTAAAGGCTGAATAGTATTCCAAATATATCATGTTTTCTTTATTCATTTATCCACTGACAGACACTTAGTTTGATTCCATATCTTGACTATTGTGAACAATACTGCAATGAGCATGGGCATGTAGATATCCCTTCAATGTATTGATTTCCATTCCTTTGGACGTATATCCACAAGTCAGATTGCTGGTGGTAGGGTTTTTTTTTTGTTGATGTTATTGTTTTTAAAGACTGGGTTTTGCTCTGTCACCCAGGCTGGAGTACAGTGGCACAATCATAGCTCACTGCAGCCTTGAACTCCCAGGCTCAAGCGTTCCTCCCACTTCAGCCTCCCAAGTATCTGAGACTACAGGCATGTGTTACCACACCTGGCTTAGTTTTAGTTGTTTAAATCTTTATACCATTTTCCATAATGACAGTACTAATTTACATTCCCACCAACAAAGTACAGGATTCCTTTATGTCCACATCTTTGCCAACACTTGTTAACTTTCATCTTTTTGATAGTAGCCATTCTAACAGGTGTGAAGTGATAGCTCATTGTGGTTTTAATTTCTATTTCCTTAATGCTTAATGATGTTGAACATTTTTGTCATGAACCCACTGGACATTTGTATGTCTTGAGAAATATCTGTTCTGGTTCTTTGCCCATTTTAAAATCAGCTTATTTGTTTTCTTGCTAATGAGTTGAGTTTCTTATATATTTTAGATATTAACTGCTTATCAGATGTATGGTTTGCAAATATTTTCACCTATTCTTTGTGTTATCTCTTCCCTTTGTTAATTGTTTCCTTTGCTGTGCAGAAGCTTTTACATTTGATGCAATTCCCTTTGTCTATTTTTGCTTTTATTGCCTGTGCTTTTAGGGTTACATCCAAAATAATCATTGTCTAGGCCAACGCTGTGTAGCGTCTCCATGTTTACTTTTAGTTGTTTTATAGTTTCAGGTCTTATATTGAAGTCTTTAATCCATTTTGAGCCGGTTTTTGTTTATGATATAAGGATCCACTTTCATTCTTCTGCCTGTGAATATCCAGTTTTCCTGACACCATTTATTTACTGTCCTTGCCCTATTGTATGTTCTTGGCACCTTTGTGGAAAATCATTTGACCATAAATGCATGGGTTTATTTCTGAGCATTCCATCCTGTTCCACTGGTCTACAGTTCGGTTTTTATGCCAGAACATGCTGTTTTGATTATAATAGCTTTATGTAATAACATATTTTGAAATCAGGGAGTGCGATGCATCCAGCTTTGTTCTTTTGGCCTGATTGTTTTGGCAATTTGAGGTCTTTTGTCATTGCATATAAATTTAAGGATTTTTTTCTATTTCTGTAAAATTTTCATTGGAATTTTGATAGGGATTGCATTGAATCTGTAGATTGTTTTACGTAGTATGGACATTTTAGCAATGTTAATTTTTCAAATCCAAGAACACAGGATATCTTTCCATTTATTTGCATTTTCTTCAGTTTCTTTCTTCAATACGTATAGTCTTCAGTATCTTTCACCTCCTTGGTTAAATTTACACCTAAGTAGTTTTTGTTGTTTTTGCTATTGCAAATGGGATTATTTTCTTAATTTCTTTTTTGGATAGTTTGTCAGTAATGTATAGAAATGCCACTGTAGCCGGATGCAGTGGCTTATACCTGTAATCCCAGCGCTTTGGGAGGCAGAGGTGGGAGGATTGCTTGAGTCCGGGAGTTCAAGACCAGCCCGGACAACATAGGGAGACCCTGTCTCTACATAAAATTAAAAAAAAAATAGCCAAGTATAGTGGTGCACACCTGCTACTCCAGAGGCTGATGTGGGAGGATCGCTTGAGCCCAGGAGGTTGAGGCTGCAGTGAGCTGTGATTTTGCCACTGCACTCCAGCCTGGGTGACAGAGCAAGACCCTGTCTCACCAAAAAAAAAAAAAAAAAAGCTACTGATTTTTATATGTTGATTTTGTATCCTGCAACTTTATGGAATTCATTTCAGTTCTAACAGTTTTTTGGTGGAGTTTTTAGGGGTTTCTCTATATAAGATCGTGTCCTCAGCAAACAGAGAATTTCACTTTTTCTTTTCCTATTGGCGTGCCTTTTATTTCTTTCTCTTGCCTAATTGCTCTGGCTAGGAATTCCAGTACTATGCTGAAAAGAAGTGGTGAGTGGCTGGATGTGGTGGCTCATTCCTGTAATCCCAGCACTTTGGGAGGCCGAGGCAAGTGGATCACTTGAGGTTAGGAGTTCGAGACCAGCCTGGACAACATGGTGAAAACTTGTCTTTACTAAAAATACAAAATAATTAGCCTGGCGTGGTGGCACACACCTGTAGTCCCAGCTACTCAGGAGGCTGAGGCAGGAGAATCACTTGAATCCAGGAGGTGGAGGTCTGCACCATTGTATTCCAGCCTGGGTGACAGAGTGAGACTCTATCTCAAAAAATAAAATAAAAAATATGATGTTGAACTTGATTTGCTACTATTTTGTTGAGGATTTTTGCATCTATGTTCATCAGGGCTCTTGCCTTGTAATTTTCTTTTCTTGTACTGTCCTTGTCTGGCTTTAGTATCAGGGTATTGCTGGCCTCATAAAATTCTCTCTGGTTCAATTTATTGGAAGGGTTTGAGAAGGATTGGTACTAGATCTTCTTTAAATGTTGGGTAGAATTCAGCTGTGAAGTAGTCTGGTCCTGAGCTTTTCTTTGATGGGAGACTTTATTACTAATTCAATTTCATTGTAATTGATCTATTCTGCAACCTTCTCCTGGGCTCAACTGATCCTCCCACCTCAGCTTCCCTAGTAGCTGGGACTACAGGCACATGCCACCATGCCTGGCTAATTTTTGTATCTTTTGTAGAGATGGGGTCTCACTATATTGCCCAGGCTGGTCTTAAACTCCTGGGCTCAATCAAGCCACCCACTTGGCCTCCCAGACTGTTGGGATTACAGGCATGAGCCACCATGCCTTGCCTTTTCAGATTTCCTATTTCTCCATAATTCAGTCTTAGTAGGTTGTATGTACCTAGGAGTTTATACATTTCTTCTAGACTATCCAATTTGTTGATGTATAATTGTTTATAGTAGTTTCTTAGGATCCTTTATATTTGTGTTATGAATTGTAATGTGTCCTCTTTTGTTTCTGCTGTTTTTTGAGATGGAGTCTCGTTCTATTGCCCAGGCTGGAGTGCAGTGGTACGATCTTGGCTCACTGCAATCTCCGCCTCCTGGATTCAAGTGATTCTCCTGCCTTAGCCTCCCAACTAGCTAGAACTACAGGTGTGTGCCACTATGCCCAGCTAGTGTTTTTATTTTTAGTAGAGATGGGGGTTTCACTGTGTTGGCCAGGCTGGTCTTGAACTCCTGACCTCAAGTGATCCACCTGCCTTGGCCTCCCAAAGTGCTGGGATTACAGGCATGAGCCATTGTACTCGGCTTCATTTCTGATTTTGAGTTGTCTTTTTTTCTTAGTCTAGCTAATAGTTTGTCAATTGTGTTTATCTTTTAAAAAAACAACTCTTAGTTTCATTGATTTTGTTGTTGTTGTTTTTCTAGTCCTTGTTTATTTCTGCTTTGATCTTTGTTATTTCCCTCCTTCTGCTAATTTTGGGCTTCGTCTGTTCTTTCTCTAGTGCCTTGGGATGTAATGTTAGATTGTTGAGATCTTCTTTTTCTGAAATTGTTTTTAAAATTAATACATAATAATTGTACATACAAGGTACATGTGGTATTTTGATACATGTATACAATATGTACTGATCAAATTGGGATATTTTGGCTGGGCATGGTGGCTCACACCTGTAATCTCAGCACTTTGAGAGGTCAAGGCTAGTGGATCACCTGAGGTCAGGAGTTCAAGACTAGCCTGGCCAGTGTGGTGAAACCCCATCTCTACTAAAAATACAAAAATTTGCCAAGCTTGGTGGCGGGCGCCTGTAATCCCAGCTACTCGGGAGGCTGAGGCACGAGTATCACTTGCACCAGGGAGGTGGAGGTTGCAGTGAGCTGAGATGGCGCCTTTGTACTCCAGCCTGGGCAACGGAGCAAACCTCCATCTCAAAACAAACAAACAAAAGAACCAAATTGGGGTATTTAAGGTTTCCATCACCTCAAACCTTTATCATTTCTTTGAGTTGGAAATATTTCCAATCTTCTAGCTATTTTGAAATATACAAATAATATGCAGTTATTGTCAACTATAGTGACTCTATTATGCTGTCAAACACTAGAACTTATTCCTTCTATCCACGTTTGTATCTATTAACCAGCCTCTCTCTTTATCCTCCCCAAGTTGTTCCCAGCCTCTGGTAACTATCTCTTTACCTCCATGAGATGAACTTTTTTTAGGCCTCACATATGAGTGAGAACATGCAACATTTGTTTTTCTGTGCCTGGCTTATTTCACTTAACATGACGACCTTCAGTTCCATCCATGTTACTGCAGATGATGAGATTTCATTCTTTTTAGGAATGAAGAATATTCCTTTTTTTTGGCGGGGGCGGGGAAGAGACAGAGTCGGCCAGTTGCAGTGGCTCACACCTGTAATCCCAGCACTTTGTGAGGCCAAGGCAGGCAGATCACTTGAGCCCAGGAGTTTGAGACCAGCCTGAGCAACATAGTGACACCCCGTCTCTACAAAAAATAAACATTAGCTGGGTATTGTGGCATGTGCCTGTAGTCCCAGCCACTCAGGAGGCTGAGGTGGGAGGATCACTTGAGCCCAGAAAGGTCGAGGCTAAAGTGAGCCGAGACCATGCCACTGCACTCCAGTCTGGGTGACAGAGGGAAACCCTATCTCAAAAAAAAAAAAAGGGTCTCTCTCTGTTGCCCAAGGCTAGAGTGCAAGTGGTGAAATCATGGCTCCATTACAACCGCAAATTCCTGGGCTTAAGAGATCCTCCCACCTCAGCTTCCCGAGTAGCTAGGACTACAGGCATAGGCCACCATGCCCAGCTGAGTTTTTAATTCTTTTTTGTAGAGACAGAATCTCACTATGTTGCCCTAGCTGGTCTCCAATTACTGGCCTCAAGTGATCCTCCTTGTCTTGACCTTCCAAAAATGTTGGGATTACAGGCACAAGCAGCTACTATGGCCAGCTCGTATCTTGGATGTCGTGAATAGTGCTGCAATAAACATGAGGGTGCAGGTATCCCTTGGATATGATTTTCTTTCCCTTGGATAAATGCCCAGTAGTGGATTGCTGGATCATATAATAGTTCTATTTTTAGTTCTCTGAGGAATCTGCATGCTGGTTTTCCATAACGGTTGTACTAATTTACATTCCCACCAACAGCATATAAGAGTTCCCTTTTCTCTGTATCCTTGCCAGTATTTGTTATTTTTCATCTTTTTGCATTCTAACTGAGGTGAGATGATATTTCAGGGTGGCTTTTTTTTTTTAAGAGACGGAGTCTCGCTCTTTTGCCCAGGCTGGACTGCAGTGGCACTATCTCGGCTCACTGCAAGCTCCGCCTCCCGGGTTCATGCCATTCTCCTGCCTCAGCCTCCTGAGTAGCTGGGATTACAGGTGCCCGCCACCGCACCCGCCTAATTTTTTTGTATTTTTAGTAGAGACGGGGTTTCACCGGGTTAGCCAAGATGGTCTCGATCTGCTGACCTCGTGATCCACCCGCCTCGGCCTCCCAAAGTGCTGGGATTACAGGCGTGAGCCACCGCACCCGGCCTCAGGGTGGCTTTGATTTGCATTTGTCAGATGATTAGTGATGTTGAACATTTTTTCATATAGCTGTTGGCTATTTGTCATCTTTTGAGAAATGTGTATTCATGTCCTTTGCACACTTTTTTTTTATTGTATTGTACTGATTTTTTTGAGACAGAGTCTCGCTCTGTTGCCCAGGCTGGAGTGCAGTCATGTGATCTCAGCTCACTGCAGCCTCTGCTTCCCAGGTTCAAGGGATTCTCCCACCTCAACCTCCCGAGTAGCTGGGACTACAGGGGTGTGCCACCATGCTTGGCTACGTTTTGCATTTTTAGCAGAGATGAGATTTCACCATGCTGCTCAGGCTAGTCTCAAACTTCTGACCTCAAGTGATTCGCCCGCGTCTGCCTCCCAAAGTGCTGGGATTACAGGTGTGAGCCACCACGCCTGGCCCTTTGCCCACTTTTTAATGGGATTATTTCTTTTTTTGTTGTTGTTGAGTTGTTTGAGTTCCTTGTATATTCTGGATATTAGTACCTTATCAAATGAATAGTTTGCAAGTATATTTTCCCCATTTTACAGGTTGTCTCTTCATTCTGTTGAATGCTTTCTTTGCTATGCAGAAGCTTTTTAGTTTAACATAGTCCCATTTGTCTGTTTTTCAATTTGTTGCCTGTGCTTTTAAGGCCTTAGCCATAAAATCTTTGCTTAGACCAATATCCTGAAGCATTTTCTTTGTGTTATCTTCTAGTAGTTTTATCGTTTCAGGTCTTATGTTTAAGTCATTAATCCAGTTTGAGTTGATTTTTTTTTTTAATGTGGTGAGAGATGGGGGTCTGGTTTTATTCTTCTGCATATGGATATCCAGTTTTCCAGTACAATTTATTGAAGCAGGTGTCCTTTCCCCATGGTATGTTCTTGGCACCTTTTGAAGAATCAGTTGGCTGGGCTGGGCGCAGTGGCTCATGCCTGTAATCCCAGCACTTTGGGAGGCCGAGGTGGGCGGATCACGAGGTCAGGAGATCGAGACTGCGGTGAAACCCCGTCTCTACTAAAAATATAAAAAAAAATTAGCCGGGCGTGGTGGTGGGTGCCTGTAGCCCCAGCTACTCAGGAGGCTGAGGCAGGAGAATGGTGTGAACCCAGGAGACGGAACTTGCAGTGAGCCAAGATCGCGCCACTGCACTCCAGCCTGGGTGATGGAGCGAGACTCTGTCTCAAAAAAAAAAACAAAAAAAGAAAAAGAAAGAAAAATCAGTTGGCTGTAAATACATGTATTTATTTCTGGGTTCTCTATTCTGTTCCATTGGCCTATGTGTCTGTTTTTATACCAGTACCATACTGTTTTGGTTACTATAGTTTTATAGTATATTTTAAAGTCAGGTAATGTGATGCCTTTCTTCTTTTCTGATATAGGTGTTTATTGCTATAAATTTCCCTCTTAGAACTGCTTTTGTTGGCTGGGTGTGATGACTCACGTCATTAATCCCAGCACTTAGAGGGGCCAAGGCTTGAGCCCAGTAGTTAGAGACCAGCCATGGTGAAACCCTGTCTCTACAAAAATTGAAAAAATTACCTAGACATAGTGGCACATACCTGTAGTTGCAGCTACTTGGGAGGATGAGATGGGAGGATTACTTGAACCCAGGAGGTTGAGGCTGCAGTGAGCCATGATCATGCTACTGTACTCCAGCCTGGGTGACAGTGAGACCAGGTCTCAAAAGAAAAAACAAACAAAAAAAACTGCTTTTGCTGCATATCATGAGTTTTTGTATGTTATGTCTCCATTTTCATGTGTCTCAAGGTATTTTATGATTTCCTTTTTGATTTATTTTTGGACCCATTGGTGATTCAGGAGCATACTGTTTAATTTCTACATATTTATGAATTTCCCATGATTTCCCCTGTTATTAATTTCTGGTTTAATGCCATTGTGATTGGAAAAGTACCTAATATGATTTCAATCCTCTTATTTTTTTTTTTTTGAGATGGAGTTTTGCTCTTGTTGCCTAGGCTGGAGTCCAATGGTGTGATCTCTGCTAACCATAACTTCTGCCTCCCAGGTTCAAGTGATTCTCCTGCCTCAGCCTCCCAAGTTGCTGGGATTACAGGCGCCCACCAACACACCTGGCTAATTTTTTGTATTTTTAGTAAAGATGGGGTTTCACCACATTGGCCAGGCTGGTCTTGAACTTCTGACCTCAAGTGATCCACCTGCCTCAGCCTCCTAAAGTGCTGGGATTACAGGCATGAGCCACCACACCTGGCCTCCGCTTACATTTTTAAAGTCTTATTGTATGACCTCTAACATATGATCCTGGAGAATATTCTGCATGTGCTTGAGAATAATGTTTATTCTGTTGCTATTGGATGGAATGTTCTGTATATGCCAGATCTGTTTGGTCTAAAGTATAATTCAAGTCCAATGTTTCTGTATTTTTTGTCTGGATAATGTGTTCATTGTTGCAAGTGGGGTATTGAAGTCTCCTACTGTTACTGCATTTCAGTCTCTCCTCTCATATTAATTAGTAATTGCTTTATATGTTTAGGTGCTCTAACATTAGGTGCATATATATTTATAATAGCTATATCCCCTTGATGAATTGACCATTTTATCATTATATAATGACCTTCTTTGTCTCAGTTTACAGTTTTTGACTTAGTCTGTTTTGTCTACCACTCTGTATATATATATATATATATATATAGCTACCACTCTAGCTTTCTTTTAGTGTCCATTTACCTGGAATATCTCTTTCCATTTCTTCACTTTCAGTCTATATGTATCCCTACTGCCTCTCGTAGCTAGTATATAGTTGGGTCTGTTTTTCATTTGTTTTTGATTTGGAGTCTCACTCTGTCGCCCAGGCTGGAGTGCAATGGCGTAATCTTGGCTCACTGCAACCTCCGCCTCCTGGGTTTAAGCAGTTCTCCTGCCTCAGCCTTCTGAGTAGCTGGGATTACAGGCGCCCGCCACCACGCCCGGCTACTTTTTGTATTTTTAGTGGAGATGGGGTTTCACCATGTTGGCCAGGCTGGTCTCTTTGGGCAGTCTGGTCTCGAACTCCTGACCTCGTGATCCACCTGCCTCGGCTCCCAAAATGCTGGGATTACAGGTGTGAGCCTCCACATCTGGCATGTTTGTTTGTTTGTTTGTTTTATCCATTTACACTTAAGGTAATAATTGATATTTGCTACTGCCATTTTGTAGTTTTCTGGTTATTTTGTAGAGCCTTTGTTTCTTCCTCTCTTGCTGTCTTCCTTTGTGATTTGATGGTTTTCTGTGGTGGTATGATTTGAATCCTTTCTTTTTAGGTTTTGGCTTTGTGGTTACCATGGGGATAACATAAAACATCTTTTACTTACTACAGGCTATTTTAAGCTGATAACAACTTAACATTTTAATAGCAATCAAAAACTATACTTTTACTCCCCCTCAACATTTTATGATTTTGATGTCAAAATTTACATATTTTTGTAATTTGATTGATACGTTAGCTTTAGTACATTCATTTGAACTGCTTTTATTAATCCATTGTGTAAGTATCTATCATTTCTCCTGTTGCTGGGCAGTTAGGTTATATCAAATATTTTGCTTTTAGAAACAGTACTGTAGAATGCATTGACACACACTTAACATGTGAAATTTTTGTATATGTGTATGCATATGTATGTTTTACCAGACAAGAGAACTACAGTCCTAAATCTCTCCTTTAATCTATTAATGCAGTAAATTACATCAACTGATTTATTCTTTAATTTTGTTTTTGCTAAAAGTGTTTAAATATATATATATATATATATACACATATATATTTTACATCTATTATCACAATTGAGAAAGTAACCTATAATTTTCTTTCTTAAACTGTCCTTTTCTGTTTTGGGGGTCAGTCTTATTAGAATAAGCCTCATAGTCTGGGTGTGGTGGCTCACACCTGTAATCCCAGCACTCTGGGAGGCTGAGGCAGGCAGATCATCTGAGATCAGGAGTTCGAGACCAGCCTGGCCAACATAGTGAAACCCCGTCTCTACCAAAAATACAAAAATTAGCCGGGCGTGGTGGCACATGCCCATAATCTCAGCTACTTGGGAGGCTGAGGCAGGAGAATGGCGTGAACCCGGGAGGCAGAGGTTGCAGTGAGCCGAGATCGCGCCACTGCACTCCAGCCTGGGCGACAGAGCAAGACTCCGTCTCAAAAACAACAACAACAACAACAAAACACAAGCCTCATAAAGTGAGTTTGTCACTCTTTTCTCTGGCACAGATTGTATAAAATAAAAATCTGTTTCTTGAAAATCTGGTAGAATTGAACAGGAAAACCATCTGGTCTTGGAATTTCGTTTTTCTTGGTGGGTAGATTTTAAAATACTGACTCAGGCTGTTTTAGCTATTATAGGTCTAGTCAAGATTTCTATTTCTTCATGTTTTTTAAAAAATACTTTTTTTTTTTTTTTTTTTTAGACTGTGTCTCTCTCTTTTTCCCAGGCTGAAGTAGTGGTGCACAATCTCGGCTCATTGCAACCTCCACCACCTGAGCTCAAGTGATTCTCGCATCTCAGCCTCCTGAGTGGTTGGGACGACAGGCAAGTGCCATCATGCCCAGCTAATTTTTTAAAAAAATTTGTAGGCCAGGGGTGGTGGCTCACGCCTGTAATCCCAGCACTTTGGGAGGCTGAGGCAAGCAGATCACGAAGTCAGGAGATGGAGACCATCCTGGCCAACATGGTGAAACCCCATCTCTACTAAAAATAAAAAAAATTAGCTGGGTGTGGTGGCATGCGCCTGTAATCCCAGCTACTTGGGAGGCTGAGGAAGAATCACTTGAACCCAGGAGGCGGAGGTTGCAGTGAGCCGAGATCGCGCCGCTGCACTCCAGCCTGGTGACACAGCGAGACTCCCATCTCAAAAAGAAAAAAAATTGTAGAGAAGGGTTTCTCCATGTTCCTCAGGCTGCTGTGGAACTCCTGGGCTTAAGCAGTCGGGCTGCCTCGGCCTCTCAAAGTGCTGGGAATACAGGTATGAGACACTGCCCTTGACCAAAAATAAACTTTATTGAAGTGAAACATATATACAGAAAAGTACACAAACCATGAGGATAAAACTTGATGGATTTTCAAGTGAACATACCCATGTAACCAGCAGAACAGAGTTTAAACAGAATGTTACCAGCACCCTAACTGTGCTTGTACCTGCCTTCGAGTCTGGAAAACCACTGACTTCTGGCAGGACAGATTTATAGATTTTTGCCTGATTTTATGCTTCGTATAAATGGAATTGTACAGTATATCCTTTTTTTGTGTCTGGCTCCTTTCATTCAAAATTATGTAATGTTCATCCATATTGTTGTTTATATTGTAATTTATTCATTCTCATTGCTGTATAGTATTCCATTGTATGAAAATACTACAATTTAGTAATTCATTCTACCATTCAGGAACTTTTGGGTAATTACTAGCTTTTGACTAATGCAAAGAGGGTTGCTATAAACATTCTTGTTTTTTGGTGAACATAGTGTACACAGTTCTTTTGAGTACATACCTAGGAGTGAAACTCCTGGTTCAGAAATACGCATATGTCTGGCTTTAGTACATACTGCTCAGTAGCTTTCCAAAGCGACTGTACCAATTCATACCCCCACCAGCAATGACTGGAAGTTTCAGTTGCCTTAAATCCTTGTTAACACTTGGTAGTCTTTTGTTCGTTTTGTTTTGGCCCTTCTGGTTGCCCATATAGTAGAATGGCATTGTGGTTTAAATAACTACTTAAATTTGTATACTTTCTTTTGTGAAATGCCTAAACAAGTCTTTTATTCTTTTTCCTATTCTGTGGCCTGCCTTTTTCTTATGGAATTGTAGTTCTTTTTAAATCTTGAGTGTACATTTTTAAATTACCTTCTGTGGCTTGATTCTTCACTCTTTTTTTTTTTTTTTTTTTTAGACAGTTTCGCTCTTGTCTCGAACTCATGACCTCAGGTGATCCACCTCCCTCATCCTCCCAAAGTGCTGGGATTACAGGTGTGAGCTACCGCGCCAAGCATACTTTTTCATTAAATATTTTAAAGATATATCCATATTGTTGCATGTGGTTATAATTTCACTAGCCTATGATGTATATTGTGTGAATATATCATAAATTATCCATTTTCCTATTGATATTTCATTGTTTCCAAATTTTTGCTGGCATGAACAACATTATGCAGACATTCCTGCATATATATGTGCATAAGAGTTTCTCTCATGTATATACTTAGGAGTGAGGTCACTTAGATCATAAAGTATGTGCATATTTAACTTTCTACAAGTGATTATACCAATACATACCCCTACCAGGATCATCAGACTTCTTAATTTTTGCCATCTAATGGATACAAAATTATCTCATTTTAGTTTTTCCTATTGTATGAAATATTTGTCTTTTGCACATTTTTTACAAACTGGGTTATTTTTCTTCTTATTGATTGGAAAGAGTCATTTACATGTTCTAGATCCTTGTTATATGTTACATGGGTTAGAAATAACTTTTTTGTTTTTGGTTTGTTGTACATGATCTTTTTGTTTCCCAACTTAAATAAAAAGAAGTTCTTAGAGATAGTTCACATACCACAGAATTCACCTTAAATGTGTTCAGTTGTGTTTTTTGTTGTTTTTGTTTTGTTTGTTTTTGAGACAGAGTCTGGCTCTGTCGCCCAGGCTGGAGTGCGGTGGTGTGATCTCGGCTCACTGCAACCTCCACCCCCTGGTTTCAAATGATTCTCATGCCCCAGCCTCCCAAGTAGCTGGGATTACAGGTGCACCACCATGCCTGGCTAATTTTTAAAAATATTTTTAGTAGAGATGTGGTTTCACCATGTTGGCCAGACTGGTCTGGAACTCCTGACC
Source organism: Homo sapiens (assembly GCF_000001405.40). Classification (NCBI taxonomy): domain Eukaryota; kingdom Metazoa; phylum Chordata; class Mammalia; order Primates; family Hominidae; genus Homo; species Homo sapiens. Next base: position 50,512,575 of record NC_000015.10, on the reverse strand, counting down.
TCAAGTGATCTGCCCATCTCAGGGCCTCCCAAAGTGCTGGGATTACAGGTGTGAGCCACTGTGCCTGGCCAGTTCAGTAGTTTTTAGTACATTCACAGAGTTGTGCAGTTATCACCACAGTCCAGTTTTAGAACATTTTCGTTATCCCCAAAAGAAACCCTGTAACCCGTTCCTTCTCCCCCAGTCCATAGCAACTACTAGTCTTCTCACGTGCACTCTCTCTCGATCTCTCGCTATTTTTTTTTTTTTTAACAGAGTCTTGCTCTGTTGCCCAGGCTGGAGTGCAGTGGCATGATTTCAGCTCACTGCAACTTCCGCCTCCCAGGTTCAAGGGATTCTCGTAACTCAGCCTCCCGAGTAGCTGGGACTACAGGTGTATTTTTGTATTTTTAGTAGAGGTGGGGTTTCACCATGTTGACCAGGCTGGTCTTGAACTCCTGACCTCAAGTGGCGCACCCACCTTGGCCTCCCAAAGTGCTCGGATTACAGGCATGAACCACTTCTCCTGGCCTCTACTTTATATATTTCTATAGATGTGCCTATTCTGCGTATTTTTAAAATTTTATTTATTTTATTTTTTGAGACAATATCTCACTCTTGCTCAGGCTGGAGTGCAATGGTGCAATCTCAGCTCACTGCAGCCTCAACCTCCCTGGCTCAAGTGATCTTCCCTCCTCCCTCCCTCGAGTAGCTGGGACCACAGGTGTGCACCACCATGCCCCAATAATTTTTGTGTATTTTGGTTGAGATGGGGTTTTGCTATATTGCCCAGGCTGGTCTCAAACTCCAGACGTCAAGTGATCCACCTGCCTCGGCTCCCCCAGGTGCTGGGATTACAGGCGTGAGCCACAGTGCCTGGCCTATTCTGGGTATTTTAATAAACAGAATCATAGAATATATGACCTTCTGTTTTTATTTTCTTTTATTCAGCATAATGTTTTCAAGTTTCATTCATGTCATAGCATGTATCTGTACTTCATTCCTTTTTATTGCCAAATAATATTCCATTGTATAGGATATACCACATTTCCTTAATCCATCCAGTGATGGACATTTGGCTTGTTTCCACTTTTGGCTGTCATCAGTAATGCTGCTATGAACATTTATGTACAGGATTTTCTGTAAACATGTTTTCATTTCTGTTGGGTATATACCTAAGTGTGAAATTTCTGGGTCATATGGTAACTCTGGTTAATTTTTTGAGGAACTGCCAAATTGTTTTCCAAAGTGGCAGCAGCATTTTACGTTCCCACCAGCAACTGGAACTAAGGTTCCAGTTTCCCCACATCCTCAACCGAACTTGTTACTGCCTCTCATTTTTTATTCTATCCCATACAAAGTAGGTATGAACTGGTATGTCATGGTTTTGAGTTGCATTTTCCTAATGACTAATGATGTTGAGCATCTTTTCAAGTGCTCTCTCTCCAGTTTTTAAAATAAAACTTTGCAAACATTCAGAAAATCTGAAAGAATTGTACAGAGAACATTGGTGTACATCGGCCGGGCACGGTGGCTGACGCCTGTAATCCCAGCACTTTGGGAGGCCAAGGCAGGCGGATCACGAGGTCAGGAGATCGAGACCATCCTGGCTAACACGGTGAAACCCCGTCTCTACTAAAAATACAAAAAAAATTAGCCGGGCATGGTGGCGGGCGCCTGTAGTCCCAGCTACTCAGGAGGCTGAGGCAGGAGAATGGCGTGAACCCAGGAGGCGGAGCTTGCAGTGAGCCGAGATAGCGCCACTGCACTCCAGCCTGGGAGACAGAGCGAGACTCCATCTCTAAAAAAAAAACCAAAAAACAAAACATTGGTGTACATTGGTGTACATTTCAGCTAGATTCAGTTATTAACATTTAGCAGTGTATACACTTTTATTACTTTCACTCTCTATACATATATATGTGCACATCTATACACACGTATATCTAACTTTTTGCTGATTTAAATCTTGTATCGTGACACTTCATAGATCAAAATAATCCCTTAACCACATTCTTCTACATACCCACAATAGCAGAATTATATGTAAGAAAATTTAAAATTCCATCACTCATATTCATAGATTCATATTCAAATATCAATTGTCACAAGGTTTTTTTTTTTAGTAGCATTTTTTTTCAAAGACCAGAATCCATCCAAAATTCACAAACTGCATTTGGTTGTTGTATCTTATTGTAATTGCTGACAATCAAGTTTTAATTTGGTTGGAACATCAATCTTTTCTAGTTAGTCCTTTTCTGTGTCTCATTTAAGAAATCCTTTCCAACCCTGGAATTACAAAGATATTTACCTACATATCTTCCAAACATTTAAATTGTTTTGCACTTCTGACAAAAATGTAGTATAAATTAGGGATTCAATTTCATTTTTCTGCATATGAATAACCAAATGTCTCAGCCTCTTCTTTTCCTCAGTAACATATAATGCTGGTTTTCCTATGCTGTGTGTGTCTGTTGGTCAATTTGTTCACATTTGGGCTAATTCCGTACTGTATTAATTATAGCTATAAAATATTAAATTTATTAAATTAATATTGAATTAATTCTTAATTTAGCTTATGAATATTAATTATAGCTATAGCTTTGAAATAAACATTGATATCTGGCAGAGCAAGAACCATCATTATTCCCTAAGTCATTACCATCACAACTTTATTCTTATTTTTCAGTAGTATTTCGATTATTCCTGGCCCTTGTCAATTTCTGTAAAAAATATAGGTGTGAGCCATGTATTTCTCTTCAGTCATTTTGGTAACTTATTCTCCAGATATTTGTCTATTTCATCTAAGGTCTCAGTTGGCTGGCATAAAGTTTTTAGGGTATTAACAATAAATTTATTCAGGATCTGTAGCTATTACATGTTTTTTCATTTTTAATTTTATCGTTGACTTGTCTCTTTTTTATTTTATTTTATTTTATTTTATTTTTTGAGACGCAGTCTCGCTCTGTCGCCCAGGCTGGAGTGCAATGGCACGATCTCAGCTCACGGCAAGCTCCGCCTCCCGGGTTCAAGTCATTCTCCTGTCTCAGCCTCCTGAGTAGCTTGGGACTACAGGCGCCCGCCACCATGCCCGGCTAATTTTTTGTATTTTTAGTAGAGACGGTGTTTCACCGTGTTAGCCAGGATAGTCTCAATTTCCTGACCTGGTGATCCGCCTGCCTCAGCCTTCCAAAGTGCTGGGATTACATGAGCCACCGCGCCCGGCCGCCTTGTCTCTTATTCTCTAAATCTTACTATTGACGTCCAAGTTACTATTTTTGAGAGAGGGTCTCACTCTGTCTCCCAGGCTGGAGTGCAGTGGTGTGATCTTGGCTCACTGCAACCTCTGCCTCCCAGGCTCGAGCCATCCTCCCACCTCAGCCTCCCAAGTAGATGGAACTACAGGCACAACACCATGTCCAGCTAATTTTGTAATTTTTTTTTTTTTTTTTTTTTTTTTTTTTGTGACGGAGTCTCGCTCTGTCGCCCAGGCTGGAGCACAGTGGCGCGATCTTGGCTCACTGCAAGCTCCGACCCCGGGTTCACGCCATTCTCCTGCCTCAGCCTCCCAAGTAGCTGGGACTACAGGCGCCCGCCACCGTGCCCAGGTAATTTTTTGTATTTTTAATAGAGATGGGGTTTCACCGTGTTAGCCAGGATGGTCTCAATCTCCTGACCTCGTGATCCGCCCGCCTCGGCCTCCCAAAGTGCTGGGATTACAGGCGTGAGCCACCGCGCCTGGCCTGTACTCTTTTTTTTTTTATAGAGACGGGGTTTTGCCATGTTGCCCAAGCTGGTTTCAAACTCCTGGACTCAGGCGATCCATCTGCCTTGGCCTCCCAAAGTGCAGGGATTATAGGCATGAACCACTGTGGCAGGCTAACATCCAAATTATTTTGTCTTAAAACACCAACTTTTACCTTTTTTTAAATCTTCTGTATTACATCTTTGTTTTCTGCTTTATGGGTTATTCCTCTTACAGTGTTATCTCTTCCCTCTACTCTTTTAGGGTTTATTCTGTTATGTTTTAATGTTTTAAACTGAGTGTCCAGTGTATTAACACTCAGTCTATCCTTTAAGATATAAGTATTTAAAACTACAAATGTCTATCTCCCACTTTCTCTGCCTTTTTTTATTATAGAATATTTCAAACATATACAAAATTGGACAGCATAACAAACCGCCATGCATCCATCAACTAGCTTGCTGAAGCAAGATATTTGAATATAAAATAAATGATCAATTCATCTTAATACTGACCCACTCTCTTCTTGGCATCGTATTATTTTTAAGACATTCTCAGACATCAGTGCATCCCATGTTTTGATATAGTATTTTCATTACTATTTACTTCTAAGTGTTTTACTTTTATAATTTATTTATAAAGTTACTTAGAAGTGTTTTTTTAATTTCCAAAAGTATTGATTTTTTGTGGGGGTATCATTTTGTATTGACTGCTAATTGTATTGTGTTCAAAGACTAGGGTCTAAATTAAACTAATCTTTTTTTTTTTTTTTTTTTTTTTTTGAGACAGAGTCTTGCACTGTCGCCCGGGCTAGAGTGCACTGGCACCATCTCGGCTCACTGCAACCTCCGCCGCCCAGTTTCAAGCGATTTTCCTGCTTCAGCCTCCTCAGTAGCTGGGATTACAGGCAGCCGACACCATGCCCAGCTAATTTTTTGTATTTTTAGTAGAGACGGGGTTTCTCCATGTTGGCCAGGCTGGTCTCGAACTCCTGACCTCGTGATTCGCCTGCCTTGGCCTCCCAAAGTGCTGGGATTACAGGCATGAGCCACCGTGCCTGGCCTAAACTAACTCTTTTACATTTGTTGAGACAGTGCACTTCTATTTCAGGAGTCAGATACTCATCTAAGTATATATTGTAAAAGCTGTATCTATACTAATATTTTTGTCTGCTTGATCAATAGTTGAAATCTTCCATTATGATGGTAGACTTGTCAAAACTTCCCTATAGTTCTGTCATTTGTTTTTAACAAGTCTGTTTTGTTAGGTAGGTAGCAGTTTCAAATTATACAATTTGGGTGATTTAAACCTTTTTTCATTATAAAGTGACTCATTTACAATGCATTCTATCTTAGGGACCATTTTAGCTGATGTATAGCTACTTCAGCTTTCTCTTGGTCATATCTACCTACGACAAGTTGAGCATCCCTAATCTGAAAATCCAAAATGCTCCAAAATCTGAAACATTTTAAGCACCAACATGATGCTCAAGGGAAATACACCTTTTCTGAGTTCTAAATGTTATATAGTGCATAGAACTGGATTTGTTGTTGTTGTTGTTTTGTTTTAGAGACAGAGTCTCACTCTGTGCCCCAGGCTGGAGTGCAGTGGCATGATCTTGGCTCACTGCAACCTCCACCTCCCAGGTTCAAGCAACTCTCCTGCCTCAGCTTCCCAAGTAGTTGGGATTACTGGCATGTGCCACCAGACCCAGCTAATTTTTGTATTTTTAGTAGAGACCGGGTTTTGCCATGTTGGCCAGGGTGGTCTGGAACTCCTGATCTCAGGTGATCCGCCTGCCTTGGCCTCCCAAAGTGTTGGGATTACAGGCATGAGCCACCACACTTGGCCTAAAACTGGATTTTTTTTTTTTTTTTTTTTTTTTTTTTTTTTTGAGATGAAGTCTCGCTCTGTCGCCCAGGCTGGAATGCAGTGGCACGATCTCGGCTCACTGCAAGCTTCACCTCCTGGGTTCATGCCATTCTCCTGCCTCAGCCTCCGGAGTAGCTGGGACTATAGGCGCCTGCCACCATGCCCGGCTAATTTTTTGTATTTTTGTAGAGATGAGGTTTCACCGTGTTGGCCAGGATAGTCTTGATCTCCTGACCTCGTGATCCGCCCCCCTCGGCCTCCCCAAGTGCTGAGATTATAGACGTGAGCCATCGCGCCTGGCTAGAACTGGATATTTAAAATCCAGTAAATATTTGGTAAATTTACTACATCCCATATATTTCAACTAGTAATAAATTCGGATTTACTTGTCGTCATCTTCTTTTGTGTTTATGTTAGCCTTATTTTTCTAATTCGGCAGTCCCCAACCTTGTTGGCACCAGGGACTGATTTTTGTGGAAGACAATTTTTCCACTGATGCGGTTTTTTTCCCATGGATGGGGGCCGGGGCGGGCATGGTTTTGGGATTAAACTGTTCCACCTCAGAAAATCAGGCAGTAGATTCTCATAAGGAGCACGCAACCTAGATCCCTCACATGCGCAGTTCACAATAGAGTTTGTGCTGCTGTGAGAATCTAATGCAGCAGCTGATCTGACAGGAGGCGGTGCTCAGGGTAGGTTTGCCGCTCGCTTCCTGCTGTGCAGCCAGGTCCTGAACAGGTCAGGGACAGGCAGCCTGGGGGGGTTGGGGACCTCTGCTGTGTTGTTTTCCCCTGTTGTTCTTGCTGCTACTAAACTGATAAAGCTTTCTTTATTTTCCCTCTACAACTTTGGAAGTTACACATTTTGATTCTTTAGTAATTATGCTAAAAAACGACAGCTTTCATACTTAAAGCCTAAAGTTAATCAAGATCTTTATACTCTGCTCCCAAAGAAATGGAAAGCTCTTAGAACACTGTAATTCTGATCACTGAACTACTGTTTTCAGCATCTTTTGTTTTTGAGACAGGGTCTCACTCTGTTGCCCAGACTGGAGTGCACTAGTGCAATGAATCATAGCTCACTACAGTTTTGAACTCTGGGCTTAAGGGATCCTCCTGCCTCTGCCTGCCAAGTAGCTGGGACTACAGGCATGCTACTGTGCATGGCCAACTTTTTTATTTTTTTTAGAGACCAGGTCTCACTATGTTGCCCAGGCTGGTCTCAAACTCCTGGGCTCAAACGATCCTCCTGCCTTGGCCTTCCAAAGTGCTGGGATTACAGGTGTGAACCACCATGCCCAGCCGGTTTTTAATTTTTTAATATGCCTCCAAAGGAGACATTATCATGGTTTTCTACTGTTCATATTGGGTTATATTTGCCCGGATCTTCATCAGTCTTTTTTGTTAATCACTGTCTATTATGTATCACTTCTTCCTTCATTGAGTTTTTAAAATTCATGTGGCATATATTTCAGTAGGCTTTTCAGTGAGGGTCTGTTATCCTGAAGTCTCTCAGTCTTTGAGAAGTCTTTAATTCACTTTCATTCTTGGATGATAACTAGAAATCAAATTCCAGATTGACAGTTATTTTTCTCTATTATTTTGAAGCTACTGTATTGTCTCTGATTTCTATGGCTGCTATGGAGAACTTCTACCAGCAGGTTAGATTCTTGTGGGTAAACTCTCTTTTTCTTTCTGGTTGCTTTTAAGCTTTTTCTCTTTGTCTCTGTTGTTCTGCAGTATTATTTTTATTTATCCCTGGCTCGCTGCATTTCCTAAATGTGAAGATTCATGTCTCATTAATCATTTTCAGCCATTATCACTTTTAATATTGCCTTGCTCCCCTACTCGATTCTCTCCTCCTAGAACTTCTACAGGACATACGCTGAATATTCTCATTCAATTTTTCATGCCTCTTAACACGTATTCTCCATCACTACTCCATTCTTGCTAATTTCCCCAACTTCATTTTATAGTTTATTCTTTTTTTTTTTTTTTTGAGATGGAGTCTCACTCTGTCACCCACACTGGAGTGCAATGGCACGATCTTGGCTCACTGCAACCTCCACCTCCCGGGTTCAAGCGATTCTCCTGCTTCAGCCTCTCAAGTAGCTGGGATTACAGGTGCACGCCACCAGGCCCAGCTAATTTTTTTTGTTTTTTTTAATAGAGACAGGGTTTCACCATGTGTACCAGGTTGGTCTTGAACTCCTGACCTCATGGTCCACCCGCCTCAGCCTCCCAAAGTGCTAGGATTACAGGCATGAGCCACCGCGCCCAGTCCGGTTTATTCATTTTCTGTGTCCTAATATCTTCATTAAGTTAATTTCCAGTACAGTTGTACCTCAGTATCTGCAGGGAGTTGGTTCCAGGATCCCTTTGACTATCAAAATCCACAGATGCTCAAGGGCCCTATATAAAATGGTGTCTTTTCTGGTGTTTTTTGTTTTTGTTTTTTGAGACAAGGTCTCATTCTGTTGCCAGGCTGGAGAGCAGTGGCTCAGTCACAGCTCACTGTAGCCTCGACCTCCTGGGCTCAGGTGATTCTCCCACCTCAACCTACCAAGTAGCTGGGACTATAGGCACGTGCCACTATGCCTGGTCAATTTTTGTATTTTGTGTAGACAGGGTTTTGCCATGTTGCCCAGGCTGGTCTACAACTCCTGGGCTCAAGCAGTCTGCCCACCTCCATCCCCCAAAAACGTTGGGATTACACGTGTGAGCCACCATGCCAGGCCTGGAGTAGTATTTGCATGTAACCTATGCACATCCTCCCATATACTTTAAGTCATCTCTGGATTACTTATAATATCTAATACAATATAAATACTATGTAAATAGTTGTTACACTGTATTTTAAAATATGTATATTTTTATTGTTGTATTATTTTTTCAAATCTTTCCCATCACATTAGTTGATTCTGAAGATGCAGAGCCCGTAAATATGGACGGCCAACTATGTTGTATTTCTCATTTCTGAAAATTCTATTTAGTTTCTAAAGTTTGTTTCCTTCTTCTAAATATATTTAAATATACTTTATTTGTAGCCTCTGCTTAATAATTCTATTATCTAAAGTCCTTGGGGGTTTAAATCTTATTGCCTTCTGACTCTTATGATAAATTGTTTCCTTGCATGTTCTATTATTTTGAATTGTGATCTCAACTTCATTGGGGTTTCATATGTGGATATCCTGTTAGGTCTGAGTTAACATGCAACAATCTAGAAATTCTGTTTCCTTCTGGCAACTGCCCTAGAAATACTTTTCATATTAAGTTCACAGGATTCGCAGACCACACAGGTAGTATAAATTTGAATCCCAAACTGGTGAAAAGGTAGGTCTATGGTGACAAATTCCCAGGAATGACTTTTATTCTCTGTACCATGAGTCCAAGCTAACACAAGCACTAGAGGGTGGATTTTGTTTTTTAATCCTTCCATTGAGGGTGAATGTCTTTAAAGGTCCTGGCTTTGTATGTGGATCTCAATCCAACTTCTCACCTTGTAGGGGGGCCTAAGACTTTACCTCGAGTGTCCTTGCGTGACCTTTAAAACCCGAGCATACTGGTTACAGAAACTAGGGACTGTCTTTACGCCCAGGCAGTCACAAAGCATAAACCACACACCATACTGTTGTTAAATTTCCTGTTTAGGGCTCCGCCCAGGCTGGAATGCAATGGCATGATCTCAGCTCACTGCAACCTCCATCTCCCAGGTTCAAATGATTCTGCCTCAGCCTCCCAAGTAGCTGGGATTACCGGCATGCGCCACCATGCCCAGCTAATTTTTATATTTTTAGAAGAGATGGATTTTCACCATGTTGGCCAGGCTAGTCTCAAACTCCTGACCTCAAGTGATCCGCCTGCCTCAGCCTCCCAAAGTGCTGGGATTACAGGCGTGAGCCACCAGGCCTGGCGGAACCTTGATCTTTTAAATGTGAATTTCAGATATTTCTATTACCTGTAAGGAGAGAGGTGGGGAAGACGAAGGTTGAAGGGAATATTGAATAAATAACTCCTGTGTACTAGCCCTCAATACATGAGATATTTGATAACAGCTATACAAAACAAGCCATGTTAATAGATGAGAAATTAAAGCTCAGAAAGGTCAAATAATTTCGCTAAGGTCACAATGTACTATTACACCCGAATTCACGTTGGAATTAACTAGTCAGATCCATTTTCATTCTGGACATGGTGGTGTATGCCTGTAGTCCCAGCTATTTGGGGGCCTGAAGTGAGAGGACTGCTTGTGCCTAGGAATTCATGTACAGCCTGGGCAACATAGCAAGAAACTGCTTCTAAAAATAAATAGGCTGGGTGCAGTGGCTCACGCCTGTAATCCCAGCACTTTGGGAGGTGGAGGCAGGTGGATCACTTGAGGTCAGGAGTTCAAGACCAGCCTGGCCAACACGGCGAAACCCCATCTCTACTAAAAATACAAAAAATTAGCTGGGTGTGGTGGTGCGTGCCTGTAATCCCAGTTACTTGGGAGGCTGAGGCAGGAGAAGAGCTTTAACCCAGGAAGCAGAGGTTGTGGTGAGCTGAGATCACGTCACTGCACTCCAGCCTGGGCAACAGAGCAAGACTCTGTCTCAAATAAAAATAAATAACTTTGGGAGGCCGAAGTGGGAGGATCCCGAGGTCGAGATCGAGACCATCCTGGCTAACACAGTGAAACCCCATCTCTACTAAAAATACAAAAAATTAGCTGGGCATGGTGGCAGGCACCTGTAGTCTCCCAGCTACTTGGAAGGCTGAGGCAGAAGAATTGCTTGAACCTGGGAGGCGGAGGTTGCAGTGAGCCGAGATCGTGCCACTGCATTCCAGCCTGGGCAACAGAGAGAGACTCCATCTCAAAAAATTAAAAATAAGTTAACAAATAATCAATTTTCTTCCTCTACAGCAGAGGTCAGCAAACTTATTCTGTTAAAGGCCAAACAGTAAATATTTTAGGCCTCATAAGCCATATGGTATTGGCTGCAACTATTCAGTTTTACTGTTGTATCATTAAAGCAGCCACTGAAAAGTGTAAACAAATGAGCATGACTGTGTTCCCATAAAACTTTAAGGACATTGACATTTGAATTTCATAAAATTTTCACATATAACAATACTATTATTACTTGGATCTTTTCCCCAACCATATAAAAATTTAAAACCCGTTGCTAATGCATGGGTCTTACAAAAACAGCCTGGAGTTGACCCACGGGCCGTGGTTTGCTGACCCTTATCATACACCATAACACCTCCTTGGAAGTACACCTCTCTAATGCCTTTGTTCCAAACAATACTGGGTTAGGAAAGACATGGAAAAAGGAAAATGAGATACATTATTTTTTGTACCCTATGGGGGATTGAGGGGTTGTTGCTACATAGCCCCCTCAATTTGTGCTGTAGCAATATGCAGTTAAGATCCTTATTCTAATGTTAAATGTCTCTTCTGTGGCTTATCCTAACTTTAAAAAAAAAAAAAAGAAGCCATCTTACGTAAATGAACTTACAATTTTAAGACAGGGTCTCACTCTGTCACCCAGGCTGGAGTGCAGTGGTACAATCACGGCTCATTGCAGCCTCGACCTCTCAGGCTCGAGAGATCCTCCCACCCCAACTTCCCAAGTAGCTGGGACTACAGGTGTGCACCACTATGCCTAGCTCATCTTTTTTTTTTTTTTTTTTTTCCTTTAAAAGATATGGAGTCTCGCTATTTTGCCCAGGCTGGTCTTGAACTCCTGGACTCAAGCAATCCACCTGCCTCAGCCTCCCAGAGTGTTGGGATTACAGGTGTGAGCCACTGTGCCCGGCCTGAATTATCTTCTTATTGTAAAATTTCCTTTAATGCTTAATAGTTGATGTATATTAAGTGCTAACTAAATGTTCACTGATAAACATTAATCAGATGCTGCTAAATATTGTCTTTCTTTATTCACAGATGATAGTCAATGGGCACAACATATAAGTAGTTACAATGAAATGAGAAGCAATATAGCAGTCAGGCTATATGCATGATTTAACAACAAAATTATCACTTCCTTTTAATTTAGAATAAGGGACAATTTAAAAAGCATCTCTTGGCCCTATCATTTCTGTTCCAGTAGTTAGTGTTCATATGTGAATACTAAGTTTGACATTCCTTTCTCCCATAGAACCATTTTGGTGATTTGGATGGTGGCCACTACACTGCTTTCTGCAAGAATTCAGTCACCCAGGCCTGATATAGCTTTGATAACACACGAGTCAGTGAGATTCCAGATACTTCTGTTCAAAATGCTATGGATCTCCTGTTCTATAGCTGCCAGCCCTTTTCCATACCAATACAAAAGCGTTAAGAGCCAGGAAAATGGTGTTTCCTGAACACTGCAAAACAAGCAGTCAGCATCTGGTGGTAGAGTTTTGCTTGGTCATTAAACTCTTAGAACTTACTTGCATCATTAACATTTTTATGCCTTGTGGGCATGTTATACAACCTTTCATCTTAAGATAAATCTGTCGTCCAGAAGATGGGTCTTGGTTCACTAAAAAAGGCAGTGTGAATATAATGCAATGCTAATGGATGCAGGCCTTCAAAACACTGCAATTATATAGTGAGTTCAGGTTTCAAAATTCAGTGTTTATCAGAAAATATCTCATAATCATATATATTCAACAAATTATTTTCCAAAGATACTCATGAAGCTAAACAAAAATAATTTTTGTTCAAATGGCTCGATGAGTTTAAGAATATGATTTGAATATATTTGATATAATAATTTAGCCAAGAAGTGGTCTCTTAGACTAATTGTAAAACATGAAAAGTTGTCAGCTTCACAATTTGAACCCCATCCTTTCATCTTCTCCCTGAGAGCCTGCTAATGGTGGTCTCTTTCTGAAGCACTTTTAGAATCTTATTTTTATATGGAGTGTTTTACTGACTATATATATAGCAACTGAGTCCCTCGGTTAAATAAATTATAAGCTCCTTTAACCCTCTTAATACATCACTCTGTAAAGATGTAGTTTATAATGCAGTTCACTTTGCAATCATGCCTGACTCCCGGCATTTTTACTTTAATATTTAGAATGAATATTCTCAATATGTGAGAATACTAGTCTTGAAAGAATGACTCTGGGTGTTATTATATAGCACGTGTGTATATAAAATCTATGGTTTTACTGTCCTATATTTGATAATACAATATTAAAGACAGAACACCCACAGGGTTATAAATTATTTTTCTCATTAAGATTTTAATGTAGCTGTAAATGAAATTCTCGTTTTAAAAAAATTAAAGTTTCCATTTTTTTTTTTAGAATAAAGATTTAGTGCACAAATACAGCCCAAAGCCAACAGAAAAATTGCTTTGCCCTGTCATTTCCCTAAGAAAGCACTGAAGTTAACTCAAAATAGGCTGAAAGAAAAAAAGCAATCCTCTGAGTTCTAGGTTTCACAAAAGGACCACGTGTTAAACTATGTACATCGATTTGATGTGCAAGTATGCAATAAATATGTACACATACATTCCTATCTGCTTTACATCATTCTAGAGTATTCATAGTATATCAAGATGGGATTTAGAAATGTGAAAAGGCCATAACAGTGAAAAGGAAAAAAAAAAGATAACAATAGTTTTTAGACCAGTCGAATAATAATGCTTAGCTAGTTAATTATTTTAACTTTGGAGCAGACTAAAAAAGTTGTTTTGAAATAAATGGTACCTGTAAGTGATGATTACTGCAATACTTGTTAAATGTTATTTGTCAGCACTGACCGGAATTATATAGTGCTAGTAACACAGCTCCCACTGTCCTAGAATTCCTCTAAATGGCCAGCTATAGCTACCATTATCCTGATAAGCATTTCAAGAGTTGTGTTGCTGAGCCTTTTAAAAGATAACTAGTTTATAACCTATGTCTCCTTATGTGGCTACATCAGTTACTCGTGGTCCCAATGAAGTATAAAAGAGGATATAAGCTGCTGAAGATTTCACAGAAGAAACGGAGATATCAGAAACTTCATGATCATCAAACTTAAACCACCGTTGTCTTGCTGCATTTTTACAATAGGCTGTGTAGTGGCCTCCATCCAGCCCACCGTAGTGATTCTGTGCCAAACAAGATAGAAAAAAAAATCAATTCAGTTAAAATTGTTATTTAAAATACGCCAATAGTTTCAAAGCTTTATGTTGTTCTTACTCTTCCATGAGGTAGGAAACCACTTAAAACTTTTTTTAAACTTGCTTTGAAACAAAAAGTCTTCAGTTCAAAGAGATACTTACTGAAACAGAAAACAAATTATATTTCTTCAAATTGTTCTTTGGACCAATAACATACTGTGACAAGTCAAGATTTTCTAACGGGAAGTCCACAGATGTCTGTAATTTTTGTTTCCACCTGCCATCGTAGGAAAAACTGCAGAACAAAACATTACAATTACACTGACAGAGGAAGATACCAGGATGAATCCTCATTCATTAACATCTAGATTTTTAGCCAGGACTGTAAAATCCATTTCAAATACAAAGACTTGGAATTTTAGTAGTAGAGGAACCTGTTAAAGACATTTGGCTTCATTTCCATTTTACAAACAAGAAAACTGAGGCATATGGATATTTAATGATGTGCCTAAGGTCAAACAGCCAGAATGGTAGAGGTAGGACTATACTCTGGTCCAGCTACAACTGCTACATGAGTCTTCTAGGAAGGTAAGACCCACATGTTTATAATGCTGACCACCACAAAAGAAAGAATGACAGCTGCTCTCGAGTCAAGCTTGTACTTCAGAGAAAACTAGAGCCAGAAATTGAGAGTAGGAGACTACTGACTAAAATAATGTCATTCATTCCATTATTCTGGCATATTCTGCTCCTTTAAACATCAAAACAATGATATCTTGGTTGGTGTAATATGGTTATTTCATAATTTTGAAAATATTCAGCATTAAAAATTTTAGCAAATGTGTAATCACTTATAGAATGTTTATACTTCCAGAATCCTCAACTAGGACAATGGAAAAAACTAGCTTTTGTTAGAAAAATTTACACAAGAGAAATCTGAACATGTAAATTTGGAAATTAATATATGGAACTAAGAATCTCAATACAAGATAAAACATTTTTAACAGAAATGCTTTTTTGACACAAAAATTACAGCTCTCAATAAAAAAGTGCAACTTCCTTTAAAAAGTTTTTCAAATAATCAACTCAAAGTTCTTGAGTTACATGGATTATGTGATTATGTGAAGACCAAAGAATCAGCAAAAGATCTGGTTCGTGTTTTATAACTCTTGTCATTATTCCTTCTATTATAGGACTAGATCTTTTCCATCAATTGGAAAAATCTGGATGAAATTATTTCTGCACTTAATGGTATCGTTAACATATTTTATCATTAAAATACTTTAAAAATTATAAATTTTATTTAACACATAACTAAGTCTGTTATGCTTTAGTCTGCTGTTTGAATGTTACATTTCATGTGCTAATTTGTTTGAATTATACTGTAATATTTTTATACATTTTCACTTGATGCTTTGTAATTATTTAAAATTATAAGGAATTACATGAAATAGTGGTATTGTCATTTTGCTGTGGTACTGAAAACACTGAGGTGAACTAACAGTCTCATTTCTGCTTTATTTCCCTAGATCTACTGTAACCAGATAATCGCCCTTTGTTATGTGCCCATGGCAGGCAGTACAACAAGTATAAATTACACAGAACTTAAAATTCCCTCATTTAATTTCACTGAACAGGAGGACAAACTTTCCCCTTTACCGTTTCAGATGCACTAAAAGCACAGGTGGTAACTTCCAGATTTCTATCTTTTTTAGAGAATCCCGTCGAGCTCTGCAATGACTGCAGTAAAATCTGTTGTTATCTGTGAGTTTTTCTTCTTTGGAAAATAATCTAAGGCAATCCTGGCAGAAAAAAACAAGTAGCAGATACTCGTTAATTCGATTCTTCAATAATGTCAGAGAGCACCTATTTAGTTAGTCACTCTGCAGGCACCAGTGATTCAACAGCAATCTACACAAAAGAGTTCCTGCCTTCCCAAAGCTTGTGATCTAGTGAGAAGCATAGACAAGTGAACAATGACAGCACAGAGTGTGGTGAGTGCTACCTACAGTGTGTTGTGACAGGACACAGGAAAGCCCCTAACCTGGTCAATCAGAGAAACCCTGTTGGAGGAAATGACATTCTGGAGGTACTTTAAGACTAAAGGTATCAACAAGCTTTTATATAAGAAACATTGTTGATACATGGAAAACAGGATATTTATTTGATATCCCCATGTAAAGCAAATGCTTATGAAAAGTAGGCCTAAGTTAGTCAACAGACAACTTTCCAAATTAACTTATAAAACTTTTTAAAAACATACTAACAATCCTGAAATCCTGAAAGAATATTTAATAAAGGTATCTTTAAAAAAGAAATTTCTAATTCTTTCTAATCTACATAGGCCTAATTATAAAACAGAATTTATATTGAGTTTTACTGATAAAAGGTTTTTTTTTTTTTTTTTTTTAAGACGGAGTCTTGTTCTGTCCCCTAGGCTGGAGTGCAGTGGCGAGATCTCAGCTCACTGTAAACTCCGCCTCCAGGGTTCACGCCATTCTCCTGCCTCAGCCTCCTGAGTAGCGGGGACTACAGGTGCCCACCACCACGCCCGGCTAATTTTTTGTATTTTTAGTAGAGATGGGGTTTCACCGTGTTATCCAGGATGGTCTCGATCTCCTGACCTCGTGATCCGCCCACCTCGGCCTCCCAAAGTGCTGGGAGTACAAGGTATGAGCCACTGCGCCCGGCCGAGTTTTACTGATAAAATGTTTGTAAGGGTAAAGACCAGAAATTTACATCTCTATATCCATAAAAACAGCATTTTTATCCAATAAATCATTTTCTCTCTACTTCTTAAACTTACCTGTAATGTACATTTACTTGTGGATGCTAGTGGTAGAGACAAATACATGAAGGCCTCAAATGTCCTAGACTTTTTGTGACATGTGAGGCACTGTACTGTAGATTTGAATTGACCCTGAAAAAGTGCAACAATAATAGACTCATTGAGCTGCTTGTGTTTCTGCCAGGCATGTTCTGCAGCTTTAAAGTCATCGAGATGATCATTATTTTCTTCTTTATATCTCTTCCGATTATCAGCCTGGAAATAAAATGATTTAAGCTCTATATTAATATCTCAAAGAAAACATTTAAATTGAAAGAATAAAAGTGAATACAAACACTTGCCAGATTTAGAAACACCTGTAGTTCTCATAAAGGAGTTCTGATCTCACTGAGTGTGGCAAAAAATAATTCTAGCCAAAAATACCAAAAAAAACTCACTCACTTTATTGAAGGAATGTGACTTGTTGAAATTTCCCAAATTTTTATTTAAAAAGCTGAAAAGGGCCAGATGTGGTGGTTCATGCTTGTAATCCCAGCATTCTGGGAAGCCAAGGCAGGAGGACTGCTTGGGGCCAGGAGTTCGAGACCAACTTGTGCAACATAGTGAGACCCCCCCCTCCAATCTCTACTAAAAAAAGAAAAAGCTAAAAAGTTTGGTTTTTAGAAAAGATATCCCACATATAGCTGGGAATTAGGGCTACAACTGGACATATATAATTTTGTTGCCCTAGCCTCTCTCTCTCTATATATGTATATATGTATGTGTATATATATGTGTATATATGTATGTATATATACACGTATATATGTATATATGTATGTGTATATATATGTGTATATATGTATGTATATATACACGTATATATATATACACAAATATTTTTGTGTAGGTGTGTGTGTATATATATATATATCTGTTCAGTGGTTAAGAATGGTGACCCCAAAATATGTGAGACAAAAAGTGCTAAAAAGAAGTTGTAGTATGTAAATGGAGGGTGGTCATTTATGTATACATACATGCCTTTATAATAACTAGTCACATGAGTCATTTGGTTACATGGAGTAATTTTTTTTTTTTTTTTTTTTAGAAAGAGTCTCACTCTGTCGCCCAGGCTGGAGTGCAGTGGTCACTGCAATCTCGGCTCACTGCAACTTCTGCCTCCCAGGTTCAAGCGATTCTCCTGCTTCAGCCACCTGAGTAGCTGGGATTACAGGCACATGCCACTACACCCAGCCAATTTTTGTATTTTTAGTAGAGACGAGGTTTTGCCATGTTGGCCAGGCTGGGCTCAAACTCCTGACCTCAGGTGATCCACCAGCCTTGGCCTCCCAAAGTACTGGGATTACAGGCATAAGCCACTGTGCCCAGCCAAGTAATTCTTATTTTAGAAGGATGTGTAAGAATAAAGGCATGTTCCACTTTCAGCAAGGGACTGGGAAAAAGAAAAGAATAAGGATATGTACAATAACATATACATATTATATAAACATAACATACAATAAAAATGCTCAAACTGTCTATAATCTTTTATAAGATCATTTGTTTATGATTTTACTTTCACATACATGTGGGTCACAAACGCCAATAACTATTTTAACATTTGCAAATTTCTCAGCAATACTGCTTGTTAATTAGTAAATACCAACTGTATATGCTTCAAATATTACACTTACCTGATGTTTTATAATTCTCTTATACAGTCACTATTTGAATAAACAAGCACTGAACTATCACCAACTAGAATTTTAAACTGCTATAAAAATACAGTGCTACTGAGCAACCCTAAAGAGTCTCTGCAACTTAGAAAAATCAAATTTCTTACTTTATTTAGATCTTCATGGAGACCATCCATTAGGAACAGAAGCAATTCTTGTGAATCTTGCTGACTGTATCCTGCAAACTGGTCATTGATCTTCCCAATGGTGATTTTAAAGTCCTTTGGACTGATATATCTATACTGTCCTGTCCACAGGGCTTTCATGATTATACCAAATTCTTCTGCCACTTCACCTTTATGCCCCAACAAATTTGACCTGTGCAAATAAAAGTTGTTACAAAAGACAATAAAGGAAATTTAAAAGTTAAGCAAGGTACAGTAGATTCTTGATGTCAACATGAAATTATTCACATACTGTAGCACTACATTAAACTACTTATTTATTTGCAGGCTCACCACCAGATTCTCATCTGAATCTGACTTGCTTACATCCCTTCAGCTTCCTTCTTTTGGCTGCAAGCCCTGCATGGTCTCCTCATCATCAACAGGCTCCAGTTCATGACAGCGAGGTTCTGCCTTCTGGCACTGCTCTCATCCTGTCTGTCCTTTACTAATCAGAGAAGGCTTTACTCTTTTTTGAGATAGGGTCTCATTCTGTCACCCAGGCTGGTGGAGTATAGCGGCACAATCACGGCTCACTGCAGCCTTGACCTTCTGGGCTCAGGTGATCCTCCCACCTTAGCCTCCCAAGTAGCAGGGACTATAGGCATGTATCACCACACCTAGCTAATTTTTGTAGAGACGGAGTTTTGCCTTGTTGCCCAGACTGGTCTCAAACTCCTGGGCCCCAAGTGATCTGCCCACGTCAGCCTCCCAAAGTGCTAGGATTACCAGTGTGAGCCACCATGCCCAGCCTTCATTATTCCTAAGGATAAAGATATTTTCCCCTTTCCTAATTTGACTTTTCTGGAGCTGAGTGGTAAGTACTATGGTTTGAAAGGTAAAATGGGTTCTTGATGTCAACATGAAATTATTCACATACTGTAGCCCTACACCAAAATGCTTACTTATTCATAGGTTACCACCAGATTCACGTCAAATATTCCAAAATTCAGGTGTTGCCAATGTGACAGGATTAAGAGATGGGGCCTTTAAAGAGGTGATAAGGCCATGAGGGCTCCCCTCCCGGGTGAACAGGATTAGGTGCCGTTTAGGGCTCGACAGGACGAGTCTGTCCTCTTTCGCTTCCACCTTCTACCCTGTGAGGATGCAGCAAAAAAGCGCACCAGATGCCGGCACCTAGACGATGGCCTTCCCAGTCAAGAACTAAGAGAAAATAAATTTTTGTTCTTTACAAATTATCTAGTCTTAGGTATTTTGTTATAGCAGCAGAAAACTAATGGACTAAGACAGTAAATATGGTTAGATCATCCTTTTAGCATTATAATGCAAAAAGTATGACATGTATTTACCTGTTAATATCATCCTGATAACAGTTTCGGTTGAAATAATCAGCCAAATGTGGAGCGTTACATAGGCACTGCAATATTGAGTTCATATAACAAGTATTTCCTAAGTTACGAAGTCCAGTAAGAGCTGGTCCAGAACCTCCAAAAACAGGATTGAGGTTCCGAATCTGAGAAGCAGAAAGCCTTGAGATCTCAGCTTTAGGATAACATGTTGGCCTGAGGAAGAAAAAGGATACAAGATGTCTTAAAATGCTGAGCATATGAAATTAAGGTTCTATACTATAAATGGCAGCAAACTGTAGCACCTGTACCACAGGCATCTTGTAAACAGTTAATATGTTAACTCATAAGATGCTGGGCCTTCCAGGACATTTAATATTTAGGTTAACATTAGTCATACGACTAAGGTCTCAGACCTTCCCATGAAACACATACCTTTAACCTCTTAATGTGGGTCATGGTTCTTAGAGACACCTTGAGATAGATTATCTCACTTCTCATGAACTAGGAGCTCTAGTAGAGAAGGCTCTTTTAAACTCCTTTAAATGATCCCTGGAAGTTTGGCATTATCAAATGTTTGAACTCACCCAGAATGCCAAATGAGGAATAATAAAAAAATAAAAACAAAAACAAAAAAAACCATACCGTGGAGTAGATATCAAGGGAAGCAGAGGTTATTTGGGTACTATTACTTAAATTCTAGAGTGTGTTGACTATTCACGGATGGATACACAATCACAGTAAAAAAATACAGTTCCAGCTGGGCTCAATGGCTGTCTATAATCCCACCACTTTGGGAGGCCGAGGTGGGCAGATCACCTGAGGTCAGGAGTTTGAGACCAGCCTGGCCAACATGGTGAAACCCCGTCTCTACTAAAAATACAAAAAGTAGCTGGGCATGATAGTGGACGTCTATAGTCCCAGCTACTCAGGAGGCTGAGGCAGGAGAATCGCTTGAGGAGGCAGACGTTGCAGTGAACTGAGATCATGCCACTGCACTTCAGCCTGGGCAACAGGGTGAGATTCCGTCTCAAAAAAAAAAAATTCCTTAGTTGCACTAATCACGTTTCAAAGTAGACACAAACCATACTGGACAGCACAGATACAGTACATTTCTATCACCATGGAAAGATCTGCTGGACAGTGCTGGGGCAGAGAATGCCTTCTAGACTTCTGTAATATGGTGTGTTTGATTTATATGTGGAACTACTAGAACTGCTGAAGCATAAGGAAAATCTTAACTGATAGGTCTTTTTTCTTTTTTAATTAATCCTTAACGTTCTTCCACCCCTAAAAGTAATACTGAGAACAGATTAAACTATATTTCAATCAGCTCCTCTTTACCTGTACTCAGGTGCATGTACTCGTGTGCTTTTTCTGTTCAATATATAAAAAAATACACAAACAGCATACAGTCCTTAAAACATTATCAAATTAACACACTTAAGAATGATTCAAGAAGAAATTAAATCTCACTAGTTATTATAATGAACTCTAAAATCTATAACAAGATTAATAGAATTTTTAAAAGCTCCTTCGAATAAGTCTGCACCTGGCAGGGTAAGTTCTCAGGAAGAAAAAATTTCAACTTTCTTAGGATGTGTTCAACTTACTTAGGATTAGGCTTAAAAGAGCCTAATTAAAATTCCTTAGCAAATACAAGTGTATAATAAATGGGAAAAAAATCATTTATTTATACTTCCACCTATTGCCCCCCTCCTCCCAAAAAAGTAAGTAAAGATTAGAAGTGGTACACAGACTTAAATCATCTCCTCATAGCCCTATCAGTCATAAGCTAAGAGGATTCCAAAAGGGACGAAGCCAGAAGTATAGCTAAATGAAACTATTTTGGGAAACCTAACCTATTGGTCAATATTTGTAAACAGAATAGCAAAACTACAACGAAGGAAAAGGGAACAGAATAAGGATTAGAGGATGATATACTAAAGTGCTTGTTATTTTAATACTATAGGAAAACTTCGCTTACATTATTGGCTAAGGGGAAAAAAAGTTTGGAACTTGAGTGCTGCAACAAGGCAAGCTCAATATTGCTGAAAATTATGGTCCTCAAAGGGAGATTCCGGGACCACAGGCGGTCTATGAAAAACGTGAGGGTACTCTGGCATGAAACTGTAAAACATAACAATGATTTTATATCTACATTAACACTTAAAATAATCCTCTCTGGTATGATATTAAGTGAGCACTTGGGAGAAAAACCAACAACATTTTCTCTATTCATTTGTTTTGTTCTCTGTGGTAAATAATAACGGCTGGTATAGCCATCCACAGAAATTTCCAACTCCCTGACACTAACATACTGACAGATTCAGAGTAGAAACTTTGAAATACAGCACATTATTTTAGTTCTAGGAGTTAAGATAAACATACTTGTTTTCCCGATTAACTGTTGGAGTTACTGTTGGCTTCCTCTTCTCTTCCTCTTGAATAGCCTGGGTTATATCTGGGGAGGAGTAGGAGCGCTTCAGTTTGGAAGGTTCCCTATCCCGCTCAGCAGGAATCTGTGGCTTGGCTTTATGAGTTGGAGGGGTGGAAGGAGGTGCAGATGAAGGAGCCATTTCCGGTGGGTACATATGAACAGTGTTGGTGGGTGAATGATAATAACGAAAGGTTCCAGTGATTGGGTCAAGAAACTTAGATGGAAAAGAAAAAAAAAAACAGGTCAAAAAACAAAAATAAGCATTATATAAACAAAGAAATCACTCCAAAGTATTCTGCTAAATTTACTTTTGGATTAAAATAATTCGAATAAAATGGCGATAAACTTCAAAAGAAATTTAGGTTTTAAAGTAATACACTATTTCTAAATGATAAATGCCAGAATGCTCATATATTGTAGCCAGCATCTCAGGTTGGGTATTGAGAAATCTCACCCTGTTATAATTAGGGGAATAAGCTATGTTCTCTATAATGGAGAAATGGAATTGACTCTGCATTACAGAAGATGTAAAATAAACAAATAAAACATTTTTTAGGAACACAGTGGCTATTTTACTGCTAATTCTGACTTTTACCTTGGCCCAGCCTGAAGGCAGTCCTGGTACGATCCTCCCCATTTCTTCACTTCGTGCTCTTGTCAAAGGTTCTCGTTGAGCCTAATTAAAATAAAATAAAAAAAATTAAAAAAAAATTTTTTTTAAATCTGATTTTTCAATTAAATTTTGTCATATAAAAACTTAAGCTACTTGTACCAAAGAATCAAAAAACCTTGCCTTGGCTGCCCTTCATATTTTAAAAAACAGATTCAGAGATGAAAAAAATTATCTTTTTCTCAAAGTACAAATATTACTATACCAAGGTGTAGAGGAGTATGTCTAAGCCTGTAATGATAGCAGGTGGCAAGGTGGAGGTAGATGGCCTTCTGTGGTAGTTCACGGGGAGGAAGACAGTGGATCCAAGCAAATAAGAAAGGCCACATTTTTTTTTTTAATTTTGCATCTCAAGGTATTTTAGTCAAAATTTTTTTTTTAGTTTTCCACAGCAAACGATTACGTAAAATATAAACCTAATGTATTCTTTAGGACTAAGTGTGCCTTTTCTCTATATGCTAAGAGGTGTAAGTAGAGAATAGACGTTATAGTATCCTAGCAAATGAATATTCACAAGAAAGGCTACAAAACTTCATTATCTTGGCTTATTCTAAATCTACCTAAAGTCATCTTGCTCTCCTAACATTTCTTCTTCTATATTCATTCATCCCACAAAATACTGATGAAATGTTATATAAGTAAAAACAAGCCAATATATTGAGGCATCAACCTCAATATAATTGAATGTGATACTTCCACTTCCTTTAAAAAATTAATAGAAAACAAAAACGCCTGATGAACCACCCATTTCTATTTTTATATTCTTCATGTCTTAAGATACATACATTCTAGGCCAGGCAGGGTGGCTCATGCCTGTAATCCAGCACTTTGCGAGGCCAAGACAGGAGGATCTCTTGAGCCCAGGAGTTTTGAGATCGGCCTGGGCAACACAGACCCCGTCTCTATAAAAAAATTTTTAAAATTAGCCAGGTTTGGCCGGGCACAGTGGCTCACGCCTGTAATCCCAGCGCTTTGGGAGGCCGAGGCAGGTGGATCACCTGAGGTCAGGAGTTCGAGACCAGCCTGGGCAACATGGTGAAACCCCATCTCTACTAAAAAAAAAAAAATCCAAAAATTAGCCAGCCATGGTGGTATGCACCTATAATTCCAGCTACTTGGGAGACTGTGGCAGGAGAATTGCTTGAACCTGGGAGGCGGAGGTTGCAGTGAGCTGAGTTTGTGTCACTGCACTCCCGCCTGGGTGGCAGAGCGAGACTCCATCTCCAAAAAAAAAAAAAAAAAAAAAAAAAAAAAGCCAACCTTGATGTGATGGCATGCACCTGTGGTCCTAGCTACTCAGGAAGCCGAGGTGGGAGGATCGCTTGAGGCAAGTGGTCAAGGCTTGAGCCCAGGTGGTCAGGTGAGCTATGATCATGCCACTGTACTCCTGCCTGGTGACAAATTCTGTTGAATACAAACATGTAATAAATAGAATATGTGTGCTGGAAAAAAATTCTGTCAAAATGAAGGCAAATGGCACAACTAAATATCCACATGCAAAAAGATGGATTTAGATCCTTACCACACTGTATATAAAAATTAACTTGAAATGGATCATAGATCTAAGCACCAAAACTGAAACCTTAAGAAGAAAACATCTTCATTACTTTAGGACTTTGGGTCAGAAAAAATGTTCCTTAGATACAATACCAACAGCACAATCCACATGTGAAAAATATGACAGAATGGACTTCCACAAAAACTTCTGTGCTTCAAGAAACTCCATCAAGAAAACGAAAAGATAAGCCACATATTGGGAGAAAATGTTTGCAAATGTCATTTAAAAAAAGTTTAGAGATGGGGTTTCACTACATTGCCGAGGCTGTTCTTGAACCCTTGGCACAAATGATTCTCTTGCCTCACTCTCACAAGTAGCTGGGTCTGCAGGCTTGTGCCACCACACCTAGGCTTATACTTATACTGATTATGACCTTAGGGATTTTAAAAACACTGCCCTCAAGCATTTAGCACAGTGCTAGAGACATAGTAGTTGCTCAGCAAATACAGTAAGTTTTATTGAGCCTTCTTAATGCGTGAGAATTACTTTAAAATGCTATTTCATCAATACTTAGTTGTCTGTGGCATTTTACACAGAATGAGTGTAGAGTGGATCATACAGTATGAGATTTAAGACAGCCAGAAGATATATTGAGTACCCTTGCTTCCTGAAGGGCAGAGATGGGGCAAGATGGTGGGTGGCCAACAAAGACACTTTAGTTTTCCTTTCAATGTTGCCAAAGACCTTGGCTGTAGCTGGTGTGAAGCCCTGCTTAGAATGTCAGGACCAGTGGGAGTAACTGCAAACCTCAATTTTCACTTTCTATTTTTTAGTCTTCACTTTGTGGTTCCAGTCATCTAATCCCTACTCTTTCTCTTTAAAAGGAACAGAAGGATGTCAGAAGAAGAGAAGGCATGTGTGTGTGTCTCTCTCTCTCTCTCTCTCTTCATTTTCTCTTATTGTTAACTCATTTTCAGCTCCTTTGGGTTTCACTTTTGGAGCACTGCTGTTTGACTAAGGCTTAAGTTCTTAATTTTTGTAAGGCTTACACATCTTAAGAAATTTTATTTTTCGTTCTTAGAAGAACTTTAATAAAACGTGTTTTTTTCTGTTTTTATTTTTCCATAGGTTATTGGGGTACAGGTGATATTTGGTTACATTAATAAGTTGTTTTTTTTTTTTCCCCAGATGGAGTCTTGCTCTGTTGCCCAGGCTGGAGTGCAGTAGCGTGATCTAGGCTCACTGCAACCTCTGCCTCCTGGGTTCAAGCGGTTCTCCTGCCTCAGCCTCCCAAGTAGCTGGGACTACAGGCACACGCCACCACACCCGGCTACTTTTTGTTGAGACAGAATTTCATCATGTTGGCCAGGCTGGTCTCGAACTCCTGAACTCAAATGATCCTCCCACTTCAGCCTCCCAAAGTGTTGGGATTACAGGTGTGAACCACCGCACCCGGCCATTAGTAAGTTCTTTAGTGGTGATTTGTGAGATTTTAGTGCACCCATCACCTGAGCAGTATACACTGCACCCTATTTGTAGTCTTTTATCTCTTGCCCCCAAGTCCCCAAAGTCCATTGTATCATTCTTACACAACATGGTTTTAATGGGTTATGTGTTATGTTTAGTTAATCTTAGATCTAAACAAATAAATTGTATAAATTATTTGACTTCTGTAGTTAATGAACTTTTTTTGTATAAATATCAATGGGTTTGTTGTTGCTGTGGCTCTTTAACTGTTGCAGTCAAAAATAAGAAAACTGTGAATTCAGTCAGTCATTCTAGCCTTAATATATTTTATGTCATTTTTTCCCCTTTTGTTTGAGACAGGGTCTCACCCTTGTTGCCCAGGCTGGAATGCAGTAGCATGATCATGGCTCACTGTATCCTTGACCTTCCCAGGATCAGGTGATCCTCCCACCTCAGCCTCTCAACTAGCTGGGACTACAGGCAGGCGCCACCAAACCCAGCTAATTTTTTAATATTTTTTTCTAGAGACAGGGTTTTGCCATGTTGCCCAGGCTGGTCTTGAACTCCTGGGGCTCAAGCGATCCACCTGCCTCAGCCTCCCAAAGTGCTGGAATTACAGGCAGGAGCAACCATACCCTTTTTTCCCCCTCTTTCTGTGGAGAAATGGGGTCTTGCTATGTTGCCAAGGCTGGTCTCAGATTTTTTTAATGGCAAAATACAGCAGAATGACCTAACAAAAATTTAACATGTTAAATTCACATAGATTTAGATTGGATATGGAGTCAGTCCTCTGTATTCATCGGTTCTGCATCTGTGAATTCAACCATCCACAGATTGAAAATACTTGAAAAAAATAACTCTGGGTGTACTGAACATGTGCAGGCTTTTATTATCCCCTAAACAATACAGGATAACATCTACTTTCATAGCATTTACATTGTGTTAGGTATGTAATCTAGAGATGATTTAAAGTATATAGGAGGATGTGTATAGGTTATATGCAAACACTATACCATTTTATATAAGGGACTTGAGCATCCTCAGATTTTGGTATGAGAGGGAGGTAGTGGAACCAGTCATCTACAGATACCAAGGGAAGACTGTATATATATCCCAGAGAAGGCAGATCTATGGAGACAGAGTAGACTCAGTGTTGCCTGGGCTTTAGGGTAGACTAAATTGGGCATGGGGTCATTTTGGTGTGACGGCAATGTTCTAAAATTGGATTGTATTAATGGTTTCACAACACTAAATTACTAAAAAAAAAAAAAAAAAAAAAAAAAAAAAAAAATCACTAAACTGCATGCTAAAAATGGGTGAATTTTATGGTATGCAAATTGTATCTCAAGCTCTGAAGGAAAAACAAAGGCAAAGAAGCCTTTTTTTTTTTTTGAAATGGAGTCTCACTCTGTTGCCCAGGCTGGAGTGCAGTGGCCCGATCTCGACTCACTGCAAGCTCCGCCTCCCTGGTTCATGCCATTCTCCTGCCTCAGCCTCCCGAGTAGCTGGAACTACAGGTGCCTGCCACCACGCCCGGCTAATTTTTTTTTTTGTATTTTTAGTAGAGACGGCGTTTCACCATGTTAGCCAGGATGATCTCGATCTCCTGACCTCGTGATCTGCCTGCCTGGGATTACAAGCGTGAGCCACCGCTCCCAGCAAAGATGTCTTATACAAAGCCTATGTATTTAAAAAATTGTGATGAAATACACATAACATAAAATTTACCATCTTAACCATTTTTAGGTGCACTGGTTAGTGATACTAAGTATATTGCTGTGCCAACAATCTCCAGAACTCTTTTCATCTTGTAAAACTGAAACTCTGTACCTACTGAACAATAACTCCCCATTTCCCCTTTCTCCAGCTCTGACAACCACCATTCTACTTTCTGTCTCTATACATTTGCCTACTTTACAAACCTCATAGAAATGGAATCATTCAGTATTTATCCTGAAACTGGCTTATTTCACTTAGCAAATGACCTCAAGATTCATCCATGTTGTAACGTGTCAGAATTTCTTTCCTTTTTAAGGCTGAATAATATTCCATTACATGTACATACCATATTTGTTTATGCATTCACCTGCTGATGGACATTTGGGTTGCTTCCATTTTTTGGCTATTATGAATAATACTCTAAGAACATGGGTGTACAAATACTTCTTGTTTGCAATTCTTTTGGGTATATACCCTGAAGTAGAATTGCTGGATCATATGGTAAGGCCTAAACATTTTTTACTTTCATAAAATAAATAGAATACGCTGTCACACTTTAAACAGGAAGACAAACTATTTCCTTTAGCATATAAATGGATTGATCATGCAAAAACAAGCAAAACACCAGCTACCAAAGATGGCAACGATCCCCTTACACTGTAGATCTCATGATAAAAGATAGCAGTGTGGTAAGATAATCACATAGTTATAATCCATGTTTGGCTTTTTTTTCCAGTTTTTTCCTGCAATAAACTACTTACTTTATTTCTTTCGGTATCGTCTGTATCCTCTCTAAAAGTTCCTGTCCTTAGAATTCCACTTTCTGGTTGTCCTTTAATCTTAAATGGCTGTAAAATTATTAAAATTACAGAAGTGAAAGAAAACTTTAATTCTCCTCCCAACATAAAGCTACTAGCTAACACAACCGAATCTATGAGAATGAAAATGTAAAAGGAGAAAAAAAAGGCCTCTGAAAATTTTATTATATTTTACTGTCACATTCAAAATACTTAAAAAACTAAAGAACTCTGATGAATCAGTGAAGAAAAAAAAAAGATGAAAATCAAAGTGGACTGTGAAGCACTGGTTCACACTACATGGCCAAGTATAAAATGCTGATCATTAATGTATATTCACCATGACCTAATTTGAACATTATTCTTTTATTTAAATACTATTACGATTTTGGTTATCTTGAAAGGAGTTGTGCTTCAAAAAATTTGAAGTATTCAAGAGAAAGAAGAAATTAAGATACAGACCAATAGTAAAAAATGCAAAAATCTATATTCATATCTTCTTATAACATCACAGATTCTTTTTTTTTTTTTGGAGACCGAGTCTCGCTCTGTCACCCAGGCTGGAGTGCAGTGGCACGATCTTGGCTCACTGCAACCTCTGCCTCATGGGTTCAAGTGATTCTCCTGCTTCAGCCTCCCAAGCAGCTGGGACTACAGGCGCCCGCCACCACACCTGGCTAATTTTTTATATTTTTAGTGGAGACAGGGTTTTACCGTGTTAGCCAGGATCATCTTGATCTCCTGACCAAGTGATCCGCTCGTCTAGGCCTCCCAAAGTGCTGGGATTATAGGCGTGGGCCAACGCGCCCGGCCCGTAGATTCTTTTTAAAAACTCATTTTTGTTTTATATCTTATTTTAAAATAACTCTACTAAAAACTTTTTAAAATTAGTGATAATTTTAACAAAATTTATTCTAGAATAAATTACATATTTCTCCTACTTTTAAAAGGAGCACACAAAGAATGCAATCTTAGATGTGTAGGAATATTTGGCACCTATATACTAAATGACTCCACAAATATGAATGATTTAAGTTCTAAAGACTGCATGCCTCTAGTATAGCAAGATGGAAAAGAAGTGGCTTTGGAATCTCACTGTCTATGTGATCCTAGGCAAATACTTAACCTCTAAACTTCAGTTTCACTTGTAAATTAAATACCTTATGGGGTTATCATTAGGGGTAAATAAGACAATGCAGTGAAAATACTTGGCATATAGTAGCTACTCAATGAATAATACTTAAATTGTATCTTGGAGTGCACATGTTTTGCTCCTCCTGTGAATAAAATTAGAGAGTTTTAGTACATGGGCTTCATATCCCCAATTTGGGGTGTTTAGAAGGTTTTTGGATGGAAGCTATCTTTTTTAATAGCAGAGGTTACCAGATAAGTGTTCCCTGGATAAGAGCAGCTTGACTATGAATTAATTTTGGTAACATGCCTGAATTGTGTTTGAGAAGTATAGAAATTGACATTCTGTAAAGATGGTATCCCGCCTTCCATTAGAAGTCATTTCCACACTACTAAAAATGTTTTTTCCATTTATACATATGTAAAAAGGACCATAACTGTTCTTGGTATTATAAACATATACTTGGTGTTCAAAAGGAAAAGGCATTGTTAATGACATAATGAAGAAAAAAAGAAAAGCATAGCATTATTAGAGATTGAAAAAGAATAACAAAAAAAGTCCCCTAAAATTACGGCTATCAATTTTGGGTGTGTAGCCAAGGGCAAAATTAATTGGGTTATTTGCCAATATTATTTAAATAGATAAAGCAAGAAACAAAATGACACCGATCTGACCAAAAAATCACTATATGCAAAGATAAATGTTAGGCCATTTAGATGTCACTGATTTTGGATATATTCTAAACAGATATAAATTCTATCATACAAATATTAGCATCTAGTTTCCCCATACTGAGAAGGAGATTATATTTCACTCTAGTCTTCCCATGATCATACATCAAACATAAAAATGAAGAATGTAGCTATTTATCTCAATTATTTGAAATATATTGCATTTTATAGATGTAATATACAAAAAGCAATTTCATTCCCAACCAATCATTTCATAAATGTATGGCACTGGCCTCAAAGGAGAATAGATGAGCAAATGTGGATAGATCAGTACATTCTATCACCCCTGAAAAGACTATTTGAAATGCCTGCCCTTTTATGGAATGCCACTGGTGTTTTCACATTTTCATATACATTTTCTTTCACTTCGTTGGCAATTTGTACTGTTTCTGCTTACCTTGCCTGAACCTGAATCCCCTGTCACAGATGTATGGGGCACATCTCCTGTTGACTTTTTCTGTATTTCTGGGGTTGGACACCTTTTCCCCCTATCTTCTACAGATTTCTTGGCATCAGAAGTTTCATGTTCACTTTTACTTTGTCTTTTTACTCCTGTTATTTCTTTGCCCCTCTTTGCTGAGGTTTCTTTATCTTCTTTCTTGGCCTGTTCACTTTCTTTCTTCTCCATTTCTTCTTTTGCTTTTTGTTGCTTCTCTGTAATTTCATTTTCTTCAGCTTCTTGTTTCTTTTTGGCTTTTTGTTCTTGTTCTTCCTTCCTCAGTTTCTCTTTCTGTTCCTCTTGCTGCCTTTCCCGAAGTTCTTTTTCTTGTTTGTTTTTTTCCATTAGAAGAGCAGTTTCTGCATGAATACGAGCCTTTTCTTCATCTGTTAACATGAGAGTTGGAGAAAAAACTACTGGCTTGGTGGAACGATCAGGAATAACTTTTCCACTCTGAGGAGATTGTTGCTCATGGTTTGTACTTTCAGATTTTATTCTATGCTCTTCAGGCAATTTGACTGCTGGTTTTTTAGTACGATCAATCTAGAGCAACAAAACCAGAGCAAAACATTTTTGTCAAAAATCAGGAAATAACCTCAGTTCTTGAGATCAAGTTGTGATAAAAGAAGTGTCACTTTGTGGAGACAACATCTATCAGCACATCTATTTGTTAATTACTCAGTGTCAAGATTTCTCATAAAACAGAACTTGAATGGTAGATATTCAAACATCACTGGAACTTACATCCTCTTGATTCAACACTTTCAATTCTTCCTGAGTGTTTTGTATACAAAAGAGTTAAAAATGTCTTTATTCTAAAACATAAAACCTAGACCTGGGCATACTTAGACTTAAGTTCCACTTCCAGGTATCCAAATGCCTACCCAATATTTCCATTTGAGTGTCAACACATGTATCTCAAACCCCATACAGCCAAAACGGATTCACGATTCCCCCCACCCCGACAAACATGGTCCTAATCTCATGGATGTAACCACTCTCACTCTCCCAATAGTTGCACAAATCAAAAACCTGAGTCCCATGATATGTTCTTCCCATATCCTTCTGCACGCTGTTAATTTTCCTCCTATATCTGTCCCTCCATCTCTTCTACCACAGGCTAAGACCATGTCAACCTCCTCTCTCACCAGGACTACAGCATAGCTTTCAACTAGTTGCCCATCTCTTCTCTTGCCCCCGCCCCCCAATCTGTTTCTCCACATTATAGCCAGAGGACTCATTTTAAAACAAATTTGATTTGCTACCCACTATGCTCTCAGTACACCTAAAATCTTTACCATAGTCTGTAATGCCCTGTATGGTCTTACATCTGCCTACCTCTCCAGTCATATGGCTGTGTATACCAGCTATACTTGCCTTAAAAAAAAAATTATTCCAAGATGCCATGCTCCTTCCCAACTTAGGTCTATCAGCTGTTCATCTAGATAATGCCCACATTAGGTCTTGGCTTACACATCTCTCCCTCTGAAAAGACTTCCCTGGTTCCTAGAACTAGCCAAGTCCCCTGATACATGCTCTTATAATACTTTATTCTTCTCTACCGGAATTCTGATCAAATAACTATAATTACTTATTTAAAATTTTTCTTCCCTCCTAGAATATAAGCTCTAAAAGGATAAAGACTGTGCCTGGCACAGTTAGTAACTATGTTACTGAGGGAACAAATGCAATCTTCCCTAAAAACTTTTACATGAGGTAAAATACTAACTAGTTTCCTTCAGGTTGTGTAATAAACTACCTAAGTTCCTGATTTAATGAGTTAAATGTTTATTACCTCAATTTAACAGCATGTTAACACTAGAGAAGTGACCCTAACATCATTTCTTGAGAATACTGTGTACTGAAAGAAAAATAAAAACTTATAAGAACATGTGCCAATAACAATCTACATAGTGTTCTTACAAAACGAATTTATGTTTTTCTACTAGAAAATAAAAGAAGTTGCCAGGCGCAGTGACTCACGCCTGTAATACCAGCACTTTGGGAGGCCGAGCCGGATAGATCACTTGAGGCCAGGAGTTCGAGACCAGCCTGGGCAACATGGCAAAACCCCATCTCTACAAAAAAAATACAAAAATTAGCTGGGCGTGGTGGCATGTGCCTATAATCCCAGCTACTCAGGAGGCTGAGGTGGGAGGATTGCTTGAACCCAGGAAGTCGAGGCTGCAGTGAGCTGTGATCACGCCACTGCACTCCAGCCTGGGTGAGAGAGTGAGACCGTTTTCAAAAAAAAAAGAAAAGAAAAAGAAAACGAGGTTAGTGTAGAAAAAATAATTTTTTTCCTGTTCACTTCTCTTTCTGCCTCTTAAAAAAAATCCTTTGTCTTTTTTTTTGCATGTATTTGAGAATAAAGTAGGAAGAACCACTATGGGGATGAGGTTAACAATAAGAGGTGGAACAGAAACAAAAATAAATGTTGTTTCCATTTACATTTTGGTGGCTTGATCTATTTTTCCCTAATTTTAAAAGTATAGTTATGATCATGTTACTCTCAAGTTTAAAATTCTTTAATGGTTCCTTGTGCCTACAGGACAAAATTCAAATTTGATCCAAGTCTCTCTTGATGACTCTTGTCCATCCTTCTAATCTTATCTACTATCATAACTTCCTCTCTCCAACAGAGACTAGCGCCCACATATGCCAAAACTGTTCACTGGCCCCAGAGCATGCCCTATGCCTTTGGTCATAGAATTTTCTACTTGTTTCTTCTATCCTCCAATCCTACTCTTAAAGCCCAGATAAAATACTGTCTCCTCCATGAAGACGTCCTTGATCTTCTCAGCTAGAATATTCTCCTTGCTCTGTGCTCCAGTGCCTTGTAGAGCAATTATGATATTCTGCCTTATGCTGTGGCTGATTTTATACAGATCTCTCCTTCCAAACATCAGAAGAACCCATCTCTTGTATATACAAACTTTCATGCTGTCTTATTTTTATTTTTATTTTTTTTTGAGACAGAGTCTCACTCTCACCCAGGCTGGAGTGCAGTGGCCTGATCTCGGCTCACTACAACTCTGCTTCCTGGGTTCATGTGATTCTCCTGCCTCAGCCTCCTGAGTAGCTGGGACTGCAGGCACGCACCACCACGCCTGGCTAATTTTGGTATTTTCAGTAGAGATGGGGTTTCACCATGTTGACCAGGCTGGTCTGGAACTCCTGACCTCAGGTGACCCACCTGCCTCCGCCTCCTAAAGTGTTGGGATTACAGGCACGAGCCATGGCACCCAGCCCTCATGCTGTTTTTTATATAGAAGATCTTCAAAATATGTCTGAAAATTGTACGTATCTCATAAAGTTATGTTGGGACACAAAAGGATTAGCGTTTAAATAGATTAAGTTGAAAGGAAATGCAATAACATAGAGAAGCTCTTTTTAGACTTTCCTAAATTCACCCTTTAAGAAAAGTTGTTTAATCACATCTATTTAGTCTGCAATTTATTCTGCAATACTAAAAGACCTTAAAAAAATGAAGAAATGAACCACTTCAGTTTATAACAAAAAATTACCAGATTTTCTATTCAATACCTGCTCCACAAATCAAACGTCATCCACTTTAAATGTGAAATACTGTTTTAAATATATCTGGGGAAAAAATTAAAAATGAATGCTAAAAAATGTTATTGGGAAATGCATGGAGGGGGAACATTAGTTAACCTTTCTTTAAATAAAGCCAAATGAAGGATATAAAAACTAAAATTTTTTTATTTGTAATGTCTTGGTTATTTAAAAACTTTTACATGATTATTGTTAAACATGCCTGTTATTTGCGTGTCAAATTCTAAGGAAATGAAACTAAAGCACTGTTTTAAAACCAAAATACTGACATCACATACCTATCATATGTAAGCCAAGCTATTTATGAAAATAATATGGGTCAAATTATAATACAAAAAATCCCAAAAGGGCTATTCTAATTCACTGTGATAATGCAATCTTTCATTGGCATTGTTTGTAGCAAATGGATCGCCAACTGGCTTGGAAACCCCTTAATTATCTACTCTAATATAGGCGTGGCGGTAATGCTGAATTATGATGAAAAATTTTTAAACAAAAAATTTATCAAAACATACAGACTGTTCTCATCGATACTTTTTTCTAAGATGTTAAAGGTTATATATTAAACTTCGTTTCTATACTATGTATTTAATTCTTTTTTTTTTTTTTGAGACAGAGTCTTGCTGTCACCCAGGCTGGGGTGCAGTGGTGCAATCTCGACTCACTGCAACCTCCGCTTCCTGGGTTCAGACAATTCTCATGCCTCAGCCTCCCAAACAGCTGGATTTATAGGCACCCACCACCATGCCCAGCTAATTTTTGTATTATTAGTAGAGAGGGGGGTTTCACCATGTTGGCCAGGTTGGTCTCAAACTCCTGACCTCAGGTGATCTGCCCCTCTCAGCCTCCCAAAGTGCTGGGATTACAGGCGTGAGGCACTGTGCCCAGCTATACTATATATTTAATATTAAAACAAAAGCGAGAATAATGTTAAAATCAAGAACATACCTGTGGAACATTCTTTATACTAGGCACTGGCTGAATTATGGGTGAAACATCAGATTTAGAAGCAGCAACTGGTTCAACTGGAGTTGATATATTCAGTGGTCCCATTCTCTCATTTTGACCACTTATCAATTCTATATTTTCATCTACTTCTATAGATGCAGGTGGCGTCTGGGCAGCAGGTTTAGAAGGAATTGATTCTTCCAATGAGGGATAAGTAAAATCCACTAAAATTCCAAAAATAAAAATGTTTTTTAGAATAGCAAACCCCATACACAGTACTTACATTTCTCATGCGTGTTAATGCAGTAATTAAATGTAAACTAAGTGAAAAAACAATTACAACAGTCTTAAAGAAAATGTGAACTTCCAGGCTTATATTTTTATGCCTGAAAACAAACTGCTCTCTAATAGGACAAATACACACACAACCAAGAATGTTACCGGGAAAACAATTTTAAACCATATTTTACCAAAGCAATTTTAAACAAAAATTTTCACATACATACATGAGATAGACACCTCTTCATTCTGGCGTCGTGGGGGTGGAGTGACCTTAGCATTTGTTGTATACTGGGGATAACAAAGGAGCCAGTTTTCATAGCCTCCCTCTAAAACCAAAGGCTCATTGCGCAGGACAGTTTTACTTTCCCACTATAAATAAGGAAATCATATTTTAAATAGGGCAGCAATCTTTCAACAGCTAAAAACACAACAAATCTAAATTTTAAAGTTGTTCCCTTAAGGACAAAATTTATCTTCTAAATAATGACAAAATGAGAACTGAATTCAAAATTCAACATTAAATGAAATGGTTATATAGGTGAGGTTTTAAAAACCATACAAATAATCAATGATCTTAGAAGAAAAATTAGAAAATAAATTACTAAATATAAAACAAAAATGACCCATAACCTCACCACCCCAATACCACTTTACATTCTGGAGTTTACTCTTATAGAGAGTTTTCAATAAAACCTTTATGATGTTGCTTTTCTATGAACATCTTTCATCACTATAGAGCTATATCATCATTTGCAATGCTAGGTAATATTCGACTACTGGTTGACTGATTGACAAGGTCTCACTCTATCACCCAAGTTGGAATGCAACGGCATAATCACGACTCACTGCAGCCTTGACCTCTTGGGCTCT
This sequence comes from Homo sapiens, assembly GCF_000001405.40. NCBI lineage: Eukaryota > Metazoa > Chordata > Mammalia > Primates > Hominidae > Homo > Homo sapiens. Next base: position 50,476,347 of record NC_000015.10, on the reverse strand, counting down.
ATTGATCCTCCCACCTCAGCCTTCCCAGTAGCTGGGACTTACAAGCACGCGCCAACACGGCCAGCTAATTTTTGTACTTTTCGTGAGCTGGGGTTTCGCCATGTTGCCCAGGCTGGTCTCGAACTCCTGGGCTTAAGTGATCGACCTGGCTCAGCCCAAAGTGCTGGGATTTATAGGCGTGAGCCGCTGCACATGGCCTATTCTACTTTATACACAGACCCCAAAACTGAGTCAATCGTTTGAACATTTGGGTTTTTTCCCCATTTAATTATAAGCAATGCTGAAATAAACACAAAAGATCCTTATACATGCACATACCTAGTCACCTCCTTAAGGAAAACTCCCAGAAAGGGAGTTGCTTAAGCTAAGGTACACGAACATTTTAAGGTTTTCAATATATTGCTAATCTTAGAAATGATCACTTAAAAATATATATAAATATATTGGTCGGGCACGGTGGCTCATGCCTGTAATCCCAGCACTTTGGAAGGCCGAGGCGGGAGGATCACCTGAGGTCAGGAGTTCGAGACCAGCCTGACCAACATGGTGAAACCCCGTCTCTACTAAACATACAAAAATTAGCCAGGCGTGGTGGCAGGCGCCTATAATCCCAGCTACTTGGGAGGCTGAGGCAAGAGAATCGCTTGAACCCGAGAGGCGGAGGTTGCAGTGAGCCAAGATAGCGCCACTGCACTCCAGCCTGGGGGATAAGAGTGAGACTTCATCTCGAAAAATAAATAAGTAAATAAATATATATATATGTGTGTGTGTACATATATGTGTGTGTATATATACATGTATATATATGTATTTCTTTAGGATAATTACCTAGGAGTAGAATTGCTGGTTTAATATGATGCCCAGTTGCCCTTCAGAAAGGCTATACCAATTTATACACTTAACCAACAGGATATGAGAATGCCCATTATACATCTTTATAATTTTTACAAAACTGATGAACATAAAATGGTATCTTGTTTTAATAAGCATTTCTTTATTGGTGAAGTTGGACATTTTTTCATTTATTTACTATGGATTTATATTGTTCTATGACTTAACTATTTAATAATTGTATCCTTTGCCCCTTTTTCTATAGTTATTTGCAATTTTTTTAGTAAACAGTGAATGTACTCTGAATATTAGGGAAAACAGGTCTTTGTCATATATATTGCAAACATTTTTCCTGATTTTTACTTTATGTTTTTGTTTTTTAAACATAGTTAAATGTCTTTTCTTTTTGAGATGGACTTTTGTTCTTTTGCCCAGGCTGGAGTGAAGTGGTGCGATCTCGGCTCATTGCAACCTCTGCCCACTGGGTTCCAGCAATTCTCCTGCCTCAGCCTCCTCAGTACCTGGGATCACAGGCGCCCGCCATCATGCCCGGCAAATTTTTGTAATTTTAGTAGAGATGGGGTTTCGCCATGTTGGCCAGGCTGGTCTCCAACTTCTGACCTCAAGTGATCCACCTGCCTCAGCCTCCCAAAGTGCTGGGATCACAGGTGTGAGCCACCGCGGCCAGCCATAAACACAGTCTTCATTTTCCTTTATGACATCTTGATTTGACATCAAGGTACTAAAAAATACCAATGCTTTCTCCTAATAGTTCGCTGTTTCAATCTATACATTTATATCGTCTATTCATTTGAGATGTAGCTTGGTCTAAGAAATAAGGTAGGGATCCATTCTCTTTTATTTACTGGCTGGGCAGTTGTCCCCAAACCATTCATTTCAATCCATCTTTTCTTCATTGATTTATGTCACCTTTATCATACACTAATCATTCACATATCTTAGTTTGAACTTTATGAAACTGCCAAACTGCCATTTGTAGGTCAATGCCAGTTGAATACTGGCAGTTTCATATAATTGTCCCATACTTAGGTATATTTCTGGGTTCCCTATGTCATAGCATGAATTGTTCTAAGGCTTTTAAGACCGACTTTCTCAACGGCAATCAGCTGACCCTCCTACCAGCAGAATGAGTTTTCTTCTCACCACATGCTCACCAGCATTCAGTGCTATCATTGTTAATAATTTAACAAATTGACTGGGTGTGGTGGCTCACACCTGTAATACCAGCACTGTGGGAGGCTGAGGCAGGAGTTTGTTTGAGCCCAGGAGTTTTGAGACCAGCCTGGGCAACATAGTGAAATCTCATCTCTACAAAAATAAAATAAAATAAAATTAGCTAGGATGGTGACGCACGCCTCAGCTACTCAGGAGGCTGAGTTGGGAGGACTACCTGAGCACAGGATGTCAAGGCTGCAGTGAGCTGAGAAGGCACCACTGCACTTTGGCCTGGGCAACAGAGTAAGATATGTCTTCAAAAAACAGTAAGTAAAAAATTAGCTGTGCATGATGGTGGGCGCCTGTAATCCCAGCTACTTGGAAAGGACGAGGCAGGAGAATTGCTTGAACCTGGGAGGCAGAGGTTGCAGTGGGCCAAGATTGCACCACTGCACTCCAGCCTGGGTGACAGAGTGAGACTCCATCTCGAAATAAATAAAATTAAATTAAATTAAAAAAATATATATATATATATACTTAGATGCCCAACACAGTGGTGCACGCCTGTAATCCCAACACTTTGGGTGGCCAAGGTGGGAGGAATGCTTGAGGCCAGGAGTTTGAGACTAGCCTGGGCAACATAGCAATACCTTGTCTCTACTAGAAAATTTTAAAAAATTAGCCAGGCATGGTGCGTACCTGTAGTCCCAGCTACTCAGGAGGCTGAGGCAGTAGGATCACTTGAGCCAGGAGTTCAAGGCTGCAGTGAGCTATGATTGTGCCACTGCACTCAAGTCTAGGTGACTGAGAAAAACCTTGTCTCTTAAAAAAATAAAAATTAAAATTAAAACAAATAAATTTAAAAAATATATAGTTAGGCCTATGATGGTTATGTCTGTACTGAGCATGTACAGACTTTTTTCTTGTCACTATTCTCCAAACAATATGGTATAACAACTATTTACAAAGCACTTACTTTTTATTAGTTATTATAAGGAATCTACAGAAGATTTAAATTACATGAGAGAATATGTGTAGTTTATATGCAAATACTATACCATTTTATGTAAGAAACTTGAATATCCATGGATTTTGTTATTTGTGGGGGGTCCTAGCATCAATCCCCCACAAATACTGAGGACAACCGTATTATTTTTTAAACCTTTGTTAACTTGATCAGTGAAAATGGCACTCGTTTTAATATGCATTTATCTGATACTAGTAAAGTTGCCATTTTTATGGTTACGTCCACTTGCATTTCACTTTCTGTTCATGGCTATCTGTGCCCACGACTTATTTTACTATTTTATCTTAAGTATTTTTCTTATTTGTAGAAGCTCTTTGGATTTTAGGTATTTTAAACCACTGCCATATGTGTTGTAAATATTTCTGCCTGTCTTCTGCCTTGTAATCTTTTTTTGTGTGTGTGTAAGACACAGTTCTGCTCTTGCTGCCCAGGCTGGAGTGCAATGGTGTGATCTTGGCTGACCGCAACCTCCACCTCCCGGGTTCAATCGATTCTCCTACCTCAGCCTTCTGAGTAGCTGGGATTACAGGTGCACACCACCATGCCCGACTAATTTTTTGTTTTTAGCAGAGACGAGGTTTCTGCATGTTGGTCAAGCTGGTCTTGAACTCCTGACCTCAGGTGATCTGCCCGCCTCAGCTTCCCAAAGTGTTGGGATTACAGGCATGGGCCACCACGCCTGGCCCTGCCTTGCAATATTTTTTTTTTTTTTTTTTCCAGACAGAGTCTCGCTCTGTCTCCCAGGCTGGAGTGCAGTGGTGCGATCTCTGCTCACTGCAAACTCTGCCTCCCGGGTTCCTGCCATTCTCCTGCCTCAGCCTCCCGAGTAGCTGGGACTACAGGCCCCCGCCACTGCGCCCGGCTAATTTTTTTGTAATTTTTAGTAGAGATGGGGTTTCACTGTGTTAGCCAGGATGGTCTCGATCTCCTGACCTCGTGATCCACCCACCTCAGCCTCCCAAAGTGCTGGGGTTACAGGCTTGAGCCACCGCGCCTGGCCATCTTGTAATCTTATAAGATCTTTTTCCACCTAAGTTTTAATTTTACCACACCCAGCCAAAACAAATCTTTTAAACCTGAATTTATAAAAAATTCTACAATCAAAGCATGATGGGCTGGGCGCAGCTGCTCAAGCCTGTAATCCCAGCACTTTGGGATGCCAAGGCAGGTGGATCAACTGAGGTCAGGAGTTCGAGACCAGCCTGGCCAACATGGTGAAACCCCCTCTCTTCTAAAAATACAAAAATTAGCCTGGTGTGGTGGCTCACGCCTGCAGTCCCAGCTACTCAGGAGGCTGAGGCAGGAGAATCGCTTGAACCTGGGACGCGGAGGTTGCAGTGAGCTGAGATCACGCCACTGTACTCTAGCTTGGGCAACAGAGTGAGACTCAGTCTCAAAAAAAAAAAAAAAAGGCATGATGAATCTTTTAGTATTTAAGATAAACAACTAGTTAACATGCCTTTCTAACAACCAGAGATGCCCTGCAATTACAATAAACTAACAATGAAACTTGCAAACCTTGAAAAGTGCATCTTTCAGACTCCGGAGAGTTGTTCCAATCTGTAAATCTTTGGCAGAACTAAACCAGTCAAGAAGTACCACATACTCCACATTCCCCCTCTTCTTCCATGTGTCTTTAGAATCATCTGGCAGGTGTGCTTCAATCCAACTAGCAGTGACTCTGAAATGTATTAATATTTAAATTGGGGCAAAAGTCAACAAGAGGTCCTAATATACTAACAGAAGACACTCAGTTTTGTTCCACAGTCTTTACCACACCATAGCAAATTTTAAGTAGATTCCTTTCTAAGGTGAGGTTATATATTAAGATATTAAACAGCCTAACATGTTTAACCCCTTCACTACTGTATAATATTGGAACATAGTTTTAGTAGTTATTAGAGACTATAAAAGAAGACTGAATTCTTTTCATTCTGACCTTTTAAAAAAAGTCAAGGGGGGAGCAAAACTGAAAACAGAGAAAATTATCTGAGCTCCTCTTTCAGCCAAATATAAACTGGGGAATCACCTGGGTAGTATTATTCATATTTCAGTTCTCTTATACCTATATAATTAATAGTCCACCATATACCAGGATGTTTATTCAACAAACACATATAGCATTTACCATGTGCCAGATACTGTTCTAAATGCTTTATTCTCATTGAACTCATTGAGTCTTCACAACAATCCTGTAAGACGAACATTATTATTTCTATTTTGGGGAAACTGAGGCACGAACAGATTAAGTGACTCGCTCAAGGTAAGTGGAGCCAGAATTAAAATTCAGGCAATCTGGCTCATGTACATGTTCTTTGCTATGCTGCCTCTTAAAACCGTCAACTGTGAATAACACCAACTCTCCATTAAAGCACAATGTTCACATCATCGTTTGCTCACATAAAAACTAAAGTCCGGCTGGGCATGGTGGCTCATGCCTGTAATCCCAGCACTTTGGGAGGCTGAGGCGGGTGGATCACCTGAGGTCAGGAGTTCAAGACCAGCCTGGCCAACATGGTAAAACCCCATCTCTACTAAATACAAAAATTAGCCGGGCATGGTGGCAGGCGCCTGTAATCCCAGCTACTGAGGAGGCTGAGGCAGAATTGCTTGAACCTGGGAGGCGGAGGCTGCAGTGAGCCAAGATCATGCCACTGCACTCCAGCCTGGGCGACAAAGCAAGACTCTGTCTCAAAAAAAAAAAAAAAAAAGCTAAAGTCCTCACAATGGCCTGCCACAGACATACACCCTCAAGCCTCAATGTCCTCATCTCTAACTACTGGCCCCCTTCACTCGCTCCAGCCACTGGCTTGTTATTCCTGGTTCATCCAGGCATGCTCTTCCCTAAGGGCCTCTGCTCTGGCTTTTTCCCTGTCTGGAATCTGCTTCCCTCAGATAGCTGCATCACTCATTTCCCTTATTTCTTCAAGATTTGCTAATAACTTCTCTGTGAGGCCTTTCTAAACACACACACATGCACACGCACACATGATATTCCCATTTCCAAGGCACTCAACATAAGACAAACTAAACATTTCAAGCTTTTATTGTACGTCTTACCTATCTCACCTCTCTGTTAAAAGCTCCAAAGACAATTTTTTGTTTGTTCAATGGCTTAGCCCAGCACTTAGAACACAGTAACCCAGCCCACAGAAAGTGTTCAGTGAATATTGGTTTAATCAGCTGGACGCGGTGGCTCACACCTGTAATCCCAGCCCTTTGGGAGGCCAAGGCTGGCTGATCCCTTGAGGTCAGGAGTTCGAGACCAGCCTGGCCAACATGGCGAAACCCTGTCTCTAATTAAAAATACAAAAATTAGCTGGAAGTGGTGGTGCATGACTGGAGTCTCAGCTACTCAGGAGGCTGAGGCAGGAGAATAGCTTGAACCTGGGAGGTGGGGGTTGCAGTGAGCCGAGATCACGCCACTGCACTCCAGCCTGGGTGAAGAGCGAGACTCTGTCTCAAAAAAAAAAAAAAAAAAATTGGATTTAATAATTGAATGAGTGAATAATACAGATTTACACCTCTGGGTAAGGAGCTCCATATTATTCTTAGCAAAGCACTTAGTATATCGTGGCATTTCAATATTTAACTGATGATACTGGCAAGCTGGGCCGGACTGGTACAACTTTTATCCACAAGTAAAACCAAATAAGATCATTTTAATTTTGAAATCCAGTTCCTATATAATAATGTTGGTTACTGTATCTTCCAGGAAGTAAAGAAGTAGAAGAAATATAAAATATTGTCTACTAATATCCTCTCCTGATGTACACAGATCAGAAGGATGCTTGGTCAACAAAGAAGGAAAAAAAATAAAATGTGATATTCTTAAAGACTATTTCCAACCCTAGGGGTATATTTACCTAAATACTGTTTTCAGGATTAGTATTCTACAGAAAACACTTTGGGAAACAACAGTATCAGCCAACATTTCTCAAACTTCTGTCTTTTATGTACCATCTTCACAATCTGCTCCAACTCTGCTCTACTTGTCTTTTATTAAATTTAATTAATTTAATTAAAAATAATTTTTTACTTAAATAAATTTAATAGGAAATTGTATAGCCCTAAATACATGAAAAAACGAAATCATATCCAGTAAGTAAAAGGTATGTCTGAAGATAAATAAAATATTTAAGTAAATTGCGCTATATTCACACAACAGAACATCATATGGCAATGAGAATGAACAAACTACAACTACACACAATAACAAAGATGACTGTCACAAACACAGGTTGGGTATAGAAGACAGATATAAAAGACTACATATTATAAATTCCATTTATATAAAGTACAAAAGCAGACAAAAAGAATATATTCTGTCAGAAACTGGTGGTTTCCTTGGGCAGTGGGATACGGGTAGTAACTTACAGGGGGTATATCGGGTTCAGGGGGGATGATAACATTGTTTCTTGGTCTGGATGCCAATTAAGTGGGTGCATTCAGTTAATGAAAATTCATTGGGCTAGACACTTAAGACAGGAGTACTTCGGTATATATACTATAATGTATTAAAAGTTAAGAATATGGGAGCTAAACGGTAAGAACTTATGAACACAAAGAAGGAAACAACAGACACTGGGGTCTACTTGAGGGGGGAGTGTAAGAGGAGGGAGAGGAGCAGAAAAGATAACTATTGGGTACTGAGCTTAATACCTCGGTGATAAAATATGTATGTACAACAAACCCCCGTGAAAACGTTTACCTATGTAACAAACCTTCACATGTACCACCAAACCTAAAATAAAAGTTTAAAAAAGAAATAGGCTGGGCACCGTGGCTCACACCTGTAATCCCAGCACTTTGGGAAGCCGATGCCGGTGGATCACTTGAGGCCAGGAGTTCAAGACCAGCCTGGCCAACATAGTGAAACCCTGTGTCTACTAAAAATACAAAAATTAGCCGGGTGTGGTGGCGCACACCTATAATCCCAGCCACTTGGGAGGCTGAGACATGAGACATGAGGATCAATTGAACCCAGAAGGCAGAGGTTGCAGTGAGCCAAGATTGTACAACTGCACTCCAGCCTGAGCAACACAGCAAGACCCTGTCTCAAAAAAAAAAAAAAAAAAGGCCAGGTACAGTGGCTCACACCTGTAATCCCAGCACTTTGGGAGGCCAAGGCAGGTGGATCATTTGAGGTCAGGAGTTCGAGACCAGCCTGGCCAACATGGTGAAACCCAGTGTCTAGTAAAAATTAAAAAATTAGCTGGGCAAGGTGACACGTGCCTGTAATCCCAGCTACTCAGGGGGCTGAGGCAGAAGAAATCTCTTGAACCCGGGAGGTGGAGGCTGCAGTTGGCCGAGATCACACCATTGCACTCCAGCCTGGGCGACAGAGCAAGACTCTGTCTCAAAAATAAATAAATAAAAATAAATAAATTAAATTAAAATTTAAAAAATTAAAATAAATACAATAAAATAAAAAGCTTAAAATTTTAAGAACAGATAGGCCGGGTGCAATGGCTCACATCTATAATCCCAGCACTCTGGGAGGCTACGGTGGGAGGACTGTTTGAGCCCAGGAGTTTGAGAGCTGTCTGGGCAATGTGGCAAAACCCCGTCTCTACAAAAAAATACAAAAATCAGCTGGGCATGGTGGCATGTGCCTGTATTCCCAGCTACCCAGGAGGCTGAGGTGAGAGGATCATCTAAACCCAGGAGGTCAAGGCTGCGGTGAGCTGTAATCATGCCACTGCACTCCAACCCAGGCACAGAGTGAGACCCTGTCTCAAAAATAAATAAATAAAAATAGATAATGAAAAAATACAGTAATCACTATCAGCTAGTTGTAGGTACTGTAACCTACAGAAAGCTCTGAGACCTGTTCCCTTCAGTTAAGAGAGATAAGCAAGTATTTAAAAGATATACTAGCACCAAACTGAAACTCCTTTAAACTAACTCAAAAGGACTGTAACATAAATTAAAAGAGAATAATTTTCTCAGTATGCATTTCATTGTTCTTTAATCTTCAACCTAAAATCATCTTGAGTTTCATAGTAGTCCAAATCTCACATTTTGGGAAACTTCCATGTAAACTCAGTAATAACGACCACCAGCTCTCTATTAATACAGACTAGACTACCCAAAGACTAATTATAACTTCGTCTGTTCAAATCCTGGGAATATATTCACATGTTTAATTAGACTGAGTACTCTAATATATATATTTTTAACAACCAGTAATCAATTTATTAAAATAGTTGACTTAAGCATCTCCAATGGTGACTTCCACCTCAACTCCTGGCTCAGTACTGATGGAAGTAATCTGCTTAACAATCTCAGAAAGGATGTGCAAGTCAATGAGTTGTTTGTGGATTCTCATATGGAAATGATCCCATGTCTTAGAACCGTCACCAAAAGGAGTTTTTCTTGTAGCGATTCTCAAAGTCTTAGTAGGCATTTGAACTGGTCCTTTCACTTTGAGATTCTTTTTCTTTGCTCCTCTGATCAAGTCAGCACACACCTTCTCCAGGGATTTTATGCTGTGGCTCATAGAGAGTGATTCGAATTCAGTGAATTGCTATCTCCGGCTCCATGGGTGTTTTTCCAGCATCTTTAAAAGCCACGGCTGCTGTGCGGCTTCCTGACCGACCGGTTCCTCTGCGAGAGCAACAGCAGTACAGCAGGAGCAGGAGCGGGCTGACCACAGCTCAGCACTACCTTCAACAGCGTCTTCCTCAAAGAGCTCTAATTTTTTTTTTTTTTTTTTTGAGACAGAGTCTCCCTCTGTAGCCCAGGCTGGAGTGCAGTGCCGTGATCTCGGCTCACTGCAACCTCCGCCTCCCGGGTTCATGCCACTCTCCTGCCTCAGCCTCCCGAGTAGCTGGGATTATAGGCATACGCCACCTCACCTGGCTGAAGTATTTTTAGTAAAGATGGGGTTTCACCATGTTGGCCAGGCTGGTCTGGAACTCCTGACCTCAAGTGATCCGCCTGCCTTGGCTTCCCCAAGTGCTGGGATTACAGGTGTGAGCCAGTGTGCCCGGCCTAAGAGCTCTAATTTTTAAATAGCTTATTTACAAAGCACTCTACGCTTCAGGTCAAACATTTATCAAGCATCTGCAATATGCCAAGAACTATACAGATTTTATTACCTAATTTTAAAAATATATAATTTTAAACCAAGACCAAGAGAGGTAATAGGATCTGCATAAGAATGCTCGAAATAGTGAAAATAGCCCTTTATCTGGAGGTTTAGCTCTGCCACTATGCCATGATTTCCAATATACAATATACCCATGCAAGTCACTTTAAATTATTTCATAGGTTAAAGGCCTTCTTACCAAAAAAGAAAGAAAAAAATTTAAATTAAGTCCTTACTCGTGCCAGGACCTGTGCTAAAGTGTGTATGTGTATATAATGTTTCTCATTTAAATCTCCTGAAACCTCTGTAAGATATGTTCTACTATTATCCCCATTTTACAGATGGAAACCTGAGCTTAGAAATGTTAGGTCACTACCTAGTAATAATGCAACTAGTAAGTGACAGTTATTTGAATAGAGTCTGGCATCAGAGACTATACTCTTTTAACTTAAGCACACACAAAGTATTTGTGTAGCGTGTATCACAGTAAATATAGGGAATTTCAGTATGTAAAACAATTCAATTAGTTCATTATTTTAATCAATTTGGTACATACGATTCACATGCTTATAAACAGAAAATAATAGGAAAAATCAGTTAACAAACATCTGGGGAGAGAGGGAAAAGGCAACTTCATTTCTCTTTTGATAAGATTCTAAATACCACCAATAGGAGAAAACAGCCAAATCAAAAGTTGGCAAATCCGTAACTTCAACCTTCAAAAAGGGTGGAGTGTGTCTTTAAGAAGCAAAGATTTAGGGAAATCCCACTTGGGCACCCCTCACTCTCAAAAGTGAGAGAGCAGTTCTTCTTTCTCTTTCTTTTGCCTATTAAACCTCTGCTCCTAAAATGTACCTCCCCCTCCCCTCCCCCACCACCCACACACATAAAAAGAGGCAAAGATTTAAAAAGTTACCAGGAAAAGACTACTTTATCACATTTAGCTTGGATGCTAAGTAGTAACATTTACTAAGGTCCACAGTTTACTACTTACTACACAGTTTACTACTTTACTACACAATAACCCACCCTGGACTGATGGCTTCTTCAGGAACACTGAGAGAATGTAAAATACAGGAATCCTGATAATCCTGCATTCTTCGAGCATCCATTATAATCAAGCTGATGTTTTTATCCGTCATCATTGTGTATAGTTCCTTTGCTGTGATTGCTCCTTGGAATTGAGAGAGACAGTGTAAGTGACAAGAAACAGCACAAGATGTGCTGACATCACAAAACACAGGACAAACCGCTTTTTCTAGAAGAGCAAAGTATACTGAATATATATGGATGCCACATATTTACTACTCCATCATACCATTTATTATCTTGTAAACTAACATTAAATACAACTTGTTTTTTTTCTTGAGACAGGGTCTCGTTCTGTAACCCAGGCTGGAGTGCAGTGGCATGATCTCAGCTCACTGCAACCTCCACCTCCCAGGTTCAAGTGATTCTCCTGCCTCAGCCTCCTGAGTAGCTGGGAACACAGGCTGTTACCACGCCTGGCTAATTTTTGTATTTTTAGTAGAGATGGGGTTTCACCATGTTGACTAGGCTGGTCTGGAACTCCTGACCTCAAGCGATCTGCCCACCTTGGCGTCCCAAAGTGTTGGGATTACAGGCGTGAGCCACCACATACCTGACCTTGTGTTTTTAACATTTATCAAGAAACCAGTTCGATGCTCTGTTTACAAAGACTTAAAAATCAAAACTTTCTGTTGAGTTTACAGCTACACCTGGTATTGACTCTGTTACCAACATAAAATAAAGAACATTAATATATGTGTCTCAGGAAAATAGTATGTTTTCAAAAATTAAGACATTAGAAAAATGCTAACTGGAAGAAAGAAATATCTATGGTTCTAAAATTCTGGAAAAGTTCTAAATTCAAAAGGTCTCTGATGGCAGTCTTACGGTAGCTTTTTGAAAAACTTAGATATCCAAGTATTCTTAGAATAACAAGTCAAAAGCTTGCTATTCTACATCAGAGGTTGAAAAACTATGGCCATCTGTTTTTACTGGATCACTGCCACACTAGTTTGTTTACACATTTTTTCATACTGCAACAGCAGAGATCAATAGTTGTGTCAGAGACCACAGGACTCTCCAAGCCCATAAGGTTCCCCAAGCCTAAAATGTTTACCATCTATCCCTTTAAGAAAAATTTGCCAATTGTCATTCTACTTGATGTTCATTTGTTAGCTCCCAGCCAGAAGGAAAAAAGATTATTTTGTTTTCTAAGAAGGCTAACAAAAAGGAAACTAAGTAAAGCTAATGCAATATTTAATTTATTTACTTTTGGGGGAGGGCAGCAATCTGTCAAAATAAATATTCCCTATGTTACTATTTTTCCTTAGCTCTACTGAAGTGAAAGATTAAAAGGCACTACAAGAGAGTTGAGATTATATAATAAGCTGTTTCAGCAGTGAGCTGTGAGAAGAAAAGTAGTCTCAGTAGCTCCTATGCTAAAAGACCTATAGCTGCTAACAATCGTCCTCCTTCCATCTCTAGCCATCAAGTGTATGCTAACAAAACAGACTAAAAAAGTTGTTAACAAACCACTGAGAAGGACAACATTTAAGCAGGATGACATACAAAGGAACAAATGCATAAAAACTAATCTTGGAATGAATCAGTAACAGCTTTTAGGGAAGTACCTTATAGCACACTCAGTTTACTTTTGTAATTGTTGTATGGCAATATTTTAAGTAGAGAATTTATTTTACTGTTACCTATAATTATGTTTAAGTTCAACCTTTTCTCTGATCCAAGTACTAACCAGGCCTGACCCTGCTTCGCTCCCGAGATCGGGCGCGTTAGGTGGTATGGCTGTAGACAAGGTAAACCTTTTCTGAGAGAGGAAAACGTCTCTAGCAGATGAAGAGGAATTCCAAAGTCTTGTTTAGGTCACATATTTGTCACTAGAGCATCAACGCCACCTATGGATAATTTCCATATTACTGGTTTGGATTTGAGACAGGGTCTCACTGTCATAGGCTGCAGTACAGTGGTGTGATCGTGGCTCACTGCAGCCTCAACCTCCCGGGCTCGAACAATTCTCCCACCTCAACCTCCTGAGCAGATGGGACTAAGGGCATCCACCACCACACCCAGCTAATTTTTGTATTTTTTGTAGAGACAGGGGTTTCACCATGTTACCTAGGCTGGTCTTGAACTCCTGGGCTCAAGCAATCCTCCTTCCTGAGCCTCCCAAAGTGCTGGGATTACAGGAATGAGCCACTGCGCCTGGCCTCGATTTTTTTTTTATGGGGGATGTAAATGACTGTTAAATAATTTAGTCTTTGACCACAGGATGGATGGGGGGAGAAAAAATTAAATCTACAACCTAGTCATAAATGATAATAAGTCCTACTTAAAGTTTACCATGTATTCTAAGAATTTACATATATTAGCTCATTCAACCCTGACAACAACCCTATGAAATAAGTACTATTATTATCTCCACTTTACAGACAAGGAAACAAAGGTAGAATGTTTAAGCAACATTCTGAAAACCAGGCGGAAAGGGAGAGGAGGAACCAGTATTCAAACTCCGGCAGTTTGACTTCTGAGAGTCCATGCTCTTAACCATTATTGCTAAACTGCATGTTGAAAAGAAAACAAGTACAAGCTTTGGTTTTGACATTTTTCAACTGCATATGACCAGTTTAACATGTAAGGTTAAAATTATTCATAAAATATCCCCCCATGATAAATACATAAAAATAACCTCAGACATTTTCAATATAATTGTACAGACTAGGAAAAATGATAAAGCTTACATAGAGATTAGACAACAATGCTAAGAATCTCATTGTATAAAACCTGATGCTTATTCTGATTAAAAGATCTCAGTCAGAACCTAAAACAACTTCCTCCTTCTGTACACACTTACCTTTCTCTTTGGTCTCACATTTTTCATTCTTTTCACCATTGCTCTATTGCATAGGAAAAAAAAAAAGTTTCAACTTTCATAGACACAAAAAATTCAACTTTAATACTTCATTTACTTCTCTTAAATGGAAACTCTAAGAAACGAACTGTGCAGAGTACTGGCCTTTTATAAAAACGCAGACGAATAATAATGATATTAAAAGGTTTCTTTGGCAGTAGACAACAGCTAAAATAACTAGCAATCTTTCAGAATCATAGAACATTTCCTCAAAATTTACTTCAATTAAAGACCAAATATAATTTAACAGCACAAACTGCTACAGAAATTTAATATTTAATTTGATTAGAAAGTACTTCTTACAATCAAACAAAAATTCTGGCTATCCCATTCAGTGTCCTCCACCACATAATTAAAGCAAAATGAACTAATACAAAGTATTGCTTATGTAGTTTACATTTTTTTTTTTTTTTTGAGACGGAGTCTTGCTCCGTGGCCAGGCTGGATTGCAATGGTGCCATCTTGGCACACTGCAACCTCTGCCTCTCAGGTTCAAGCAATTCTCCTGCCTCAGCCTCCTGAGTAGCTGGGATTACAGGCGTGTGCTACCACGCCCAGCTAATTTTTGTATTTTTAGTAGAGATGGGGTTTTGCTATGTTGGCCAGGCTGGTCTTGATCTCTTGACCTTGTGATATGCCTGCCTCAGCCTCCCAAAGTGCTGGGATTATAGGCATGAGCCGCTGTGCCCGGCCTATGTAGTTTACATTTTTTAACCAAGACAACATGGGATAATCCTGTATGGTACTAACTCATTTTATCCATGGGGAAACAAAGGACCCACTTAGACCTTTTTTTTTTTTTTTTTTTTGGAGATAGGGTCTCACTCTAATGCTCAAGCTGGAGTGCAGTTGCATGATCACTGCAGCCTGGACCTCCTGGGCTCAAGTGATCCTCCCACCTTGGCCTCCTGAGTAGCTGGGACTACAGGTGTGCACTATCATGACTGGCTAATTTTTTAAAAAATGTTTGTAGAGGCCAGGCACGGTGGCTGACGCCTGTAATCCCAGCACTGTGGGAGGCCAAAGTGGGCGGGTCACCTGAGGTTGGGAGTTCAAGACCAGCCTGACCAACATGGAGAAACCTTGTCTCTACTAAAAATATAAAATTAGCCGGGCGTGGTGGTGCATTCCTATAATTCCAGTTACTTGGAAGGCTGAGGGAGGAGAATTGCTTCAACCTGGGAGGTGGAGGTTGCAGTGAGCTGAGATCGCGCCACTGCACTCCAGCCTGGGCAACAAAAGCGAAACTGCATCTCAAAAAAAAAAAAGTTTGTAGAGACAGGGTTTTTCCATGTTGCCCAGGCTGGTCTCAAATTCCTGGACTCAAATGACCTGCCCACCTTGGCCTCCCAAAGAGCTGGGATTACAGGTGTGAGCCACCACACCCAGCCAACAACGACTTTTTAATGAAAGGAATGATGATCCACACAGAATGATAACTGAAAGCTACAAAATGTCTAAGAAAAAAATCAAAGCAGAAATTTTCCCATGGATTTCAACTTATATTTTAGGAAGAGTAGTTTCTGAGGAGGTAAAGGAAGGGAGGTACGGTGATAGCTGGCAGCTACAGACTAAGTCACTGATGGCTTTTAGCAAAGAGATGATGTAGCTGAAAAGACCACAAGTAGTCACTAAATAGATGTGAAAAAATGGGAGAAGCCAGGAGTGGTGGCTCACTCCTATAATCCCAACACTTTGGGAGGCCAAGGTGGGTAGATCGCTTGAGGTCAGGAGTTCAAGAACAGCC
Organism: Homo sapiens; assembly: GCF_000001405.40. Classification (NCBI taxonomy): domain Eukaryota; kingdom Metazoa; phylum Chordata; class Mammalia; order Primates; family Hominidae; genus Homo; species Homo sapiens. Next base: position 50,460,518 of record NC_000015.10, on the reverse strand, counting down.
TGGCCAATATGGTGAAACCCCATCTCTACTAAAAATACGAAAATTAGCTGGGCATGGTGGTGGGTGCCTGTAATCCCAGCTACTCAAAAGGCTGAAGCCTAGGAGAATTAGTTGAACCCGGGAAGCAGAGGTTGCAGCGAGCTGAAATCGCACCACTGCACTCCAGCCTGAGCGACAGAGTAAAACTCTGTCTCAAAAAAAAAAAAAAAAAAAAAAAGAAGAGCCAGGTGTGGTGGCTCATGCCTGTAATCCCAGCACTTTGGAAGGCTGAGGCAGGCAGATCACTGGAGGTCAGGAGTTCGAGACCAGCCTGGCCAACATGGTGAAACCCCATCTCTACTAAAAATACAAAAATTAGCCGGGTGTGGTGGCGGGCGCCTGTAATCCCAGCTACTTGGGAAGCTGAGGCAGGAGAATCGCTTGAACCTGGGAGGCAGAGGTTGCAGTGAGCCGAGATCACGCCATTGCATTCCAGCCTGGGCGACAAGAATGAGACTCTGTCTCAAAAAAAAAAAAAAAAAAGGGGGGGGGTGGGGGAACTGGGGGAGAAAAAGAAGGAGAAAGCAAAGGAAAAAGAATGAGACCTCAGAAACAGATAAAAGGCTTGGTACCAAACAAAGTAGTATACTAAATCTTTTAATGTAAATTACATGATTAGAAAGAAGAAACTTAAAAATTGTCTATTTCAAGACTATAATTTGGGAAACAAGAAAACTGAGTCCCAGAGTGGTTAAAAAAGTTTTGACATAGGACCAGAATGCAGATATAATAAATCACAGCTCAGCTCAAATGATTTTTCTATTGCTCTAATTAAGTTTATAATGTCTGCTAAAAAACGAATTAATGCAGAGAAAATATTGCCATAGAAATTCACAGAAAAATCTGAAGTCAACTGAGGCTAGAATATTTAATTCAAATTCTTTTCTTTTTTTTTGAGACAAGAGTGTTGCTCTGTTGCCCAGGCTGGAGTGGAGTGGTACGATCTCAGCTCACTGCAGCCTCTGCCTCCTGGGTTCAAGCAATTCTCCTACTTTAGCCTCTCGAGTAGCTGGGACTACAGGCATGCACCACCACATCCAGCTAACTTTTGTATTTTTAGTAGAGTCGGGGTTTCGCTATGTTGGCCGGGCTGGTTTTGAGCTCCTGGCCTCAAGTGATCTGCCCGCCTCGGCCTCCCAAAGTGCTGGGATTACAGGCGTGAGCCACCGTGCCCAGCCTTAAATAAATTTCTAATTAAAACATTAAATTTCATCCTTGTTGCCTAAAAGAACTTTATAGTGGTATCTCAACTCTTTTTAAGCAAATCATCTAACAAGCAGAAACAGTCTTTTAACTCACACATTAAATTTGAAATACCTTTTGGGTTTTGTCTTTGGAATCCAAAACATTCTCCAAAGAGCCTTTAGCCAATGTGCCACCATCCTCTCTTCCTGTTTCCTGCCTTTTTTGTTGTAGCCGCTGTGCTTCCTCCTGCCTGTCTTTTTCCTCAAGTTTTTTCCGGACTTCAGCTTCTTCATATCTAGTTGAAAAAATAAGTCAAGATTGTCTTTTATTGGCGTTAATCGTGGAAATTAAAGGAGTTTCAGTTCTGTAAAATTAGTATCCTGCCTTGAGGTATTTCATGGCTATATGCTTTCTCCCTCCACCACAATTCACACATCTGCCACCTGAGGCCATCTGTAGATTTACTTCAAATTGCCCAGAACTATTAAAAAGAAACTGTATGTTCTCAAGTTGAAATTATTTAGTGCTTTTTGCTCTTTCTCTCCTACTAATTTCAACCTTTTATATTGATTCAAATCTGCTGCAATTTGCTTTTCAAAGGAAAAATCCTAATTTTTTCTGCAAAAGAAACAGCCCAAATATCACACTTATGTTGATAATTTAGAATAAAAATGTGAAAACAAACATTCAAAAAGCTGTGGAAAGTCTTACCAAGGTCCCAAGTTACATTTTTTTAAAGGATGACTTCACTGAAATTTCCAACTTGTTGGCAGTTAAACAGCTATCTGAACTACAGTTAGCAGATATCTGAGGAATTTAGAACTATTCCCTACTAAATTATAGGTGGCTGGGTGCGGTGGCTCACATCTGTAATCCAGGACTTTGGGAGGCCAAGGCAGGCGGATCATGTGAGGTCAGGAGTTCGAGACCAGCCTGACCAACATGGTGAAATCCCATCTCTACTAAATATACAAAATTAGCTGGGCGTGGTGGTGCATGTCTGTAATCCCAGCTACTTGGGAAGCTGAGGCAGGAGAATCACTTGAACTGGGAAGGCGGAGGATGCAGTGAGCCGAGATCACGTGACTGCACTCCAGCCTAGGTAACAGAGTGAGACTCCATCTCTAAATAAATAAATAAATGAACGAATGGCAATGTTTGCTATTATTGCCAGGACAGACTGTACGTTATCATAGACCTGCAATCTTGTTTGCCCTAATTATCAATGCTTGGCAATGTCTGTGAGCTTCAAATTTAAAGACAGAGAGAGAGAAGATAAAACAGATGTAAAGGAAAAAAATAAATAATTGACTAGGGTCAATAATTAGTAAAAGACGAATCAATAGTTTCCATTTTATTATTCTCTTTATTGTATCTTTACATTTTATATGCTCTTTTTTTCTTTTTTTTTTCTTTTCTTTTCTTTTTTTTTTTGAGACAGAGTCTTGCTCTGTCACCCAGGCTGGAGTGCACTGGCATGATCTCGGTTCACTGCAACCTCCATCTCCCAGGTTCAAGTAATTCTCCTGACTCAGCCTCCTGAGTAGCTGGGACTAGAGGCACACACCACCATGCCTGGCTAATTTGTGTATTTTTAGTAGAGACAGGGTTCACCATGTGGCCAGGCTTGTCTCAAACTCCTAACCTCAGGTGACCCACCTGCCTCAGCCTTCCAAAGTGCTGGGATTATAGGTGTGAGCCACCGTGGCTGGCTGTTTTTTTTTTTTTTTCTTTTTTGAGACAGAGTCTCACTCTGTCACCCAGGCTGGGGTACAGTCCCATGATCTCAGCTCACTGCAACCTCTGCCTCCTGGGTTCAAGCGATTCTCCTGCCTCAACCTCCCAAGTAGCTGGGACTACCGGTGTGTGCCACCATACCCACCTAATTTTTGTATTTTTAGTAGAGGTGGGGTTTCACTATGTTGGCCAGGCTGGTCTCGAACTCCTGACCTCAGGTGATCCACCTGCCTCGGCCTCCCAAAAGGCTGAGATTACAGGTGTGTGAGCCACCGCACCTGGTCTTATATGCTCTTTTGAGTGAATATTCCAAAATGAAAAATTTCTAAATAAACAGATAAAACTATACAATAGAAATGGTGACTATTCAAATAACTGTGCCAGCTTCACATATTTAAAATTTTAAGTTTACTTTAAAAATGACTTCTGAACTCAAAATTATTTTGTACCACACATTTTCAACATCATGTTAATAGTGACCAAAAACGTGCCATCTATCAATAAGATCATTCATGCACTTAGCAAGAATTACATCTTTAGCTCTTGGAGAAGAAATTAGCATGTCACACAAAGCTGTGCTATTCCTCAAGTGGAAGAAATATAAGGAAAACAGTGCTTCTCCTCTAAATATTTAAGCAGTTAATTTCTTTTCTTTTTTTTCTTTTTCTTTTTTTCACAGAGTCTCGCTCTGCTGCCCAGGCAGGAGTGCAGAGGCATGATCTCAGCTCACTGCAACCTCCACCTTCCAGGTTCAAGCAATTCTCCTGCCTCAGCCTCCCGAGTAGCTGGGATTACAGGCGCATGCCATTGTGCCCAGCTAATTTTTGCATTTTTAGTAGAAAAGGGGTCTCACCATGTTGGCCAGGCTGGTCTCGAACTCCTGGTCTAAAGTGATCCACCCTCGTCGGCCTCCCAAAGTGCTGGGATTACAGGGGCGAGCCACCACACCCGGCCATTAAGCAGTTAATTTTTTTTTTTTTTTTTGAGACGGAGTCTCACACTGTCACCTGGGCTGGAGAGCAGTGGTGGGATCTCGGCTCACTGAAACCTCTGCATCTCAGGTTCAAGCGTTTCTCCTTGCCTCCGCCTCTCGAGTGGCTGGGATGACAAGCTCCCACCACCACGGCCAGCTACTTATTTTTGTATTTTTAGTAGAGATGGGGTTTCACTATGTTGGCTAGGCCGGTCTTGAACTCCTGACCTTGTGATCCACCTGCCTCGGCCTCCCAAAGTGCTGGGATTACAGGCATGAGCCACCCCGCCTGGCCTAAGCAGTTTCTATCTTTACGCTTAGCAATTCCTTCTGAATTATGTATTCCATTGACAGAAATGATCACTAATATTGACAGGAACATGGTGATCACGACACTCTACTTTAAAAATGCTATCCTTTCGCCTTAAAAAATAAAGGTAGGAAAGAGAATTCTAATTCTGGTAATGACTTAGTAGTTTCCATTGTTCTGAACCTCTCACAGACAACTATAAACTCTGGGTAACCTATAACTACCTGAAGGCATTGGAAAACTGCCATAATCAGGAAGAAAGTAGATGGGGGTTGACACTTGAAAGAAAGGAAGGGCATTAGTAAGATTCCCATTTTTTATGGTTTCACACCTAAGGCAGGCCTTACTGCTGAAAACAGCTAAAATTCCAATAAAGACCCCAATCTCAGAGAACCAGAGTTCCAAATTCTTTGTATAGACTTGCCCAAATTGCCACCTGACACCTGAATTAAGCACACCTGCAGCAGATACTAAGGAGCCCAGCTAAGTTTAGAAGAATTGAAAAGAATGTCAGTTGCCACCTACCATAGGCAAGACAGAAAACTTAACGTTTGAGTATAGCCAAGTTAACTGCCTAGTGGGACAAAACAACAACAACAACAACAACAAAACTATTCAGAGGACTAAAGAAGAATGCAGAGCCTATAATTTTATTGTTCACAATGTCCAAAGTTACTAGTACCAAAAAAAGAAAAATAGGACAACAATAAAAGAGAAAAGGTGCTGCACACTGACTCTAAGATGATGCATTTAGCATACAAAGATTTTAGAGCAGCTGTTATAACTATGCTCAAGGGCGTAAATGAAAATGTGCTTGTAATAAATGAACAAATAGGAAATCTCTGTAAAAAAATAATAGACGCTATAAAAAAGAACCACACAGAAATTCTAGAATTGGGCTGGGCGCAGTGGCTCATGCCTATAATCCTAACTCTTTGGGAGGCCCTGGTAGGAGGACTGCTTGAGCCCAGAGCTTGAGACCAGTTTGGGCAACATGGTGAAACCCTGTCTCTACAAAAAAACACAAAAAAACTAACTGGGCCTGGTGGTGTGCATCTGTAGTTCCAGTTGTTCAGGAGGTGAAGGCGGGAGAATCACTTGAGGCCAGGAGGCTGAGGTTGCAGTGAGATGTGATCACGCCACTGTACTCCAACCTCGACAACAGAGTGAGACTCTGTCTCAAAAAAAGGAAGAAATTCTAGAATTGAAACATATAACTGAAAAAAATTCACTCAACACAAAATTGGAGATGACAAAGTAAAGAGTCAGTATTTGAAGGGAGAACCATCCTGGGCAACACAGAAAGACCCCATCTCTATAAAAAATAAAATTAGCCAGGAGCAGAGGTGTGTGCCTTTAGTCCCACCTACTCAGGAGGCTGAGGTGGGATTGCTTGAGCCCAGGAGTTTGAGGATGCAGTGAGCTGGGATCATGCCACTGCACTTCGGCCTGGGCAACAGAGTGAGACATTGTCTCAAAAGAAAAAAAGGATGAAAGAGTGATAAATATTATTCAATCCAGGCTGGGCGTGGTGGCTCACATCTGTAATCCCAGCACTCTGGGAGGCCGAGGTGGGTGGATCACCTGAGGTCAGGAGTTTGAGACCAGCCTGGCCAACATGGTAAACCCCTATCTCTAGTAAAAATACAAAATTAGCCAGGTGTGGTGGCACACACCTGTAGTACCAGCTACTTGGGAGGCTAAGATAGGAGAATTGCTTGAACCCAGGAGGTGGAGGCTGCAGCAAGCCAAGATCGTGTGCCACTGCACTCCAGCCTGGGTGAGACAGAGTGAGACTCCATCTGAAAAAAAAAAAAAAGAAAAGAAAATTATCCAATCTGAAAAACAAAGAGAAAATGATTAAAACAAAACAAAACAAAATAAAAAGAACAAATCCTTAGGGATTCATTGGACAAAATCAAAAAGTCTATCGTATGTAGAGCTGGAGTTCCAGCAAGAAAATAAAAATGAGGCAGAAAAATGCTTAATATCAGAAACAATGGAGGCCAGAAGACAGTGGAATAGCAGCTCTGAAGTGACAAAAGGGAAAATTAAAACCTGCCAACCTAGAATCCTGTATCTAGTTAAAATCCCTTAAGAATGAAGATGAGGGCGGGGTGTGGTAGCTCACGCCTGTGATCGCAGCACTTTGGGAGGCCAAGGCAGGCGGATCACCTGAAGTCAGGAATTCAAGACCAGCCTGGCCAACATGGTAAAACCCCATCTCTACCAAAAAATACAAAAATTAGCCAGGCATGGTGGTGTGCGCCTGTAGTCCCAGCTACTTGGGGAGGCTGAGGTGGGAGGATCGCTTGAACCTGGGGGCGGGAGTTGCAGTGAGCCAAGATCATGCCACTGCACTCCAGCCTTCAGGACAGTGAGACCCTGTCTCAAAAAAAAAAAAAAAAAAAAAAGAATATTCCCAGAGGTAAAGAGGGACATAATGATAAAAAGGTCAATTCATCAAGAAACTGTAACTATGTGCCTAAAAATAGAATTTCAAAATACATGAAACAAAAGCTGAGAGAACTAAAGGCATAAATAGATACAGTTAAATATTTTAACATGACTCTCTCAGTAATTGTTACAACTTGAACCCCCATCCCACAGTCAGTAAAGATAAAGAAGATCTGAACATTATCAGCCATTCTGACCTAAATGACATATAGAGAACAGTATATTCAACAACCACATTTTCTTTGCAAGTGCACATGGTACGTTCACCAAGAGACCATATGCTGAGCCATAAAACAAGAATACATTTAAAAGGACGCAACATCTTTAGCCACAATGAAATTAAATTAGAAATCAATAAGATATAAGAAGAATCCCACATATGTGGAAATTAAACAACACATTTCTAAATGACCCATGGGTCAAGGAAGAAAGGGAAATTAGAAAATATTTCAAAATAAATTATAAAGTTCTACTGGGAAAACAATAGATTTATGAAAATCAGTGTGTTAAAATAAAATAAATGGAACAAAAGTGAATGATGAACCCATCAATAGATGTGAGAGGAGAAAAGAAAAACAGAGTAACTTCAGATAGAATTTTACAAAAACAGATGTTTCATCATATTCCATCTGCTTAGGCAATAACCAGGGATAATGGATTCTCAAATCTCCAGCAGGACCTTGCTTACTGGTATGCTCACTTCCCCCACTTCTCTACTGCACTGTGTTAAGAACTTGGTCACAGAATAGCAAGCATGTATTCCTATTATCTCTATGGAAATATCAACACCACTTTCCTGCCTATCTCATATGCTAGCATCATTTCACTGTTAGAAACAGAAGTGAAAGATTTGGAACAAGAGCAAAATTATGCAACTGTTTTACCTTGCCTCCTCAATGCAAATCACTAGAGTGCCAGGACGAAAGGTGTTACAGAACAAGAATGCTTCCACTGTTAATAACAACGAAAATAATAGCACAAAAACTTATTATTTGGTATGTGCCAGACACCATCTAAGTGTTTGTAAATGTTAATTTTCTTAATGCACTATGAGGTAGGTTTTATGATTATCCTAGTTACAGATGAGGAAACTGAGGCAGAGGGAGGCTAAGTAATTTGCCCAAGCTCACACAATTAATAAGAAAAAAACTGGGATCCATACCCAGGGAGTCTGGCTCCGTACACTTACCTACTGCTCTATATTTCTTCTCTAGTAGTGCTCTATGCTGGAACAGTATGTGAACTGTCTGCCCTAAGAAGTAAGCACAGTCAGCCTAAATCCAATTTGAGGGCAGAAATGAAAAAACTTTAAGATTCTCTTTTTTCCTATTTTCTTCTCTTATCCACACCTTACCCCCTACCTTGGATTTGTTCTACAGTCTCCATAAATCTAATTAAATAGAGCTGATGTCTCTCCTACTTTCCAATTTCAGTTGGTAAGCTGAAGTGAGAGCGAGGCATGCTCTCTGAAACTAACTTCTGATCCTTTTACCCACTTAATCCCTTTTACTAGGATTCTGATACTTCCAGATTTGGTCAAAATTACCTCTAAGACCTCCCCTAACATGAATGTAACAGAAATGGATTAAGTCTATGTTATGAGAGGTGTCCATGAAAAAAGATAATAATAAGAAACGGGACAGGCAAATAAATGCTTAACAAGTATTCCTTAATGGCAGGTGATACTGAAATCTATTTTCTAGCCACTCACTAGGTCTTTTTGCTAAAGCATTTTTTTCAGAATCTGGGGCTATGTCTATAGCGGCCGCACCTGGGACCATGCGGCCACCCCTAGGACAGGGGCCAGCAGGCCACGGACCCCACTCGGCACACACGCCTCCGTGGTCATAGACCATGACATCAGATGATTAGGCAGAATTTAGCAGAAAATCTACCCCAAGATGTTAAGGGCTTTCACTTTAAAGTTATAATCTATTCTCCAAACCTAGAGAGCATATACCCTCCCTCATGCCCATTCTCAGACTGCCGGCCTGACAAGAGAAATTCTAGTCATGCAGATTTCAGAGACTTAAAGGAGGAAAAGAGCTTTGTGGTTGACTTATTACAGAATTAGGACAGGACAGATATGAAGATATGTTCACACAGGGTTGCTCTAAATGTCCATGAAAGACACCAACATGGGGCAGGAGGCTGGGAGAGGACAGACAGGGAGAAAAACAGTGAAAAGGTTCTCCACATCTAGCTGCAAAATAACCTATACAGAGGAAAATTCAAAGTACATTTAAAAAGCCTTAGAATTGGAAAGGACCCAGAGGTTATTTAGCAACAGGGACTTTATTACACTGAAAGATGGGCCATTCTATCAGGCCATAAGAAGTAAATATCTAAATAATGAATCATTTTCTTAATGACTTCCTTTATAAGTTGAGAGTTATTTTCTTTTTTTGAGACAGAGTCTCACTCTGTCGCCCAGGCTAGAGTGCAGTGGCAAGATCTCAGTTCACTGCAACCTCTGCCTCCCAGGCTGAAGCGATTCTCCTGCCTCAGCCTCCTGAGTAGCTGGGACTACAGCTGCCTGCCACCCCACCCGGCTAACTTTTTTTGCATTTTCAGTAGAGACGGGGCTTTACCATGTTGGCCAGGCTGGTCACAAACTCCTGGCCTCAAGTAATCCGCCCGCCTGGGCCTACCAAAGTGCAGGCATTACAGGACTGAGCCATTGCTCCTGGTCAGAATATTTTTAAATACAAGTAACATGATACATTCTTAGTGAAAAAAAAAAATTCAAGCCAGTAAAGAAATATGTCACCCTGGTTAAATCTTTCAGTTTCCTCCTTCTATTTATTATTTGCATCAAACAGCTCTCAGTTTGCTGTTTTTCACTAACCAGGCTTTGGCACCTTGTATCACTTAAAACCAGTTCCATTGTTCTCTCCTTCTGTATCATATTGCTGAGAATGCTTTTGGTTTTATCTATTAACATTTTTTATGCTACAGATACAGGCAGAAATTTATCTACTAGGATCTACATAACAGCATTATGTTGTTGATAAGGGAAACAATTTAAATTTTAAAGCATGACTAATGGCCGGGTACAGTGGCTCATGGCTATAATCCCAGCACTTTGGGAGGCCGAGGCAGGCAGATCATCGGAGGTCAGGAGTTCAAGACCAGCCTGACCAACATGGAGAAACCCCGTCTCGACTAAAAATACAAAATTAGCCAGGCATGGTGGCACATGCCTGTAATACCAGCTACTCAGGAGGCTGAGGCAGGAGAATGACTTGAACCTGAGAGGCAAATGTTGCAGTGAGCTGAGATCAGGCCATTGTACTCCAGCCTGGGAAACAAGAGGCAAAACTCCGTCTCCAAAAAAAAAAAAAAAAAAAAAAAAGAATGACTAACGACTAAAAACTGAAACATACTGTTTTTGTTTTGTAATTATTTTTGTAAACCTGGTAAGCAAGTCATGGCAAATACCAGAATCAGTTTTTTTTTCCAAATTTAAATAACTTCTGTAACTAAGCAGATCAAAAGTAACAGTAAATACTTCATTCCTATACGCACAGTATCCAGGAGCAGAATCCACCAAAGAACATATGAAGAATTGAATTTTTCTAAAGAATAATGCCAGAAACTTACAAATATTATAAATTAGAAATATTGGGGCCGGGTGGCTCACGCCTGTAATCTCAGCACTTTGGGAGGCTGAGGCGGGCGGATCACTTGAGGTCAGGAGCTCGAGACCATCCTGGCTAACACAGTGAAACCCCGTCTCTACTAAAAATACAAAAAATTAGCCGGGTGAGGTGGCGGGCGCCTGTAGTCCCAGCTACTCGGGAGGCTGAGGCAGGAGAATGGCGTGAACCCCAGGGGCGGAGTCTGCAGTGAGCTGAGATCGCGCCACTGCACTCCAGCCTGGGCAACAGTGAGACTCCGTCTCAGAAAAAAAAAAAAAAAAAAAAAGAAATATTGGGGCCAGGCATGGTGGCCCACACCTGTAATCCCAGCACTTTGGGAGGCCGAGGCAGGAGGATCAGAAGGTCAGGAGATCGAGACCATCCTGGCTAACATGGTGAAACCCTGTCTCTACTAAAAATACAAAAAATTAGCCGGGCGTGGTGGTGGGTGCCTATAGTCCCAGCTACTTGGGAGGTTGAGGCAGGAGAATGGCGTGAACCCAGGAAGTGGAGCTTGCAGGGAGCCGAGATCGCGCCACTGCACTCCAGCATGGGCGACAGACAGCGCGAGACTCTGTCTCAAAAAAAAATTGGAATATTATATGAATCGTCAGATATAAATCGGTAAATCTTAAATATTATTTTTATCTTCTAAATTTACATTATTTTAAATATTTCATAATATCTGTACCTTAATTTAAGGCTTTCAGAGAGTCTTTCAGCTTCTTCGACAGCTTTTTTGATGTTTCCAGGTCCAAGTATTGAATGGAAATAATCCTAAAATTATAGGAAAACCATCCCATATTGTTAGTTCTCGGCATTGCATGTGACACTAGTGTTAAAATCATTAAAATCATGGTGCTTATATAAAGGGAAGTTTGTTTTATTACAATGGAAGATTTTTAAAAACTTTTAACCTATGTAAATGTATAATTTATTCTCCAAATGTCTCAAAAGTATGTCTTCATACCATTAGTAAGTTAAAAAGATCCACTAGTTCATAAATTTGACTTATTTGTAAGTCTCTGTTAAAAAGTATAAATAACATTGTTATTTTTGAGTAAGCGCCAAAGAGCAAAGCTTTCAAGAATAAAGTATATTTTCTTATTAAAAATATGTACCTAGTTTTTTCTCCAGTCTCACAATAAAGCAAATTGTGTACAGACACAACATGGAATGTGTTTTGTTTACTTGTTCTAAACAGATATTTTTGCTTCCACCTGTACTTTAGAATAGCTACTCACATCCCAACTGGAGTCAAAACACTTTTGATACATAAAACAAGTTTTACACATTAGGAAACTCTAAGCAACTAAAAACCAAATGATAGAAAATAAATAATTAATAGTATAATCTAGGCCGGGTGCAGTGGCTCAAACCTGTAATCCCAGAACTTTGGGAGGCCGAGGCGGGCACATCACTTGAGGACAGGAGGTCAAGACCAGCCCGGCCAACATGGTGAAACCCCATGTCTACTAAAAATAGAAAAACCAGCTGGGTGTGGTGGTATGTGCCTGTAATCCCAGCTACTCAGGAAGCTGACGCAGGAGAATCACTTGAACCCAGGAGGCGGAGGTTGCAGTGAGCCGAGATTGCGCCACTGCACTCCAGCCTGGGCGACAGAACGAAACTCTGTCTTAAAAAAAAAAAAAAAATTCCACCTTTAAAAAATGCAAAAGGTAAAAGATTTGGCATATAATTTACTAACAAGTACAATGAAGTTGTTGTTGTTGTTTTTTAAATCACTACTCCAAGAGGTCAATCATTAGATACAAGAGGTCAATCATTAGATACTACAATCAGATATTTTCAAATCAAGGTTGGTATGACATTGCAGTAGTTAGTTAAGTCAGTTAAATGATTACTGGATCCAATTTGCCACAACATGTCAATATGACTTTGCAAATAGAGCCTACTAGCACAGTTCATTACAAATTATAATAATCATAATTTGTAAAAAGAAGGGTTGTAGGTCAGAAGTACCTATCTTTGGCTCTCAGTCATGAAGAGCTGCAATGGTGGAGCCATATAAACATATCTAACAGCCCATATAAATATATATAACTTCTAGATTACTGATGATACAAATAAACAAACATAACTTCTGTAACTAGGCAGATCAAAACTAACAGTAGGCCATGTGCGGTGGCTCACATCTGTAATCCCAGCACTTTGGGAGGCTGGGGTGGGTGGATCATCTATCTGATGTCAGGAGTTTGACACCAGCCTGAGCAACATGGTGAAACCCTGTCTCCACTAAAAATGCAAAAATTAGGCTGGGCACGGTAGCTCACGCCTGTAATCCCAGCTCTCAGGGAGGCAGAGGCAGGAGGATAGCTTGAGCCCAGGAGTTTGAGACCTGCCTGGGCATATAGTGAGACCCCGTTCCCCACAAAAAGGAAGAAAAAAAAAAGACAAAAAAAAAAATAAGCGTAAAAATGCAAAAATTAGCCAGGCATGGTGGCGTGCGCCTGTAATCCCAGCTACTCGGGAGGCTGAGGCAGGAGAATCACCTGAACCCGGGAGGCAGAGGTTGCAGTGAGCTGAGATCACGCCATTGTACTCTACCCCGGGCAACAAGAGTCAAACTCTGTCTCGGAGGGGAAAAAAAGAAAAGAAAAAAAAAACTAACAGTAGGCTGGGTGCAGGGGCTCACACATGTAATCCCAGCACATTGGGAGGCTGAGGTGGGTGGATCACCTGAGGTCAGGAGTTCAAGACCAGCCTGGCCAACATGGCAAACCCCCGTTTCTACTAAAAATATGAAAATTAGCCAGGCGTGGAGGCACGTGCCTGTAGTCCCAGCAACTTGGAAGGCTGAGGCAAGAGAATTGCTTGAACCCAAGAAGTGGAGGTTGCAGTGAGCAGAGACAGTGCCACTGAACTCCAGTCTGGGCAACAGAGCAAGACTCCGTTTGAAAACAACAACAAAAACTAACAGTAAATAATTCATTCCCATAAGACCAGCGTCCAGTAGCACAATACAACCTGGAGCATATGAAGAATTAAATTTTTCTAAAGAAAACTGCCAGACATTTACAAATATTATTATAAATAACTTAGAAAAACTGGACCTGAGCTCTAATTCAATATACCAGTGCTCAATAATCTATCATTCTAAACACTTTTTAATTTCAAAAAAGTATGTGGTAACACAAGAACAGAATATGAGTGATATAGCAAAAGATTTAATTTTTGTGTCCCAGTTAACATAAGACTTATTTTTAAGAAGAAAAATCTGTTGATGGCCAGGCCAGGTGGCTCACGCTTGTAATCCCAGCACTTTGGGAGGCCAAAGCAGGTGGATAGCTTGTACCCAGGAGGTCAAGGCTTTAGGGAGCCATGATAGTGCCACTGTACTTCAGCCTGAGCAACAGAGTGAGACCCTGTCTCAAAAAAAGTCTGTTGATAAGAGTTATCATATGTCTATCTAGCCTAAAAGTAGATCATGCTTTGTTTGGCTGATTCTTCTAAAGCCTAAATATACTAGAAGGACCCTTCACTATGTAATTCCAATAAAAGTGTACAGTTTGTTCAATATCGTATCAATTGAACATTACAATAATTTCAGTTAGCACACCATGTCCTGACTACTGATGCAATTCTCTCAACAGAAAATACAATGTAATCATTACATTAACAGAACCATTTAACAGAAATCATAATGTAATCATTCTGAATAAATACAAAATACAAAGTAAAACCAAAAATGCTATAACTTGTTTTATTCATTTTTACACATGAACTCACCAAAAAGCCAGCCTGTAAGCCCAGCTTAAACTATTTAAACACAAAAAATTGTTTATGGTTGGGCATGTCTGTTACACACTATCAGACATTCCCCTAATATTAGTGAGATTTCCTGTCAATTATTTATCTCTGTGCTCTTAAAGGAGCACAGTTAAAGTAAATATAAATACTTCCAAAATTTCAATAGTATGATAATTGACAGAAGAAAAAGATAACATCCAATTATTACATAACTAAAAATGTTTGCTTCTGAGGTTTACCAGAACTTTCCTGATTCCTGAATATATGAATTCAAACAACTTTCATGATTTCCTAAACAAAAATAGGTTTACCAATGAAGAATTATCAAGAATACCATAAAAATTTTAAAATACAATTCTAATTTTATCTAGAATTCGCTACACTAATATTTTCAATACATTTTCTTTCCCCACTTTTTCAGATAACCCTGAAAGAATTATTCATAAGATGACTTTTTGATAAGTAATAAAATGTAGTGTCCTTCTCTACTATTGAGAGAGCTTGCTAAATTAATGTTTTATCTAAATCTCAATTTTTTTTTTTTTTTTTGAGACGGAGTCTTGCTCTGTTGCCCAGGCTGGAGTGCAGTGGTGCAATCTCAGCTCACTGCAACCTCCACCTCTCAGGTTCAAGCAATTCGCCTGCCTCGGCCTTCCAAGTAGCTGGGATTACAGGCGCCTGCCACCACACCTAGCTAATTTTTTTTTTACGTATTTTTAGTAGAGATGGGGTTTCACCATGTTGGCCAGGCTGGTCTTGAACTCCTGACCTTGTGATCCACCTGCCTCTGCCTCCCAAAGTGCTGGGACTACAGGCGTGAGCCACTGTGCCCAGGCTTTTTTTTTTTTTTTTTTTTTTTTGAGACAGACTCTTGCTCTGTCGCCCAGGCTGGAGTGCAGTGGTGCGATCTCGGCTCACTGCAACCTCCGCCTCCCAGGTTCAAGCGATTCCCCTGCCTCAGCCTCCCGAGTAGCTGGAACTACAGATGCATACCACCACACCCTGCTAATTTTTGTATTTTTAGTAGAGATGGGGTTTCACCATGTTGGCCAGGCTGGTCTCAAACTCCTGACCGCAAGTGATCCACCTGCCTCAGCCTCCCAAAGTGCTGGGATTACAGGGGTGAGCCATTGCGCCCAGCCTAAATCTCTAACATTTTCTAGTATAAAATAAGAGTGAAAATACAAGTTTCTAAGGAAGTTCAATGACATACATTCAGTCCCTACCTCATCTAAAGGGTAAAAAATAGAAAATATCTTGTTAGTAAATTTAGCACCTCACATAGCTGAAGTACACTAGAGAGGCTGGGCTACAGAAAAATATAACAAAAAACAGAAAACAGTTCTGCAACTGGGCAAGGTGGCTCACACCTGTAATCCCAGCACTTTGGGAGGCCGAGGCAGGCAGACCACCTGAGCCCAGGAGTTCAAGACTAACCTGGGCAACAGGGTAAGACCTCGTTTCCACTAAAAATTAAAAAATTAGCCAGGTGTGGTGGTGCGTGTCTGTACTCCCAGCTACTCTGGAGGCTGAGGTGAGAGAATCAGCTGAGCCCAGGAAGTCGAGGCTGCAGTGAACCATGACTGTGCCCACCGCACTCCAACCTGGGTGACGGAAGTGAGATTCTGTCTCAGAACAAACAAAAAACAGTTCTAAGACAGAAGCAGATGAGATCCTCTGGACAGAGCAAATGAAAATGATCCTTTTACTGAAAAACAGGAAATGAACTACTGAATCATATGAAATAATGGCCTAAGTTACCTGAGCCTTTGCAGGGAGCGTCTCAGCCTGGACTTCTCTGCCTACATACTCCCTTTGGAAATGCAATAGAGACTCTGGAAATGGAAAAATCTCATCTGTTTAAATGTACTCACTACCTTCTCAAGAAGAGAAAAAAAAAGGCGGCTACAAAAATATTCCCAATTTTGTCATAGAAAAAAAATAACTATTAACTTCCAAAATAAAGCAAAAAGTAAACAAGACCATTAAAAAAAAAAAACTGGTTGGGCATGGTGGCTCATGCCTGTAATCCCAGCACTTTGGGAGGCCAAGGTAGGTGGATCACCGAGGGTCAGGAGTTCGAGATCAGCCTGACCAACACGGTGAAACCCTGTCTCTACTAAAAATACAAAAATTAGGCCAGGCGTGGTGGCGGGTGCCTGTAATCCCAGCTACTCGGGAGGCTGAAGCAGGAGAATCACTTGAACTTGGGAGGTGGAGGTTGCAGTGAGCCAAAATCATGCCATCGCGCTCCAGCCTGGGTGACAGAACAAGACTGTCACCTTAAAAAAAAAAAAAAAAAAAAAAACCTACCACACAAACAAAACAGCAAACAACAAAACTACCAAAGTTATCCAAATTTTAAGACTTTCAAAAATATTTACTTTAGTGAGCACCACTTACACTGCGTTTTAAGCAATTCCACTTTAACATATTTCACAGAGCGTGCAAAAACTTGTTTGAATTTAGGAAGGCCTCTGTCTCTTACCTGCAGATAAGTATGGCCAAAAATATTAAACAGTATTTTTCCCAGGGCAGGACTAATTCATCCATTGTGGACAGATGAATGAACCTCCAAATGCAAGGGGCCCCCTCTTCAAAGACAGATTTAAAACCTAGTAATTGGCCAGGCATGATGGCTCAAGCCTGGAATCCCAGCACTTTGGAAGGCAGAGGCAGGCGGATCATGAGGTCAGGAGTTCAAGACCAGCCTGGCCAATATGGTGAAAGCCCATCTCTACTAAAAACACAAAAATTAGCTGGACGTGGTGGTGCACACCTGTAGTCCCAGCTACTCGGGAGGCTGAGGCAGGAGAACCGCTTGAACCTGGGAGGCAGAGGTTGCAGTGAGCCGAGATTGAGCTACCGCACTCCAGTCTGGGCGACAGAGTGAGACTCCGTCTTTAAAAAAACAAAAAACAAAAAAAACCTAGTAACTATTATTAGAATAACTTTGCTAATGAGAAGAAATACCAGCAATGATTTATCACCATTAAGTAAAATATTAAAGTCATTCCTTAACAACCAAAAGTCACACTCCTCTAAAAATAAAAATAAGTGGCCAGGCACAGTGGCTCACAGGATCACGCCTGTAATCCCAGCACTTTGGGAGAACGAGAGGGGCGGATCACAAGGTCAGGAGTTCGATACCAGCTGGGCCAACATGGTGAAACTCCGTCTCTACTAAAGATACAAAAAAATTAGCTAGGCATGGTGGCAAGAGCCTGTAATCCCACCTACTCAGGAGGCTGAGGCAGGAGAATCGCTTGAACCCGAAAGGTGGAGGTTGCAGTGAGCTGAGAATGTGCCACCGCACTCCAGCCTGGGTGACAGGGCGAGACTCTCTCAAAGTAAATAAATTAAAAAAATTTAAAAAGATCATCAAAGAACAAACGAAATTTTGTTATTTCAGTAAGTCAATTTAAACAATAGAAGCCAATTCTACCACCAGAGAACAAAATAAAATCTCATTATTAATTGAGGGTGGCTTCTCTACCAGGTGAAAATTCTATAGGCAGTATTTTGTTACTACTGACAGGTAATAAGATTGTTTCTAAGTAAAGGTAAACCCAGCAACACAACATTCTTCACTTTTGTTTAATGAACCTCTACATTCTTCATATTCTTTTTTTGCTAGTTTGTTTTTGTTTGTTTTTTGAGATGGAGTCTATCGCCCACCTGGGCTGGAGCTGGAGTGCAGTGGTGCAATCTCGGCTCACTGCAACCTCTGCCTCCCAGATTCAAGTGGTTCTCCTGTCTCAGCCTCCCAAGCAGCTTGGATTACAGGCGCCCGCCACTACGCCCAGCTAGTTTTTTTTACTTTTAGTACAGATGGGGTTTCACCATGTTGGCCAGGCTGGTCTCGAACTCCTGACCTCAGGTGATCCACCCACCTTGGCCTCCTAAAAGTGCTGGGATTACAGGTGTGAACCACCGTGCCCAGCATTCTTTTGCTAGTTTCTAATACAATTGAAATACATCTATTTTCTCTATCAACACTTATCCTAGTCATCAATTTTTTCTATTCATTTATATTGCCCCTGCCCTCCCTATCCATGGCTTCAATCAAATGGAAGACAAGCACCTGTTCAAAGGATTAAAAGCAAAAAGAAGTTTAAAGATTTGGTGAGTGGGCTGGATGCAGAGGCTTATGCCTCTAATCCCAGCACTTTGGGAGGCCGAGGCAGGCAGATCAACTGAGGCTGGGAGTTTGAGACCAGCCTGACCAACATGGAGAAACCCCATCTCTACCAAAAATACAAAATTAGCCAGGCTTGGTGGCACATGCCTGTAATCCCAGTTACTCGGGAGGCTGAGGCAGGAGAATTGCTTGAACCCAGGAGACAGGTTGCAGTGAGCCGATATCACGCCACTGCACTCCAGCCTGGACAACAAGAGTGAAACTCCGTCTCAAAAAAAAAAAAAAAAAAAAAAAAGATTTAGGGAGTGATCAGTATCAATTTTGCAAACTGACATTTGTAATATGGGTACAATGTCAGTCATATATAAAAAGCTGTCACATAAAAACAA
The DNA here is from genome assembly GCF_000001405.40 of Homo sapiens. Classification (NCBI taxonomy): domain Eukaryota; kingdom Metazoa; phylum Chordata; class Mammalia; order Primates; family Hominidae; genus Homo; species Homo sapiens. The sequence goes on along the minus strand of NC_000015.10, from coordinate 50,441,875 downwards.
GAGACTAAACCTTGACTCTTAAGAAAGCGCAATAAAAGTACTATAAAAAAAAACACAGTCATGTTTTCTTACTTAATGAGCAAACTCAATCCTTCTACTTGACCTGGCAATTATTAATTACCTCAGAAAAAAATTATGAATCTGTATGTTGCTATAAACTTGTACTAATCCATGGCAAATCCAAGAATGTGTACGAGTTCACACATTATACACATTTGTAAATAATAACACTGTATCTTTAGTTCCCTTTTTCTATCTACATGAGATCATGCTGCATATAATTTGAGCTACATTTCATTATTACTTAAAATTTTTAGAAAAAAATCAATAGCTCCATTATGCAAAATAACTTAGGAAATAACAATGCAAAAATAAAAGGTACCTGCTGTTGCTTGAAATCAGGTCTTTTTTTGATAAGATTATAAACAGTCACGTATTTCATATATAGTACATAGGCCCTTTCCTCATCACGATCTAATCTGCATTCTTCTGCTGTCTTAAAGATCTTCAGGGCACTGTGCACATAACTTAAAATTAGAGAAAAAATAATAATTAAAGCAATTGACATCTGGGAAAAAATACAGGTCATATACAAAGTCCACAGATAATCTTTATCAGGGATCCCCAACCCCAGGGCCACAGATTGGTACTGGTTCACGGCCTGTTATGAACCAGGACGCACAGCAGACGATGAGTGGTGGGTTAGCCAGCAAAGTGTCATCTGTATTTACAGTCACTCCCCATTGCTCGCATTACCACCTGAGCTCCACCTCCTGTCAGATCATGGTGGCATTAGATTCCCATAGGAGCACGAACCCTATTGTGAACTGCACATGTGAGGGATCTAGGTTGTGCACTCCTTTTTTTTTTTTTTGAGATGGGGTCTAGCTCTTCTTGCCCAGGCTGGAGTGCAATGGGCTATCTTGGCTCACTGCAACCTCTGCCTCCCGGATTCAAGTGATTCTCCTGCCTCAGCCTCCCAAGTAGCTGGGATTACAGGAGTGTACCACCATGCCTGGCTAATTTTTTAGTTTTAGTAGAGACGAGGTTTCACCATGTTAGTCAGGCTGGTCTTGAACTCCTGACCTCAAGTGATCCTCCCATCTCAGCCTCCCAAAGTGCTCGGATTACAGGCATGAGCCACCGCGCCTAGCCAAGGTTGCGCATTCTTTATGAGAATCTAAGGCCTGATGATCTGTCACTGTCGACCATCACCCCCAGATGTGATGGTCCAGTTGCAGGAAAACAAGCTCAGGGATACCACTGGTTCTACATTATGGTGAGTTATATAATAATTTCATTATACATTACAGAGTAATAATAATAGAAATAAAGTGCACAATAAATGTAGTGCACTTGACTCATCCCAAAACTATCCTCCCTAACCCTGGTCCATTGAAAAACTGTCTTCCACAAAACCAGTCCCTGGTGCCAAAAAGGCTGGGGACCACTGATCTTGATAAAGCAAATTTCATTATTTAGGTTCCACTACTTCAGAACTGATACAAAGTTAGATGCAAGTTTGGATACAACCAACTTACATATACCACTTCCTCTGGGATAAGGGTAGTGCTAGAGGTAAACCAGACATTACTAGAAAGGAATAAACGGTCTTAGGCCTGACCTTGTCTTATCTAAAGGTGGCTTTATCTTTCCCATTGTTTCCCATCTGAAAATCATTCAACAGGAGTTAGAGTTGTTTTCTGTCACCTCATCAACTTCCCAACTTCGCAAGATAAATAGCCCAATCCCTCTCTTACTTTCTGCCCTTCAAAAGATCTTTTTAATTTTATTTTGAGGCAGAGTCTCACTCTGTCACCCAGGCTGGAGTGCAACGGTGCAATCTTGACTCACTGCAACCTCCACTTCCTGGACTCAGGGATCCCTCAGCCCCCCACTAGCTGGGATTATAGGCCTATGCCACCATGCCAAGTTAATTTTTGTATTTTTAGTAGAGACGGGGTTTCACCATGTTGCCGAGGCTGGTATCGAACTCCTGACCTCAGGTGATCCGCCCACCTTGGCCTCCCAAAGTGGAAAAAAAAAATTATTATTATTATTATTATTATTATTATTATTATTATTGAGACAGAGTTTCGCTCTTATTGCCCAAGCTGCAGTGCAATCGCACAATCTCGGCTCACCGAAACCTCCGCCTCCCGGGTTCAAGCAATTCTCTTGCCTCAGCCTCCCGAGTAGCTGGGATTACAGATGTGCGCCACCACGCCCGGCTAATTTTTTGTATTTTTAGTAGAAATGGGGTTTCACCATGTTAGCCAGGCTTGTCTCAAACTCCTGACCTTAGGTGATCCGCCCACCTTGGCCTCCCAAAGTGCTGGGATTACAAGCGTGAGCCACCGCACCCGGCCAAAAAGGAATTATTTTTGTATCGTTTTATGAAAAGACAATGACTTCTGGCTGAATTTTTTTTTAGAAGCCTCATAATCTTTGCCTCTTAAACTTTATGACCTAGAGATCATATCTGTATGATCTGTCTGGAGAGTAGATAATATGCATATGAGCAGAATATATATGTATTGTGCTACGATTACATTACAACTTTCTCTAAGGAGGTCCTACTTTATTCGTGTGATGGTGTTATTTTTCAAATAAACTTTAACATTCATCTAACTTTAATATGGAAACGAACTAAAAATTAATATTTGATTCAATCAAACTAGCGAAGGATACATCATACCTCTTAGTGCTTATTTTCTCTGGTTTAACTTCTGTCTTCTTATTAAGGTCTTTTAGTGAAGAACTGAGGTAGAGTTCTTTAGGAACTGAAGCCACAGCAGGCATGATGAATTATCTTTACTTTTCCACTTTCACAATGGATGCTATATTTCCTTACAAGTGCTTCTTTCCTGAAACAAATACAAATAATTATACTAATTTTCCTCATTCACAATAAAACAAGTGAGCAGTTTAAAAAAAAAAATTCCTAAACCATATCCTTTGCTAACAGGGTTAATTTTAAATTGTTTAGAATATCTATTTCAGGAGTTTAAGATATGCAGAATATGAGTGAAGAATGTAATAATTTTTTTCAAATTTTCATTAACCAAATGAATTACTTTTTGTATCATTTTGCCTTAAGAGTTGGGAATCTTACCTGTCAAAGGAACTAGCAGTAAGAATAATCAAAGCGTTTACATGTTTCTTTTGTTAAAATAGCATTAATGTTTAGATCATAAGTAGATGGAATTTTTATCTAGAAATATTTCTCTTTTCTCATTGATATCCATTTATTTTTTAAGTGACTTCTTCCTCTTATTTATTTATTTATTTGAGATAGGGTCTCACCCTGTCACCCTGGCTGTAGTGCAATGGCACAATCTCGGCTTACTGTAACCTTCACCTCCCGAGCTCAAGCAATCCTCCTACCTAAGCCTCCAAGTAGCTGGAATTCCAGGCGTTCGCCACCATGCCCCCAGCTAGTTTTTGTGTTTTCAGTAGATACGGGGTTTCGTCATATTGGCCAGGCTGGTCTCAAACTCCTGGCCTTAAGTGATCCACCTGCCTTGGCCTCCCAAAGTGCTGGGATTACAGGCGTAAGCCACCACGTCTGGCTACTTCTTTCCAATCTCTTAATAATCTTCATTCTACCAGTTCACTATCATTAAACAAATGGACATCAATGAACATCTAATCCTAAAAAGCTAAGTAAAGTACAACTTGGAGCAGGGGATGGGAAGGCTGCTGCTCACCTATGAAAATTCCAAAAGCACCCCAATTTGCTTTAATTCTAGTAACATTTTATATTAAATATTAATACTTTGTGATTTATTGGTACTCATCCCTTCTAACCCTGTGCACATTAGTCCACTGTCTTAGTCACCAAACCATTTTGTTCTGAGTATTTCATTTTTATCATTTTCACTTTTTTTCTATCTATACTTGCTCCAGGTATCTATAAACACATGTTGAACCAAACACTTTAATTTGTACTTTCAGATCTATGCATTTAGAAACAACGATCTAATATACAAACATTTTCTACACTTTACCATCCACCCTGGGTCCTGTGTCTAAAGCTGTAGTGATAGGGGAGAAAAGGTCTCTAGACCACACTATCACTCCCAAATGGATCAACTGATATCAAATATGTCCTTCTAGCGAGGTATCTAATTCATCAACAATTCATCAAACTTGCTAAAAGCATCCATTGAGGAAAGAGTATGACAGGGTTCCCCTGGGTTTCCTCATACTTATAGAGACAACAGCAATGTTTCAATGTCAGTGCAAATCATCAGGAGACTTAGCTTGCAACAGTAGGCCTCGTGTTAAACAGAGGTTATTAAAGGGGTATATAAGATATGGTCTCTGATTCTCCAAGAATAAATAGTTTAACCAGAAAACATACCCTGCCCGCCTTCTCACCTCATCATCTTCTGCCCATCCCCCGCAATGTTGAATGAAAAACCAAGAATATGTGTAATACGATACTCTATATAAAGTTTAAAAATCAAATTGAATTGAACAATATATTGCTTAAAGATATAAATGAGGTAAAACTATAAAGAAAGCAGAAAATGTTAAACGCAACATTATATTTCTTGGGAGAGGGAGAGTTGTAATCAGGGAGATACATATAAGGAGCTTCAGGGGTACAGCAAGGTTCTAGTTCTCAAATTGGGTAGTATGTGCACAGGTGATCATTTTAGTATCATGCTTTATAACATATAAAAGAATATATGAAATGTACTTAAAGTTTTAAGGAAGGAAAGAAATAATATGAGCATAACAACGCAAACGTGAGTAAAGCAATGCAACATACATAAATATGAAGAGAGTATCCAGAGAGATGTAAAAGTTAGGAAGTTATGGGTTAAACAAGCAAGTAACAAAAAATACACATTTAAAAAAACATATTGATTTAAAAAAAAAAGACTTGGAACATTGGGGCTGGGCATGGTGGCTCACACCTGTAATCCCAGCACTTTGGGAGGCCAAAGTGGACAGATCACTTGAGGTCATGAGTTCAAGTCCAGCCTGGTCAACATGGTGAAACCCTATCTCTACTAAAAATACAAAAATTAGCCAGGCATGGTAGTGCATGCCTATAATCCCAGCTACTTGGGAGGCTAAGGCAGGAGAATTGCTTGAACCCAGAGGGTGGAGGTTGCAGTGAGCTGAGATCACACCCTGCACTCCAGCCTGGGTGACAGAACAAGACTGTCTCAAAAAACAAAAAACAAACAAAAAAAATTAGCTGGGCATGATGTCAGGCACCTGTAATCCCAGCTACTCAGGAGGCTGAAGTAGGAGACTCACTTGAACCCGGGAGGTGAGGTTGCAGTGAGCCGAGATCGCACCACTGCACTCCAGCCTGGGCAACAAAGTGAGATTCCGTCTCAAAAACAAAACAAAAAAACCAACAAAGTTTAAAAAACTAATGTGGAAGAGAAAGTTTTAAGCAGTAGTAATACAGCATAGTATGATATCAAACTATAGAGTTACAAATATTACAGTATAAGAAAAATTAAGAGAGAAGATTAAGTATGACTAGAAGGATCTTGGAAGTCATCATCAAAGAGACAACATTTGATTTGAGTCTTGGTGGGGGAAGGTTTTTCAAAGAGATGAAAAGCAGGATGAAGAAAAGAAAGTAAAGAACATCTTTAGGAATTAGCCACTACATAGAATGAACAAAGATCTACATGGCAGTGGAAAAAAAAACAGACTTGGAACAGGGAACGGGGAAGGCCTTGAATGTTACTAAAGCATTTACTTTGTTTTCTAAAGGTAGCAGGGTTCTGAAGTAGGGAGGTAAGTGATTAAAACTAAGAAGAGTATAAAGTTAGGCGGTAAGTGACAAACTAGATAGGGAAAACACTAGTTATCTATTATAATGATCCTAGGGAAAGATGACAAAGGTCAGAACTAGGGCAGTAGAGATGGAATAGAGGAAGCAGATATAATAAGAGATGCTGCAAAGGTAGAATGACAGGACTTGGCAAATGATTAGACACAAGGAGGGAAAGTACAGGGATAAGATTACGATGTCACCAAAGATTTTAGGAAGGGTTTCTAGGAGAAAGACTGTACTTTTTAAAAGCTTCCTTTTCTGTCCCCATTTGATTTTTGGAAACAGTTCAAATAAGTAACAATCTTCTCTGATAATGTCTAAAGTCCATTAAAAACCATAGTTGTTTCTATTTTTATTAACAAAATCATGTAAGTTATACCGTCACTTAAGGATGCCTAGTGTTAAAAATACTTTCAGTATTGTTTTAATTGCTATTTGAGCCTCTACAATCACACACGTTTCTGCAGAAGTCAAACAGAAGGTAAAGGGTATTTTCCGCTCATCAAGTGAGAAAGCAAAACATATATAGTAATTCCTCAGTATCTGTAGGAGAGTGGTTCCAGGACTTTTCCCACAAGTACCAAAAATCTGCAGATGTTCAAATCCCTGATATAAAATGGTGTAAGATTTGCATATAACCTTACTTTAAATCATCTCAAGATTACTTATAATACCTAATACAATGTAAATGTTATATAAACAGTTGTTACATTGTATTGGTTAGGGAATAAAGACAAGAAAAAACTCTGTACATGGTTCAGTACAGATCCAATTATTTTTTTAAAATATTCCCAATCGGCCATTGGTTGAATTCACAGATACAGAAGGCTGACTGTGTATCCAACCTCAATCTATGTGAATTTAACATGTTACATTTTTGATAAGTCATTCTGCTGCATTTTGCCATTAAAGAAATCTGAAAATAGACTGACATAAAATATATTGACTAGAATGACTGAATGAACTCAATTGCCTTATTTTGGCTACAATCGTTTAAAAAAAATAAAACAGCAGCAGCAACAACAAACCCATTGATACTTATACAGAAGTGTTCATTAACTACAGAAGTCAAATAATTTGCAGAATTTATTTGTTTAGATCTAGGACAAACCATAAGATACAACACATTGAAATTATCTTATGTGGCCGGGTGCAGTGGCTCACACCTGTAATCCTAGCACTTTGGGAGGCCGAGGCAGGTGGATTCCTTGAGGTTGGGAGTTTGAGACCAGCCTGGCCAACATGGTGAAACCTCATCTCTATTAAAAATACAAAAATTAGCCAGGCGTGGTGGTGGCACATGCCTGTAATTCCAGCTATTCAGGAGGCTGAGGCAGAAAAATCACTTGAACCCAGGAGGTGGAGGTTGCAGTGAGTGGAGATTGCAGCACTACAACTTCAACCTGGGCGACACAGCAAGACCCTGTCTTTTAAAACAAAACAAAACAAAGCAAAACTTATGCTTCAAAAAGGATTGCAAGTGGAAAAAAAAAATAACTAAGTATATGTAAGAAAAATTAACGTGCTTCTAACAACAAAAAATAAAAATTCTTAAGACGTGTAAACCTGACAAAGATAAAGAACTTCAGCCTTAGTCAAACAGCAGTGCTCCAAAAGTGAAATCCAAAAGTGTTGAAAATGAGTTAACAAAGAGAAAATGCAGCCGGGCGTGGTGGCTCAGGCCTGTAATCCTAGCACTTCGGGAGGCTGAGGCAGGTGGACTGCTTGAGGTCGGGAGTTTGAGACCAGCCTGGCCAACATGGTGAAACCTCATCTCTACTAAAAATACAAAAATTAGCCGGACGTGGTGGCGCACACCTGTAATCCCAGCTATTCAGGAGGCTGAGGCAGAAAAATCGCTTGAACCCAGGAGGTGAAGATTGCAGTGAGCGGAGTCTGGGCGACAGAGCAAGACTCTGTCTTTTAAAACAAAACAAAACAAAACAAAACAAAACAAAAAACCTTATGCTTCAAGAAGGATTGCAAGTGAAAAAAAAATAACTAAGTATATGCAAGAAAAATTAACATGCTTCTAACAACAAAAAATAAAAATTCTTAAGATGTGTAAACCTGACAAAGAACTTCAGCCTTAGTCAAACAGCAGTGCTCCAAAAGTGAAACCCAAAAGTGTTGAAAATGAGTTAACAAAGAGAAAATGCAGCCGTGCACAGTGGCTCACGCCTGTAATCCCAACACTTTGGGAGGCCAAGGCGGGCGGATCACGAGGTCAGGAGATCAAGACCATCCTGGCTAACACGGTGAAACCCCGTCTCTACTAAAAAGACAAAAAATTAGCCGGGCACGGTGGCGGGCACCTGTAGTCCCAGCTACTCAGGAGGCTGAGGCAGGAGAATGGCACGAACCTGGGAGGTGGAGCTTGCAGTGAGCTGAGATCGCGCCACTGCACTGCAGCCTGGGCAACAGAGACTCCATCTCAAAAAAAAATAAATAAATAAAGAGAAAATGTTCTTTCTCTGACATCCTTCTGCTCCTTTCTAAGACAAAGAGTAGGGATTTGATGACTGGAACCACAAAGTGAAGACTAAAAGGTAAAAAGTGAAAAATGAGGTTTGCAGTCATTCAAACTGGTCCTGATTTTAAGCAGGGATTCACACCAGCCACTCCTAAGGTCTTTGGCAATATTGAAAGGAAAGCAAAAGTTGTCTTTGTTGGTCACCCACCATCTCTCTCTATTTCTGCCCTTAGGCAGCAACAATACTCAACATAAGTATCTTCTCGCTGTCTTAAATCTCATAATCCACTCTACACTCGTTCTGTATAAGGTGCCACAAACAACTAAGTATTGATTAAATAACTTTTTTTTTTTTTGGAGACGGAGTCTCACTCTGTCGCCCAAGCTGGAGTGCAGTGGCATGAACTTGGCTCACTGCAACCTCCACTTCCCAGATTCAAGCAGCCTCAGCCTCCCAAGTAACTGAGATTACAGGCGCCCCGCCACCATGCCCCACTAATTTTTGTATTTTAGTAGAGACAGGGTTTCTCCATGTTGGCCAGGCTGGTCTCGAACTCCTGACCTCAGGTGATCCGCCCGCCTCGGCCTCCCAAAGTGGTGGGATTACAGGCGTGAGCCATCGTGCCCGGCCAATGAAATAACATTTTAAAGTAATCCTCAAGTATTAAGAAGGCTCAACCCTCTCAAGATTTAATCACTGCTAAAATGTATGGTATTTTCTGAGCAACTACTATGTCTCTAGCACTGTGCTAAATGCTTGAGGGCAGTGTTTTTAAAATCCATTAGAAGGTCATGATCAGCATTAAAAAAATAGCAAACATCAGACTATGTCACACATAGTAAGGTTAGGTACTGCTTCGTAAAATTGTTTCAGTTATGTACATGTGTATATGATATAACACTGGATGAAAATGTAAAATGTATTTCTTAATACAGGTGACAATTTTAAAAAAAGTATGAAAGTCTCACACTACAGCAATGTAACTCCAAGTATGGTCCAATGACCAGTGCTGATTGGGGAACTGTTTGTTATCAGTTTGTGATAAAATAAGAAGTTTGTGACAGAATGTAGATCAATTAAGCACACTGACCTTTTTAAAGTAGCAGCAAGACTTTCTCCATGCAAAAAGCAGTGCACTGACTGGGCGTGGTGCCTCACAGCTGTAATCCCAACACTCTGGGAGACTGAGGTGGGAGGACTGCTTGAGCCCAGGAGTTCAAGAACAGATATTTATGTTGAGTATTGTTGTTGCCTAAAGGGCAGAGATAGGGAGAAATGGTAGGTAGCCAACAAAGTGGGCAACAAAGTAAAGACAAAAAATTTTACAAAAAATTTAAAAATTAGCTGGGCGTAGTGGTGCACATCTGAGGTCTCAGCTACAAGAAGAAACAAACTTAAGTTCCATCTCTTCCATCCTTTATGGTCCCAGTTCTTGGAATTTGTTTCTTCATGTGAATCCTACAATGCTTGTGATCTATATCATTCCTTAAATACAGTAATGGGATCAACAGACAATTACTATAAGGCTTTAAAATCCTCATACACACGCAGTGCTCATGATGATGTGATGAGAGAGAGAACCTGGCCTTGAGGACAGAATTTAGCTAAGAACAGGGTAAGAAAGGAGGACATCTGGCTGGGCATGGTGGCTGACACCTGTAATCCCAGCACTTTGGGAGGCTGAGGCAGGCAGATCACCTGAGGTCAGAAGTTCAAGACCAGCCTGACCAATATGGAGAAACCCCGTCTCTACTAAAAATACCAAATTAGCTGGGCATGGTGGTGGACGCCTGTAATTCCACCTACTCAGGAGGCTGAGGCAGGAGAATCTCTTGAACCCAGGGGGCAGAGGTTGCAGTGAGCCAAGATCGCACCACTGCACTCCAGCCTGGGCAACAAGAGTGAAACTCCATCTCGGAAAAAATAGTAATAATAAGGAATATTACAGAAGTTATTGGGAAATAATCAATCGGATAGAGGGAAAATGTTGACATGTCTTTGGATCCCTGGCACCTATCTCAATAGTCCTCACATAGTCACCACTTTAATAAATGTTTCTCCCTGTCAGCTGAATTTAACTAAAAGGAAAAAAAAATGTTGACTAACAAGAATAACTAAATTATATTATGTAGGAGATGGAGTCACATTATGGAAGACTTTGGAAGCCATCCAGAATTCTTTATATTTGATTCAGCAGGCAATAAAAGCCAGTTCCTGATGGGAAAAATATTATCTCAAGATGGTCAAATTAGGGATATGTAAGTAAGATTGAAAGGAGATGAGAACAAGGGAATGATACTATGGAAAAGAGTAACTACAAGGTCACTGCAGAAAAGAACACAAAATGGTAGAAACATGCTTTGGTAACTGGTTGATCGAAACAGTATTTTCTCTTGCTTACACACACACACACACACACACACAGAGGCACACACACTGTACCCTGCAAAATATGAAGAGCAGTAGTGCTATTAACAAAAAAAGTAATACTGCAGTTTAAAACTGATCAGTTTACAGCAGCGTTTCTCAACCTTGCCATCACTCACATTTTGGACCAGATAAACATTTGTTGTGAGAGGCTGCTCTGTGCAATGTGCACTGCAGGATGTTTAGCAGCATCCCTAACCTCTACTAGACGCCAGTTTACTATCATCCTTCCCTTCCAGTTGTAACAACCAAAACTGTCTACAGTCATTGCCGAATGTGTCCTGGAAGGCAAAATTACCCCCAACAAGAACCACTGGTTTACAGCAAAGTAGGTAATTCGATGTGGAAAATGTTGAGTGTATGCCAAAGGAACATCTTAAGATGTAAATATTAACTAGAAATCAGTTATATGTGAGAGCAGACAGATATTAAATCTGTTTATCAACTAATAAGGCATCAATGTTGACTTTGATAATCCCTATTGTTTTGGAAGATAATTAAGTATTGACACCAAAATTATGTTATCTAGGATTTGGTGAACTGCTGGGCAACACAGTGAGACCTTATCACTACAAAAAAAAAATAAAAAAATAAAAAATTAGCAGGGCATGGTGGCATGCGCCTGTGGTCCCAGCTTCTCGGAAGGCTGAGGCCTTCCTTGAGCCTGGGAGGTTGAGCTTGCAATGAACCATGATTACACCATTGCACTCCAGCCTGAGCAATAGAGGGAGACCCTGTCTAATTGGGGGAGTCTTAGAATGCCATGAGAAAAAAAGAAAAGAAAAGAATAAACTAGCCCTAGTTCTTTATTTTTTTGAGATGACGTCTCACTCTGCTGTCCAGGCTGGAGAGCAGTGGCGCAATCTCGGCTCACCAAAACCTCCACCTCCCCGGTTCAAGCGATTCTCTTGCCTCAGCCTCCCAAGGAGCTGAACTAGCCCTAGTTCTAAAGAGTGACTGTCTAAACTGGCTTCAATTAGGTAAACAATAGATACCTACTATACACAAGGTGCAGTGTTGTGATACAGGGGATACTAAAAAAATACAACTCTTAATAAAGTTTCTGCCTCTTAAAATGAAAGTTAAGTACATAACGGTAACAAAGTAAAGTGTGGCTTAATGCTGTGATATAGGCACTTAGCAAACCAGGCCAATGTCTGTTTGTTTTATTAAGGACCATTCCCAGAAACTAACAAAAGGGTAACTGTTTTCCAGAATAGATGTCTATCTACATTTATAACTTTAATCCATTTCTTTTGTCTTCTACCTCATTAATTTTTTAACAGATGCAAAATCATTAAGTAGGGAGCCAGATCGTACTTAACATGCACCAAAAACATAGTTCTCAATCCCAGCTGTATGTTAGAATCAGTTACCTAGAGAACTTTAAAAAAATATTGATGCTCAGATCCCACTCCTAAACAATTAAATCAGAATCTCTATGGATGAGACATACACACAGGTATTTATTTTCTTATTTATATATTTAAAAAAATACAGAGTCTCACTATGTTGTCCAGGATAGTCTCAAACTCTTGGGCTCAAGTGATCCTCCTGCCTAGGTCTCCCAAAGTGCTGGGATTACAGGCATGAGCCAACCTCGCCTTGCCCACATAGGTATTTTTAAAAAGCTTCCCAAATGAATTCTAACACCAGTCAAGACTGGGAACCATCAATATAAGAATGAATATAAACATGCTGCTAGGAGCAACAAAATAATATGAAGGCAACAATTTGTTTCCAGCTGAAATCAGCATCTTAAATCATTCAACCTACCAAAATTTTAAAAAATCATTTTCATTTTTAAAACTCTGTAATTGAGAAATTAAAATAACACCTCCAAAAAAAAAAAAAAAAACACCTCCAGGATGCTTATGCCCATAACTCTTGTTCTGAAATTGGTATTATAATGTGTAATTATTTCATTTTACTCTATTAAAAAGACATGTGGGTTTACACCATTATTGGTATGTTTCAGAATTTAGTGTAGTAGTCCCCCCTTATCCATGGTTTCGCTTTCCATGGTTTCAGCTACTTGCAGTCAACCACAGTCCAAGAATATTAAATAAAAAATTCCAGAAATAAACAATTCATAAGTTTTAAATTGTGCACCACCTCACTTCGCCCAGTCTGTGACATGAATCATCCCTTTGTCCAGTGTATCCACACTGTAGATGCTACCTGCCTGTTAATCACTAAGTGGCCGTCTCAGTTACCAGACTGACTATAGCAGTATTACAGTGCTTGTGTTCAAGTAACCCTCATTTTACTTAATCATGGCTTCAAAGTGTAAAAGCAGAGATTCACGTATGTCAAAAAGAAGTTGTAAACTGCTTCCTTTAAGCAAAAAGGTGAAAGTTCTCAACCTAATAAGAAAAAAAACCAAAAACCTCATGCTGAGGTTGCTAAGATCTATGGTAAGATCTTTTATCTGCAAAATTATGAAGGAAAAAGAAATTTGTGCTAGTTTTGCTGTCACACCTCAAGTTGCACAAGTTATGGCCACAGGGCATAACTTTTATTACACTATATTGTTGTAATTATTCTATTTTATTATTAGTTATTGTTGTTAATCTCTTGTTACTAATTTATAAGTTAAACTTTATCATAAAAATGTATATATAGGGAAAACATAGTATATATAGGGTTCAGTACTATCTGTGGTTTCAGGCATTCATTGGAGGTCTTGAAACATATCCCCTGCAGATAAGAGGAAGACTGCTGCATTATTAAAAACTAAATTGTAGGCCCGGCGTGGTAGCTAACGCCTGTAATCCCAGCACTTTGGGAGGCCGAGGCAGGTGGATTGCCTGAGCTCAGGAGTTCGTGACCAGCCTGGGCAACACAGTGAAACCCCATCTCTACTAAAACACAAAAAATTAGCTGGGCGTGGCGGCATATGCCTGTGATCCCAGCTACTTGGGAGGCTGAGGCAGGAGAATTGCTTGAACCCATCAGACGGAGGGTGCAGTGAGCCGAGATCATGCCACTGCATCCAGCCTAGGTGACAGAGCAAGACTCCCTCTCAAAAACAAACAAACAAAAAACTAAATTGTAATGTGTTAGTCAAAAGAGACAAGGCTTAGTTAACCCTTATTCACTATACATGAGAACTGTTTTACTTGAATTAGTATGGTATTAGTCAGGTGTGCTGGCGTGTGCCTGCAGTCCTAGCTACTTGGGAGGCTGAGGCAGGAGGATCACTTGAGCCCAGGAAGCAGAGGTTACAGTGAGCCAAGGTCATGCCACTGCACTCCAGCCTGGGTGACAGAGCAAGACCTTGTCTCAGTTTAAAAAAAAAAAGGGCCAGGTATGGTGGCTCACGGCTATAATCCCAGCACTTTGGGAGGCTGAGGCGGGCAGATCACCTGAGGTCAGGAGTTCAAGACCAGCCTGGCCAACATGGCAAAACCCCATCTCTACTAAAATACAAAAATTAGCCGGGCATGGTGGCAGGTGCCTATAGTCCCAGCTACTCGGGAGGCTGAAGCAGAATTGCTTAAACCCAGGAGGCGGACATTTCAGTGAGCCGAGAACTCACCACTGCACTCCAGCCTAGAAGACAGAGCAAGACTCCGTCTCAAAAAAAAAAAAAAAAAAAAAATTAGTACGGCTATAAATGTAGAATTCCAAATAAGTTTAATATAATATTTCATCATTCAGTACTAATAAATTTAATATTATGGAACTGTTGCAGGCCTTACTTTCCATTTATTAATCATATGACTTTGAACAAATTCCGTAAATCACTCCCAATACCACCACCACTCTTCAGTTTACTTTCATCTGCAAAATGAAATAGGAACTATTTGTCTGCTTCTATAGGGTGACCATAGGTATCAAGTGAAAAAATATACAAAAACATGCTTTGAAAACTGTAATATGCCATTACAACATAAAGTATTACGGTTAAAGAAATTGGAAATGGGTCAGGCGCGGTGGCTCACGCCTGTAATTCCAGCACTTTCGGAGGTTGAGGCAGGTGGATCACAGGTCAAGAGATCAAGATCATCCTGGCCAACATGGTGAAACCCCATCTCTACTAAAAATACAAAAATTAGCTGGGCTTGGTGACATGCTACTCGGGAGGCTGAGGCAGGAGAATGGCGTGAACCCAGGAGGCAGAGGTTGCAGTGAGCTGAGATCGTACACTGCACTCCAGGCTGACAACAGAGCAAGACTCCATCTCAAAAAAAAAAAAAGAAGAAGAAGAAAGAAAGAAACTGGAAATTGGAAGTGTACCTGATTCTTCATCTGCTATATAAATGCAAACAAGAGTCCAATACAACTTTGTCATCAAAATTATAGTAGGCAAAGCACGGCCACAAATTCTTTGACATTTTTCCTTTCAAAGGTGAGGGTTGTACGCTGGTCTTTGCTCTAACCAACAGAGTATGTTGGAAGTAATGTTGTGCGAATTTCTGGGCTCAGGCTTTTTGGGAGACTGGCAGCTTCTACTTCCTGACTCCTCAAACATGTATTCTCGGAACCTAGCCGCCATACTGTTCAAGTCACGTGAAGAGGCTATGTGTGGGCATTCCAGTTGACATTTCCAGCTGAACTCCTAGCCAACATCAAACGCCTTCACGTGAATTAGCCATTTTGGATGTCCAGACCAGCTGAGCTCTCGGTTGACTCCAAACTCAGCTGCTTATCTGAATACAAACGCATTAAACTCTAGGTGAAAACCACTTAGCTAAGTCCAGGCAGGCCAGAGAAACAGGAGAGATACTAAATTACAGTTTTAAGTCACTATGTTTTGGAGTGATTTGTTATGCAGCAATAGGTAACTGGGACAACAACAAGGTATTTTTTAAATGTTTCCTTAATTATATCTAATTTTATTAGCAACACATACCTGAAGACATTTTTTTCCTTTCACTTCCATAAATATGAGTGCATTTTCATGGAGAAAAGTTCGTAATATAGTGCTAGACTTATGAAAAAAATTTAATGTACTGGCTTTATTTTCCAACTGTCTTACCCAAAAGTCATTTTGATTATTTTCCATTATGTCCACGCTTTTTATTTTTTATTTTTTGAGACGGAGTTTTGCTCTTGTCACCCAGGCTGGAGTGCAATGACGCAATCTCGGCTCACTGCAACCTTCGCTTTCCAGGTTCAAGCGATTCTCCTGCCTCAGCCTCCAGAGTAGCTGGGACTACAGGCGTGCACCACCACGCCCAGCTAATTTTGTATTTTTAGTAGAGACCGGGTTTCGCCATGTTGGCCAGGCTGATCTCGAACTCCTGACCTCAGTGATCCGCCCACCTCCGCCTCCCAAAGTGCTAGGATTACAGATGTGAGCCACTGCGCCCAGCCACGTCCACATTAATAAACAAATGCCCATAAAGATTAAAGTCCAAGTAAATATATTAAAAAACGAAATGCTAAAAAAGGCACCTTTAAAACATTTTTGTTAGTTTTTCTTATACATTGTTTTCTTAAAAAAACAGATGTCTATGTGCAAAATTTCATTAATGAGAGGTGTATTTTTTTTTTAAACTACTACAGGGTCTTCACTAATATTAAAGATGCATCCAATGTGTCACAAGAAAAGGAATACATATTTCAAAGCAGCCATATCAACATGATAAAGACATAACACAACCGATATCACCTTCCAGATATGCTTAATAGTCCAGGGATATGCTGTAAGGAGAAACTACCCAAATCCATCATGAATGACATTCACCAACGAATCTTAAACAGAATCGGCTGAAATGCAAAAATCTGCTTACATAGCAAAGCCGCAGCAGAGCAAGCCTAAAACAGGAATACTTCCTTAACAAATACCACTTGGCATTTTTAATGGCTGCAGCAAGATATTTACAAAACTAACGATGCTTTGCAGATTCAGAAAAGGTAACATCCTTTAGATATAAATCCCTTTCATCTGAAACCCTCAGGTCTCTTAACAAATACTAAATTCCTTAGGCTCTGCAACACCTCCGTGTCAGGTAAATTTTTTGTTAGTGATTAAGTGACTTGTTCAAGGTCACAGAATGAACTGGAGGCAAGAAATAAACCCAGGAGGGTGGTCTGCAGCTTTATAATGCACATCACTGCTAGTAAGGATTCTGATAATTTCCAAGGTGGAGTGGCGGTGAAATTAACTTGTCCCACAACTCTAGGATGGAAGGCACTTTTTAGGGGAAAAAAAAAAAATCTTCTATTTGAGGAAGTCATAGTTTTAACTCTGACAAGCTTATAGGGTCTTTAAACTCAAACTTCACTAAAATCAAGTGTGACTGGGGAAGAAGAGAAACTGGGAAACAGTTTTAGGAGCTACAGTAAGGCCTGGGATTGTAGGCAGATTGCAGAAAAAAAAAAAAACCGGAAGCAAGAGGAAAGAGGTCAAAGTCGGGTATAAGTGTCCAAGAGAACGGAAGATTGGTCAAAGCCACCTTTTAAAACCAAAAAAACACACGAAACTCGCTTGGCAATCCTAGGTAGATGGCGTAAAAGACTCAAGGTTGGGCCTTTCCTCTCCACAAGCTGATTCTACCTTTAGGAGTTGTCCCACTCCTCTCCGCGGACAGAGCTTGTCTCCGGGGTAACCAGCAGCTGGTGGAAGGAAAGGCGTTCATCGTTCACAGCGGACGACTTCCCAGAGAACAGGTGCTAGGGCCCAAGACCCGCACTCACCGTGACGCCGGGCGCGCTTCACTAACGCCAGCCTTCTCGCCAAATGCCCATCTCCCAAGAACTCGAGGGAGAATTAGCCTTGGCTACCAGGACGGAAGCCAGCCCAGCTCACCCCCTTTTCCCGATTTGCATTGCGAGGCGACGCGTCGCGTCTCCAGACGTCACGGCAGGGGCGGGGCTTCGCGTGCGCTCCCTTGACTCCTCTCTCTTCCACCGCCCTCCCCTTTTCGGTGAGGGCCGCGGGGCGAGGGATGGTCGAGGGAGGGTCGAGGAGGACGTTATGGGTGGGCGGTGGCGGCAAGGGCGGGGTTTCTCTGAGTCGGGTCAACATAGTTGGCCGGTCCCTTACCCCCCGCACTGCACCCTGCATTTCCGGGTTGCAAGGCGGCGCCTGGGCCTTGTTGTGGAAGAAGCAAGGTTGCTCTTGCGTCCCTTTACTACGTTATTTTCCTCCTCAGATTGGAAATTAGAAAAAAGGGGATTTAACGCCCCTCTATTTCTGGCTAAACATTCTCTGAAGCCAAGCCTTTGGTCAAAGAAAAACAAGTATTATCCTAAAACATATTTTATGTACAATTTTTAACGTCACTTAAAAGGCCCCGGCGAGGCTGGGCACGGTGGCTCACGCCTGTAATCCCAGCGCTTTGGGAGGCCGAGGCGGGCAAATGATGAGGTCAGGAGTTCGAGACCAGCCTGGCCAACATGGTGAAACCCCCGTCTCTATTAAGAATACAAAAAATTAGCTTGGCGTGGTGGCGTGCGCCTGTAATCCTAGCTACTCCAGTGGCTGAGGCAGGAGAATTGCTTAAACCCGGGGAGCGAAGGTTGCAATGAGCCGAGATCGCGCTACTGCACTCCAGCCTGGGCAGCAGAGCAAGACTCCGTCTGGTTGGGCGAAGGCCCCGTGTAATAGAAACGAAATGAGACGTCTGAACTTTCTCGCGAGCTGATCTTTGTACTCTCTTAGAGAAAGGTGATTGGATGCTCCGGTTGCCTGTAAACATAAAATTGACTTGGGTGGAGCTTTAGGCAGTAGTCACTAAGTCCTCAGGAACATTCCAGGTGTCTCAGGGATGGGAAATCTGGCTAGCGAGGTCTAGTAAATGCTTTAAGTGAAAGTGTGTGCCACATGGTACAGTGTACACTGCTCGGGTGATGGGTGCACCAAAATCTCAGAAATGACCACTAAAGAACTTTTCCATGCAACCTGTTCCTCCAAAACTACTGAAATAAAAATTTTTAAAAATAAAAAAGGATAAAATAAAGAAAGTGTGTTCAATGAATTTGTGATGAAGGCCAGGTTGCAGTGGCCCAGGCCTGTAATCCCAGCACTTTGGGAGGCTGAGGCAGGAGGATCCCTTGATCCCAAGAGACAGAGACCAGCTTGAGCAACAAAGGGAGACCCTCATCTCTACAAAACAAAAATTTAAAAATTAGACCGGGAGCGGTAGCTCACGCCTGTAATCCCAGCACTTTGGGAGGCCAAGGTGGGCAGATCACTTGAGGTCAGGAGTTTGAGACCAGCCTGGCCAAAATGGCAAAACCTGGTCTCTACTAAAAATACAAACATTAGCTGGGCATGGTGGCGCGTGCCTGTAATCCCAGCTACTGAGGAGGCTGAGTCAGTGAATCGCTTGAACCTGGAAGGTGGAGGTTGCAGTGAGCCGAGATCGTGCCACTGCACTCCAGCCTGGGCAACAGAGCGAGACTCCTTCTCCAAAGAAAAAATCTAAGTTACAAATAGGATTTCCATTTTCCATAGAATCTAAAACTCCCCAAATTGCTGTGAACTACAGCAGTATTTTCTCCATTTGGTAAGAGACATAAGGACAGCTTAACTACCCTTCTTTATCCAAACTAAGTCAAAAACAGAACCCAGGTTTCCTGATTCCCACTCCCAAGTAAAACTAAATAGGTTTTATGTATGTTGCAGCTGTTGCACCCTTTTCCTCTTTGAAATAAAACTTTTCTATTTCATTGGGGAAAGAAAACATGACTGAAAGTCCAAAATGTGGCCAGGCGCGGTGGTTCATGCCTGTAATCCCAGCACTTTGGGAGGCCAAGGCGGACGGATCACGAGGTCAGGAGATCGAGACCATCCTGGCTAACACGGTGAAACCCCATCTCTGCTAAAAATACAAAAAATTAGCCAGGCGTGGTGGAGGGCGCCTGTAGTCCCAGCTACTCAGGAGGCTGAGGCAGGAGAATGGCGTGAACCCGAGAGGTGGAGCTTGCAGTGAGCCGAGATGGTGCCACTGCACTCCAGCCTGGGCGACAGAGCAAGACTCCATCTCGAAAAAAAAAAGAAAGTCCAAAGTGTTAGCTTAGAGCTCAAAACACTAGCTGCTGTTTCAAGGTCCAGGACATTAAATCCAGATGAGGGCCTTCACCTTTGACACCTGCCCTCGAGTCCTTCAGACATGTTGAGAGAGACTGAGACAGGGGTCTTGCAGGGTCAGGCAGGAAGGAGAAGCACAGCAATATACATATATAATATACATAAAACTGATTAGATTTGTTTAAGAGTGGTGGGGATTAGGGCCATGTGGAGAACTCATGGCCTGTCTACATTGTTGCCATGTGGTAATGGGGCAGAGTATTGCCAATTTTCTGATTTTCTGTGTGTGGGAAAAATCTCCAAACTGGTTTTTAAATTTGGGGAATATATATATATATATATATAACCCATATACATACGGATTATGTTAGTTGACAACAACAGTATACATAAAAAAATTTACAAACACTGCAAAACAAATAAAATCCAAGCCATCCATTTGTGACCATAGTCATAAGCATTAACTTAGCCAGGGGCTTTTAGATAATTCTCTGTTAAAGAGGAATTCTGAGAAAAGACTAAGATAACCAAAATGAACATAATGTCAAAGAATGAAATCATGGGAACAATTTGGATTTTGTTCCAAAGTCAAGTGTTTTTTAAAGAATCTTTCCATACTTCATGTTTTGTTCTATGGAGTTCAACCTTTTGACTTCCATGGCCCTTTAGATCTCTTTCGAGCACATTCCATGATTTTTCTCCTGATCATACTCCCTCCACAAAAACCTTTTTCAGCTGGGTGTGGGAGCTCACTCCTGTAATCCCAGCACTATGGGAGGCTGAGGTGCGTGGATTGCTTGAGGTCAGGAGTTTGAGATCAGCCTGGGCAACATAGCAAGACCCTATCCCTACAAAATATTAAAAAATTAGCCTGGCACAGTTGGTGCATGCCTGTAGTCCAAGCTACTTGGGAGGCTGAGGCAGGAGGATTGGTTGCACCCAGGAGTTTGAGGCTTCAGTGAGCTGTAATTCCGCCACTGAACTCCATCCTGGGTGATGGAGTGAAGACCCTGTCTCTTTGAAAAAAATAATAATAACGATAATTAATTTTTAAAAACCCCTTTTTAATTTCCCAACATTTTTTGGCTACTATGATCTCTAAGTGTTACTTCAAATAATTTCCAGTGAATCCACACTTGATGTTGCAGAGCCTGAGTTTGCTGCAGAAATATAATTTCCCACACTCTATGCCTAAAGGGGATTCAGAGCTATCACTGAAAACCAAAAGTATTGGTTTTTAAAGGTGCTTAGACAAAAAAGTCAGGAAAGGCACTCTAAATGTTTAACAGCAATCATCTTTGGGGTATGGGCATCTTGGTAGGTACAGTGTGGTGGATGTCCGTATTTTATCCACCTGAGAGATTATTTGAACTTGTTACACTGAATGTGTATTACTTTTATAATAAAAAATAATTAAGATTTAAAACAATGTATTTGATTAGTAAAAAGCAAATTATATAAATCAGTTTAATAATAATGTTAAGGAGGCCATTAAACAATGATTTGACCAAATCCATATCAAAGTTTGATTGAATTTTTTGGAAATCAGATATTGTGTTACTCTCTGCCCTGTTCTCTGTGAAGTCTTTTCCTTAAACAACTACAAACTTATATGAATAATAGTTCACAAAACTTTGTTGTCCTCTTCCTCTGTAGAAATTAAAACCAAATATATATAATTGAGAAATAATTATAATACTCTTCATTCCTATAAAAGTAATTAAGATAGACCTATAGGATTGTTGAGTATGGCTGCTAAATACAGTAACTAGTAACCACAGCTAGTTGTAAAATTAAAAATTCAGTTCAGTCAAAATATCCATATTTCAAGTGCTCAACAGCCCCTGGTAACTATTGGTTACCTTATTGACCAGCAGATACAGGCTACTTCCATTATTAAAGAAAGCTCTAATGGACAGCACTGGACTAGGGCATGTATTCTGTATTTTTCCCCTCACCCACCATCCAGTAATGAATAATAGTAAAGAGTAAAAGCAAAAAAAAAAAAAAAAAAGTATTGTAACAAACCAGGCAGCAGTATCTATGGCACCTAGAATCTAAGCGGTCATCAGCTGTTTAGAGGCATGGCCTGTATTTGATCACAGCTTCAATTTACATGCCATCCAGCATAAGCAGTAGTCCAAAATCTGGTTCATCTTCCATTCATTTAACAAGTACTTACTGAATGCATGTTCTATGCCAGGCATTGTTTTAGATTCACAATATAAAATTCCTGCTCAACACGGAGCTGACTTACATTCTAGTCGAGGAGACATACAATAAGCAAATACACGTAGACTATGTCAGGTGTTGTTAAGTGCTAGAAGTGTTAGAAGAAAAATAAAACAGGATAAAGGACTAGCAAGGACAGTGGTTTTTGTTTGTTTGTGGGTTTTGTTGTTGTTGTTGTTATTGTTGTTTTTGAGACAGGGTCTTGCTCTGTTGCCCAAGCTGGAGTACAGTGGCATGTTCATGGCTCATTGCAGCTTCAATCTCCCAGGCTCAAGTGACCGTCCCACCTCAGCCTCTCTAGTAGCTGGGACTATACACATGCACCACTATCCCCAACTAATTTTTGTATTTTTTGTAGAGATGGGGTTTCACCTTGTCATTCAGGCTGGTCTTGAACTCCTGGCTGAAGTGATTCTCCTGCCTAGGCCTCCCAAAGTGCTGGGATTACAGGTGTGAGCCACTGTGCCTGGCCAACAGTGATTGTGTGTGTGTGTGTGTGTGTGTGTTTTGGCACTAAGATTTTTATGTACCCACCTTGTTGCTTTCTTTAAACATTATATAAACATAAGCCAAATTATTTTCTGGGGTTGTGATAGAAACCATCTTGTTACAAAGTGGTGGCAGATCTATGCTTTTACGTTTTAATGGCCCCTCTCAACCTCTGGCTGTTACTTCTCTGTCTTTTCTCAGTTGTGCCTTAACAGTCTATTCTAACCCCTGTAAAACAAGGACTAAAAGTACCAACCTCATTGTTATGAGGTTTAAGAGAAGGCCCATCACTAAGCCAGGCTCTCAGGAAAATTCAAACAGTTCCTCCTTGCCCTTCAATATAGCTCCTTCTCATCTGTCATGGGCTGAGGAACCACTGAGCCTGTAAACCAAGCACAGGGGTATAAGTCCACAGACCAGGTGAAGGCCTAGATGGTAAAGTATTAATACATGGGTTTTGTGACTCCACTACCAACTTCCAGGCTAAGGAAGGACTGACTTAGTGAGCAGTTCCAAGACCACTGAGCTTATGGTTCCCTGTGGTTGCCTCCCTTGTACCTCCATCATGATCAGGGCTTGAGGAGGGTCCTCTCAATTCCCTTTGCCACACTTGGAAAAGCATGAGGGATGAGTGACCAGCCCCAGGGAGTCGATGGGGAATACTGGCAAGCCAATCACAAAGTTGGTGCCATTTGCTCTTAGGGAGGAGAGGCGGGGCCTGGGCAAGGACGACAGCTGGAAGGTGAAGGACAGGCCTGGCTCTCAGTAGTGGTAGTGATCCAGCTTGAAGAGACTATCACAGGACATGCCCAGGTACTGGGCCTGCTTCTCAGTCTGCTTGGTCAGTTTCATGTTCACCTTGCCCAGATGGGCTTCAGCCACTGCCTCATCCAGCTTCCTGGGCAGGAAGTGAACCTCAATGGGGTACTTATCTGAGTGGGTCCACAGCTCAATCTGCACCATCACATGGTTGGTGAAGGAGTTACTCATCACAAAGCTGGGTTGGTCCATAGCACAACCCAGGTAGACCAGCTGACACTCAGCCAGCAGGATGGTGCCACGCCCATTCTTTAGCCAGTACTAGTCCATCTGGAGTTGATGTTCACCTTCTTCATAGCATTCTTGTTGAGCCACCTGACATCGATTTTCACGTCAAAGTGTCCAGTGTTACACACGATGGCATCATCCTTCATCTGTTCAAAGTGCCTGTTGGGCAGCTAGCCAAGGATGATGTCAACACAGCCTGTGGTGGTGACAAAGATGTTGCCCTCCTGACAGGCCTTGTCCATGGTGGTCCCCTCATAGCGCTGCATGGCAGCCTGCAGTGCATTGATGGGGTCGATCTCGGTGATAATGACGTGAGCCCCGAATCCCTGCAGGGCCTGGGCACAGCCCTTGCCCACATCACCATAGACCGCTACCACAGCTACCTTGCTGGCAATCATCACACCTATGGCCTACTTGATGCCATCTGGGGAGGGACTGGTGGCAGCCATAGAGGTTGTCAAACTTGCTCTTGGTGACAGAATCATTAACGTTGATGGTGGACACCTTCAGGATCCCATTGGCCATCATCTTGTATAGGTTGTGGACCTCAGTCATGGTCTCCTCGGAGATGTCTCTGATGCCCGACAAGAGCTGTGGGTACTTAGTGTGAGTGAGGTTGGTGAGGCCCCCAGTGATGTCCAGAATCATGTTGAGGAGCTTGTCCTTGAAGTACAGTGTCTGCTTGGTGCACCAAAGGTACTTCTCCTCCGTTTCTCCCTTCCAGGCGTTCACTGGAATCCCAGCCTTGGCAATGGCAGCTGCTGCATGGTCCTGGGTGGAGAAGATGTTGCAGCTGGACCACTGCACTTCAGCACCCAGGACAAGGAGGGTCTCAGTGAGGACGACTGTCTCCACAGTCATGTGCAGGCAGCCAGTGATGCGGACGCTCTTCAGTGGCTTGGAGGCTGAGTACAGCTCCTACACGTGCATCAGGCCTGGCTTCTTGTTCTCCTCAGTGTCCAGGGCCTTGCATCCCCAGGCGGCCAAACCAATGTCAGCAACCTCGTAGAGTAGTTAATGAGACATTCTGGCGGTGCTTCTGCACAGAATGATGGACACGGGAAAAGGGGACCAAGCCTCAAACCGGGGACAGGCACAGGGCCGGCAGCACTGGGCAGGGCAACAGTGGTATTTGTAATGGGATAGTCAGGGAAGGACTCCCTGTGAAAGTGACATTTCCATAGAGCCTTTGGTGAAGAGAGGGAACAAGCCATGGATACATGTGGGAGAAGAGCAACCAGGCAGTGGGAGCAGCACAGGTGAAGGCAGTGAGGCAGGAAAAGGTGGGTGTGCTGGAGGAACAGCAAGGAGGCCATATGGCTGGCATAGAGTGAATGAGTGGGATCATGATAAGAGATGATCTCAGATGGGTGGGAAGGGAATGGAGCAGAGATTACGTAGGGCTTTGTAGGTCACTAAAATATGTTTATCCAGAATAATGCAAGAAGTGAATAATGTTAGTAATTTATTTAAAAATCATAGCTTTTATTCATATGATACAATTAGCAACATTGTATAAAAATTTTCATTCCAATTTTTTTTTTTAGCCAAAGCATAAGTATCCTGTGGTTTCTTTACTGAGCATTTATTCTTTTCTATCCATCTGTTTTTTATTGCCTAAAGACAATGATTACCACTGGTAAAGCCTTCACATAAAATAAATTTAACGCTTATTTGAGCAATAAAGGATTCATGAATGAGGCAGCACTCAAAATTGGAATAAGTTCAAGGCTGGGTGCAGTGGCTCATGCCTGTAATTCTAATACTTTAGGAAACTGAGGTGGAAGGATCGCTTGAGCCTAGGAATTCAAAACGAGCCTAGGCAACATGGTGAGACCTTGTCTCTACCAAAAAGTTAAAAAAAAAAAAATAGCCCAGCATGGTGGTGCATGCCTGTAGTCCCAGTTACTTGGGAGGCTGAGGTGGGAGGATGGCTTGGACCCGGGTCAAGTCTGCAGTGAGGTGTGATTGTGCCACTGCCCTCCAGCCTGGGTGACAGCACAAGACTTTGTCTCAAAAAAAAAAAAAAAAAAAAGAATAACTTCAGAGAGCTCCACTTTAACAGCATGAGCAGCAGCATGCTTATAGGCTGAACATGGAGGCAAAAGTAAAGAAGTTACTTCATTGGCTACAGCTAGGCATTTGCCTTGCTTAGGTATGATCCAGTGAAAGTCCCTAGTTATATAACTAACAGCTGGCTGGCTGTTTGTCATTGGCTGGTAGTTGGCTCTATGATTGGCTGAAGCATGGCTTGGGGTGTGTGTGTGTGTGTGTGTGTGTGTGTGTGTGTATGTTTAAATGTAATCAGTTTCCCAGAGGACGAAGAGAAGCTAAGCAGAGCATACATGCTCAAGTATTTACATCTCAAATTTACCCACCAAATAAATGACTTCCCTGGGAAGAGCTAATAAAGAGGTGCAGGAAGGTCAGGAGTTACACTAATTACATTCCCTCCACAAGGAAGAAACATCAAAAATGGGAGAGAAAGTTCCTCCCTCGCGATTGTCCAACAATCTAAAAAAAAAAAAAAAACTCTAGTTCACAGACATGTAAGATATTAGCATTATGAAAAAGAGGAACATTTGCTAGAATTTAAAGACCCAGAGATTTGACAATGCATATGAATAGCTAAAGATAATACACCCATATCATAAGTAATCTTTTTCTTTTCTTTTCTTTTTTTTTTTTTTTTTGAGACGGAATCTCACTCTTTTTGCCTAGGCTGGAGTGCAGTGGTGCGATCTCAGCTCACTGCAACCTCCACCTCCTGGGCTCAAGCGATTCTCCTGTCTCAGCCTCCTAAGTAGCTGGGATTACAGGCTCACGCCATCAGGCCTGGCTAATTTTTGTATTTTTAGTAGAGATGTGTTGGCCAGGCTGGTCTCAAACTTCTGACCTCAGGTGATCCACCTGCCTTGGCTTCCCTAAGTGCTAGGATTACAGGCGTGAGCCACCGCACCTGGCCCCACAAGTAATTTTTTTCAATTCTCTTCCAGATTTTCTTTTCCAGAGACAGGGTCTCTGTCTGTCACCCAGGCTATAGTGCAATGGCACAATCAGACCTCACTGCAGCCTTGAACTCTTGGCTTCAAGTGATCCTCCCACCTTGGCCTCCCAAAGCCCTGGGATCACAGGTGTGAGCACCATAGCAGGCCTCTTCCAGCTTTTTTTTTTTTTTTTTTTTAAATATTTGGGCTTTACTCCTGATTTCAGGCAATGATAAACTAAGTTTACATTAGCAAGAAAATGGTGACAGAGGGAAGAGGGGAAAAGTAAGAAAGGTCAGGAAGTAAGGGAATTAGGAACAAAGAAGAAAAGAGAAAGGAAGATGAGATAATTGTTTTTAGAAAGTAGGTGTAAATAGTCTCAGACTTTTTCTATGCATCTCCACTGCATTCTACAGAGTTGAGAGAAAGTCGATAAAAAATTTTAATTAGTTACAAGGAATTCCTCTAAATTAAGTTTTGGTTTGCTTGTGTAAGGTTTCTGGGTGCAGAAACAACCCCAGGCTAATGGCCTTCTGCTTATTTTGCTTTAACACCATATCAGACCAGTTGCATGGCCCATTAAACACTTTATCTCTAGAGGATGCATCACCAGACAAAATGGTGGCAAGTCTTGGCTGTCCTCCTAGATATCAACATCAAAGGTTAGGTACTTACCACTCTTTGCGCTTCACTAGGACTCTATCAGCCACTGGTTTATCTTAACTTATAAAAAAAATTGATTAATTCCCCACCTAGGGTCATATGAATTTTATTTATTTATGTTTATTTATTTATTTATTTTGAGACAGAGTTTTGCTGTGCCAACCAGGCTGGAGTGCAGTGGCTCCATCTCGGCTCACTGCAACCTCCGCCTCCCGGGTTCAAGCACTTCTCATGCCTCAGCCTCCCAAGTAGCTGGGATTACAGGTGCGCACCACCACGCTGACTAATTTTTGTAGTTTTAGTAGAGATGGGGTTTCACCATGTTGGCCAGGCTGCTCTTAAAATCCTGACCTCAGGTAATCCACCCACCTCGGCCTCCCAAAATGCTGGGATTACAGGCATGAGCCACCACACCTGGACAAATTTTATTGATTTTTATTTATTTATATTTTTGAGACAGGGTTTTGTTGTGTCACCCAGACTGGACTGTAGTGGCAAAATCACAGTTCACTGCAGCCTTGACCTCCTGGGCTCAAGCAATCCTCCCACCTCAGCCACCCAAGTAGCTGGGACTATAGACGTGCACTACCACGCCAGACTAATTAAAAAAAAATTTTTTTTTTTTTGGTAGAAACTCACTATGTTGCCCAGGCTGGTCTTGAATACTCCTGGGTTCAAGCAGTCCTCCTGCCTTGGCTTCCAAAAATGCTGGGATTACAGGTGTGAGCCACCACATTGGCTGAGTTTTATTTATTTATTTTTATTTTTTGAGATGTAGTCCTGCTCTTTTGCCCAGGCTGGAGTGCACTGGCGCGATCTCGTCTCACTGCAACCTCCGCCTCCCGGGTTCAAGCAATTCTCCTGTCTCAGCCTCCTGAGTTGCTGGGACTATAGGCACATGCCACCACCCCCAGCTAATTTCTTCTGTATTTTTAGTAGAGACAGGGTTTCACCATATTGGTCAGGCTGGTCTCGAACTCCTGACCTCAGGTAATCCACCCACCTCAGCCTCCCAAAGTGCTGGGATTAAAGGCGTGAGCTATCACACCTGGCCTGAGTTTTACTTTTTAATATGAAGTTATACTTCTCTCTAACTGGACTAAACTTACCTCAATAAGGTAAGAGATGCCCTCTCATTCTATGATTTCATGAGTTAATGAACAACTCTGTTTACTTTTTATCCCTTCTTAATTTTACAGTTAGGTCTTCTCTCTGCCCTTGTTTGTTTCATTTAAGATAATTAGAGTTTTAATCTGGTTAGTATGTTATTGAGGGGTTCCCCATTTCACTGATTACTTTGTCTTCTTCTGAACCTTCCCTGCTTTTAGTAGCTCTTTCTCACAGTTGTGATACTTGGGATACAGTATTAGAAATGGAGATACACATGGTTTTATCCCAACAAGGGAAAGTTTTCAGTGTTTGAGCCTATCACACAAAATTTTTACCTACTGATGGAGGTCAGCAAAGACTTACTTAATCCTCTTCTTCTTCTTCTTTTTTTTTTTTTTTTTTTTTGTTGTTGTTGTTGAGACGGAGTCTTGCTCTGTCACCCAGGCTAGAGTGAAGTGGCGCCATGTAGGCTCACTGCAACCTTTGCCTCCCAGGTTCAAGCGATTCTCCTGCCTTAGCCTCCTGAGTAGCTAGGACTACAGGCATGTGCCACCACGCCTGGCTACTTTTTTGTATTTTTAGTAGAAATGGGTTTTCACCATGTTGGCCAGGCTGGTCTCAAACTCCTGACTTCAAGCAATCAGCCTGCCTCGACCTCCCAAAGTGCTGGGATTATAGGCGTGAGCCACTGTGCCCGGCCAGTCTTACTTAATCTTTTTATGAACTCAGCCATAAAAAGGAATGAAATAATGTCTTTTGTAGCAACTTGGTTGGAGCTGGAGGCCATTATTCTAAGTAACTCAGAAATGAAAAACCAAATATCATATGTTCTCACTTATAAGTGGGAGCTAAACTATGAGGATGTAAAGGCATAAGAATGATATAACATACTCTGGAAACTTGGGAGGAGAAGGGAGAGGGATGAGAGGGATAAAAGACTACATATAGCAGTCTTTTGGGCACACCTTACACTGCTCAGGTGATGGGTGCACCAGAATCTCAGAAATCACTACTAAATAACTTATCCAGGTAACTGAAAACCACCTGTACCCCAAAAACTATTGAAATAAAAATAAAAATAAACTTCTTATGAATTGTCTCTGCAATTTTGTCATATTAACATTAACTGGCAAAAAGAGAATCCCATTCAACAACCATAGGAACTGTTGAGCTATAAATGTACTGAATTGAGATCATAACATCAACACACATACTTAAGTATTTTCTATATATTTACAAAAAATAGCTATTAAGTTTTAGCTGTAGTAATATTTTAAAGGAAGCACATAATTTAAAGAAGATACTTCAAGTCAAAATTCTAAAAAAATTATGGCTGGGCACAGTGGTTTACACCTGTAATCCCAGCACTTTGAGAAGCCAAATCAGTATAATATCTTGAAGACAGGAGTTTGAGACCAGCCTGGGCAACATAGTGAGACCCTGCCTCAATGGTAATAATAATAATAATAAGTTGTATGAAGTGGCTCATGCCTGTAGTCTCAGCTACATGGGAGGCTGGGGTGGGAGGACTGCTTGAGCCTAAGAGATTGAGGCTGCAGAGAGCCATGATTGCATCACTGCACTCCAGCGTGGGCGACACAGCAAGATCTTGTCTTTAAAAAGAGAAAAAAATTCTAAAAAAAATTTCTGCAATTTATTCTCCTTTATGTGACTCCTAACTAACAAGTAATATGAGGTCATCTATGGGAATAGAAATGTGATGTTTTTATGGAGTGTTTACTTCTTCCAAATCATTGGCAAATGTATTAAATAATACATGCCTGGTGGTTTTCAAACTTCCATGTTATCAAGCAATACATGGCTTGAATAAACAGCACAACAACACCCAGTGTAGGCCCAAAACAAAAACTTGCAAACTCAGGGCTAAACAAATGCATGGGATCCCCTAGTCTCTCACCAACCCATAGAAAGCTGTGTTCGCTGCTGATATGACTGGACGCACCTTTGAAAGTGTTTCAGAAGAGAGATCAGACTCACTGCCACTTCACTTATCCATGAAGGAGTTTGGAGGGAGCAGAGATCACTCAGCCAATTTGGAAAACTTGGAGTTTTTCTATTGGGGTTAAAATAGTGTTGGTCTATGTATGTAACATAGCTTTTTTTTTTTTTTTTTTTTTTTTTTTGAGACAGAGTTTTGCTCTTGTTGCCCAGGCTGGAATGCAATGGCACGATCTTGGCTCACGGCAACCTCCACCTCCCAGGTTCAAGCGATTCTCAAGTAGCTGGGATTACAGGCATGCGCCACGAAGCCCGGCTAATTTTGTATTTTTAGTAGATATGGGGTTTCTCCATGTGGGTCAGGCTGGTCTCGAACTCCCAACCTCAGGTGTTCCGCCCACCTCGGCCTCCCAAAGTGCTGGGATTACAGGCGTGAGCCACTGCGCCTGGCCATATGTAACAAGCTTTTAGACACCCATCAGCTGGGGAGTTTTCCATATCAATCCTGGTTTCTGCCTTAGGCTGAGCCAGCTTGTTGCTAAGCTGCCCGATGAGAGCCAGAGTACCTGTGTTATCTAGCAGACAGATGAGTGTGTCTTTCCTCAAGTATGCATAACAGCCATCCTGGTGTTTTCACTCAGTAGGTAAAGAGATGGAGCCAAGAAGATTTTTTTTTTTGAGACAGAATCTCACTCTGTGGCCCAGTCTAGAATGCAGTGGAGCGATCTCAGCTTTCTGCAACCTCCACCTCTTGGGTTTAAGCAATTCTCCTGCCTCAACCTCTGGAGTAGCTGCGACTACAGGTGTGTGCCACCACGCCCAGCTAATTTTTGTGTTTTTAGTAGAGATGGGATTTTGCCATGTTGGCCAGGCTGGTCTCCAACTCCTGACCTCAAGCAATCCACCCGCCTCGGCCTCCCAAAGTGCTGGGATTATAGGCGTGAGCCACTGCAACCAGTCCCAAGAAGCATTTTTAAATGCTCATGGTGACTCTCATGCTGGTGGTCACAGATTGCCCCTGAAGAAAGAAACACTACTTTACTCAGTCATGAGACAACATTCTCCTCAATCTGAATTTGCTTTTTAAATAGCTGTGAGAAATCTTGCGGAAGATTTTTGAAATTTTAACTAGATGATGAGATTCTTTATATAGTTACTGGGAGTTTATAATCTTATCTCTGTAATATTTTTAAATTCTAAATCTCCCAGTATGTCATTCTATAATCTGCCAAATACAGAGGTACAATGTATAAATCACTTTTAATGGTTCTTTTTGTGATAGAAATGTATGAAAGGGCGATACCATTCTGGTTGTTTTTCCTACATTTATATAACAAATTATAACAAAACTGTTAAAAAAGTTTTGTCACAGAGGTGCGAGTATATTAGGTATGTAAACATGTAGTAAGTGTGAATGTGTGTCCTCTCTGTGGGTCAGAATAGTGTGTGAACTGGGTATTTCTATGATTACACAGTACCTCTGTAGATAGGTGAGCATATTTCAGAATGTAATGGAGTGTCTGTGTATTGTATATGAATGGAGAAAAATGGGATGACTGGATGAGCTTGTTTACATATCTCTGTCTAGGAGTGTGATAATTTAGATTATGGGAAAATTCTTAAGTAGACTTTTTCATTGTTTCATAATTGGACTGTATGGAAAAGATCAAGTGATTTATATTTTCTTCTTTTTATGAGAAAAGTGTCAAATATGATTAGCAGATTATATTGATGATTTCTGTTGTTCCAACTCATGTTTCAATATGGACAAACACAAAATTTTCATAGAATCTTGTATATGAAAAAATCTCATATTCATGTTACAAAAGGATTAAATATACACAGTAGGTGCTCAATGTATGCTACCTGACTGCTAATGTAGCTGACACCAAGGAGGGAAAATTAAGGAGTGGTTTAGTACCCTTCAATAATCTCCACCAGCAACCCCCCCTCCTATTCTTTAATGGAGACAGGGAATACTTTTATCAATTTTGTTGTAAATTACCATGTAAACGCACCTTCAAGCCTGCCCTTCCAACCTGATTGGGTTCCTATGCCCTTACTATACACAAAATCCGAAACTGGCAATGACTGTGATTCACTAATATATGTTGCCTTTGAGATAATCTGGCTCTCTTTCCACAATTAATTTATTTTTCACAATAAATTTGTTATTCTATTTAGTAGCAAGATCAGGTAGACAGAGACACAAGGTCATTTAAGATCCCTATGTCTCCAAATCTCTTCCTCTGACTTATGCCACCATTAAAAATTCATTCCTTCCTATTAAAATGTAGCATCTTCTCTTGAGACCAGGAGTTTGAGATCAGCCTGAGCAACACAGCAAAACCAGTTTTGGAAAAGAAAAGAAAAGAAAAGAAAAAAAAAGGTAGCATCTCTGGGACAACCTTCTGTCTTAGCATTTAACTATTTTCCCAAACCAGGCAGCCTATTAATAATGAGAGGGAGTTAAACACATGACAGGTAAATTTTGAAAAGATTATCAAAATTATCTACACTTTCAAAGTGAAGATAACAAAGATGAAAGTATTGTGGGAGCCAAAAATTTCACAGAGAGACCTTGGGCAGCTGAGAGGCTTCACGAGGAATTGGAACATATAAACCCTCCCAATTAGAGGAGGACGCAAGGTCCGAAAGAGAAGGTCCATGTGCTTCCCCATTTCGACTAGAATCCAACTCCACAAGGACTTTGTAAATCACATATATATGGTTCATAGTTTAATCTTTCCATCCACTGATCCAGGAAAATTATACTCTGCTAGTAATAACTATGTTCATACACAATTATTTTGGGCACAATTTCTCTGACATGGATAGAATCTTTTTCCAAAACTGAAATTTTAATGTAAATTTAAACTTTTTTTTTTTTTTTTTTTTTTTTTGAGACGGAGTCTTGCTCTGTTGCCCAGGCTAGAGTGCAGTGGCGCGATCTCGGCTCACTGCAAGCTCTGCCTCCCGGGTTCATGCCATTCTCCTGCCTCAGCCTCCCGAGTACCTGAGACTACAGGCGCCCGCCACCACGCCCAGCTAATTTTTTTTGTATTTTTAGTAGAGACGGGGTTTCACCATGTTAGCCAGGATGGTCCCAGTCTCCCGACCTCATGATCCGTCTGCCTCAGCCTCCCAAAGTGCTGGGATTACAGGTGTGAGCCACCACGCCTGGCCTTTTTTATTTTTGAGACCGGTTCTCACTCTGTAGCCCAGGCTGGAGTGCAGTGGCATGATCTCTGCTCACTGCAACCTCCCCTTCCCAGGCTCAAGCAATCCTCCCACCTCAGTCTCCCTAGTAGCTGGGACCACAGGCACACACCACCACACTCAGCTAATTTTTGTATTTTTTGTAGAGACAGGATTTCACCATGTTGCCCAGGCTGGTCTCGAACTCCTGGGCTCAAGCAATCCTCCTGCCTCAGCCTCCCAAAGTGCTGGGATTATAGACATGAGCCACCCTGCCTGGCCAAGACTATTTTATTATAGACTTAAACATTACATGTTTAAGCTGTATTCATTTCTTAATAATCATTGACATTGATTCAAATAATTTTGTAACTAGAAGTGAGTGATCCCTTTGATTTTTTTTTTTGAGATGAAGTCTCACTCTGTCGCCAGGCCTCCTGGCGACTTGAACCCACCTCCCAGATTCAAGTGATTCTCCTGCCTCAGCCTCCTGAGTAGCTGGGACTATAGGCATGCACCACCTCGCCCAGCTAATTTTTGTATTTTTAGTAGAGACGGGGTTTCACCATGTTGGCAAGGATGGTCTTGATCTCTTGACCTCATGATCTGCTCACCTTGGCCTCCCAAAGTGCTGGGATTACAGGTGTGAGCCACCGCGCCCGGCCGATCCCTCTGATTTTTATATATCAATATTTATATTCTGCCAAGAAATATTGTATAACTTGACCCCGATTCATTTATGAATATGCCTCAGAGCTCTTTCATCTCTTTTGCACCTCTGTGCCTTTTGCACTATCTATCCACCTAGAAAACTTTGTCCTTCAGAACAGAGTTCTTACTTTATCCAGGCTCTGTGAAGGAGGCAGGCAGAACAAGCAACTCCTTCTTCTATATTCCTATTGCACCTTGTACATAAATGCTTCCTTTAAGCACTAGTTATATTTATGGAATTATTACTTATAAACCTTTTCTTCTCCTCTTTAAAAAAATCTTGTTTGACTTTCTAACATCTAGTGTAGAGTCTGGCACATGGTGGTCAATTGGAAACCAATAAATGTTTGATTAATAGGCAAATAAAACTTCCTACTTAAAACATTAAATAGCTGCCTATCACTTTTAAGATACAATAGACTCCTCAATGCACATACAGGGTTTTTGTGCTCCCTTCTCCAGTTTCATCTCGTGTCAGGCCTCCACAACACCCTAATTTCTAGCCATGCTGAACTATTGCAGTTCTCTCAACAAGCTTAGCTTCCTTGCATTTACTTCTGTACTCTTTGTTCACCTGGAACATTCTCCCTCCCCTCAAACCATTTGGCAATTTCCATTAACCTTGTAATCTTCATCTCAAGTTTTCTCTTTCCTGCAAACTCTATTTTCATCCCCTCCTTGCCCTTTCCGCTGTGCTCCCTCAGCATTGTGTAATTATCCTTAGTGTAATTGTTTGCCTTTTGGTCTACCAACGGCAGAGTAGAAATCACGGCCTATTTCCCACTCCTATTCTGCAGCTCCTTGAGGACTAGATGTAGTCCCACTGCTGCCACTGTGTTTTGTGCGTTTGAATATAACTGAGGGGTGGGAGGCACCAAGAGTGAAAGGAGGAAGCACAGCAATTCCCTTACCATACAGTTTGCTCAACTCCTGTCTTGTAGGCCGTTACTCTGAAGATGGGATGTTTGGCTTACAAACTACTCGGCAAATATCATTTTCCAACAATGCTAATTATCTCGCAATGGTCCAACAAGGTTTGGCAAGCTTCAGCGTTTCAGAAACAATTCTCATGTCAGAAACAATTCAGCATTTCAGAAACAACGGCAATCTAAGGAATCATATATAGAAAGATGAAAAAAACATGGATGTCTTTGAAAAATTCTAACTCCAGGCCGGGTGTGGTGTCTCACTCCTGTAATCCCAGCACTTTGGGAGGCCGAGGCAGGCGGATCACGAGGTCAGGAGATCGAGACCATTCTGGCCAACATGGTGAAACTCTGTCTCTACTAAAAATACAAAAATTAGCCAGGCGTGGTGGCACGTGACTGTATTCCCAGCTACTCAGGAGGCTGAGGCAGGAGAATCGCTTGGACCTGGGAGGCGGAGGTTGCAGTGAGCCGATAAAGCGCCACTGCACTCCAGCCTGTGCGACAGATGAGACTCCGTCTAAAAAAAAAAAAAAAGATTCTAACTCCAAACTTAAATTGGGGGACAATGAAGGAAATGAAATCACTTCTTCCTTCTGACAATGTACCCCTTCTACAGACTCCTCCTCCCACCAGCACTTTAGGCTTTCATGCTGCCACTGTCATTCCCAGCCTCCCCCTGCACCCACCCTAGCATCCTACCCTCCTTCCCCAGGGCCTTTCCTCTTCATGGATCTTTGTGAATTCATCCTCTCCAAGGAAGTGATTTCCGTCTCTCTGCCTATTAGCCAGATGATCTGGTAATCTTTAATAAACATTAATGGATAACCCCCCAAAACTCTTCGAAAACATTGCCTTTGAACTAGACCCTTACGTTAATAATGTCAGTCAGTGTTTTACCCCAAGGTACATGTCCCTTCCTGTTGGGACAGAGAAGTGCTCTAGATTGTCTGCTGGAGTTTCGTAACATTTACTAAAAATGCCTTCAAATTTCATGTGTCCCTGCCAATTATCTCCTGGCACATAAAAGTAATCTTATATACTCAGTGTTTCTTTTTATGCCCTTTTCTTGGGCCTACCAGGAAACATCTTTCCTGGCAAATGGTGTCAAACTGAAGAAGCTAAATCTTTGGCCAACTGTAAGAGGAAACCTCAAAATAAGAACAAAGAAATTAACCAGAGTGTGCAACTTAACATGCACAGGCTAAGAATCTTTTTTCACTTTTCCTTCCCTCTTTTTTTCTCCCTTCTTTCTTCCTTCCATTTATTAAACAAAGTCTATTCCAAAGTCTACAACAAAAATTTCCTGGATGAAACTGCAGATAGCATACTGTAACAATGAAGAGCACAGGCTCTGGAACTAGATGCCCCTTTTTGAATCCTAGCTCTGCCAGTTAATAGGTATGTGACCTAGGTCAAGTTATTTCACTTCTCTGCCCCTCCATTTTGTCATTTATAAAACAGAGATATTAATAATAGTATGTACCTCATAGAGTGGCTGTGAGGAATAAGTTATTTATTACCTAAGAAGTGCTTAGCACAGAACTGTTCCCCCAAATATTAGCTACAGTTAACTGCTGCTTAATTCTAGGTGGCTAATGGGACTTAATTAGGGGTTCAGCGGAGTATGGGGAGAAGAAGGTTTTTAGGTAAAGGAAATATTTTATGTGGAGTCCTTGAAGGAGGAAGGAGGTGCAGAATATGGGGAAACTGATAAAACTTGATAGTAGCTAGTGAGGTAGGCAGGGGTGAGATCATTCAGGGCCTTGTAGACCATATATAGGATTTTGTTTTCATCCTAAAAGCCATGAAAAGCCTTTGAAGGGTTGTTAGCAAGGAGATGACATAATTTGATTTGCTTTTCTAAAGATAACTCCTGTTGCTGTGGGAGAGAATAGTTTGAAAGCAAGCAAGAGGAAATACGGGGAGATCAGTGAGAAGTGGGTGTAGTTGTCAGGTCAAGATAATGTATTGCCTTTGACCAAGTTGGCAGTAGTAGACATAGAAATGGACAAGGCAAAAGGCCATTTTTTAAAATCTAATTATTATATTTTTTGAGATGGAGTCTCGCCCTGTCACCCGGACTGGAGCGCAGTGGTGCGATCTCGGCTCACTGCAACCTCTGCCTGCCAGGTTCAAGCAATTCTCCTGCCTCAGCCTCCTGAGTAGCTGGGACTACAGGTGCACGCCACCATGCCCGGCTAATTTTTTGTATTTTTAGTAGAGATGGGGTTTCACCATGCTGGCCAGGCTGGTCTCAAACTCCTGACTTCATGATCTGCCCGCCTCGGCCTCTCAAAGTGCTGGGATTACAGGCATGAGTGACTGCGCCCGGCAATTGACCGTTTATGAGTTAGAACAGGATTGGATGCTAGAGGCAAGGAGAGGGTGTAACATGTATGAGGAGGGAAAAAACATAATGATGCTAGTCTCTAACTTGAGCCACTGGGTGGATGATTGAGCCATTCATCAACATGGAGACCATCAGAAAAGGATTAGGTTGTGGGAGAAAAGGAGAGGACTTATATTGAATATGTTGGATTTGAAATGGCTGGGACACCTCCAAATGGAGTTAGATTGGATATATGGGTCCACGACTTGGAGACAAAATTTGACTTGGCTGCTCTTAAATTCACAGTCAAGGTGAAAAGGACAACTTCAGTTAGCGAGTGATAAAACAGTAATCAATAGGCCGGGCACAGTGGCTCACGCCTGTAATCCCAGCACTTTGGGAAGCTGAGGTGGTCAGATCATCTCAGGTCTGGAGTTTGAGACCAGCCTGACCAACATGGTGAAACTCCGTCTCTACTAAAAATACAAAATTAGCTGGGTGTGGTGGCGCATGCCTGTAATCCCAGCTACTTCAGAGGTTGAGGCAGAAGAATCCCTTGAATCCGGGAGGCAGAGGTTTCCGTGAGCCAAGATTGCGCCATTGTACTCCAGCCTGGGCAACAAGAGTGAAACTCCATCTCAAAAACAAACAAACAAAAAAACAGTAATCAATAAACAAGTCAACATTTGGTTAAGAGAGGAAAAACTTTCCCATGGCTATTGGTTGGAGCATGAGGGACAAATAGACTGCTTAGAAAGACTGGATTTCAAGCAAGCATTTCAGAAAGTGACAATTTAGTCTTTGATAATTGTCAAATAAACAACTTATCAGCCAGGTGCGGTGGCTCACGCCTGTAATCCCAGCACTTTGGGAGGCCAAGGCGGGCGGATCACGAGGTCAGGAGATCAAGACCATCCCGGCTAACACGGTGAAACCCTGGCTCTACTAAAAATACAAAAAATCAGCCAGGCATGGTGGCGTGCACCTGTAGTCCCAGCTACTTGGGAGGCTGAGGCAGGAGAATGGTGTGAACCCAGGAGGCGGAGCTTGCAGTGAGCCGAGATGGTGCCACTGCACTCCAGCCTGGGCGACAGAGCGAGACTCCATCTCAAAAAAAAAAAAAAAATAAGAGACTTATCAATGTAAAAAATATTTTACTTGAAGAAAGGGAAAAGGAGACAAGCAGAGAGTTTCTGTGTCTAGTCTTGAAACACTTTTCTGCTGCAAATCAGAACTATCAACCAAGAACAACTAATCTTTTGCAAATTGAAAAACTCCCAGAGGCTTAGATTTTAAGTGGATACTTAAGGTAAATATAGTGCTTTCTGGAGTCTGAAAGATCTCTATTAATTTTGCTTAAACATTCCAGGTTAAATTATCAGAGCCTCATATCTGCAGCATAGCTTTGAAGTTAATCTTGTAGAGATTCTTCAGACATTGGACTAAGTCTTTTAGAGCTTTTGAACAAAGCTCCAGCTATGATGAAAGATATGGATTCATATTTCAAGATTAAGCAGGCTATATAAAATATTGTGTCCATGAGGATGTCAGAAAAGATACTTTTGTTATAGAAAATCTCAAACACAGGCTGGATGCAGTGGCTCACACCTGTAATGCCAGCACTTTGGGAGGCCAAGGAGGGTGGATCACCAGAGGTCAGGGGTTTGAGACCAGCCTGGCCAACATGATGAAACCCTGTCTCTACTAAAAATGCAAAAAATTAGCCAGGTGTGGTGGCAGGCACCTGTAATCCCAGCTACTTGGGAGGCTGAGGCAGGAGAATCACTTGAACCCAGGAGGGGGAGGTTGAAGTGAGCCAAGATCGTACCACTGCACTCCAGCCTGGGCAACAAGAGCAAAACTCCATCTCAAAAAAATGAATAAATAAGAAAATCTCAAACACAAAAAAGGAGAATAGTGCAGTGAATCCCCATGTTCCCATTGCCTCACTTCAACCACTATCAATTGCCTACTTGTAAAAAGATGTATTTTGAAAGTAGTGGTACTTTCTCCTTTGCAAAAGTAATATTTATTTATAGATGAAAAAGGCAAGGCAGATTAACTAGGAGAAGAAAATTCATACCAGTCACAATTCCAGCCCATCCAGTGGGGCTGACAGTAGTCTAGTTGGTGCTTTTGAACAATTCAGAAAAAAGTGCTCCTTGCTTTGGATGTATGCAACCCTGAACTCAGGGTGCATAACTTGGCTTGTGGAATGTGAACTTGATTCCTGCTTTCACTCTTCCCTAGCTAAGCTTCCCTCTAAGAACTCAATATACACAGGAGACATGGCAGCCCTGCCTTCTAGTCTCCTTTTTCTGCACACATACATTTACATAGTTGGTATCATTACTATACATACTGTTTTATAATCTCCTGTTTCAATTAATATCTTATAAACACTTTTCCTTGTTATTATTGAATTCTAAAATATCATTTTAATGACCACAATATTCTGTTATAATCCCCTAATTAATTTAACTTTACTGTTGGACTTTTAGATTATTTATGATTTGTGAATATTATACAATCATTGTAATATATATTCTTATGTGTTTGTAATGTAAATGTTGGTGCACATCCACAGTAAACCCCTTAAAATAAATTTTCTGAAGTAAAATTCCTGGGACAGGTGTCATGGCAGACTCCAAGCTTTTTAATACCTAAAACTGCCTTTCAGTGAGGGTCATACCCCATTAGCCAGCTTGGCAGGAGACTGCTCATGTTCTCAAAAGCTTGCTAACATTAGATGATGAAAGATATGGAATAATATTTAAAATACATTAATATTTGATGAAAGATGCAGATTTGTATTTTTAAAATAAAAACAGGAAATAAACACAACACTTTGTCGGTTTGACAATTGAAAAAACAGTACTGGCCGGGCAAGGTGGCTCACGCCTGTAATCCCAGCACTTCAGAAGGCCAAGGCAGGTGGATCACCGGAGATCAGGAGTTCGAGACCAGCCTGGCTAACATGGTGAAACCCCATCTATACTAAAAATACAAAAATTAGCCAGGCATGGTGGCGGGTGCCTGTAATCCCAGCTCCTCGAGAGGCTGAGGCAGGAGAATCGCTTGAACCCGGGGGGGTGGAGGTTGCAATGAGCCACGATCACACCCCTGCACTCCAGTCTGGGCATGACTCCATCTCAAGAAAAACAAAACAAAACGAAAAGGGCCGGGCGAGGTGGCTCATGTCTATAATCCCAGCACTTTGGGAGGCGGAGGCAGGCAGATCATGAGGTCAAGAGATCGAGAGCATCCTGGCCAACATGGTGAAGCTCCGTCTCTACTAAAAATACAAGACTTAGCTGGGCATGGTAGCGCATGCCTGTAGTCCCAGCTACTTGGGAGGCTGAGGCAGGAGAATCACTTGAACCCGGGAGGCGGAGGTTGCAGTGAGCCCTGCGCCACTGCACTCCAGTGTGGCGACACAGCGAGACTCCATCTAAAAAAAAAAGT
The DNA here is from genome assembly GCF_000001405.40 of Homo sapiens. Taxonomy (NCBI): domain Eukaryota; kingdom Metazoa; phylum Chordata; class Mammalia; order Primates; family Hominidae; genus Homo; species Homo sapiens. The sequence continues at coordinate 50,401,057 of NC_000015.10, read as the reverse complement.
AGAAGAAGAAACAGTACCAAAGGAGAAAAAAAAAAGATTTGTAAGGGGGAGGGCATTTAAAGTATGAAGGAAAAAAAAAGAAAAAGAAAACAGATACCCAATATTGATTTATTTGGGTTTCTTTGAGTACTATTAAAGTGGAAAATGCTTTTATATGTATATTAGTCATTCTTTTTTTTTTTTTTTTTTTTTTTGTGAGATGAAGTGTATAAGCTCCGCCTCCTGGGTTCATGCCATTCTGCCTCAGCCTCCCGAGTAGCTGGGACTACAGGTGCTCACCACCATGCCAGGCTAATTTTTTGTACTTTTAGTAGAGAGGAGTTTCACCATGTTAGCCAGGATGTTCTCAATCTCCTGACCTCGTGATCCACCTGCCTCAGCCTCCCAAAGTGCTGGGATTACAGGCGTGAGCCACTGCGCCTGGCTAGTCATGCTTAATTATTCCTTTACAACTTTTTACTGGTATATTTTCTGATTTGAGAAATATTTTTGAAGTTATTCAGTATTATTTGTTGCACCACCCAAACATTACTAAAAGTATAAGAAGGTGTCTTAGTCCATTTGTGCTACTACAACAAAATTCCTAAGACTGGATAAGTTACAAACAACAGAAATATATTTCTCAGAGTTCTGGAGACTAGGAAGTCCAAGATCAAGGTGCCAGCAAGTTTGGTGTTTGGCGAGGGCTGCTCTCTGCTTTCAAGATGGTGCCTTGAAAACTATGTCCTCACATGGTAGAAGAGACAGAAGGACAAAAAGGCCAAATGATACATGAAGCCTCTTTATAAAGGCCTTAATTCCATTCTCAAGGGAAGAGTGCTCATGACCTAATTGCCTCCTAAAGGCCCCACCTCTTAATACTGGTGCATTGAAGATTAAGTTTCAACATAAATTTTGGAAGGTCACAAACATTCAAACTATAGCAGAAAGCAATTATGAAGAGGCAATACATAACCATATTTAAAGAGATGTCAGTATTTGGCTGGGCATGGTGGCTTACGCCTGTAATACCAGCACTTTGGCAGGCCGAGGCGGGCAGATCACCTAAGGTCAGGAGTTCAAGACCAGCCTGGCCGTTTCTACTAAAAATACAAAAAATTAGCTGGGTGTGGTGGCACGCGGCGGTAATCCCAGCTACTCGAGAGGCTGAGGCATATATATATATATTTTTTGAGATGGAGTCTCGCTCTGTCGCCAGGCTGGAGTGCAGTGGCGTGATCTTGGCTCACTGTAACCTCCGCCTCCCGGGTTCAAGCGACTCTCCTGCCTCAGCCTCCCAAGTAGCTGGGACTACGGGTGCGTGCCACCACACTCAGCTAATTTTTGTATTTTTAGTAGAGACGGGGTTTCACCTTGTTGGCCAGGATGGTCTCAATCTCTTGACCTTGTGATATGCCCATCTCGGCCTCCCAAAGTGCTGGGATTACAGGCGTGATCCACTGCACTCGGCTGGCTGAGGCATATTTATTTGGTTTGTTGGTACTGAATATTTTGAGGGAAGAGACATATATTAGGTTGAACCATGTGAAATTGCCACTATCTGACTGTTTGACTTATCAAAATGACATTTCATCTGGTTCAAGCTGCTGTTTTGGTGTGTGGACATATTGTGGCTGAAAATGACTTCATATTTTTCCAAGGGTCTTAAAATACTTCACAAACTTTGTTTCTCTCATGCCATTCTTTTTCCTCTGTTGCCCTTTATCAGCTGCTTACATTTATGGCTGCAAGGTTTTTTTGTTTTTTGGATTTTTTTGAGACAGGTTCTCACTCTGTCACCCAGGCTGGAGTACGGTGAAGCCATCTTGGCTCACTGCAACCTTTACCTCCTGGGTTCAAGTGATCCTCCCACCACAGCCTCCTGAGTATCTGGGACCACAGGTGACCACCACCGTGCCAGGCTAATTTTTGTATTTTGGTAGAGATGGGGTTTCACCATGTTGGCCGGGCTGGTCATGAACTCCTGACCTCAAGTGATCTGCCTGACTCAGCTTCCCAAAGTGCTGGGATTACAGGTGTGAGCCACCGCGCCCGGCCAAGCTACAAGTTTAAGTCACAAGATAACACAAGCGTGCACTGTTTTTACTCTTTGGGAAGGAGAAGTGGACAAAAAAAGAGGGCAGGGTCCACAGTGAAGACATCCATTTTAAGCCTCCCTAATGCAAACGAAACATCCAGAGCTGGTTAAGGATGTTTTTAATTTGTAAATTTGTGCCATATGGGTGCATAATTTGGCTCTTTGAATTTTAGTTTAAATACCCTCTCTCCCCTAATGATCCTGCTATCTGACAGTAATGAAGGGTTCAGTCCCTTGAGTGCATAACTATAACAATAATTAATGGCCTCTGGCCAAACCTTGGAGAAATCTGGAGCAACATGGAATAATTTGGGGTCATGTGGGGTCATTGTTTCAGCATAACAAAAAGATTGATTTTCTAGGTTTGAAAGTACAGATATTTTTGCTGTAACCAAGATGATTATAGAGAACTCATTATATATATATATATATATATATTTTTTTTTTTTTTTTTTTTTAGACAGAGTCTCACTCTGTCGCCCAGGCTGGAGTGCAGTGGTGCGATCTTGGCTCACTGCAGACTCCATCTCCTGGGTTCAAGCAATTCTCCTGCCTCAGCCTCCCGAGTAGCTGGGGTTATAGGCGCACATCACCACGCCCAGCTGATTTTTGTATTTTTATTAGTGACAGGGTTTCACCATGTTGGCCAGGCTGGTCTTGAAGTCCTGACCTCAAGTGATCTGCCTGCTTTGGCCTCCCGAAGTGCTGGGATTTATAGGTGTGAGCCACCATGCCTGGCCCTTTTTAAAAATTTTTAGAAATAGAGATGGGGTCACGCCATGTTGCCCAGACTGGTCTGGAACTCCTGGCCTCAAGTGATCCTCCTGCCTTGGCCTTCCAAAGTGCTGGGATTACAGGCATGAGCCATGGCCCCTGGCCAGAACTCAGACTTTAATGCCACTCTTGTTATCCCTGGACCCAGTAAGAAGGAAAGGGAGAGTCTCTTGCCCAAGGGAAAGTAAAGTAACAATGTCTCTCATTCCTCCCAAGGCAAAGTGCTTGCTGAAAGAAGGGGCATGAATTGATCCTGGCAGCCTGTGTGTTCCATGTGGATGGGACTGGGAGGGAGAGACTAATGACTATGACTACAGGCCCTAGTGGGTTCATCAGCCACCACAGGGGCAGGAGGAAGTATCCTGTTATACCTAGATGCCCTCAAATTGAGGGCTAGACCTTTTTTTAATGTAATTTAGCTGGGCGTAATCTTGTTCAGAACTTGGACCTTCTAGACTCCAAATAATATAGGGTACAGGCCGGTGACCAAAGGGAGAAAGCCTCATTACAAGGTGGCATTTGCTTGAGGTACCAAAAACTTTACTTCCCTCTCTCCCCCCACTGTCAGGCACTCCACCCAAACAGCAGGATTGGGCCTGTGGTAGACACAAGTTCAGTGTTCGGACTGAGATTGGAGTGAATTAGAGGAGCAGACTTACCCTTTATATTTTTGGGAACCAGGACACAAGGACAAATGAAGGTTTATATACCATATATGTAAATATTTATTTATTGGCTTTTGGGATTTTCTTTAGTCATATATGTACATTTTTTGTTTATGTTTTGAGACAGAGTCTCACTCTGTCACTCCTGGTGGAGTGCAGAGTGGCACGATCTTGGCTCACTACAACCTCTGCCTCCCAGGTTCAAGTGATTCTCCTGCCTCAGCCTCCTGAGTAGCTGGGATTACAGGCATGCGCCTCAACACTCAGCTAATTTTTTTTGTATTTTTAGTAAAGATGGGGTTTCATCATGTTGCCCAGTCTGATCTCGAACTCCTGGCCTCAGGTGATCTGCCTGCCTCGACCTCCTAAAGTACTGGGATTACAGGCGTGAGCCACCACACCCAGTCCATATATGTAAATATTTAAAAGTTATAAGACAAACTAACAAACTGTTACAAAATATATGTTTTTTTTTTTTTGAGACGGAGTCTCGCTCTGTTGCCCAGGCTGGAGTGCAGTGGCGCGATCTCGGCTCACTGCAAGCTCCGCCACCCAGGTTCATGCCATTCTTCTGCCTCAGCCTGCCGAGTAGCTGGGACTACAGGCACCTGCCACCACGCCTGGCTAATTTTTTTGTATTTTTAGTAGAGACAGAGTTTCACCATGTTAGCCAGGATGGTCTCGATCTCCTGACCTCGTGATCCGCCTGCCTCAGCCTCTCAAAGTGCTGGGATTACAGGCGTGAACCACCGCGCCCCGCCTACAAAAAATATGTTCTATCTTCCTGCATTTATAAATACACTTTCATAATTAAAAAAAAAAAAAAAGTCGGGCACAATGGCTCACGCCTGTGATCCTAGCACTTTGGGAGACCGAGGTGGGTGGATCACCTAAGGTCAGGAGTTCGAGACCAGCCTGACCAACATGGAGAAACCCAATCTCTATGAAAAAAATACAAAAATTAGCTGGGTGTGGTGGGTGCTGCCTATAATCCCAGCTACTCGGGAGGGTGAGGCAGGAGAATCACTTGAACCCGGGAGATGGAGGTTGCAGTGAGCCGAGATTGGGTCACTGTGCTCCAGCTTGAGCAACAGAGCAAGACTCTATTTCCAAAAAAAAAAAAAAAATCCTAAAAAAATGAGTGTTATGCCATGGTATTTATACAACTGAAACTTGGCAAAATACCAAGTGAATTTAATTACCATCATGTATGTCTGAGTGTTTGGTTGATAGTCCATTAAAGTCTGAATTGGTATAAAAATGGAGGCCTATACGATTATAAAATTATTTTATATTTACTTCATTAAATTCATTTTATTTGCGTTTCAGCAAAGTCATTAAGCATATTGTTATCATCAAGATTTTTTACAAAAATTATAATTTGTGTTTTCTTGAGGGTCATGATACAGGATTTAAAATCGGAATGTAGGCCGGGCGCAGTGGCTCACGCCTGTAATCCCAGCACTTTGTGAGGCCGAGGTGGGAGGATCATGAGGTCAGGAGATCAAGACCATCCTGGCTAACACGGTGAAACCCCATCTCTGCTAAAAATACAAAAAAAATTAGCTGGGCCTGGTGGCAGGCGCCTGTGGTCCCAGCAACTCAGGAGGCTGAGGCAGGAGAATGGTGTGAACCCGGGAGGCGGAGCTTGCAGTGAGCCGAGATCGCGCCGCTGCACTCCAGCCTGGGCGACCGAGCCAGCCTCTGTCTCAACAAAAAAAAAAAACAAAAACGGAATGTAATTGTAAGCCAGGATGTGTGCCTGTAGTCCTGTTACAGGTAGTTACTCAGGCATGAGCAGGGCAGAAGAGGGCTTCCCTCTCACCCCACCAGGAAGGTCAGGTGACCATCAGGCGATAGTTTGGCAGTTATTACACTGCATCTGTAAAAATGATAATTGGCAGTCAGCACCAGAGAGAGGCAATTTCCTGATGGTCTACAGCTTTCACACTAAAGTGGTAACTCAATACAGTTGCAGGAATTGGGCGAGTGAGCTCCAGCAAGTGCATTAAGAGACAAAATGGAGCCAGGCGCAGTGGCTCACACCTGTAATCCCAGCACTTTGGGAGGCCGAGGAGGGCAGATAATGAGGTCAGGAGTTTGAGACCAGCCTGGCCGACATGGTGAAACCCCGTCTCTACCAAAAATACAAAAATTAGCCGGGTGTGGTGGCGAGCACCTGTAATCCCAGCTACTCGGGAGGCTGAGGCAGGAGAATTGCTTGAACCAGGGAGGCGGAGGTTGCAGTGAGCTGCGATTGCGCCACTGCACTTCAGCCTGGACCACAAGAGCGAAACTCTGTCTCAAAACAAACAAACAAACAAACAAACAAAAAGAAAAACAAAAAAACCAAAAACAACAACAACAAAAAACCCTGTCAAATGCTGCACTTGTCCTTCAAGTTACCTTCTTGGGTTTCTTCCAAGTGTACTTCCCTTTCTTTCCTACTCTAAAGCTTTTTCTTCTTTCTTTTGCTTTTTTTTGAGATGGGGTTTCCCTCTTGTTGCCCAGGCTGGAGTGCAGTGGCACAATCTCAGCTCACTGGGGCAACCTCCACCTCCCTGGTTCAAGCAATTCTCCTGCCTCAGCCTCCCATGGGACTACAGGTGCCTGCCACTACGCATGGCTAATTTTTGTATTTTTAGTAGAGACGGGTTCTTGAACCCCTGTCCTCAGGTGATCCACCCACCTCGGCCTCCCAAAATGCTGGGATTACAGGCATGAGCCACCGTGCCCGACCCTATTTTTAAAATTTTAAAAAAGAAATGCTCATTGGAGAATTTCATATTTTCAGATTTGGAAGCTCAATTAGTAATACAAATATTCCAAAATCCAAAAATATTTGAAATCTGAAACACTTCTGGTCCTAAACAATTTTTTTTCTTTTGAGATGGGGTTTTGCTCTTGTTGCCCAGGCTGGCATGCAATGGTGCAATCTCAGCTCACTGAAACCTCTGCCTCTGGGTTCAAGCGATTCTCCTGCCTCAGCCTCCTGGAGTAGCTGGGATTACAGGTGCCCGCTGCCATGCCCAGCTAATTTTTTGTATTTTTAGTAGAGGTGGGGTTTCACCATGTTGGCCAGGCTGGTCTTGAACTCCTGACCTCAAGTGATCCGCCTGCCTTGGCCTCCCAAAGTGCTGAGATTACAGGCGCCCGGCTGGTCCTAAACATTTTGAATAAGAGATACTCAACCTATATTAAGAGGATAGTTTTGATATTTTGAATCCCCAAAATGAAACTGGGGGCCTCCTGGGATTCCCAGACCACAATTTGAAAACCATTGCCACATAACAGGGTTTTGTGAGATGGAGTCTCACTCTGTCATCCAGGCTGGAGTGCAGTGGCATGATCTTGGCTCACTGCAACCTCCACCTCCCAGGTTCAAGGGATTCTCCTGCTTCAGCCTCCCTAGTAGCTGGGATTACAGTCATGTGCCATCATGCCTGGCTAATTTTTGTATTTTTAGTAGAGACAGAGTTTCACCCTGTTGGCCAGGCTGGTCTTGAACCCTTGACCTCAAGTGATCTGCCTGCCTCAGCCTCCCAAAGTGCTAGAATTACAGGTGTGAGTTTTGCACCTGCCCGAGACTCCATCTCTTAAAAAAATATATTGTGGGCTGGGCCTGGTGGCTTACACCTGTAATCCCAGCACTTTGGGAGGCCGAGGCGGGAGGATCACGAGGTCAGGAGATCGAAACCATCCTGGCTAACACAGTGAAACCCCGTGTCTACTAAAAATACAAAAAAATCAGCCAGGCGTGGTAGCGGGCGCCTGTAGTCTCAGCTACTCGGGAGGCTGAGGCAGGAGAATGGCATGAACCTGGGAGGCGGAGCTTGCAGTGAGCCGAGATCGTGCCACTGCACTCCAGCCTGGGTGACAGAGCGAGACTCTGTCTCAAAAAAAAAAAAAAAAAAAAATATATATATATATATATATACACACACACACACACACACACATATATATACACATATATATACAGATATATACACATATATACACATATATATACACATATATATACACATATATATACACATATATATACATAGAGTGGATAGTTTTATTTTTCACAAGATTTACATTTTCAAGACATTAAAATTTTCAACTTTATTCAAATAAGTTTGATTGAAGTTTTTATTTCTTATAATTTGTATTTTGCCTTTTGTTTTACTAATTTTCAATATCCTAGAAAAGTAACTTTTAAAACACACTTAATTTTTAAATTCCCTACATTTATTTATTTATTTATATTTTTATGCAAATACATTCAAAGTATACAGTGTGTCTACAATTACTTTTTTTTTTTTTTTTAGAGATGGAATCCTGCTATGCTGTCCAGGCTGGCCTCGAACTCCTATGCTCAAGCAATCTTCACGAGTCACTGGGACTGTTACAGGTAGAAGGTATCTGAGATACCAGTGGCAAATCCATATGCAGCAATCTCAATTCTTCCCTCCTCAGAGAGAAGAATTTGACTGAGGGGCATAAGGCAGAAAAGAGACCAAGGCAAGTTTCAGACCAGGAGTGGAAGTTTATTAAAAATCTTTAGAGGCCAGACACGGTGACTCATGCCTGTAATCCCAGCACTTTGGGAGGCTGAGTCGGGTGGATCACCTGAGGTCAGGAATTTGAGGACCAGTCTGGCCAACATGGTGAAACCCTGTCTCTACTAAAAATACAGGTGTGGTGGCGGGCGCCTGTAATCCCAGCTACTTGGGAGGCTGAGGCAGGAGAATTGCTTGAACCTGGGAGGCAGAGGTTGTAGTGGGCTGAAGGTTGTAGTGAGCTGAGATCACACCACAGCACTCCAGCTGGGTGACAAAGCGAGAATCTGTCTCAAAAAAAAAAAAAAAAAAGGCCGGGTATGGTGGCTGAAGCCTGTAATCCCAGCACTTTGGGAGGCCAAGGCGGGCAGATCACTTGAGGTCAGGACTTTGAGACCAGCCTGGACAACATAGTGAAACCTTGTCTCTACTAAAAATACAAAAATTAGTCGGGCGTAGTGGCGGGCACCTGTAATTCCAGCTACTCAGGAGGCTGAGGCAGGAGAATCGCTTGAACCCAGGAGGCGGAGGTTGCAGTGAGCCGAGATTGCACCACTGCACTCCAGCCTGGGCAACAGAGCAGGACTCTGTCACAAAACAAAACAAAACAAAACAAATGTACAGTGGAATTTTCCAGAGGCTGTACTAGCAAATCGAATGCAGAAGCAGATGAGAGTCCATCTGTTTTCTATTAAGCCAAACATTGAAGAGATTTGTAAAAATGTAAAACAATGTCAGTCTTCTGCCAATTTTTTTTTTTACGTTTACTGGCTTATTATAAAGGATACAACAAAGGATATAGATGAAGAGATGCGTAGGGCGAGGTATGAAGAGGCACAGAGCTTCCATGCCCTCTCTGCGTGTGCCACTCTCCACAGCCTCCGTGTGTTGAGCTATCTGACAGCTCACTGAACCCTGTCTTCTTGGGTTTTTTTTTTTTTTTTGAGACAGAGTCTCGCTCTGCTGCCCAGGCTGGAGTGCAGTGGCACGATCTTGGCTCACTACAACCCCTGCCTCCTGGGTGCAAGCGATTTCCAGCTAATTTTTGTATTTTTAGTAGAGACGAGGTTTCACCATGTTGGCCAGGCTGGTCTCAAACTCCTGACCTCAAGTGATCTTCCTGCCTTGGCTTCCCAAAGTGCTAGGATTACAGGCATGATCTACCGTGCCTGGCCCCGCTTGGATTTTTATGGAAGCTTCATGACATCAGCATTCCTTCCCCCAGGGTATAGGGTGGGACCAACTTATGGTAGGTCTTAAGATCCATGACCAGAAAGTCAGGGGAACTTAAGAGAGAGAAGAAGGGCAGGAGAAGGTCAGAGGCCTGCCCCTGAGGCCTAACATACCCAACATTATAACAAAAGACTGTAACAAGGGCTATGGGAGTTATGAACCAGGAACCGTGGACAAAAACCAATAATATCATAACATGATTGGCCACTTCCTGGTTTTTGATTATGGATCCTTTACATCAAAAATATATATTATGCACAATCATTTATAATTAATCCAGTCCATCATAGTGTAAGGAATGTCTCCCAGGATGAGGTCACTCAGGTTTGCAGGTTTCCTCTCAATCTTGTCAGGTTGCCCGAAAGCAGGAGTAGCCTTGGTAAATATACAGCTTTACCGTTTCAGGCATCTGGGATAATTGAGCTAAGGGACCATGTCATCTCTTGCTCTGAGACTCTTTTGAATTGTTAACATAATATTGAATTTTCCTCAATTAATAATCCATTTATTTATTTCTTTACTCTTAGCTACTATTTCTCCTTCTCTCCATTAATACTCAAACGTTTTCACCTTTGGAAGGGACATTAGACTTGCCACCACGCTGGCCTAGATTGTAGGTAGCAATACAAGTCTAACAAGTAGCTCCTCCTCATTCCACTCCCATTCAGATAGGGTAAGGTTACATAGGTGCAAAATGAGCTATTTTTACCTCTAGGCAATATAGCTGCCTTCACTGTTAGCCTCAATGTTGCTCGTTGGGGTGAAGGCACAAATCACCACTGTCATGCCTTTAGGAATTTTGACATAAGGCTTAAAAACGTATAGTTTTTTGCTTAGAAATCATCCCTGCTGTTCCAGCACTTGCAGTTGCAACCCTGTGGTTGGTCTTAGGACCAGTGCATCAGAAGGGGAGGAAAAATAGTTGTTGATTTTTTCCCCTGGGGTGATTTGGGGAAGAAAGAAAATATTATAGTCCTTATACTAGCATATTCCTCCCTTGGCAAGAACTGCATAGTCATAGCAGCATCCTTCCCACTCTCACTTCCTCAGATCAACCAGAGAAACAGAAAAAATCTAGCAGGGACACTCTAGTCCTATTCATGTTAAGTGTGAGTACACACTCATGAAGGCAAGGCATGTAAACCAGCTCTGTATGCTTTTATCACCCCTTGTTTTAGACAACCAATGCTTCAATTGCCTGTTCTATTTCTACATCAAACTATTACTCTAAGGAGGATATCTCTCTGCCCATTGTTGGATGTTATGAGCTGTGCAGTGAGTGTGTTCCTTGGTCTCAAAAATTATGGTCAGCCACCCAAGTCCATGCTATATATATATATATATATATATATGTATTTTTTTTTTTTGAGACGGAGTCTCGCTCTGTCACCCAGGCTGGAGTGCAGTGGCACGATCTTGGCTCACTGCAACCTCTGCCTCCTGGGTTCAAGCGATTCTCCTGCCTCAGCCTCAGGAGTAACTGGGATTACAGGCACGTGCCACCACGCCTGGCTAATTTTTTTATTTTTAGTAGAGACGGGGTTTCACCATGTTGGTCAGACTGGTCTCGAACTCCTGACCTCATGATTTGCCCGCCTCAGCCTCCCAAAGTGCTGAGATTACAGGTGTGAGCCACTGCCCCTGGCTTCTGTTTCTTTTTTTTTAATGGCACTCAGAGCATTTTCATTTTCCACTGGATAAGCAAAGCCCACTCCAGAGTCAGTGTCTATTCCTGTCCAAGACCCATTTGTAGCCCCCTAGGGCTATTAACATCAGTCTCACTTGCCAGCTGTGATCAGGGCCTTCCCACCAGGAAATCTGCCCCATAGCCATGAGCAGTCTCTGTCTCTCTTGCTGAGAAACAGAACAGTTCTTTCTGGCATTTTGTGCCTCAGAGGGTGCAAAAGGAACATGTCTACATTCAGCCCGGCCGGGCGCAGTGGCTCACGCCTGTAATCCCAGCACTTTGGGAGCCTGAGACAGGTGGATCATGAGGTCGGGAGATCGAGACCATCCTGGCTAACACGGTGAAACCCTGTCTCTACTAAAAATCCAAAAAAAAAAAAAAAAAAAAAAATTAGCCGGCCGTGGTGGTGGGCGCCTGTAGTCCCAGCTACTCGGGAGGCTGAGGCAGGAGAATGGCATGAACCCGGGAGGTGGAGCTTGCAGTGAGCCGAGATCACACCACTGCACTCCAGCCTGGGTGACAGAGCGAGACTGTCTCAAAAACAACAACAACAAAAACAAACAAACAAACAAACAAAATACATTCAGCCCATCTCTGTAGTGCTATAATACCCCCATATCCACTCATTTCATGGAGCCAGGTGGCCACCTCAAGGGAGCACATGGGGATATCTGCTTGTCAATTCCAGTCACCTTCCAAACCTGAAAGGGAGTTCTGATGGGTATTGACATGTTCTACTTTTAACGCGCCTCTCAAATCTCCATAGGACTTGCTCCATATGGGCATTCTTTTAATAGGCCAGGTTTCCATGGCTCTCTTGCCTGAGTGTGTGGTCAGGTACATTGGTCACTGCCCATGAGTCAGTAAAAACCCAAATACAGGGGCTTGTACAAGGTGTTCAACTCTTCCATCAGTGTTAGAAAAACAGCATGCAATTCAGCCCACTGAGCAGACCTGGTTTTACCTTCTTGGATCAAAGTATCAGCCTTCCAAACAAGATGGTATCCATTTTCCCAGGAATTGCTATTCACGAACCAAGCAGCTCTTGGTTAGTCAGCTGAGAGCTGTTTATTGGGCACTGCAGAATCCAACAGTTTCTCACACAGTTCCAGAGTCAGTCCTAGGGGAAAAGAAACTCCCTATTCAAGAGTGTCTCTTTCTTGCGTTCCTTAGGTAGCATGATCCTCTATAAACCATTTCCATTTTATTATGGAGCTCTTTTGGGCACTGCCACCCACATTAGAATGTTTCTCTGACATCACCCAAGACAGCATGGGTATTTCAAGTGTCATAGGCAGAGTTTCAGCTAAGGTTTCACAGCAAGGCACTAAATGCCCCTCAAGTGGAAATTCTCTAGTCTAAAGACCCAGTAGTTTTTTCTGGGAGGTGCTCAGAGGCTTCCACCGTAAGCCCCAGGAAGTACTTCACAGAGGGTTATGCAGTGGAGAATTTGTCTCTACCAGAATTCCAGCTTATACTCTGCACTAGGTAGGCTCGAGCAATCTTACTGGTTCCTATTTAGTCTTAAAGAGATGCAATCACTTCACATGAAGTATGTTCAAATATACCAACTTCATAATCCCTTCAACCTTTACATTTTGATATTCTAGTTTCAAGAACCTCTTTTCTCCACCCCCAGATAACTTTACTCTCTCTTCTGCAGAAGGTTTTGGGTCCCTAGCCAAGGACTGAGTCAAAGGACTCTGGCCCTTTTGTCAATCTTTTTATTTTATTATTTATTTTAAGACAAGGTCTCATTGTGTCTCCTAGGCTGGAGTGCAGTGAGGCTATTATGGCTCAATGCAGCCTCTACTACCCTGGCTCAGGTGATCCTCCCAACACAGCCTCCTAAGTAGCTGGAACAGCAGGTGGATGCCACCACATGCAACTAATTTTTTTTTTTTTGTATTTTTTGTAGACACAGGGTTTCACCATGTTGCCCAGTCTGGCCTCGAACTCCTGGGCTCAAGTGATCCTCCCGCGTTGGTCTCCCAAAGTGCTGGAATTACGGGCATGAGCCACAGTGCCCTGGCTTCAGTCTTTAAAAAAATTTTTGGTGGCCAGTCGCGGTGGCTTACATCTGTAATCCTAGCATTTTGGGAGGCCGAATCACAAGGTCAAGAGATCCAGACCATTCTGGTCAACATGGTGAAACCCCGTCTCTACTAAAAAATACAAAAATTAGCTGGGCATGGTGGCACGCGCCTGTAGTCCCAGCTACTCGGGAGGCTGAAGCAGGAGAATCACTTGAACCCAGGAGGCAGAGGTTGCAGTGAGCTAAGATCGCGCCACTGCACTCCAGCCTGGCGACAGAGTGAGACTCCATCTCGCCAAACAAACAAAAACAAACAAACAACAACAACAATAACAACAACAACGTTTCTGCTGGGTGCAGTGGCTCACGCCTGTAATCCCAGCACTTTGGGAGGCTGAGGCCGGCGGATCACCTGAGGTTGGGAGTTCGAGACCAGCCTGACCAACATGGAGAAACCCATCTCTACTAAAAATACAAAAATTAAACAGGTGTCATGGCGGGCACCTGTAATCCCAGCTACTCAGGAGGCTGAGGCAGGAGAATCACTTGAACCCGGGAGGCAGAGGTTGCAGTGAGCCGAGACCGTGCCATTGCACTCCAGCCTGGGCAACAAGAGCCTAACTCTGTCTCAAAAATAAATAAATAAATAAATAAAAATAAAAACCAGGGGCAAAGACCAAATATATATTTCTTATTGTATCATATATGTTAACATAAGTAATATATTTTTATTAAAAAAAGCTTTAATTTCCAAAACAAAAAAAACTGGGGAGCCACATAAACTATGGGGACATGTTCAAACCACAGCAATGGGATATCTCTATACTTTCCTCTCAATTTTGCCATAAGCTTAAAACTGTATCTATAGATTTAAACTACATAAACAAAATCCCTTTAGGGTCCTACTTTTTTTTTTTAAAGACTTTATTTTTCTAGAGCAATTTTAGGTTCACAGCAAAATAGAGAGAAAGATGCACGGATTTCCCATATACACCCTGCTCACCCACACACATATCTTCCTCCATTATCTCATCCCCCACCAGAGCGGTACATTTGTTAGAACTGATGAACCTACATTGACACATCATTATGAAAGTCCACAGTTTACATTAGGGTTCTTTCTTGATGTTGTACACCCTGTTGGTTAGGATAAATGTATAATTACATGTATCCATCATTTTAGTGTCATACAGACTATTTCACTGCACTAAAACTCCTCTGTGCTCCATCTGGACATCTCTTTCTCCTTCCTAATCCTATGTACCACTGATCTTTTTTTTTTTTTTTTGAGATCAGAGTCTCACTCTGTGCAATCTTGGCTCACTGCAACCTCCAGGTTCAAGCGATTATCCTGTCTCACCTGTAGCTGGGGCTACAGGTGTGTGCCACCATGCCCAGCTAATTTTTTATATTTTTAGTAGAGACAGGGTTTCGCCATATTGGCCAGGATGGTCTTGATCTCTTGACCTCATGATCTGCCCACCTCGGCCTCCCAAAGTGCTGGGATTACAGGTGTGAGCCACTGCGCCTGGCCACCACTGATCTTTTTACTGTCTCTATATTTTTGCCTTTTCCAGAATGTCATATAGTTGGAATCATGAAGTACAGAGTCTTTCAGATCGACTTCTTCTTCCTTCTTCTTCTTCTTTTTTTTTTTTTTTGAGACGGAGTTTCACTCTTGTTGCCCAGGCTGGAGTGCAATGGCGTGATCTTGGCTCACCGCAACCTCCACCTCTGGGGTTCAAGCAGTTCTCCTGCCTCAGCCTCCCGAGTAGCTGGGATTACAGGCGCCCGCCACCACGCCCAGCTAATTTTTGTATTTTTAGTAGAGACAGGGTCTTGCCATGTTGGCCAGGCTGGTCTTGAACTCCTGACTTCGGGTGATCCACCCGCCTTGGCCTCCCAAAGTGCTGGGATTACAAGATGTGAGCCACCGTGCCTGGCCTAGATCGACTTCTTTCACTTAGTAATATGCATTTAACTTTCCTCCATGTCTTTCCATTGTCTGAATGTACCACAGTTTATCATTCACCTACTGAGAAACATCTTGGTTTCTTCCAAGTTTTGGCAATTGGCCGGGAGTGGCTCATGCCTGTAATCCCAGCAGTTTGGGAGGCCGAGGCGGGCCGATCACCTGAGGTCAGAGGTCAGGAGTTTGAGACCAGTCTGACCAACATGGAGAAACCCTGTCTCTACCAAAAATACAAAATTATCCAGGAGAGGTGGCACATGCCTGTAATCCCAGCTACTCGGGAGGCTGAGGCTGGAGAATTGCTTGAACCTGGGAGGGGGAGGTGGCGGTGAGCAGAGATTGCGCCATTGCACTCCAGCCTGGGCAACAAGAGTGAAACTCCATCTCAAAAAAAAAAAAAAAAAAACCAAAAAAAACCAGAAAACAAGTTTTGGCAATTATGAATAAAGTTGCTATAAACATCTGTATGCAGATTTCTGTGTAGACATGTTTTCAACTGCTTTAGGTAAACACCAAGGAGCATGACTGATAATGGATTGCAAAGTAAGATTATGTTTACTCTTGTAAGAAGCTGCTAAACTGTCTTCCAAAGTGGCTGTATCATTCCTTGTCAATTTAACTGGATAGTTAAAAACAAAAACAAAAACAAACCAAAACTGGCTATATCATTTTGCATTCCTATCAGTAATGAATGAGAATTCCTGTTGGTCCATATCCTCACCAGCTTTTGGTATCGTCATTGTTCTGAATTTTGGTGATTTTAATAGGTGTATAGTGGTATCTCATTGTTGTTTTAATTTGCTTTTCCCTAATGACATATGATGTGGAATATCTTTTCATATGTCTATTTTCCATTTGTTCTCAAACTCCTGACCTTAAGTGATCTGCCCACCTTGGCCTCCCAAAGTGCTGTTGGGATTACAGGCATGAGCCACTACACCCGGCCCCTATTTTCTGTCTATATATCTTCTTTGCTTTCTTTATTTTGTTTCATGGGTTTTTTTCTTTTTTGATGGAGTCTCTCTCCGTCACCCAGGCTGGAGGGCAGTGACGCAATCTTGGCTCACTGCAACATCTGCCCCCCTGGTTCAAGGAATTATCATGCCTCAGCCTCCCTAGTACTTGGGGTTATAGGTGCACACCACCACGACTGGCTAATTTTTGTATTTTTAGTAGAGATGGGGTTTCACCATGTTGGCCAGGCTGGTCTCGAACTTCTGACCTCAAGTGATCCACCTGCCTTGGCCTCCCAAAGTGCTGGGATTACAGGTGTGAGCCACCATGCCCAGCTCCCTGTATATTTTCTTTTTTTTTCTGTTTTCTTTTTTTTTTTTTTTTTTGAGATGGGAGTCTCACTCTGTTGCCCAGGCTGGAGTGCAGTGGCGCGATCTCAGCTCACTGCAACCTCTGCCTCCTGGGTTCATGACATTCTCCTGCCTCAGCCTCCTGAGTTGCTGGGACTACAGGCACACACCACCACACCCAGCTAATTTTTAAAATATTTTTAGTAGAGATGGGGTTTCACTGTGTTAGCCAGAATGGTCTCGATCTCCTGACCTTGTGATCTGCCCGCCTCGGCCTCCCAAAGTGCTGGGATTACAGGTGTGAGCCACTGCACCCGGCCCCTGTATATTTTCTTTAGTGAGGTGTCTTTCCAGGTCTTTAGCTCAATTTTTAAATCAGATTTTTTAAAAAATTGTTGCATTTTAAGTTATTTGCATTTTTTTATTTTTTATTTTTAGTAGAGACAGGGTTTCACTATGTTGGCCAGGCTGGTATTGAACTCCTGGCCTCAAGTGATTCACCTGCTTTGGCCTCCTAAAGCGCTGGAATTACAGGTGTGAGCCACCGCACCCGGCCAAAGAGTTCTTTGTATATTTTAGATAACATTCCTTTATCAGATATGTCTTTTGCAAATATTTTCTCCCAGGCTGACTTGTCATTTCATTCTATTGTGGGCCCTCATTTTTATTTTTGTCTTATTTTTTGAGATGGAGCCTTGCTCTGTGGCCCAGGCTGGAGTGCAGTGGCATGATCTCGGCTCACCACAACATCTGCCTCCTGGGTTCAAGCAATTCTCCTGCCTCAGTCTCCTGAGTAGTTGGGATTACGGGCACCCGCCACCATGGTCAGCTAATTTTTTTGTATTTTTAGTAGAGACAAGGTTTCACCATGTTGGCCAGATTGGTCTCAATCTCCCGATCTCACGTAATCCACCCACCTTAGCCTCCCAAAGTACTGGGATTACAGGTGTGAGCCACCGCGTCTGACCCTGTTATTTTGTTTTTGTTTTTGTTGTTATTTGTTATAGACAGGGTCCTGTTCTGTTGCCCAGGCAACAGTATGTATGCAGTGTTATGATCATAGCTTATGGCAGCCTCAAACTGCTGGGCTCAAGCAATCCTTCTCCCTCACTCTCCTGAGTAGCTGGGACTACAGATGTACATCACCATGGCTGGCTAATTTTTAAAACTCTTTTGCAGAGACGGGTCTTGCTATCTTGCCCAGGCTGGTCTTGAACATCTGGCTCAAGCTATCCTCCTGCCTCAGCCTCTCAAAATGCTGGGATTACAGGTGTGAGCCACCACACACAGACTTCTGTGTTCTTTTATTTTTTTATGTTTTACTTTTTTTGAGACTGAGTTTCACTCTTTTTGCCTAAGCTGGAGTGCAATGGCATGATCTTGGCTCACTGCAACCTCTGCCTCCCAGGTTCAAGTGATTCTCCTGCCTTAGCCTCCCCAGTAGCTGGGATTACAGGCCTTCACCACCACACCCGGCTAATTTTTTTCTTGTATTTTTAGTAGAGACAGGGTTTCATCATATTGGCCAGGCTGGTCTTGAACTCCTGACCTCAAGCAATCTGCCCCCCTCAGCCTCCCAAAATGCTGGGATTACAGGCATGAGCCACTATGCCTGGCCTGAGACTAGGTAATTTATAAAGAGAAGAGGTAGCCGGGCGAGGTGGCTCATGCCTGTAATCCCAGCACTTTGGGAGGCCAAGGCAAGCGGATCATGAGGTCAGGAGTTCGAGACCAGCCTGACCAACATGGTGAAACCCTGTCTCTACTAAAATTACAAAAATTAGCCGGGCGTGTTGGCACACGCTGTAATCCCAGCTACTTGGGAGGCTGAGGCAAGAGAATTACTTGAACCCAGGAATTGAGATCGCCCGGGTGACAGAGCGAGACTCCATCTCAAAAAAAAAAAAAAATTAGTTGGGCATGGTGGCACACACCTGTGATCCCAGCCACTCAGGAGGCTGAGGCAGGAGAATAGCTTGAACTCAGGAGGTGGAGGTTGCAGTGAGCTGAGATCGCACCACTGCACTCCAGCCTGGCGACAGAGCAAGACTCTGTCTCAAAAAAAAAGAAAAGAGGTTTAATTGGCTCAGGTTCTGCAGGCTGTGGCTGGGAGGCCTCAGGAAATTTTCAATCATGAAGGTAAAGGGGAAGTAGGCATATCTTCACATGGCGAGAGCAGGATACAAAGAGAGAAGGGGGAAATACTACACACTTCTAAACAACTGGATTTCATGAGAACTCACTCACTATCATGAGAGCAGCAAGGGGGAAAATCCACCGGCATAATCCAACTACCTCCCGCCAGGCCCCTCCTCCAACACTGGGAGGGATTACAATTTGACATGAGATTTGGGCAGGGAAACAAATCCAAACCATATCAATTATATTAGATGTACAGCTTAAAGAAGAAAAAGATCACGTGGGTTCCTTTGGAACCCCTGAGTCCCAGGAGTCTTAAAGTCCACTTATGTTTATTTAGAAATTAATTAACCAAATAAGAAATGGGCAGGGGCTAAAGGAGACATCTTCAAAACTTTCCATTAAAAACCAGGAGAATAAATGGAAAGACACATCATGTTCTTGGATTACAAATTGGAACATTATTTAAAATGTCCTCTCCCTCCAAATCACATTTTGGGTGAAATGTAATTCCAATAAAAACGTGCACACTCGGTCAGGCATGGTGCTCACGCCTGTAATCCCAGCTACTTGGGAGGCTGAGGCAGGAGAATCGCTTGAACTTGGGAGGTGGAGGTTGCAGTGAGTCAAGGTGGCACCACTGTATTCCAGCCTCGGGGTGACAGAAGGAGACTCCGTCTCAAACAAAACAAAAGTGCACATTCTCTGAACCAGCAATGTATTATTTTAAATATCAGGAATCTCTAATATTAAGCCTAGTTTTACTTTTAAAGCTTAGTGCAGGGAGTCTCTCTAGACCTATTTAATTTCAGGGACTGCCTGTAAAAAAAAAATTTAAAAAAAAACTTAGTTCATTTCTTTTTCTCTAGCATTTAGATTACTGTATTGAAGACATTTTTGTATAGTCACCTCTCCTGAATGGTGAATAACTTATGAATAATGAAGCTGCCAAAACCAAGGAATTCCTGACATCCGTCCCCCTCCATTAACATTATTTCCTCCTGAACATGATGTTAACATCCAAATGTTCTCAAGGAGACTAGAAGACTAGAATGTGGCAACAAGAGTCACCAAGGCACTACCAAACTGAGGATATCCATAGTTGTAGTTGTGCTAGACTTTGTTTATGGTTGTGGACTCCAAACTAAATGGATGTTATTATCCATGTGGTTATTTGAGCAACTTCATTAGTGTTGTGTATTTTAAGGGAGATAAGCTATATTCTATAACAACTAGAGGGTCCACAGAGCCCAGAACTTAGTGTAATATTCTGTTCTGTGGAAATGATTAGAACATTTCAAGATGTGGACAACTGGGCACTTAGAGCTTTCGAAGGAAGAAACTAATGTGAAGCATGGATAATTTTAATAAATAGATAAATCAGAGGAAAAATGACAAATTACAGTTTTGATTCAAACCTATTATGAGAATAATGGCAGATTTGAGACCTCCGACTTAAAAAAAATCCTGTAGTATAATTTGCACATAGAGTAAGGGCACAAATCGTAAATGTATATTTCAATGCATTTTCATAAATTGAACATACCTGTGTAACTATTATCAGATCAAGAAAGATAACAACACCTCTACACCAGAAATCTTCCTCCTGTCTCTTTCCAGTTGCTACATTGTACACCCTTCCCCACACACACCAAGGATAACAATTATCCTCTTTTCTCTCCTTTTCCTAACCACTGGACTACCAGAAATACCCTCTTTTCTTTTCTTTTTTTTTTTTGAGACAGAGTCTCGCTCTGTCGCCCAGGCTGGAGTGCAGTGGCGCGATCTCAGCTCACTGTAAGCTCCGCCTCCTGGGTTCACGCCATTCTCCTGCCTCAGCCTCCCGAGTAGCTGGGACTACAGGCGCCTGCCACCACACCTGGCTAATTTTTTTGTATTTTTAGTAGAGACGGGGTTTCACCGTGTTAGCCAGGATGGTTTCGATCTCCTGAACTCGTGATCCGCCCGCCTCGGCCTCCCAAAGTGCTGGGATTACAGGCGTGAGTCACCACAGCTGGCCAGAAATATCCTCTTTTCTAACAAAATAGATACTTTACTTGTTTTTGACCTTTATATAAGTGGAATCATACAATATTAATTATTTTGTCTCTGGCTTCATCATTCTATTGTATAATTTATCCATATTGTTGTGTGTAGCTGTGGTTCTTTCATTCTTATTGTAGAGTAGTATTACACTGTATGATTATACCACAATTTATTCATTCATTTTACTGTAGGATATTTAAATAGAATCCAGTTGTTTCTACTAGTTATATCCTAAGATTGGAACTGCTGAGTCATAGGGTATGTACTTGTTCAGCTGAAAAGGACAGAAAATACCAAGAGTTAGCAAGGAGTTGGAACAAATCCAAATCCTTGCCAACTCTTGGTATTTTCTGTCGTTTTCATTTTTGCCATTTTGATGGGTATGTAGTGATATTTCATTGTGTTTGTAATGTACACTTCTTTGATGACTAAAGACTCTTGAGTAGCCTTAAAAATGTTTATTGGGGGGCCAGGCACCATGCTTCAAGCCTGTAATCCCAGCACTTTGGGAGGCCGAGGAGGGTGGATCACCTGAGGTCGAGAGTTCGAGACCAGCCTGACCAACATGGAGAAACCCCGTCTCTACTAAAAATACAAAATTAGCCAGGCATGGTGGCAGATGCCTGTAATCCCAGCTACTTAGGAGGCTGAGGCAGGGGAATTTCTTGAACCCAGGAGGCTGAGATTGCGGTGAGCTGAGATCACGCCATTGCACTCCAGTCTGGGTGACAAGAGCAAAACTCCATCTCAAAATAAAAAAAAAAAAAGTTTATTTCCTGCCCCAGCCTCCCAGGTAGCTTGGATTACAGGCACCTGCCACCATGCCCAGCTAATTTTTTGTATTTTTAGTAGAGATGGGGTTTCACCATGTTGGTCAGGCTGGTCTCGGTCTCCCGACCTCAGGTGATCCACCTGCCTCAGCCTCCCAAACTGCTGGGATTACAGGCGTGAGCCACTGTGCCTGGCCTGGATAGTCTTTTATAAAACGCCTATTCATGCTATTTGCCCATTTTATGATTTTTATTTTATTTTATTTTATTTTATTCTTTCTTTGCAATCTCAAAAGCTCACAGGGCTTTTCTTTTCTTTTCTTTTCTTTTTCTCGATATGGGGTCTTGCTCTGTTGACCAGGCTGGAGTGCAGTGGCACGATCTTGGCGCACTGCAATCTCTGCCTTTAGGGTTCAAGTGATTCTCCTGCCTCAGCCTCCCAAGTAGCTGGGATTACAGGTGCCCACTATCATGTCTGGCTAATTTTTGTATTTTTAGTAGAGACAAAGTGTGACCATGTTGGCCAGGCTAGTCTTGAACTCCTGACCTCAGGTGATCCACCCACCTCGGCCTCCCAAAGTGCTGGGATTATAGGCGTGAGCTGCTGCCCCCAGCCAAAAAATTTATGTATTAAAATGTCTTCTTTCACTCTGCGGCTTCAAAAAAAAAATTTTTTTTTTTTTTTTTGAGAGAGTCTAACTCTGTTGCCCAGGCTAGAGTGCAGTAGTGTGCAATCATAGCTTATTGCAACCTTGAACTCCTGGTCTCAAGCTATCCTCCCACCTCAGTCTCCCAAGTAGCTGAGACTACAGGCACATGTCACATGCTAACTTTATTTTTAGTAGAGACAGGGTCTCACTATGTTGCCCAGGCTGTTCTTGTACTCCTGGGCTTAAGTGCTGTCCTGCCTCAGACTCTCAAAGTGCTGAGATTTCAGATGAGAGCCACTGCACTTGGCTTGTAATTGTTTAATAGCCCCAATTTATACCATTCCCCCCCTTTATGATTGGTATTTTTTGTGTCCTATTTTTAAAAATATTTGCCTAAGATCAGGAAACTATTCTCTTGTTTTCTTCTAGAGGTTTTATTGTTTTACTGATGACTTTAAAAATGTCTGAGTTAGAGTTGTAAAAATCAACATCTATCCAAATTAAACAGTGATTTTTAAAGAACCAGTCACAGAGTATTGTGATCTCAAATCTGAAGTAGTTGAACGAGCAGCTCTCTGCAGCAGGAACACTAGGAAATGCAGTTACACAACTCCCACTCTACTTTTCAGCAAAGTGTCCCTTACTAAGTAGGCCATGTTGCAAGCCAGTCAGAAATTGGTTTGATTGCCAAGGGACTAGAAAATAAAATAAAATAAAACAGGGTGAGATTTTCCACACAGGAAAGAAAAAAATGCAGTGAGATCATTTAAAGTAGAATCTGAGATTCTTTACCTCCTATTTCTGAAAGTTCTTGTCATAGAAATATCTTTCCAAGGGTAACTGCTCCACCAATACCTCTGATACTATGACCTTGCTCTGTCACTTATCCTTTCCTTCACCTTCAGTTTTCTCCATTTTCCCTTTCAACCTGAAACAAGCTCAATCTCCCCAATTTATCCAACAGTTAAAACCCTCCACTGTTTTTCTCATTGTCAAAGGTCAGAACAGAGTAGTCATATTTGCTCTCCACTTTCTCACTTCCCACTTCTTAGCCACTTAACCCATCTTGTCAATTGTCTTACCAATCTACAGAAACTGCTCTCTTGAAGACTCTCAGAATTAGTGTGTCCAAACTGAATTTTTTTCACTTCCCCCAAGCCTTATCTCTTATGTTTCTTACTTGTTAATGGTACACCATCCTCCCAGACACTCAGGTTGCCAAAAACAATACATACCTGCCTGCGACGTTTCTTCCATTTGGCCCTTCCCTTCCATTCCTCCTGCCATATTCTGTATCATCTCATTACCTCTTACTTTGTAGCTATTTTAATGATCTCTTAATTGCCCTTCTTGTTCCTGGTGTGTCCTAATCCAACCTATCCTGAACAAGACTACAAACTTAATCTTCTAAATTCAAAGTTCTAATCTTATCATGTCCTATTATGAAGATCTTTAATTTTTTTTTTCCCATTGTCTTTAGTCCCAACACAAACTGGACCCAATTCATGAATTCTTTTTACTTACACATACTGGAGTAAGAACCACTTCACTTCATGCTTTATTATAATTTCCCCACCTTTATTATGCAGTTCCCTCTTCATAGATCCCCCCGCCACTTGCGAATATCTAAATTCTTCTGAATTTTCAAGATAAAAGGCTGACTACAAAGGCTGACTACTTAATACCTTTTCCTGTCTTCTCTATCTGGTAGACTCCTCTTTATCCTGCAAGACTCAAACATAATTTCTTCTCTACAATGTTTGTAAACTTAATCACTCTTGATTTCTGCTTCCAAAGCACATTGACATACTATTATAAAAACAATTCCTACCATGTTATACTGTAATTATTTTTTTCTGTAACTGTCTCCCTACTAATCTCTCAGCTTCTCAAAAGAGTAAAAACCGGGCATGGTGGCTCATGGCTGTAGTCCCAGTTACTCAGAAGGCTCAGGCAGGAGGATCACCTGAACCCAGGAGTTTGAATCCAGCCTAAGCAACATGTCAAGACCTCATCTCTAAAAAAAAAAAAAAAAAAAAAAAAAAAAAGAGGCTGGGCGAGGTGGCTTATGCCTGTAATCCCAGCACTTTGGGAGGCCAAGGCAGGTGGATCACTTGAGGTCAGGAATTCAACACCAGCCTGACCAACACGGTGAAACCCCTTCTCTACTAAAAATACTAAATTAGCTGGACATGGTGGCAGGTGCCTGTAATCCCAGCTACTCAGGAGGCTGAGGCAGGGGAATCGCTTGAACCTGGAAGGCAGAGGTTGCAGTGAGCCGAGATCGCCCCATTGCACTCCAGCCTGGGTGACAGAGTGAGAGTCCATCTCAATAAATAAATAAATAAATAAAAAATAATAATAATAAAAAAAGCAAAAGAGGCCGGACGTGGTGGCTCAGGCCTGTAATCCCAGCACTTTGGGAGGCCAAGGCGGGAGGATCAGCTGAGCCCACGAGTTCAAGACTAGCCTGGGCAATACAGTAAGACTCCATCCCTACAAAAAATTAAAAAATTAGCTGGGTGTGGTGGCACACACCTGTAGTCCCAGCTACTTAGGAGGCTGAGGCAGGAGGATCACTTGAGCCCGGGAGATTGAGGCTTCAGTGAGCTGTGATTGCACCACTGTAATCAGGCCTGAGCAACACGGTGAGACTCGTTTCAAACAACAACAACAACAAAACAAACAAAACAAGCACAAAAGTAAGTGGAAGATAGCTTTTTTTTTTGAGGCGGAGTTTCACTCTTGTTGGCCAGGCTGGAGTGCAATGACACGATCTCAGCTCACTGCAACCTCCGCCTCCCAGGTTCAAGCGATTCTCCTGCCTCAGCCTCCTGAGTAGCTGGGATTACAGGCATGTGCCACTATGCCCAGCTAATTTTGTATTTTTAGTAGAGATGGGGTTTCTCCATGTTGGTCAGGCTGGTCTCCAGCTCCTAACCTCAGGTGATCCGCCCACCTTGGCCTCCCAAAGTGCTGGATTATAGGCGTGAGCCACAGTGCCTGGCCCAGAAGATAATTTTAATCTCTGCATCCCTAATGTCCAGCATAACACCTTGCCCAGAAACATCCATGATAGACTGGGCATGGTGGCTCACGCCTTAATCCCAGCACTTTGGGAGGCCAAGGAAGGTGGATCACCTGAGGTCGGGAGTTTGAGACCAGCGTGGCCAACATGGTGAAACTCCGTCTCTACTAAAAATACAAAAAATTAGCCAGGCGTGCTGGTGGGTGCCTGTAATCCCAGCTACTCAGGAGGCTGAGGCAGGAGAATCACTTGAACCTGTGAGGCAGACATTGCAGTGAGCCGAGATTGCACCATTGCACTCCAGCCTGGAAGACAAGAGCAAGATTCCGTCTCAAGACCAAAAAAAAAAAAAAAAAAAAAGAAACATCTATGATAAATCTTTATTGACTGAAATGAGTGAATCCATTTTTGATCTTCTCTAGCTAAAAGTAAATTGTCGGCTGGGCATGGTGGCTCATGCCTGTAATCCCAGCACTTTGGGAGGCTAAGGCAGGTGGATCACCTGAGGTCGGGAGTTTAAGACCAGTCTGGCCAACATGGCAAAACCCCTTCTCTACTAAAAATACAAAAATTAGCCAAGCGTGGTGGCACGTGCCTGTTATCCCAACTACTTGGGATGCTGAGGCAGGAGTTTCACTTGAACCCGGGAGGCGGAGGTTGCAGTGAGCCGAGATCACACCATTGTACTCCAGCCTGGGCAACAGAGTGAGACTCCATCTCAAAGAAAAAAAAAAAAGTAAATTGTCTTTATTAAATTGCCATAGCGTTTTCTCTGTACATCTCACGTCATATCATTTTCTACCATATGTAATTGTTATTTATGTACCCTGATGGATGGTTATCCCCTAAAGGCCAGAGACTTTGCCTTACCATCTGACAGCCTCAAGGAGGCTAGTAAGAGGGCCCTTACTATATAGGCTCCCTACATCATTGTCACACCTAGATTTGACTTTGATCAGGACATACGGACATCCCTCAAGAGCACAAAATTCAAAAACTAAAGTGATAGGGAGGGACCTATCACTTCAGTAGTATAGGCCAAGGCAAACTACTAAGAGACCTAGTTTGCCCCTGTATTCAGAAACTTTTAATACAGGTTTCTTTCTTTTTTTTTTTTCAGAGATGGAGTCTCACTCTGTCACCCAGGCTGGAGTGCAGTGGCGCGAATTCGGCTCACTGCAAGCTCTGCCTCCTGGGTTCACGCCATTCTCCTGCCTCAGCCGAGTAGCTGGGACTATAGGCGCCCGCCATCATGCCCAGCTAATTTTTTTGTATTTTTAGTAGAGACGGGGTTTCACCGTGTTAGCCAGGATGGTCTCGATCTCCTGACCTCGTGATCTGCCCGCCTTGGCCTCCCAAAGTTCTGGGATTACAGCTGTGGGCCACTGTGCCCAGCCAGAAACTTGTAATACAGGTTTCTACAAATAAGGTAAGCATTGCTGCCTGGGAAAGCTATTCATTTGTTTCTTCATCAATTCATAAATCACTTTGTGGAGAAGAAGGGGGATGCATTTAGAGCAGTTACTTTATGCCAGGGATTTTCACATACATTATCTCCAACTCCCCACAACAACATTATTAGATGAGCACTATTATCCTAAATTTATAGATAAGGAAAATGATGCTCAGAGTGCTTTAGTGACTTATTCAATATCATAGAGCTGACGAGTGACAGAATCAAACTTGAAAGCAATTATGTGTGAGTTTAAAACATAAGCTCTTTTCCACCTTGTCATGCAACACACTCAGAACGTTTCTGGAGAAAACACTGGAGAAACCTTGAATCATAACCTGCCAGAACAAAGGGTCAAGCTTGCACCAAATATGTATTGAGGAAATCCTTAAGGAACAAAAATCAACTTGCCAAGTTTTATCTTGAGCACCAGGATAATGCCTGCTTCCCAAAAAAGCTAGGGTTAATGTACATTTCCAGAAGGGATGGAGAAAAGATAGCAGTTATGATTGTGGGGAAAGGGAATGGGAGCTACAGGATTTGTAGCTGGGTATCAGAAACTTTAAAACAGATTGGAAATCAACAGAAACTCACTCTAACAGAATACACATTGGAGGGGACACATTTGGATCTTAAGTATACTGGGCCCTAGATATGTTCTATTCAGTTCAGCTAAGTAACATGAAGTATTCTGGGGACTGTGGCAGGTGTGAGGAATGCAAAGAAACTAACGGCTCCTGCCTTTAAGACACTGAGTCTTGCATAGCAGTCTGTTGGTGGGAATAGGAGACAGGGTGCCAGGGTCGAGTCTTTTCTAAAAGGCCCTGGAAAACCCAGAGTGATTTCATTGCAGAGGCAGGATAGAAGGGAATCCATGGGTTATTAACAGCAGGCAGGCCAAAAGTTTCAGTGTACCTAACACTAGCCTTGATTATCAGTAATCTTCTTCTTTTATTCAAAGGTAGCACAATATATACACTTTCTGCACCTTCCTTTTTAAATTTAATCTATCATTAAGTTTATATTAAGCAGAAAATATTTCCCTATGAGTACTTATCAATGTTCCTTATATTTTTTCCTAGGTTGTTAATCTGTCCTTTGACTTGTCTATTTTTTTTTTGCGGGGGGGAGGGGGGGGTCATGCAGATTTTTTTCTTTTTTGAGACCAAGTGTCACTCTGTCACCAGGCTGGAGTGCAGTAGTGTGATCTTGGCTCACTGCAACCTCTGCCTCCCAGGTTCGAGGGATTCTCCTGCCTCAGCCTCCTGAGTAGCTGGGACTACAGGCGCACACCACCACACCCAGCAAATTTTTTTTGTATTTTTAGTAGAGATGGGGTTTCACCGTGTTGGCCAGGATGGTCTCAATCTCTTGATCTCATGATCCGGCCCACCTCGGCCTCCCGAAGTGCTGGGATTACAGGCGTGAGCCACCGTGCCCTGCCTGTTTTTGATTTTTACATAGTTGATTTGATCAATTTTTTCAATGACCTCTGATTTGAGTCAGAATCAATAATAGTATAGCTTCTTCAGTGATTTTTTTTTTTCTAGATGGAGTCTCGCTCTGTAGCCGAGGCTGGAGTGCAGTGGTGCAATCTCAGCTCACTGCAACCTTCGCCTCCCAGGTCCCAGTTCAATTCTGCCTCAGCCTCCCGAGTAGCTGCGATTACAGGCACACGCCACCATGCCCAGCTAATTTTTGTATTTTTAGTAGAGACGGGGTTCCACGCTGTTGGCCAGGCTGGTCTTTAACTCCTGACCTCGTGATCCGCCTGCCTCAGCCTCCCAAAGTGCTGGGATTACAGGCATGAGCCACCACTCAAGGCCGATCCTGTGTTTTTGTCTGGTCAAAGGGTATCTCTGTGGGTAAAACTGGAGTCTGTACTTTTGTTGTCATTAATTCTCTCTAGCCTGGAGATGCAGAAAGCTAGAGGCAGGGAAAGTGTACCATACAGCTGCAAGTCTATCTCATATAAGCAACTCTATGGGCTAGTCAGCAAAGGACTGCTTTAAGCATAGTTGGGTCTAGATTTGCCTAAGTATGGTGTCTTTTTTTCTGAGGTGGGGGCAAGTTAGAAGGAATTAAGTGAGTATAAATACATAGAACCCATGTTAAGACCTCAATAGGTGGATCCTTTCTTGGGTCTCTAACCACAAGTGCTTACAAAATCTGGTCTCTTCACACACTTCAGGGTGAGAATTTAGTTAACCTCTGCTATACTATACGTAATTCATAAAGCTCCACTATTACAATCAGTTTGGGCATAGGGGTTGTCTCAAGCTTCCCTATATTGCAAACTTGGAATGTCCTTGAGAAGAATGAGAAAGCAATGACTGAATGGCTGGGGTGGCTGCTCAGCGTTGGGAATGTTTGTACCTTGCATTTACTCCTGAGCTGCTGAGCTGTACAGACATGCCTTCTAATTGAGAAGATGCATAACACATAGACAGGAAGGAGGACAAAGACAAGTGCGTTGGGATTAAGCTCTTCGTTTATGTTCTGAAAGTGAGATGAGACCCAGTATATTGAACAGTAATCAACACAAATACAGGTAATAGCAGTCAAAGAAATTCTTGAAGAACCAAAATTTCATGAGTTGGGTCTAGAATTTTGCCAGTTCACCGTTCCATGGCTTCCTTATGGTGTAGTACACCTTAGGTCCTGCCTACTGACTCTAGCTGCTTTAACAGGAAAGAAGAGGACAAAGACCCCAAAAATCTTCCCTAAATTTTATTGTACATGTTGTGCCAAGCTTTCACTCCTAAAGGAAAACAGCACGGGAAGAAACAGTCAGGCATGTCTGAGAAGCAGCATGGTAACAGTAGAAATAAAACATGAGTTTCCAGGTGGAAGACCAAATGGGGGAAAAGTTGTAATTTTGCTATTTTCATTTTTTTTAGATGGAGTCTAGCTCTGTCGCCCAGGCTGGAGTGCAGTGACACAATCTCGGGCCACTGCAACCTCCACCTCCCGGGTTCAAACGATTCTCCTCCCTCAACCCCCCGAGTAGTTGGTATTACAGGCACCTGCCATCATGCCTGGCTAATTTTTGTATTTTTAGTAGAGATGGGGTTTCACTGTATTGGCTAGGCTGGGATTGAACTCCTGACCTCAGGTGATCCACCCACTTCGGCCTCTCAAAGTGTTGGGATTACAGGCGTGAGGTACCGCACCCGACCGATTTTGCTATTCTTGACCTGCATATTACTTATCTTGAATCTACATTTTCTCATTTGTAAAACCAGGGGTAACACCTACCTTGCAGAGATTAAATGAGAAATCTACATGAAAGCATTTAATAGTTGATGAATAAATGCATAAGTGGAGTCAAATGTGTAGTAACATCCAGTATTTTAATATTTATGCTTGATAAGTCATTTAAGTTGAAGACTCTTTATGTATTAATTTCAGCAAGTAACATAACCACACAGAATAGACAATGAAAGCATAATTAGTCATTATACACAATTATAATTTGATAAAAAATTTCAACATATACAGAAGTATAAAGAATGTGTATCTATCATGCAGCTTCTACAATTATCATTCCAACTCCTCGTTTCTTTGATATTGCCAACAATTTACACCCTGCCCCAATTCCAAATTTGGAAACAAGTCCCAGATATTAATATAATTTCCTCTTCAACATTTCAGTATGCCTGAGAGATTCTTGTTTAAAAAAAACATTTTTTTGAGGGGCACAGGGTCTCTCTCTGTCACCCAGGCTGGAGTGTAATGGTGCGATCTTGGCTCACTGCAACCTCTGCCTCCCAGGCTCAAGCAATTCTCCTGGTTCAGCCTCCCAGGTAGCTAGGACTACAGGCGCACACCACTGCTCTAGGACTGTGTACTCTTTTAGAGATGGGGTTTCACCATGTTAGCCAGGCTGGACTCAAACTTCTGAGCTCAGGTGATCCGCCCACCTTGGCCTCACAAAGTGCTGGGATTACAGGCATAAGCCAGGGTGCCAAGCCTTGTTTTAAAATTTAATCTTTATGCTCTGAATGGAAAGGCTATAAATGGAGTTCAATGAAAGGAAAAAACATTTAAAAAATAGAAGTTCTTTCTTTCTTCTTTTTAAGATGGAGTCTTGCTCTGTTGCCCAAGCTGGAGTGCAGTGGCACGATCTCAGCTCACTGCAGCCTCCCCTGGGTTCAAGTGATCCTCCTGCCTTAGCCTCCCAAGTACCTGGGATTACAAGCGTGCACCACCAGGCCTGGCTAATTTTTTGTATTTTTAGTAGAGATGGGGTTTCGCCGTGTTGGCCAGGCTGGTCTGGAACTCCTGGCCTCAAGTGATCCATCTGCCTCGGCCTCCCAAAGCACTGGGATTACAGGTGTGAGCCACTGTATCCAGACAAAAATAAAATTTAATCATAACATCATTCTAATAATAAAACATCACAGCCAAACAAAATTAATGATTCCTTGGTATCATTAAATATCCAGTTAATCCCACATTTAATACCACTTACAGCCCATTATTACTTTTGTTATATTATCACAGCCAGTTCCAAAACTTATAGCCCATTAAGTGTATGAGTTTACACCTGCATTTATATTATCTCTGATTTCTTTTTTTTTTTTTTGAGACAGAGTCTCACTCTGTTGCCCCAGGTTGGAGTGCAGTGGCGTGATCTTGGCTCACTGCAACCTCCACCTCCTGTGTTCAAGCAATTCTCTTGTGCCTCAGCCTCTTGAGTAGCTGGGATTACAGGCACACACCATCACGTCCAGCTAATCTTTTGTATCTCTAGTAGAGATAGGCTTTTGCCATGTTGCCCAGGCTGGTCTTGAACTCCTGGCCTCAAGTGATCCACCTGCCTTGGCCTCCCAAAGTGCTGGGCTTATAGGCATGAGCCACTATGCCCAGCCTCTGATTTCTTTTTTCTTTTTTTTGAGGCAGAGTCTTGCTCTGTTGCCCCGGCTGGAGTGCAGTGACACGATCTTGGCTCACTGCAACCTCCACCTCCCGGATTCAAGCAATTCTCCTAACTCAGCACCCAAGCAGCTAGGATTACAGGCATGCACCAGCACGCCCGACTAATTTTTGTATTTTTAGTAGAGACGGGGTTTTGCCATGTTGGCCAGGCTGGTTTCTAACTCCCGACATCTGGTGATCTGTCTGCCTGGGCCTCCCAAAGTGCTGGGATTACAGGCGTGAGCCACCTTGCCCGGCAAGCAGCCTCTGATTTCAACTCAAGAGACAGAAGAGGATCCCAAATTCCAAGCAACTCCCAAGATGCAAATCAAAATATGGAAATGTTAAACAAATTGAAGGATTTCCCAATAGTTACCTGCAACACCTAAAGGTCACTGTTTCCAAATGGTGCAAGAACTATGCAAACAATATGTTGGTTGCTGTTAAATTCAAGGACAGGACACTATTAACAGTTATAACATTTTTGTATGGACCTTTATGAATCTGTGGGAAACTAGAGACGCGCTGTCTTAGCTTAGGATGCCATAAAACTACCATGGGCTTAAATAATAGAAATTTATTTCTCACAGTTCTGGAGCATGGGAAGTCCAAGATCAAGGTGCCAGCCAATTTGGTTCCTGGTGGGGGCTCCCTTTCTGGTTTGGAAGTGGCCGTCTCACTGTATTCTTATATGGCTTTTCCTCTGCTCTTGAGGAGGAAGATTTCTCTCTTCTTCTTATAACGCCACTAATCCCATAATGAGGGCCCTACCGTCATGACCTATCTAACCCATATTACCTCCAAAGGCCCCATCTCCAGATACTATCACATTGGACTCCAAATATTTATTTATTATGGGACTCCAAATATTTATTTATTTTTTTGAGATGCAATCTCGCATTGTTGCCCAGGCTGGAGTGTACTGACGCGATCTCAGCTCACAACCTCTGCCTCCCGGGTTCAAAGCAATTCTCCTGCCTCAGCCTCCCCAGTAGCTGGGACTACAGGCGTGTGCCACCATGCCTGGCTAATTTTTGTATTTTTAGTAGAGACAGGGTTTCACTATGTTGGCCAGGCTGGTCTTGAACTCCTGACTTTGTGATCCACCGCCTTGGCCTCCCAAAGTGCTGGGATTACAGGTGTGAGCCACCGTGCCCAGCCCTCCAAATTTTTTTTTTTTGGAGACAGTTTCCCTCTTGTTGCCCAGGTGAAGTACAATGGCATGATCTCGGCTCAGTGCAACCTCCACCCCCTGGGTTCAAGAGATTCTCTTGCCTCAGCCTCCCGAGTAGCAGGGATTACAGGTGCTCACCAACACGTCCCGGTAATTTTTGCATTTTTAGTAGAGACGGGGTTTTGCCACGTTGGCCAGGCTGGTCTCAAAACTCCTGACCTCAGGTGATTCACCCACCTCGGCCTCCTAGTGCTGGGATTACAGGCGTGAGCCATCGCAATTGGCAATTTTTTTTTTTTTTCTTGAGACAAGGTCTTGCTCTGTCACCCAGGCTGGCAATATCATGGCTCACTGCAGTCTCAAACTTCTGGGCTCAGGCAAGCCTCCTGAGTAGCTGGGACTACAGGTGTATGCCACCACACCTGGCTAATTAAAAATTTTTTTTTTTTTTGTAGAGACGGGGTCTCACTATGTTGTCCAGGCTGGTTCTGAACTCCCGGACTCAAGCAATCCTCCCACCTAGGCCTCCCAAAGTGTTAGGTTTACAGGTGTGAGTTACCATGTCTGGCTTCCAAAATATGAAGTTTGGGAGGACATAAACATTTAGTCTATAACATATATTAAGTTGGTACACTACAAAGTAAGCAAAAGTATATACATCCAAATAGCTGGGAAAAGGTGAGAGCATTAAGGACAAGCAAACATGTGACTGTTTCTAGCCATTTGCCAGATTTACCTATGAGCTTAACAATGAAGCTAGAACTGAACCAAGCTACTGTTTTCTGACTAAAGAGATGTCTTCGTAAGCAGTAATGTGGGGTAACCCATAATGAGGAAAACTTAGTCATAAAGGAGAAAAGCAAGAGAAACAGAGAATTAGCAGGATTTTTTTTTTTTAAAAAGAATGAATTCATGAAACATGAAAAATGAATGAATTCGTGAAAACGGCAAAACATATTTTTACCATTTCCGATATGTACAGTGACAAGTTCTTTTGATACCATGCCCTAGACTGTGTATTACCCATCTATTCAGCAGTTATCTCAACAGGTATCATGACATTTTCAAAACCAAAAACTGAGTTTTTTTTTTTTTTTTTTTTTTTTTTAGATGGAGTCTCGCTCTGTTGTCCAGGCTGGAGTGCGATGGCACTATCTTGGCTCACTGCAAACTCCGCCTCCCGGGTTCAAGCAATTCTCCTGCCTCAGCCTCCTGAGTAGCTGGGATTACAGGCGCCTGCCACCATGCTCTGCTAATTTTTGTATTTTTAGTAGAGACAGGGTTTCACCATGTTGGCAAGGCTGGTCTTGAACTCCTGACCTCAGGTGATCTGCCTGCCTTTGGCTTCCCAAAGTGCTGGGATCCAAAATAGTTTTAATTAACTTTGACTGAGGAATAGATATCACCTAGTTGGTTTTTTTTTTTTTTTTGGAAGGAAAAAAGTGATACCAAAATATCTTAACACTTATAAGGAGTCAAAAGTCCAAAACCATTTAGAAATTAATTGATTTTTTAAAAGCCTTAAGTGGCTGAGTGCGGTGGCTCATGCCTTTAATCCCAGCCCTTTGGGAGACTGAGGTGGGCAGATCACCGGAGGTCAGGTGTTCCAGACCAGCCTGTCTAACATGGCAAAACCCTGTCTCTACTAAAAAATACAAAAATTAGCCCGGTGTGGTAGAGCACAACTGTAGTCCCAGCTACTCAGGAGGTGCACGCCAACATGTCCGGTGGAAGGATGGCTTGAGCCTAGGAATTTGATGCTGCAGCAAGCTGTGATACTGTGCCACTGTACTCCAGCTGGGGTACAGAGAGACACTACCTCTAAATAAATAACCTTAAGTGTTTTTTCCAAAGATATTGCTTATGACTTTCAAAAGAGATATACAGAGTGGTGGCTGCAGTGGCTCAAGCCTATAATCCTAGCACCTTAGAAGGCTGAGGCAGGTGATCACTTGAAGTCCAGAGTTTGAGGCCAGCCTGGCCAACATGGTAAAACCCCATCTCTACTAAAAATACAAAAATTAGCCAGGTGTGGTGGTAGGCGCCTGTAATCCCAGCTACTTGGGAGGCTGAGGCTGGAGAATCTCTTGAACCCAGGAGGCGGAGGCTGCACTGAGCAGAGATCGTACCACTGTACTCCAGCCTGGGTAACGTAGTGAGACTCTGACTCAAAAAAGGGGTATAGTCACTTAAATTTGTGTAGATCAGGCACTATTAGCACAGTTTTCCAGATAGTACTGATTACTTAAACATGTCAAAATAATTATTACTAGTAGTTGAGTCCTTACTTTTCTAAGCACTTTATATTTATTTAGTCCTCTCAAATACAAGGTAGATTCTATCATATTCCCCATTTTATAGGGGGGAACTGAAGTATAGAGATTATGCAACTTCCAAGCAGCTGGGCCTCAAAGATTAAGATGCTCTAGAAATCATGATTTGTAAAATGAATAAGAAGTTTGGCAAGTCAGAGACCCACAGGCCATATCTCTTTTCCTCCTCCTGCTACTTTTACTCCAAGTAACTCAGATAATTATTCCTGAAAATCTTTCTTCACACCCTGATAAAAATCCCCAGTTTAGATGGAATTCATAGCCCAATATCCCTTTCTCCCTCCCTGTACCACCTCAGCACTGAAGCAAGATTAATTAAACATCTTTTTTTTTTCTTGAGTCTTACTCTGTAGCCCAGGCTGGTGCAGTGGTGTGATCCTGGCTCACTGCAGCCTCAACCTCCTGGCCTCAAGCAATCTTCCCACCTCAGGATGAGTAGCCGTCACTACAGGCAGCACCACCATGCCCGACTAATTTTTGTATTTTTTTGTAGAGATGGGATTTTGCTCTATTGCCCAGGTTGGTCAAAAATCATTTTCAGTTCCTGTATCAGGGAACTTTTTAAAAAAATTAGTGATTTTTTCCTCCTTACCATGTTAATTTTCTGCAACTCAAACAAAGGCTGAAGTATCCTTTTAGATTCTACTAAGCTTGCACATTTGCCCAAAAAAAGTGTGGGTGGAGCTGTTTATAGTCATTCCAGGTTCCTCTCCAGGTTTGCTGGTCATTTGACAACCTAAGCAACCATGTTTTTACTAGTTGTAGGTGTGTAGCTGCAGGAGCAGCAGCAGAAAAATTCTATATCCTGAACAAATTCTGTCAACTGAACCCCATTTCTCTCAATTTAACCAAATGATATTGTTACTGTTCCTGAAAATATTAATTAAGACTTGAAATAATCTGCCCTTCAAAAGCTGGTAGGTAAAAATCCAAAAACTTGGCAGCACTCTAATCCATCAGCAATGCTGGGGTGAAAACATTTAGTACATAGAGGGCAAATTAAAAATACATATATGCCTTTTTGCAGAGCAATTCCACCTGTGGAAACTGAGATGAGACATATTTAAATATACAAGGAAAGATGTACATCCAAGGATAATCATTCAAGCACTAGAGTACAAAAGAAACTCAATGTCCCTAAACTGGGTGATAACCAAATAATGTGCAGTGGTTAAGAAAAAATGTCGCCTTTTTGCACTGAGATGGAAAAGCCATCTCAAGTCCAATGTGCAGAAGGGTTTGTACGGTATTTTCTCCTACATAAAAATGGGGGAGGGGGAATAAGAACATTTATTCTCACATATGTATGTATGAAAAAATGTGTATGTGGAAAAATATACAAGAGGCTGGGCACTGTGATTCATGCCTGTAACTCCACTTTGGGAGGCCGAGGCAAGCGATCACCTGAGGTCAGGAGTTCAAGACCAGCCTGGCCAACATGGTGAAACCCCGTCTCTACTAAAAATATAAAAATTAGCCGGGCGTGGTAGCACGCGCCTGTAGTCCCAGCTACATGGGAGGCTGAGGCAGGAGAATTGCTTGAACTCGGGAGACGGAGGTTGCAGTGACCCAATATCACGCCACTGCACCCCAGCCTGGGCGACAGATCGAGACTATGTCTCAAAAAAAAAAAAAAAAAAAAAAAAGAAAGAAAGAATATGCAAGAAACAAAAAGTAGAGGTTACTTCAGTAGTGATAACTGGATGGGTGGAAGTGATGATTAAAAAATTTTTTTTGAACCAGTGAATGCCTTATCTATTCAAATAATTTTTAAAAATTGGCTAGAAGCTCTAATCAACCAACCAACAACTATTAAATGCCTGCTTGTCTTAAAATAGAGTCTACAGGCTAGGTAGCCCAAATGCAACCTTAACTCTGAGATACAAAATATAAGGTTGAATGAGTGGCTGTGCCTAAACAATTTCTGGAAATCAAAGTTCTTGGTGCCTCTGGGGAATTCTGATATCAGTGACTTGGCCAAAGAATTTCACTTGCTTACTGGTGGTCTTCTCTAGAACTCACGAGCAGGGAGACAAATGGAGATAGGGTGAGATGCTCACCCAACAAAGTGAAAAATTTTCAGCAGTGTGTCTGCCAAAAATCCACACATTATTCATCTGCAAACCTAAAAACAGGTAGGAAGGAACCAGTAATTGTTTTATGGTACAGAATTTTTAAAAAATTTTCTTTAATGTTATAATGCTATTTGTATGGTAAATGAGTTTAATAAATCTGATAAGAAAAAGTCTTCCTCATTGATTACAGTAGTTTATACATTTTAAGGAGATACTGATGCTTTTCAAAAGGCATGTGTTCATCACCAGGATAAGTTATCTTTCATTCCAAGTATTAATGACCTTTGATTGGCAAAACCATATTGATCTTTTCTCTTAGAATTTCAGGTGACTAAAACTGCACTGTAAACACAGTGAACAAAATTAAATAACACTGCAGTGTTTCCCAATGTGCAGGATCCATACCACTGGTGATAATCAACATAGGCAGTACATGAACAAAGCAGTAAATAACATTGAATCACACAGCAAGAAAGTTATTCCTGTTTACAGGCCAGGCGTGGTGGCTAATGTCTGTAATCCCAACACTTTGGGAGGTCAAGGTGGGTGTCTCGCTTGAGCTCAGGAGTTCAAGACTAGCCTGGGCAACATGGCAAAACCCCATCTCTACCAGAAATACACAGAATTAGCCAGGCATGGTGGCTGCGCTTGTAGTTCTAGCTGCTAAGGAGGCTGAGGTGGGAGAATCACCTGAGCATGGGAAATCCAGGCTGCAGTGAGCTGAGATCTTGCCACTGCACGCCAGCTTGGGCAACAGAGTAAGACCGTGTCTCAGAGAAAAAAAAAGCTATTCTTCATTCAAGCCTTGAGATTCGAAGTGCTTGGTTGGCAAGAGTATCTAGATAGAATTTAATAACTGGTTTGTTTTCATTATACTAATTTTTACATTTACTATCTTGACTTTTTCCCCCCTTATTGACAGGCGTTTACATTTGTCTGGATTACCCACATTCACAGACGCGTTAAGACAGGAGTGCAGGTGCTGCTATGTTATGGGAACCCCTTAGTCAAAAAACACAAAAATCCAATGGTCTTTTCCCAGGGCTTATCTTTACTTGAGCTAAATTCTCCCCATGGTCTTCTGTAACACACACTTAGCCTCTCCAGGAATGGTGTAGTACACAGAATAAACTGGAGTCAAGCTGGTTTTGAATGCTGGTTCTTTTTACTGCTTTTTGAGTCTACAAAGCCAGTCTATCAAGTGAGGCTAAAATTGGCTACCTTGGAAATGGAAAGGAATAAATGAGATAGTAAATGTAGAGCAGCTGCCATACAGTTTAACAGATGCTCAATAAATGCTGATTTGCTTTCCTCCTTCGCTTCTCCTTCTCTGTCCTTCAGTACTTTTCTCAATATTCTCTCTCACTGGTTTCCTTCACTCTCATGGCTTTATTACCCTTCTATGGATGGGTAACTTCTAATTTTCTATCACCAATTCTGACCTTTTTTCAGAGTACCAAACCTTAGCTTTTGTGTGTTTAATAATTCTACCTTGATATTCTGGCATCATCTTAAACTCAATCCATACAAAATTTCTCTTTCTACAAAAAACTTGAAGGCAGTGGGGGTAAGGTGAGAGAGTCACAGGAGTTGGAGTGAGGAGCCACAAGTTCTTTTTTTTTGTCCACATCATGGGATTTTTTTTTATAAGTTCACTGGTTTTTAGTCTATGTTCTATCTACTCTAATCACCTGAACATGTTTCCTAGCTTAATTTCATGTTTTTCGTCTGTGATGGAGTGATAAAATGAACATTTTCTGTTTATAACTTTTTGCAAGCTTAAAAAATGCCATATAAAATTGCTATTGACATCTGATTCAACATGGTGGGATGAGGGAAGGAGTTAAGGAT
Source organism: Homo sapiens (assembly GCF_000001405.40). Taxonomy (NCBI): domain Eukaryota; kingdom Metazoa; phylum Chordata; class Mammalia; order Primates; family Hominidae; genus Homo; species Homo sapiens. The sequence goes on along the minus strand of NC_000015.10, from coordinate 50,362,324 downwards.
GAGATTTTGAGCCTGAGTTCTGCAGTGTCTTTTGCACCTGTCTCGCCTTTCCTTCACCATTGTCATTCCCCAGAATTCAGGCCTACCTTATCTTTCACATTTGTGATGCATTTACAGAAAAATTGGCTCAGTCAGGGAAGTAATAGTTGGTAGTGTGTATCCAGCATTGCTCACGAGTTTTAAAAATAACCATGAAATATATAATATACATACTGAAAGTACATTTTTCTCCAAAAAACCTACTTCTCATTAAGTCATAGAGTGCTAACACTCATGTAATCCCAGTGTCTTAGAATGTTCGGCTTATTTGGCTCACGGTTTTGCAGGCTGTACAAGAAGCATGGTAGCAGTATCTGCTTCCAGTGAGGGCTTCAGGCTGCTCACGGTGGAAGGCAGACAGGAGATGACATATGCAGAGATCACATGGCGAGAGAAAGGAGAGAGGAGGTGCCAGTCTCTTAATGAACTCACTCCTTACAGAATACGAAGCCACTCATGAGAAATCCACTCCCACAACCCTTCCCACCAGGCCTCACCTCCAACACTGGGGATGAAATTTTAACATGAGACTTGGTAGGGTCAGACAAACCAAACTCAAGCCATAGCACCCTACTTAGGAACAGAACATCAACAGCACTCCAGAAGCACCTATTACCTCCCAAGCACTACTCCCTGCAAAGCTAACTATTTCTTTTCTTTATACTTTTACTACCTAAACATATATCCCTAAATCTAGATTGGTTTGCCTGTTTGTTGAACTTCCCATTTTCCAAAGTGGTTATACCAATATACATTTCCAGCAGCTGTGTAGTTTCAGTTACTCCAACTCTTGACCAACATCTGGCATTTTCTGGGTTTTCCATTTTAGCCATTCTGTTGGATGTGAGATTAAAATATCATTTAGGTTTTAATTTGCATTTCTCTAATGATTAAATTAGTTGAGTATCTTTTACATGTTTATCGGCCATCTACACGCCCCTTTTATATTTTTTAAGAAACTAATATTTAGATACCCTTTTTTGTGAGGTGACTGTTTAAGTTTCTACCTTTTTTTTTTTTTTTTTTTTTGAGATGGAGTCTTGCTTTGTCGCCCAGGCTGGAGTGCAGTGGCACGATCTTGGCTCACTGCAACTTCTGCCTCCTGGGTTCAAGCAATTCTCCTGTCTCAGCCTCCCGAGTAGTTGTGATTACAGGTACGTGCCACTACGTCTGGCTAATTTTTATATTTTTAGTAGAGACAGGGTTTTGTCATGTTGGCCAGGCTGGTCTTGAACTTCTGACCTCAAGTGATCTGCCTGCCTGGGCCTCCTAAAGTGCTTGGATTACAGGTGTTAGCCACTGCCTGGCCTCTACCCATTTTTTTATTGGATGTCTTCTTTTTTATTGATTTGTGGGAGTCTACAAATTCAAGATAGCAGCAAAGAGATGTATTTCTATTGTAGACATGAATGCATTTGGCTGGGTGTGGTGGATTACATCTGTAATCCCAGCACTTTGGGAGGCTGAGGTGGGAGGATCACTTGAGCTCAGGAGTTTGAGAATAGCCTGGGCAACGTGGCAAAACACAGTCTCTACAAAACATACAAAAATGAGCTGGGCGTGGTGGTGTGCACCTGTAGTCCCAGCTACTCAGGAGGCTGAGGTGGGAGGATCGCTTGAGCCCAGGTTGAGGCTGCAGTGAGCTGAGATCACATCACGGCCTTCCAGCCTGCATGGGCGACAAGGTGAGACCTTATTCCCTCCACCTCCCCAAAAGATGAAATGAATTCATTTGTTTGATGCTATTAGAATACCAGTAACTCCCCTTACTTTGGCCCCAAATTCACAAATGAACCCTCCAAAAGGTAATGCAGTTAACTTCATGCATTCTCTTTAAACAATGTACTGAGTCTTTATGCCAGGGAATTTGGAATTAACAGATACAGTACAGGTCTCTCATTTCAAAGTAGTATTCCTAATCATGAAGGAAATGAGAGACCTGTACTGGAATCCTGTCTTTAACACCTTTGAGGATGGTGAATTTAGGTAAGTTATTCAACCTATTTTAGCCTCGGTTTCTTCATTGGAAAAATGGGGCAAACAATACTTATTTTACAGAGTTGTGAGGATTAAATGAGACAATATATATAATATGCTTTGCACAGTGGCTGGCATACAGGAAACGTTTAATATATGGTAGCTACTATAAACTCGGTTATTTCCGTGTAGCTTTCCATGTCTACATGGAGGGAGAAAATGAGCAGATGTCCATTATAATTTAGCTATTACAGTTTTCACTCTAAAGTAAAAAAGGCATTTAGATTTATATGTCTTCTGGGAGTTTGGTTCTTCTGACTCCCTTCATCTGTGAGACCATAGGTACTTTTATGTAATATGATAAAAATTATTAGAAAAAGAAAAAAACGGCCGGGTGCAGTGGCTCACACCTGTAATCCCAGCGCTTTGGGAGGCCAAGGCAGGTAGATCACCTGAGGTTGGGAGTTCGAGACCAGCCTGACCAACATGGAGAAACCCGTCTCTACTAAAAATACAAAATTAGCAGGGTATGGTGGTGCATGCTTGTAATCCCAGCTACTTGGGAGGCTGAGGTAGGAGTATCGCTTCAACTCAGGAGGCAGAGGTTGCGGTGAGCCAAGATCGCACCATTGCACTCCAGCCTGGGCAATAAGAGCGAAACTCTGTCTCAAAAAAGAAAAAAATAAACTAAAAAGGAAAAAAGGGCCGGGCACGGTGGCTTACGCCTGTAATCCCAGCACTTTGGGAGGCTGAGGCAGGCGGATCACAAGGTCAGGCAATGAAGACCATCCTGGCCAACATGGTGAAACCCCGTCTCTACTGAAAATACAAAAATTAGCTGGATGTGGTGGTGCACACCTGTAATCCCAGCTATTTGGGAGGCTGAGGCAGGAGAATCGCTTGAACCCAGGAGGCAGAGGTTGCAGTGAGCCGAGACTGCACCACTGCACTCCAGCCTGGCGACAGAAAAAGACTCCCATCTCGAACACAAAAAACAAACAAAAAAAGGGAAATAAAGAATATGCAAAGTACAATCCCTCAAATTTTTATTAGACCCACAGAAATAAAATTAGTCTGTTAAACTGCTATAAGTTTCTAAATTCTTACTTTCTGTAAATGCCTTGACATGGATGTGTAACAAAGGGCTTACAGACTGGCACTGCCTTGTGGACCACACTTTTGGTGAGACTGCTCTAGAGCGCTGACAAAAATCAGACTTTGAATCCACAGGGCTGAAGTCAAAGCAACTGAAGGGTGTCCTGACTCACCAGCTGGCCACCTAGTGGCCTCCTTCTAGTCATAAGCACAACCTTGTGTCACTCCTTAGTTCAAAAACCATCCATTATTCTGCCTGACTCAAGGGTAAAATCTCAGTCCTTTAATCTGACATCCAAGGCCTTCCAGAGCTGGTTCTAAACAACTTTTTAAGTCTGACTTTCCACTATCCTCTACTTCACTAGACTGCATTGTCCAATATGGTAATAACTTGTCCCACTTGAAATGCAGAAGTGAAATGAGGCTAATTTAGGAACTGAATTCATAATCCTAACTTTAATTTAAAATAAAATTTAAAAATATACACGATTCGATTACCGTAAAACTTTTAAGTATGCTTGGAACGACTTGGGTACGTGAATCTATTTTTTCAGCTGGAAATTTTATGAAATCAAGTACTGAGATATGCTATAAGTATAAAATACACACCAGATTTCAAATGCTTAGTTATGAGAAAGATAATGTAAAATATTTTTAATATTTAGTAATTTTTTATGTTGATCACATGTGAAATAATATTTGGATATGCTAGGGGTTAAAAGTGTAATTAAAATTAATTCCACCTAGACAACATGCCCCAAACCTAGGCATCACTATTGATTCCTCCCTTTCCTCATTTAATTGGTAAGCAAGATAGGTCAGCTTTTTGGATCCATCCACTTCCCTCATCTCTACTGCTACTATCCTAGTCCATGATACTCCATTTCTTTTTTTTTTTTTTTTTTTTTTGAGACGGAGTCTCGCTCTGTCGCCCAGGCTGGAGTGCAGTGGCACGATCTCGGCTCACTGCAAGCCCTGCCTCCTGGGTTCACGCCATTATCCTGCCTCAGCCTCCCGAGTAGCTGGGACTACAGGCGCCCGCCACCACGCCTGGCTAATTTTTAAAAAAATTTTTTATTTTGAATAGAGACGGGGTTTCACCATGTTAGCCAGGATGGTCTCCATCTCCTGACCTCTTGATCCTCCCACCTCGGCCTCCCAAAGTGCTGGGATTACAGGCGTGAGCCACCGCGCCCGGCCAGATACTCCATTTCTTAAATCCTTCAATGGCTTCCAGTGCACTTCACCTTCTTATTGAGGCTGAAGACTTCACCTCCTATCATTCCTTCTTTTGGTCACTAGATTTCGGATACACTGACCTTGCTATTCCCTAAACACAACAAATTTTTCACCTTAGGGCCTTTGCCCAGCTATTCCCTTTGGTCTCACACTGTTCTTGTCCTTTCTAATACCTTCTCAGTGAGGCCATCTCTGATCAACCAACCACCAAAAGTTTGCTCTCTTTTCCCCAGAGTAACACTTTATCCAATCAGCTTTTAATTTTCCTCACAAACTCTTTTTTTTTGAGGCGGAGTCTCGTTCAGTCGCCCAGGCTGGAGTGCAGTGGCGCAATCTCGGCTCACTGCAGCCTCCGTGTCCTGGGTTCAAGCTACTCTCCTGCCTCAGCCTCCGGAGTAGCTGGAATTACAGGAGCGTGCCACCATGCCCAGCTAATTTTTTTCAGTAGAGACGGGGTTTTGCCATGTTGGCCAGGCTGCTCTTTAACTCCTGAACTCAGGAGATCCACCCACCTCGGCCTCCCAAACTGCTGGGATTACTGGCATGAGCCACTGCACCCAGCCTTCTTCACGAATTTATGGGATATTCTCTCTCCTCTTATTTTTAAAACTTGTTTATATGCTGTTTCCCTCTAAAAAACAGGAGTAGGAACCATTTGTTTTGCTGCTGCTTTACCTATTTCAGTGTGTAGAACAGTACCAGGCACAGAGTAGGTGCTCTTCCAACAGTGTTGAATGAATATCTAATTGCACACTACACATATATGACTGGTTGGCTCACATGCACTTCAAATTTTACATGGTCAAAACAAAGACTTCTTCCTTCCCTAACATATATTCTCTTATTTTGTTTCTAATCTCAGTGAAGACATTACTATCCTCCTAGCTGCTCCACCAACTCACTTGGGAGTCACCTGACATCTATCTCCCTCAGTCATTTTCAGTTAACCAAATCTCCCAATAACCACTTTATTTTCTTCACACCTACCTGCTACCAACTCAGTCCAAGTCATTACTGGCTCACAGCCTACTGTTTACTCCAAACTCTTCTGTTTGCCTCAAATTTTTGTGTAACAGTGATCTGTCTAAAATGAATTCAATCCTATGATTCTTCTACTTAAAATCTTTCAATATCTTCTTCCTGGTTCTCAGAAGCTGACTTCTGCACATAGCATTCAAGGCCTTCACAAGTAGACCTCCAGCATTGTCTTCTTTACCCAACAATCTCTCTAGTGTTTGCCTCCAAACATCTGTACTTACTGCTTCTCATCTAGAAAGTCTTCCATAATACCCTTATTAAAGCTAATTGCTTCTCTAGTCCCATTCCATTTTATTCCTCCCTCTTGGTTTAGTAAGGGGTTCCTCCTTTATTTGATTCCACAGTATTAAGTAGCTTCACTCTCATCATACTGATGATGCCTATTTACTTGTCTACATTCTACAGCCTAAGATTAATGGGGGCAACGATTCTGTAACAATTAGCTGAATGTTCACTCAAATAAACAATGCTCATTCAAATAATGCTACAGAAAAACATCAGAATTTGGCAAATTTCTATTAACTGAAGAAATGAAAATATTAAATCAAAAGAAAACACAGCCTATGGTTCCTATGCTTTTTTTCTATTTTAGGCACAATGCTTTAATAAATTACACAAAGACTACAAACCTTTATTACATCAATTGTTACAAAAGGCTAAGTGGAGAAAGATTACTTATCTGAAGCTGCACAAAATCAGTGGGCAATATGGATTTCATTTAAGCTTGTCAATTCTCCTGGATTAAATTCTTGGCGCTGTCTCACATATTCCCAAGTCCTACATGTAGGATGCTAAAAGTTGCAGTTACTAGGTTGGGAAAGCCATGCCCAGACGCCCCTGTGAAAAACATATCAATATATTAAGTTCCTTAGCAAATCACATCTAGATTAAGTTCATAATGCTTTTTTTTTTTTTAACTTTGCAAATCTCCAAACTTTTGCTACTTTCTTAATAAAATACAACAAAATTTTTGGCATTCCAGCCACGGAAAAACAGATCTCTACCTCTGAGGTGGCAGTAATCCAAGCAGTTACTAGGATCTACGAAACATGAGGCATAATTAGAATGTTGGGGAAAAAATCTACAGAAATATCTATATCTTCGTCATGAACCTGACTGTTGAGTTTATGAAAAAGTGGAAAAGGAACCTCACTCGTTCCTTCCCTGGTACCTTCACAGCGTCTCCCGTCCCAGTCTGCCTAGTTGAATCTAGGGACACTTAAAGGTAAATCCTAGCCTCTTGGCTGTCCTTCCGTCTCCCAGGATTCTGCTAGGCCGCACAGTTGGCAAGCTTAAAACTCCAAAGATTCCGCACTCTCCGTCTTTCAACAGTCATGTCACAGAGACACGAAGGTTAGCACAGGAACATTAGTTTCCAAACTCCTACCCACCGCAGAACAGGCGGGAAGGTTCGGTGGCCACCCGGCCTCTCCGCCGCGCACATGGCCGTCCGCAGCTCCCACCCCCGCTGCCGCGCAGGCGCCGGGCGAGCCGGGACTTGCGGTCGCCGAGAGCGGATCATTCCGCCGCTTTCTTTGTGTGGCTGAAGCGCTAGAAATGGCATATTTTCTTTCCCTTCGTTAAAAAATCAGACCCTCTTTCCCCTCTCTCCCCGCGGGAACACAGCTAGGGAGTGGGTAGGAGCAGGATCTGCCGACGAGGGCAGAGGCGGAAAATCCTCGGGCGATGAGCTGAAGAGGGCCGGGTCCGGGAGGGATGCTGGGAGCTTGACTCACTCGCACACCATGTGTCCCTCCGCGCGCAGCACGGGGGACTTTTCGGTGGGGATTTTGGGCGCCGACCAGACGCGGCATTTTCGGAAAATAGCGCCCTGTGCAGCTGAAGCGCTTTGTGTGTAGCGGGGCCGCGTCAGCCCGGCCGGGTACGAGGCGCCTCGGGTCCCCGCACCACCTCCTGCTGCCTTCCCGTCGCCGCTCCCGAAGCTTTTCCAGGTCAGTGCGGGTCTGTGTAGGGCCCTGTTACCACCGGATGTGGAAGTTGATCTCTTCGCTGGTAAAAAATAATTCCACTTCCCCCGGAACCCAGATCATCCCCGCGATTTCCTGTTTATTGCATTAAGGCGCCGGGTTTCCGGGGCTCCTGGCCCCGCTTATTCCGCGGGGGTCGGCGGGGTCGGCCTGGGCGCCCGCGCCGCCGCTGCGCTTTGTCCGCTGGGCACACTGCTTCTGGGAGGGGCGGGCAGACATGGTGGCGGCCGCCGCCCCCTCCTCGGCCCTAGCATGCCGCGGCCGCCTCGCGGCTACCCGGCTTGCCGGTCCCGAGCGGCAGCCCCGGGGTGGCGATGGGGTCGCGCCGAGGCAGCGGAGGTTCTGCGGGCGACTGGAGGTTGGCAGTGGGCGGGAGAAAGAGGAAGGCAGGCGCGGCTGGGCCTCGGCCTCTGGCGCCGCGGTACCCTTTGTCTCGGCAGCCTGACGGCCCCGCCGGGCTCTCCGGAGAGGGGAACGGGCGGCGAGGGTGGCGGGTCCTGGGCGCCCTGTGCTGCGGGGCCGAGAGGCGCTCGGGTCGCGGCGGGATCGGCCGGACCAGACAGGGTTAATGGAAGAGCCTGGCCAGTCCCGCGCGGGGCCCCCGCAGCGACAGCCTTGGCCGCGGGGACTGGAGTCCTGAGGGGGAGAAGCCTGCCGTTCTGAAGGCTCGGGACTTCTGCCCCAAAGACTTCGCCGCCGAGAACTGCGGGTGCACTGCCTCAGGGAAGAAGTTGAGAATTTTGCCAGGTCATCTCTGCCAGGGCACAGTTCATCACTGTGTGTTTAGTGTGTTTCGGTGAAGCTCTCCAAGTGTGTTGAATCAGCGTGCCTAGCCTCAAGGGTGCATCGTGAAAACTGAAACCAAAGGAATGATACAGGCCTGCTTTGTGTGTGTCTTCCCACTTTAAGCTTGTTTTCAGTACAAATACTCTTGCTTTAAACCTGATTGGACTGTGGCGAGCGGACATCTGTTCAAAGGAGGGGCCGAGACCACAGTACTTCTGAAGGGGGCTTGATAATGTGGAAACATTTTAAGTTTTCTCTCCGGACTGTTTTGCTCTCTCAATTCAGGCAAGTTACTGAAGTACGTTTTTTATCTAGAAAAAGGTTTGATGTAGTCTGTAAATGGTCCTTGTAAAGTACATTGCCATCTCAGAATTAAAAGATCCACTCTCATTTATTATGCAGAAGTTAGTGGTCATTCTTTCCTGTAGATAGTTTATCTCATGTAAAGACCCACCCAGCTTGGTTTAAATTTTTTTCTCACTGACGTATAACCATCAGCTTTGATACTTCCATTTTCAGGCTCAGACTTTGAATTTAAGGAAACTAAAGATGACTTTATTTTCTTTTCTCTTGGTTTTTTTTTTCCAAAAACAAAAAATAAATCCATTACATGTTAACATAGATGATAAGAGTGACATCTTGCATTTTTGCAAATCTTTTTAATGCCTGGTTTAATAGAAGATTCTCAGATCTACGTCAGACTGTTGTGGTTAGCACACCATGTAACCTCTGGAACACTCCACTGTACACTCATACTTTTTTAAAAAAAAAACCAAAAAACAGAAATGTGTCATTCTTACCGTGCTTTCACCATACAAGTCAAATCAAGCTGTTATGCAAGACACATTTTAACAAGACTGAATAAGATTGATTCCCATACTTTTTTTACTGGGCTCTAACTTTTTTAAAAGTTGGAATTTAGGTGACTAAACAAAATCACAGATGAAGACTGCATAATCTGCCTATGATCTCGGAGACTCAGGAACATTCGAAGATATTCTTAAGTGATTAAAACATTTAATTCTATTACATATTTATAATGATTTACACAAGTAACACGTGAATTCCACATATGCTATCAACACTTGTGTAAATGTTATCTTTAAAGATAGAACATGTTGAAAATTATAGGAGGTACAGATTTTACAGAAAATTAATTCTGCAGTGAATCCTTTGGTGAAACGAACAGTTTGCAGAGACATATCCTTAGAGTTCTTTGTCTCTCTGAATCATTCTGGGTTTTCTAGGTTGGGAGACAATTATACTTATTGGGAGACAATTATACTTAATTGATTAATGCATAAAAATTTAAGGCCGTATTTTAATGGCTTTGAAAGGAAGCTAAGTTTGTTTCCAGTTGTTTCTGTGAACTGTAGTCTGAATCTGTCAGTCTATAGTTCTCTACTGTTCCATCAACAGGAAGCATCTGGTCATTCTTCGTGTAATTGTTAGAAAATACCAGGTGTACTTTTAATGTTTGCTGTTCAAACGAAAATAGATTGGATCTTGGTTAAGTTCACTTGGTTTGGCCAGGCACAGTGGCTCACGCCTGCAGTCCCAGCACTTGGGGAGGTGGAGGCGGGCCGATCACCTGAGGTCAAGAGTTTGAGACCAGCCTGGCTAACGCGGTGAAACCCCATTTCTACTAAAAATACAAAAAATTAGCTGGGCGTGGTGGTGCGCGCTTGTAATCCCAGCTACTCGGGAGGCTGAGGCAGGAGAATCGCTTGAGCCAGAGAGGCAAAGGTTGCAATAAGCCAAGATAGCGCCATTGCATTCCAGCTTGGGCAACAGGAGCGAAACTCTGTCTCAAAAAAAAAAAAAAAAGTATGCTTGGTTTTAGTGTGTTTTTTCCCATAACATTGTGTCATTGTAATGGACCACATCTCCTGTACCATGAATTTTTTTTTACTTTTTTCTTTTGCCCCTCAGTACCAGAAATATTAACAGGTAACAGGTAAAGTGCACGTCATGAGGAATTCAGAAATTCAGAAATTACATGAAGTTTTGCATCATGAATTTATTTTTGAGGGTGCACGAGGCAGTTACCCAGTCTCTGTTTGCAAGTAGCCTGAGTTCAGATGAACTCACTGATGGCCTCCATCTCTTCTGACTTTGCAAACGTTGAAAAACAAACCCACACAAAATCTTGAAGTTGAGAGCAACTTAGTTTCCTTAGTGTCATCCCTCTGCTCCCCTCTCCTCCCCAACAACTAGTATGGTTTCCAGCTAGTAATCACAATGTTTCTATAGCTCTGATGTGCCTACATTGGGATAGCTACAATTAGTATTATAGTTTTCTGAAGATGTTTGTTCCATCATGCTTTCTAGAAGGTAAATCTAGCACTAGATGAGATCAGTATTAGGGCCTGTGTTTTTTCTCAGTGTTGACATCACAGTGCTCTATACAAAGAAGATGCTTTGGTGCAATCAGCTGTCAGTTCAGTTGGTGGGCTAGTGCACCTTTCTGTCTCCCTCCCTCCCTCCCTCCCTCCCTCCCTCTTTCCTCTCTCCTTCTCCCTCTGTCCCTCTCCCTCTCTCTCCTTCCCTCCCTGTTTTCCCCTTTGCACCTCTTCTTTCTTTGACAGGGTCTTGCTTTCTCTGTTACCCAGGCTTAGTGCAGTGGTGCGATTATACTTCACTGCAAGCTCCACCTTTCAGGCTCGAGCGATCCTGCCTCTGCCTCAGCCTCCTGAGTAGTTGGGACTACAGGTACCTGCCAACATGTCTGGCTAATTTTTTAATTTTTTGTAGAGACGAGATCTCACTGTGTTGCCCAGGCTGGTCTCAAACTTCTGGACTCAAGTGATCCTCCCACCTTGGCCTCCCAAGTGTTGGGATTATAGGCGTCAGCCAACACACCCATCTGTGAATAATTCTGAAGTTGGTAGAACAGCTTATTGACAGAGCAAGGTGTTAGCCCCACTTTACTGTGTACTAGTTATATTATATTTGGGGTATTGTGTTGGCTTTTTGGGTAGCATACTATCATAAGTGAGACCTTGTATTCATTCTCAGACTTTATCAGAATCATCTGGAGAGCTAATAAAAAGCCACACAGAGGCCCAAACTTAAGTAGGGTAGGAACGGACCTTAATTTTTCTCATTTCCAAGGTGGTAGACACCTAAGTGTCAAAATCACTTATCTGTAGAGCATAAACGAGGACCTTGATCATGAGAGAAATGGAAATGAGAAAAAGTTGAAAAAATGGGATGTTTGACCTAAAGAAGAGGAGCTTCTTTTAAGAAGTAACAGCCACTTTTAAGGATTTGGAGTTCTGTCATGCAGAAGGATCAGATTTGACTTGACCAGAAGGAACTAGGGTCAGTGGGTGGAAGTTTAAAAGAAGCAGATTTCAATTCTCTTTCAAGATAAATTTCCTCAAAATTGTGAAAATAGAATGAGTTGTTTTGGGTGGTAGGCTGTTCCTGTTCACTGACAAATTGGGGATTCTAGAGTAGAGGAATCGTACTGAAGGAGAATTTGAGCTAGGTGTCTTCAAGTTACCTATAAACTTTGAGGTTTTATTAAATATGCCGAGGTTTACAGGTGGAAGAACAAAAAGCTAATTGAGTGAAACAAACTGGTTAACTTGATAATAGTTTTTGCCTTCCTGGATAAAGAGAAATGAGTATTAAGTGAGAAGGCTATTTAATGAAGGGCTTTAAACCACACTGTAATTTGGTAGATTCAGCAGCTTTAAAAATTGGCATACCTTCTGACATGGAAATTCCCTTTAAAGAATTTTTTTTTTGATGTAGTAAAGATGTGTGTGAATATTTAATTGTGAGCATACTAGATGCAGTATTGTTGATTATAAAAGCTGTGTATTAATGCCTTTAAGCCCCACGGTAATCATATGAAGTGGGTAGTACTATTTCTGCTTTTCAGAAGAAAAAACAGGCATAGAGAAATGAGGTTGCTTGCTCAAGGTACCTGAGTTAGTTAAGTGTTAGGGCCAGGACTTGAATCCAACCAGTGTGACTCTAGAGCCAGTACTATTGATCATTATATGGTAAAATTGTAAACAACCTAAATGTTTCACAGTGATTGTTAGGGTCCATCCCTACAGTGGGGTACTGCCTTCTCAGCCATGAAAATGATGATAGAATAATATAAAGACATGAAAGGATGTCTTGGTATATGTAAGTGAGAAAAAATAAATTTAAAAACATGATTCCATTTTGGTAAAAAAACCCAAAAATATATTATGTCTGGAAGGATATGTGCCAAATTGTTAAATGGTTATTTCTGAGTGTAGTTTTACAGGTGATTGTTTTCTTTTTGCTTATCCAAATTTTCTAACTTCTACAATGAATATAAATTATCTATCATGTTGTAATTAAGATATTAAGATGTAACTTTTCAATAAAAAATTAAATGTGTTAGCATAAGCTGAGAAATTTGGGTTTTATACTCTGCATTTTAAGCAAGTTTGTAGAAATTGTACATGAGAATTTGTAAATGCATGTAGTGTTTTGTAATTTTTTGTTTGATTCCTTATTCTAGAAGTAATATCAATTGAGTAGAGAAACATATCACTCCTACCACCCTACCATAATCAATTATTTTGTTGTGTGTTGTTACTCTTATGTGTAATATTTTAAATATTCATCCCAGTGTCATCCCAGTTAGTCATACTCTAGCTGTGTGATTTTAGGCAGTTTACTTAATCTCTCCGTGGCTCAGTTTCCTTCTTTGTAAAATGTGGATTATTATAATACTTAGCTCATGATGATTGGAAAGATTAAATGTTATTTCATATAAAGTGAACAGAACAGTACCTGAAACATAACAGTTAATAGCTCAATAAATGTTAGCAATTATAGGATCACAGTCCACCATTCAAACTCTTAGGGTCTAATAGGTTATGGAATTAGGAATTTTTTTTTTATATGGGCAAGGTAGTAATGTGTAGCCTTCCAATAGAGTCCAGTGCAATATCCCCCTTCAAAAGTGTTACTGTTTCTGCAACAAAATGTATGAATGTTCGCACTAAATAGGATAAAGACTGTAAATAGCTTCATATCAGTTTGGGTAAGGTTTACCACAAGATGAGTTATTTTGGGTTTCAGAAGTTTTTTGGATTTTTGGAATTGAAGATAAGGAACCTATAAAATATTAATTTTGAGTCCTATTTTATAATATTAAAACATCTTTTCATGGTATTTTATAGTTTTATAGTGCATGGTAAATTAAAGTCAATTAAAATGAAATAATGGAAAATGTCCACCTCCATCTCCTTTGATTTAAAAAATACTCAGCATACTGATACTATGATTTAAAAAAAATTTTTTTTTTGAGATGGAGTCTCACTCTGTCGCCAAGCTGGAATGCAGTGGCACGATCTTAGCTCAGTGCAATCTGCGCCTCCTGGGTTCAAGCGATTCTTCTGCCTCAGCCTCCCGAGTAGCTGGGACTACAGGTGCGCGCCACGACGCCCAGCTAATTTTTGCATTTTTAGTAGAAACGTGGTTTCACCATGTTGGTCAGGATGGTCTTGATCTCTTGACCTTGTGATCTGCCTGCCTCGGCCTCCCAAAGTGCAGCAATTACAGGTGTGAGCCACTGTGCCCAGCCAAAAAGTTTCAAAGTTTAAAAAAAAAAAAATGGCCGGGCTCAGTGTCTCATGCCTGTAATCCCAGCACTTTGGGAGGCCGAGGCGGGCGGATCACTTGAGGTCAAGAATTCGAGACCAGCCTGGCCAACATGGTGAAACGCCGTCCCTACTAAAAATACAAAAATTAGCCAGACGTGGTGTGTGCTTGTGTCTCGGCTACTCGGGAGGCCGAGGTGGGAGTATTCCTTTAGTCTGGGAGGCGGAGGTTGTAGTGAGCGGAGATTGTGCCACTGTACTGCAGCCTGGGTGACAGAGCAAGATTCTGTCTCCAAAAAAAATTTAAAAAACTACTCCTGTTGGTCCTGACTGTGATTCTATTTTAAAGAATATCTTAAACCCACTAATGCTGTGATTATATTACATAATGTAGAATCTTTTTCTGAAAGAGGCTTGAGCATTCCTATAACCCAATTAGCTTGTTTATGTCTCATTACACTTGAGGGATAAGATACTTTTACTATGGTGGTTTACTATAGTAGTGATTCTTTTTTTTTTTTTCCAGATGGAGTTTCACTCTGTCACCCAGGCTGGAGTGCAGTGGTGTGATCTAGGCTCACTGTAACCTCTGCCTCCCGGGTTCAAGTGATTCTCCCAAGTAGCTGCAGTTACAGGTGCCCGCCACCATGCCCAGCTAATTTTTGTATTTTTAGTAGAGACGGGGTTTAGCCATGTTGGCTAGGCTGGTCTCCAACTTCTGACTTCAAGTGATCTGCCCACCTTGGCCTCCCAAAGTGCTGAGATTACAGGTATAAGCCACTGCGCCCAGCCTATAGTAGTGATTCTTTAAAGGAGGTGGGTAGATGACACTGTGATACCTGTCTTTAATGCACCCATTCTGTGCATGTAGAGACTGAGGTGGTTGTAAAATTACAGTACTGAACTTTGGAATTAGGTCAATTCTTCTCATTATGATAACGGTTTTGGATGTATAGCCCCTTCTGACTCCTGGAATCCTTTATTTCCACAGCACTTCCCATGTATCCAAACAGAGGAAAAAATAATTAGTAGTATAGTGCTTGCTTCAGCAGCACATATACTAAAATTGGAACGATGCAGAGAAGATTTTCATGGTCCCTGCACAAGGATGACACATAAATTTATGATGTGTTCCATATTTATTATTATTTTTAATAATAAAAAATAAAAAAAATTTGTATGGTGTGTAAGTGAATGATCTAAAAAATTTCCTTTGTGCCCTAAATGACTTGTGTGAACTCTGTGATCTTTGCCAATGTGATTATTCTTCCTGTGTTCCTTTACTTGTTCCATTCATAGTGACCCTCAGTTTCTTGCCCTAAGTGCTATGGTCTAAAAGCTTGTGTCTCCCCATAATTCATGTTGAAATCTTAACCTCCAAGATGATGGCATTAGGAGATGGGGCCTTTGGGAGGTGATTAGCTCAGGTGGGTAGAGCCCTCAGGAGTGGGATTAGTGCTCTTAAAAAAGAGACTCCAGACCGGGTGCAGTGGGTCATGCTTGTAATCCCAGCACTTTGGGAGGCTGAGGTGGGTGGATCAGGAGGTCAGGAGTACAAGACCAGTTTGGCCAAGATGGTGAAACCCCATCTCTACTAAAAATACAAAAATTAGCCGGGCACAGTGGCAGGTGCCTGTAATCCCAGCTACTCAGGAGGTGGAGGCAGGAGAATCGCTTGAACCTGGGGGGGGCGGAGGTTGCAGTGAGCCGAGATGGCGCCACTGCACTCCAGCCTGGGCGACAGAGTGAGACTCTGTCTCAAAAAAAAAAAAAAAGACTCCAGACAGCTTGTTAGCTCTTTCTTCCACATGAGGTTACAGCAAAAAGACAGATGTCTAGAAGCTGGCCCTTACCAGATACTGAATCTGCCAGTGCCTTATTTTGGACTTCTCAGCCTCCTGGGCTGGGTGAGGTGGTTCACTACCAGCCTTGGCACCATAGTGAGACTCCCATCTCTACAAAAAAAAAAAAAAAAAAACTTTCTGTTGTTTGTAAGCTACCCAGTTTATGGTATTTTGTTACAGCAACCCAAACAGTCTGAGACGTTTAGCTTAACTCCTGTATGCACTAGATACAGTCTGCACTTTGACATCAATCACTTATTTTATATTTTACTGGACTCCTGTTGTCAGATTTTTCCACCATCGATTTCTTCTGTTTTCCCTCACAGGTCACAGCATATTTGTGGAGGAAGGTGAGTAATTATGAAGATTTCTTGGCCACTATAAATTTACGCTGAACAATTCCAAATAGGCCCCTCCTACTTCTTGGCAATCATCTTATTAATTGCATTTTTCTGTTGTCTCATATTCCTTCTTCCTCTTTAACTCTTAATAGATGCCATTTACTTCTATATAAGTGAAAAAGGAAAACAGGGTACAAGCTTGCACATTTTTTTTTCATTGTAACCATGACAAATCACTGTTCTTTCATCTTATTTTGTAAATTGAACGGAAGAAGAATCCTGCTGCCACAGTTAACTTTACCTCTCTGGTCACTTTGATTGTTATTTGCAATGTTTTTTCTTCCCTACCTTAAAATATGTACAGACTTCTCACCGGGCGTGGTGGCTCATGCCTGTAAACCCAGCACTTTGGGAGGCCAGGGCGGGTGGATCACGAGGTCAGGAGATCGAGACGATCCTGGCTAACACAGTGAAACCCCGTCTCTACTAAAAATAAAAAAAATTAGCTGGGCGTGGTGGCGAGCGCCTGTAGTTCCAGCTACTCGGGAGGCTGAGGCAGGAGAATGGCGTGTACCCGGGAGGCGGAGCTTGCAGTGAGCCGAGATCGCACCACTGCACTCCAGACTAGGCGACAGAGCGAGACTCCATCTAAAAAAAAAACAAAAAAAAATGTACAGACATCTGTACTTTGGGAGGAAAAAAAATCAATTTTGATGAACTGCTGCTACTGTTCTTTCTAGCTATCTGCTGCATTTCTCTTCATTTCAAAAATTTTAAGAATTGAATTACAATTGCTGCCGTGAGTTTTTACTTTTTTTTCGAAGACAGGGTCTCACTGTGTTGCCCAGGCTGGAGTACAATTGCAGCTCACTGCAGCCTTGACCTCCCCAGGCTCAGGTGATCCTCCTACCTCAGTTTCCCGAGTAGCTGGGACTACACGCATGTGTCACCATGCCTGGCTAATTTTTGTATTTTCCTGGTAGAGACAAGGTCTCACTGTGTTGGCCAGGCTAGTCAACTCCTGAGTTCTTTTACTACTACTTTCCTAACTTACGCAGTTTTGGAATAGCATAATTCAGATTGTCGCTTCAGAGGACATCTTTTTTGTCAATAATATTGGCTTCATCCTGACTCTTTTCAGCTAGTATATATGTGTTACTATTTCCACTGAGGCTTTTTAATGTTCTCTCCTTGCCGTTTGTGTTAGTTTGCCATCCTGGTTTTCCCTTCTGACTATTCTGTTTTCTTTGTTGTTTCATGAGCCTCTTAGCACTGTTAGTCTCATCAGTACTTGATTATTCCCCTCTTAGATGTTTTATATGCTGATGACTCCCAAATGTGTGTCCCATCCATGTTTGATGCTCCAGTAGTTTACTGGATATTTCTGTTGGAACGCTCAAGGAATTTCCATCACTTTTAGATTTATTATTATTCAGCCTCTCACCTGCTTTCACCATTTCTTTTAATTTTATCATACTTAAATTTTGAAGTAGTCTGCGATGCATACTTTTGCTTTATTTATTTATTATTTTTTGTTTTTTTGAGACGGAGTTTCATTCTTGTTGCCCAAGCTGGAGTGCAATGGCGCAATCTTGGCTCACTGCAACCTCTGCCTCCTAGGTTCAAGCGATTGTCCTGCCTCAGCCTCCTGAGTAGCTGGGATTTCAGGCGTGCACCACCATGCCTGGCTAATTTTGTATTTTTAGTAGAGATGGGATTTCTCCATGTTGGTCAGGCTGGTCTCAAACTCCCAACCTCAGGTGCCGCCCTCCTCGGCCTCCCAAAGTGCAGGCGTTACAGGCGTGAGCACAGTTTTTTACTCTTTATTGGCTCCCAGTTTGTCTTGGAATTCTGCATTGCCTATTATTTGCTTCCTTTAAACTTTAGATTTTCCTTCCTTGCATCCTTTTTGCATATGGCTGCCAGAATGATTTTCCTGAAAATATTTTGAACCCATTGCTAAACATATAAGCCTGAGGAGAGAACATGTGCTATTGACCTTTGCACTGTCTATTCTGTCAAACAAAGTGAATTGAACCTTGCTGAATAAATGTTTGAAAGGGTCACCATTTGCTCAAAAATTTGAATGACTCCCAGTTGTTTACAAGATAAAGTCCAAATTCTACTTTCTGACTTTCAAACCTTTTTATATTCTTCTTCAGCCTTATTCCTTACTGTTTAACATTATCAAGCTGGTGTTTACTCTGTAATATACCTTGCTTAAGCACAACTCCATGCATTCTTCCTTTCCTTGCCTGTCAGAGCCTACTCAGGGATGTTTGCCCTGCGGCTGGCACTGTTCTAATCTCTGATGTTATAGTAATGAACAAAAGAGAAGACAAAGTCCCGTTTTCTTGGAGCTGACGTTTGTGGGGAGGGACACATAGTAAACAAATACGTGATGTTAGGTGGTAATGAGTAAAATGAAAAGGAATAAAAGTAGGTAATAAAAGATGATTGTTTATTCTGACTTCCAATAAAAAATATATCTTACATGGTAATTATATATGTTACTATGTGCATGTGTGGTAACTACATTTGATTGGCCAGGTGTGGTGGCTCATGCCTGTAATCCCAGCACTTTGGGAGGCCGAGGCGGGCAGATCATGAGGTCAGGAGATCAAGACCATCCTGGCCGACATGGTGAAACCTCATCTCTACTAAAAATACAAAAACTAGCTAGGCGTGGTGGTGTGTGCCTGTAGTCCCAGCCACTCGGGAGGCTGAGGCAGGAGAATCGCTTGAACCTGGGAGGTGGAGGCTGCAGTGAGCCGAGATGGCACCACTGCACCTCCAGCCTGGTGACAGAGCGAGACTCCATCTAAAAAAAAAAGAGGTGAGGGGATAGATTGGTGGGATGTGGTAGCTATCTTAGGTGGTCTGGGAAAGCTGCTCCCTGGGTGTCCTAGAGTGCAGGAGCAAGCCATACAGTATCTAAGTGAAGAGTTCTAGACAGCAGAACCAACTTGTGCTAGACCCTAAAGTGCGAACACATTTGCCTTGTTCAAAGAATTGCTGACTTTTGTGGCTAGAGCACAGTGACTAAGGGGGAGAATGATAGATGAGCTGAGAAGAGATGATGGGGAGATTGATAGATGAGCTGAGAAGAGATGATGGGGAGATTGATAGATGAGCTGAGAAGAGATGATGGGGAGACAGATTATGCTTCAAATGTTAAGTCCTGCGGGGCACGGTGGCTCACGCCTGTAATCCCAGCACTTTGGGAGGCCGAGGCGGGTGGATCACGAAGTCAGGAGATCGAGACCATCCTGGCTAACATGGTGAAACCCCGTCTCTACTAAAAATACAAAAAATTAGCCGGGTGTGGTGGTGGGCGCCTGTAGTCCCAGCTACTCGGGACGCTGAGGCAGGAGAATGGCGTGAACCCGGGAGGCGGACTTGCAGTGAGCCAAGATCGTGCCACTGCACTCCAGCCTGGGCGACAGAGCGAGACTCCATCTCAAAACAAACAAACAAACAAACAAAAACAAATGTTAAGTCCTTCATTGAAGAGGCCTTCTTTGACTACTACAACTTGTTAATATAAACCTTGAAACCTATCTAACAACTATAGAAGTAGCTCTCAGATGATTGTTTATTCTGACTCCCAATAAAAAATATATCTTACATGGTAATTATCTATATATGTTACTATGTGCATGTGTGATAACTACATTTGATATATGCTGATATTTTCAAAAACATTGGCTTTAACCTACTAAAGTGATTTCACAGTCTGTTAATAGGTCATGACCAACAGTTTGAAGAGCACTGATCTATGGTGTCTATACCCACTTAAACAAAACACTGAACTACAAACTACTTTTGTTATAATCTACAAATTTTTTCAGTTTGTGAAATATTTTTGGTTAAAGATCTTGCCTTTAATTTTTGTGTGTAGGTTTACAGTGTTTATAATAATGCTGAATAGAAAGGACTTGTTTAATTTAGCAAACATCTGTTGAGTGGTATATTAGAAGCTGCTAGATACTAAAATACACATAAGAATAAGATAAACCATTAGCCTTTACTCCTATAAGGGTTAAAAAAAAAAAAGAGATCAATCCTTGTCTGAATTCCTAAGGCTTATGGGAGAGGAAAGCTTATAAATAAATCATTTGTAATGTGATGGAATCTATCTAATAATGGAAGTGTGTTAAGGCCACAATGAGAGAATAAAGAAGTGATTAATTCATTTTGCTGAGGTCAAGGGAAACTTATCGGAGGAGGTAATGTCTGAACTGCGTTTGGAGGGAGAATAGGACTACTTAGGTAAGTTCGGGAGGGGAAGACGTCTTAGGCTGGATAACATATAAAGGAGTAGAATCATGAGACAGAATAGCACATGAGGGTATTGTAAATAACCCTGTATTAAAATATAAATCCAAGGGGTAAGTGGTGAGTGATGAGGCTGCAGTGAGGCACAGGTCATATCCTTAAAGGTCTGAGACGCGTTGGAGTTACCACTTATTTAATGATTATGCATATTAGGGGAAAATACTGTATAGTCAGAATTAACTTGTAGGAAGTTGCCATTTGGGAAGTAAGGTACCATCTCTCAATAATTCCAAAACAGTCAGTTTTTCCTCTAGTGATGAAATATATCACTGTTTCCTCAATTGTGCCCTAGAGGAAGACGGTTTACATTTGTGGGCTATGTTGTACAAAATAAAATCTTATAAAACGTTAACTTATCCATTGCAATGAGAAGTTCATTCCATAAGATGCATTTGAGAACTGAGACCTACTGAGGAAATAGATTCATATTTCAGGCTCATGCTGGGACTTATGTTTATTAAGTAGAATGGTGAGTAGCCAACTGTTTAAATCATTTTCTTTTTTTTTTTGAGATGGGGTTTCACTCTTGTTGCCCAGGCTGGAGTGCAATGGCGCGATCTCGGCTCACTGCAACCTTCACCTCCCAGGTTCAAGTGATTCTCCTGCCTCAGCCTCCCGGGGTAGCTGGAATTACAGGCATGCACCGCCATGCCTGGCTAATTTTGTATTTTTAGTAGAGACGGGGTTTCTCCATGTTGGTCAGGCTCGTCTCGAACTCCGACCTCAGGTGATCCACCTGCTTTGGCCTCCCAAAGTGCTGGGATTACAGGTGTGAGCCACCGTGCCTGGCCTAAATCATTTTCAAGTTAAATATACATATGGTCAGTGCCACTGTATTCTGTAGGTGATTGGAATGCATAATTATATCTATATTCATTTTGGAAAGATATTTTGATAAATTTGGCCAAACCACAATTTAAGACTTTATGACAACATTAACATTTAAAATATACAAATTTTAAAGAAAAAAATATATACAAATTTAAAACAGACTGAGAGGAGTATGTAATAAACCATATGTAATATGTAATAAACCATATGTAATATGTAATATTACATATGGTAATAAACCATATGTAATATGTAATATTACATATGGTAATAAACCATATGTAATATGTAATATTACATATGGTAATAAACCATATGTAATATGTAATATTACATATGGTAATAAACCATATGTAATAAACCAGAAATATACATATTGCACTCCTACAAAGAGAATGAAATGGTAAAATAGGTAAAGAATATGAATAGGCAGTTTCGGAAGAGGAAACATAGTGGCCAACAAACATTTGATAAAGATGCATGGTCTCATTAGGAGTTTGAGAAATGCATATTAAAACACAATAATAGCATACTATGCAGCTGTATAAAAAAATGAGGAAGTTCTTTCTGTGAACTAATAGGAAAAGATCTCATGTGTTAAGCAAGAAAAGCAAGTGGAGAGCAGTGTTATGTGGTAATGTTTTTTTTTTTTTTTTTTTTTTTTGGTGATTATAGAAATACTGGAAGGATACTCATGAAACTAGTAAAGGTAATAACTTGTTGGGGTTGTGGGTCCAGGGTGGGCCAAGGAGGAGCAGTGAGCAGTGTAAATACTTCCATTGAGGATTTTCAATGTATACATTTCTGTGTTTGGGCTTTTGAGCTATATGAAAGTATTGCCTATTGAAAAAGGAAAAATATGTGAAGAAGACTTCATAGAACTTGACCAACTGTCTTAGTCCATTTGGGGTACTATAACAAAATATAAACTAGTGACTTATAAACAATAGAAATTTATTTCTCAGAGTTCTGGACGCTGGGAAGTTCAAGATCAAGGTGGTGGCAGATTCCATGGCTGGTGAGGGCCCATTTCCTGCTTTATAGATGGAGCCACCTTGCTGTGCCCTCATATGGTGAAGGGACAAAGCAGTTATCTGGCAATAATTCCATCCATGAAATTATGAATGGAATGATAAGGTTTGCCCTCATGAGCTAATCATCACTCAAAGTCCCCATCTACTAATACCATCACCTTGGGGTTAGGATTTCAACATGTTAATTTTGTGGGGACACAAACATTGAGACCAGCTGTGTATAGAAGATGAGGCAGAGGGAAGAGTGGAAGATAACTCCCAGATTTCTAAATTGGGAAGTAAAGAGGGTGATAATATTATCAGGTAATGCAGAAGGAAGATTAGGTTTTGTCATGTGCCTGGGAAGTTCTGGACATGCTAACTGACAAATCCTTACTACTTCTTAGTTTAGTGTGTATGGGTATAATTTATGTACTTTAGATATGGAACTTTCGAGCTTATCTTAAACATGAATATTAAGTAGTCATCAATAAATATTTTTTATCTGTAGACATTTATATTCTGAGTTAATTTTTAGAAAATTATGACTAATTTTATAGTCATAATAGGGACACTGATAAGCACAGATAGAATGTAGATAGAGAAATAGAGAATGTATATCTGATAAATATATAGCTTAGGTGGAAAGTAAGAATTTTATTTATTAACATGGTTTCAAGAAGTTTTTTTTTTTTTTTCCAAGGTGGAGTCTTACTCTGTTGCCCAGGCTGGAGTGCAGTGGCACAGTCTTGACTCACTGCAACCTCTGCTTCCCAGGTTCAAGTGATTCTCCCGCCTCAGCCTACCAGATAGCTGGGATTACAGGTGCCTTCCACCATACCTGGTTAATTACTGGTTATTTATTTGTTTTTTTGTTTTTTGAGATGGAGTCTCACTTTGTTGCCCAGACTGGAGTGCAGCAGTGTGATCTTGGCTCACTGCAACCTCTGCCTACCAGGCTCAAGCAGTGCTCCCACCTCAGCCTCCTGAGTAACTGGGACTACAGGCACGCACCACCATGCCTGGCTAGTTTTGTATTTTTAGTACAGACAGGGTTTCACCATGTTGACCAGACTGGTTTCGAACTCCTGACCCTGAGGTCAGGGTCACCTGAGTGATCTGCCCGTCTTGGCCTCCCAAAGTGCTGGGATTACAGGTGGGAAACACCACAACCAGCTGCTGGTTAATTTTTGTGTTTTTAGTAGAGATGGGGTTTCACTATGTTGGCTAGGCTGGTCTTGAACTCCAGACCTCAGGTGATCTGCCCGCCTTGGCCTCCCAAAGTGAGACATGAGCCACTGTGTTTGGCCTATGGTTCCAATTTAATGACATCTTTTGATGTCTGAAATTCAAAGAAACAAAAATAGATTTGAATAAGGAAGTGATCGTGGTAGATAGCTTATACTGTAATATTTAAAACGGAGGTTTAGGCCGGGTGTGGTGGCTCACGCCTGTAATCCTGGCACTTTTCAAGGCCCGGGTGGATCACTTAAGTCCAGGAGTTCAAGACCAGCCTGTGTAACATGGTGAAGCCCCGTCTCTACAAAAAATAGAAAAATTAGTTGGGCATGGTGGTGTTTGCCTGTAGCCCCAGCTACTCGGGAGGCTGAGGTGGGAGGATCTCTTGAGCCCAGGAGGTGTAGGTTGCAGTGAGCTGACATTGCACCACTACACTCCAGCCTGGGAGACAGAGCTCTGAAACAAAAACAAATCTCTTTGAAGTTTAGGGAAGTTTATAACAGCACAGAAATATTTTTTTATGTAGTATGTTTGGGAGTAACTGTATATAAGACAAAGAAGTTTAACCTAATGGAGACAAGGAGTCATAACATGTTGGGTGCTACTTAAAACAAGCTCTTGGCCGGGTGTGGTGGCTCATACCTGTAATCCCAGCACTTTGGGAGGTCGAGGTGGGCAGATCGCCTGAGGTTAGGAGTTCGAGACCAGCCTGACCAACATGGTGAAACCCCGTCTGTACTAAAAATACAAAAATTAGCTGGGTGTGGTGGCACGTGCCTGTAATCCCAGCTACTCGGGAGGCTGAGGCAGGAGAATCACTTGAACCTGGGAGGCAGAGGTTGCAGTGAGCCAAGATCTCACCACTACATTACATCCTGGGCCACAGAGTGAGACTCTGTCTCAAAACACAAAAACCAAAAAAACTAAGCTTTTGCTATATAATTTAGAGTTTAAATTTTTTTTTGAATGAATTATATTTCAGAATCTGATTTTTGAGGTTCTCATTTATCCATACTACTTTTACCTGAGTTTTATTTGGCCAGAGTCTAAAATTAAGTAAAAGAGGAGCACAGATAAAGCACATACTTGCAAATAAATGTAGTAGTTTTTTTCTGGATTTAAGTTAGTAAGGATTTGGGTATGGAACAGTAATGAAAAAGAACTAAGTAATTCTTTTTTTTTCTTTTTCAGTTGAGACGGGGTCTGTCTCTGACACCCAGGCTGGAGTGCAGTGGGGCAATCTCAGCTCACTGCAGGCCTCTACTTCTTGGGCTCTGGTGATCCTCTCACTTCAGCCTCCCAAGTAGCTGGGACCACATGATCGCACCACCACACCTGGCTAATTTTTTGTATTTTTTGGTGGAGATGAGGTTCCTTCATGTTGTCCAGGCTGGTCTTGAACTCCTGAGCTCAAGTGATCTGCTTGCCTCAGCCTCCCAAAGTGCTGGGATTACTACAGGCGTGAACCACTGCACTCAGCCAGTACTTTTTGCTTGAGATTCAAAACTTTTAACCATTTATGTCTGAAGAGAAGAGAGTTTACTAGTAAAAGTTTACTTTTTAAGATTCTTTTATTGCTGGCTTAGTCTTTCAAAAAATGCTTTAAAAATTACAAATAATATTACAGAATCTCATAACAGTTGGAGGTGGTCTTGTTTATGTGAGAGTGAAAAGGGTCTGAAACTTGCTGTTCTGTCACCTCCAACGTGTGCTTACCTCTTTAGCCACTGTCCTTCTTGCTACTGAAGTCTGGAGCTTTGGGAAACACAAATTGAGAAATGCTGGATTGGGCTGGGCTAGAGTTTTGGATGGGCTCTGACCTCTTCATATTATATATATATATATATATATATATATATATATATATATATATATATATATATACACACACATATACATGTAATTTTTTCTTTTTGAGGCAAGGTCTCACTCTTTTGTCCAGGCTGGAGTGCAGTGGTGCGATCATGGCCCCCTGCAGCCTCAACCTCTTGGGCTCAAGTGATCCTCCCACTTCAGCTTCCTGAGTAGCTGGGACTACAGGCACACACCACCATGCCTGGCTGGCCTGAAGCTCCTGAGCTTAAGAGATCCCCCTGCCTCATCCTCTCAGTCATGTACCACCATGCCTGGCTACATTTAACTTCTTATAATAGATTTGTGTATATTTAATGGTAGTAAACCATAAAATAGACCAATATCGATATATATTTTATGCATTCTTGACATACCTAACTTTTTCTTAAGTTTTTAAATATGCAGTTTGTGAGTTTTGCTTTTGAGACAGTGTCTTGTTCTGTTGCCCAGGATGGAGTGCAGTGGCATGAACATGGCTCACTGCAACTTTGACCTCCTGGGCTCAAGTGATCCTCCTTCTTCAGCCTCCTGAGTAGCTGGGACCACAGCTGTGTGCCACCATGCCTGGCTAATTAAAAAAATTTTTTTAAATTTTTTTGTAGAGATGGAGTCTTAAGCTCCTGGGCTTAAGCAATCCGCCTGCCTCGGCTTCCTGAAGTGCTGGGATTACAGGTGTGAGACACTGTACCTAGGCTTGTGAGGTTTTTTTTAATTGTCAAAGATCTCAAAATAATTTTTTTTTTTTTTTTTTTGGGACAGAGTCTCGCTCTGTTGCCCACGCTGGAGTGCAGTGGTGTGATCTTGGCTTACTGCAACCTCTGCCTCCTGGGTTCAAGCAGTTCTCCCTGCCTCAGCCTCCCGAGTAGCTAGAATTACAGGCACTTGCCCCCATGCCTGGCTAATTTTTGTGTTATTTTAATAGAGATGGGTTTTCGCCATATTGGCCAGACTTGTCTTGAGCTCCTGACCTCAGGTGATCCACCTGCCTTGGCCTCCCAAAGTGCTGGGATTACAGGCGTGAGCCACCATGCCAAGCCTCAAAATCATTTTCTAATATATTAAAAAAAGTGTGTGAGTGGACTGTGCAATTCAAATCTGGGTTGTTAAAGGGTCAGCTGTACATCAGGAAGGTCACTTCCAAATATATCTTGTTTCTGGATAATAGTGGCCTAGATTAGACCAGTCTTCTTTTTTTTTTTTTTTTTTTTTTGAGTCGGAGTCTTGCTGTCTCACCCAGGCTGGAGTGCAGCACCATGATCTCGGCTCACTGCAACCTCTGCTTCTTGGGTTCAAGTGATTCTCCTGCCTCAGCCTTCTGAGTAGCTGGGATTACAGGCGCATGCCACCACGCCTGGCTAATTTTGTATTTTTAATAGAGATGGGGTTTCACCATGTTGGCCAGGCTGATCTTGAACTCCTGACCTCATGATCCACCCGCCTTGGCCTCCCAAAGTGCTGGGATTACAGGTGTGAGCCACTGCACCCGGCCGACCAGTCTTCTTTTTGAAGACAATTGAAAATGTTGGATAAAATATATAGAACATTACCTTAGTAGCTTTGAAGAACTGGGAAGAAAAGGGAATCTGTTAAGCCAAATTCTGGAAGAAAGCCTAAAGCAGGAAGTTAACAGACTATCTGGCGAACTGAAGCCACTTTTGCTTTCAATATGTTTGCCAATATCAAGAAATTTAGGTTTCTGTTCATCAGTCTTATGGGGTGAGGTGGACAGAAATTAAGATGCAGAGCCCACCCAACATGTGGACATGTAAAGTCTTATGAGATATTCTTGCCTAATTAGGCTTGGGCTCCATATATCTACAGCTGAGAGGTAAGGATGAACCAGAACTAACCGCTTTTCATCACCTACCTCCCAATCAAATATCAAGGAATTTCAAGACAAGTTGTGTTGGTACTGAGCAGAGCAGGAGGAAAAAAGAGAAAGGAAACAAGCAAACAAAAGTCTTTACAAAGCATAGGTGGGAAAGGGAACCGTAAGCCATACTTAATTTAGGTTGGTTCCTGACTCCAGGTGCTTGTCAGAAGCAAATGCAAATGTTCTTCAAAGGAAGGCTCCTTCATCTTAGGCCTCCCCACAATTTTTTAAGGACAGTAATCAGCACATAGTCAAAGATAACTAGACGTACGAGGAGACAAGGAACCATAGGCATGAACCAGTAGAAACAACAGACAGCAGAAAAAGATAAACATCATATAATAGAATTAAAAGATATATAATAAAACAACCAAGCTTACTGTGTTTACAGAAATAAGTGACAAATTTGAGAATAGGGAACAGGAAATGATTGTTTTTAAGTGGCATTATAGTTTTGAAAAAACCAAATCGAATTTTTGGAATAAAAACTGACTCAGGAGTTTGAGGCCAGCCTGGGCAACATGGTGAAACCTTGTCTGTACAGAAAATACAAAAAAATTAGCTGGGTGTAGTGGCATGCACCTGTAGTCCCAGCTACTCCGGAGGCTGATGTGGGAGGATCACTTGAGTCCAGGAAGTCAAAGTTATAGTGAGCCAAGGTTGTACCACCATGCTGCAGCCTGGGTGACAGAATGAGACTGTCTCAAAAAAAAAAAAAAAAAAAAAAGGAAAAAAAGAAAAAGATAAAGTAACTGAATTAAAAACTTAATGATGCAATTTGCAGCAGATTGGACACATCAGAAAAATTATCAAACTGGAATATAGATCAGATAAAACCATCCAGAATGTAGCATAGATGATGGCTAGAGGCAAAAAGTTGGGAAATATAGAAGACAGTGTAAGAGATATGGGGATAGAGTGAGAGAGTCTTAATTGGAATTCCAGAAGGAAAGGAAGAGAGAATGGGACATTTGAAGAGATGATGGCTGATATTTTCCAGAACCAAGGAAAGATACCAAACCAGAATTCAAGAATTTCAATGAATCCTAATTAGGATAATAGTAAGTCCACACCTAAACACATTGTAATAAAGTCACAGAAA
The DNA here is from genome assembly GCF_000001405.40 of Homo sapiens. Taxonomy (NCBI): domain Eukaryota; kingdom Metazoa; phylum Chordata; class Mammalia; order Primates; family Hominidae; genus Homo; species Homo sapiens. The sequence continues at coordinate 50,334,130 of NC_000015.10, read as the reverse complement.
ACCAAAAGTAGCTGGAGAAAAAGAAAACCATCAAACGAGCAAGAATTAGAGTAATAGATGACTTTTCTTTTCTTTTTTTCTTTTTCTTTTTTTTTTTTTTGAGATCGAGTTTCACTCTTGTTGCCCAGGCTGGAGTGCAATGGTGCAATCTGGGCTCACTGCAACCTCCGCCTTCTGGGTTCAAGCAATTCTCCTGCCTCAGCCTCCCTAATAGCTGAGATTACAGGTGCCCACCACCAAATGCAGCTAATTTTTTGTATTTTTAGTAGAGATGGGGTTTTACTATGTTGGCCAGGCTGGTCTCGAACTCCTGACCTCAGGTGATCCATATGCCTCAGCCTCCCAAAGTGTTGGCATTACAGGCGTGAGCCACCACGCCTGGCTAGATGACTTTTCAGCAGCAACAGTGGAAATCAGCAGACAGTGAAATGTCTACTATATGGAATGAAAACTACCTGTCAATCTAGAATTTTATGCCCAGTGAAAATATATTTAAAGAATGATGGTAAAATAAGGATATTTTCAGATAAAAACAACTTGTCACGAACATCTCACCTATGAAAGATCATTTAAAGCAGCAGTGTTCAATGGAAGTTTCTGTGGAATTGGGAATGTTATTTATTTTTTTCTTGAGACAGGTCTCACTCTGTCACCCAGGCTGGAGTGTGGTGCAATCATGGCTCACTGAGCTAAAAATAATATATTTATGGATGAAGTAATGTGATAATATAATGATAATGTGATCACTCAGGCAATCCTCCCACCTCAGCCTCCTGAGTACCTGGGACCACAGATGCACACAACCTCGACCTGTCTAATTTTTAAAATTATTTGTAGAGACGAGGTCTCGCTGTGTTGCTCAGGCTCAAACTCCTGTGCTCAAGTGATTCTCCCACCTCAGTCCTACAGACTGCTGGGATTGTAGGTGTGAGCCACCATGTTTGGCCTGGAAATGTTCTTTTTCTGTGCTGTCCAATATTGTAGTCATAAGCTACATAGGGCTATTGAGTACTTGAAAATTCAATAAACTGAATTTTTAAGTTTATTGGCTTAATAAGTTATTAAGTTATTAATAAGTTATTAAGCCAATAAACTTAATTTTTATTAAATATCCACATGCACCATATTGGACAGTATGTTTTTAAAGGATATACTTAGGACAGGATGAAATTGATCTCAAATCACAAAATGAAATGTATGAAGAGTAAATTAAAGGTAAAGAAAATGATACATATTTAGAGAATGAAAATGAATATGGATTGCATTAAACATAGTAAAAATGTCTAATGGATTAAAAACAAGGGTATAACAAGTAGGATAGGTAGAGTCTAGGATTTAAGGTCCTTGTCTTACCTAGAAGGATAGTAATTTAAAAAAAACCTCTTATGGAAAATTTTAAATATGTAAAAGAGAAGAGTATAATGAATCCTTATGTATTTATTACCCACCTTCAACAGTTATGAATTCATGACTAAAGTGTTTTTATATATATCCCAAGTATTTTAAAGTAAGTCCTAACAATCACATTATTTAACCCATAAATATATTGTTCTTATAAAAGATATGGGCTTAAAGTATAATACCAGTATCATATACAGAAAAAAATCAATAATTTCTTAGCATTATGTAGTTAGTATTCACATTTTCCCAATTATCTAAAAAAAGATTTAAAAAATTATATTTGGTTTCTTCAAACTGGAATCCAAACAGGGTCTACATATTGCATTTTGTTGATGTGTTGCTTATGTCTTTTAAAATCTATAGATTTTTTGGGAAAAGAGAGAATAAAGATTTTGATTAGACTTTACTGCATGGTATAATTTCTAGAAAACCAACAAAAGAACAGAAACAGAGGGTATAACTTCCAAATCAGTAGAGGAAATAAATAGAATGCTAAAAAGAATTGAGGGGAAAGAAGGCAGCAACAACAAAGGAGAGAAAAGAAACTGGACAGGGGGCTGGGCACGGTGGCTCATACCTATAATCTCAGCACTTTGGGAGGCCGAGGCAGGTGGATTGCTTGAGGTCAGGAGTTCGAGACCAGCATGATCAACATGGTGAAACCCCGTCTCTACTAAAAATACAAAAATCAGCAGAGTGTGATGGTGCATGCCTGTAATCCCAGCTACTTGGGAGACTGAGACGGGAGAATCGCTTGAACCCAGGAGGTGGAGGTTGCAGTGAGCAGAGATCATGCAACTGCACTCCAGCCTGGGCGACAGAGCGAGACTCTATTTCAAAAAAAACAAAAAACAAAAAACAAAAAAAAAAACTGAACGGGACAAATGGAAAGCATAAAATATGATGTTAGATTTAACTTAAATATATAGCAATTAAAGGTAAATTGTCTAATAACCACACAGGTATCATCCAGGCCTGAGGTGCCAGCAGCTCTTGCCTGGAATAATTTTCTAACTAGTACGCTTGTTTCAGTTCTTGCTTTCCACTATGTATTAACCAAATGATAACAGGAGTAGCCTCTTAACAATGTAAATCACATCACAACACTCTCCTGTTTAAAACTTTCTGACAACTTGCTAGTAATCTCAATAAAATTCACTCTTTCTAGTGCCTATAAGGTTCTATGTGATCCAGCCCATTTGTATTTCTATGATTGCATTTCCTGTTATACTTCTTCACTGTAGCTCAGGGCGCTTAACATATGCTGTTCCATTTCCCTGGATCACCAGGGTCAGCCAGAATTCTTAGTTCTAAGTAGTCAAATAATCTCTGGTTAATTTAACAGAAAAGGAATTTATCACAGGAGGAAGCTGCTACCACTACTGTTATTGGAATCTGCTGCCACGTTTGCCACTAAGGGTTCTACACACTCTCGGCTTTTTAAATGCACTATCTTCTACATTAAGGTCCAGCACAGATGCTTCTCTTGTGGAGTGGAGGTCATATGACTGTACCCTTGCCTTATGGGAAGCAAGGAAAGCAAATATTCAGTAGTAGGCAGAGGTTTCTGCCTTCTTTCAAGATGCATATGGAAGGGAATTCCCCAAGGACAAGAAGGTGTTTTGATGCTAAGCAACCAAGAGAATGACTTGTGCATCATGATGCTTCCTTTGGATCCTCCCTAGGTTTGCTTTCCCTTTCATTCCTGTTTCTACTCAGTTGTCACCTCCTCAGAGAGGCCTTTTGTAATCACTTTCTCCAAAATGGCAATTCCCTATCCCTAATCTAGTACTCTGTTTCTTACTCTGCCTTACTTTTTCTTCATACCGTTTATCACTGCCACAACCACCACTACTACTACTACTTATTTACTTCTTTATTGTGAAGTTCTTATCCCAGAACATAAGCTCTTTGCTCTTCATTTACTCAGTAAACATTTGTTTGTTGAATGAAGAGAAACATAGAGATTATGCTATATATTGCTGAGGAAATTTAAGAGCTCATCTTAGAAAGTTTTGTTGGAGAAAAGATCTTTTAAAAATGGGCTTTGATTGAAGTATAGCATTTGGAGAGAAAGGATGTAACCATTCTAAACTGGGAAAATAGCATGAGGGGAGACATTGGGTCTGGAATAAGGTAAGTGTGTATGGGATGAGGAAGGAGAATTGGGTCTGGAATAAGGTAAGTGTGTATGAGATGAGGAAGGAGAATTGTTTAAAATCGGATGACTGTCAGGGCCCTATATTCAGAGAAAAATGGATGAAGTAAATGTGTGAGGCAGTTGATAGAGGGACTCAAATTGCAAGGTGAGATCTTGTGATTGCTAGAGTAAGAGATAACTAGTTTTTTTTTAATTAAAAGTATACAATGGTATTTTCACATAGCCGAGTACTATGCAGCTGTAAAACAGAATGAGAAAAATCTCTATGCAGTATTTTCCAGGATATATATTAAATGGGAAAAAAAGCAAAGTACAGAACAATGTGTGTTTAGTATGTTCCTTTGGTGTGAGAAGTAGGGAATGGTGGCTGGGCATGGTGACTCATGCCTGTAATCCCTGCACTTTGGGAGGCTGAGGTGGGAGGATTGCTTGAGCCCCGGAGTTTGAGACCAGCCTGGGCAACATGTCAAAACCTCGTCTCTCCAAAAATTAGAATTAGTCAGGTGTGGTGATGCGTGCCTGTAGTCCCAGCTACTTCGGAGGCTGAGGTGGGAGGATCACCTGAATCTGAGAGGTCGAGGCTGCAGTGAGCCATGATCACGCCACTGCATTCCAGCCTGGGTGACAGAATGAGACCCTGCCTTCAGGGAAAAAAAAAAAAAGTAAGAGTGGAAGGGTGGAGAATAAGAATATGAATATATGCAAATTTGTTTATGTTGCAAAGAGAAACACTTAAAAGACAAATTAGAAACTAATAAAATTGTTACCCTATGGTAGAAGGTATGGGAAATACATGAAGTAGGGATGGAAATGTGATTTCTGAGTGTGTCTTTTTATTATTTAGCTCTGACTTTTGAATTATGTAAATACACATTCAAAAATTATAGTAAATTTTTTTAAATCCTTAAAATTGAAGACAAACTTGAACAATGGTATCCATGTTTATATCAAAATAGTTATTTAAATACATGGAGAAAAACTATTTCAGGTGACTTTGGAGCTTAATACTAAATGGCATATACGCTAAGGATAAAAGAACTGCAAAAAAACCCCCACCTTTATTCATTTTATTGCTAGTTGTAATATTGGTATTTTAATTTTGACACCATATGATATGTATTGTAGGATAAAGGCAGTAAGTCTTTATGTGAATGATTACGAATCAATAGAGATACAAGTATAAAATCAAAGAAGCTAAGCACAAAACCTATAATTTTGAACCTGAATTATAAATGTCAATATGAATTCATCATTTATAATATACATTTCTTAATTCAATCCATATAAATTTGTTCCTTAGCTCTGTCCACTGAGAGGACCTAGAAACACTTTGTCATCTTGGTAGATGTGAGCTCTTCTAAAACCCTAATTTTGGTCTTTAAATACTTGTACTTGAAAGAATCCAGGACTCCTTGAAGAAATGACTGATTCTGGGTCTGGAGCAGGGGACATGCGTAACCTGGAACATTCTTGTGCCAAAACCAAGAAAGCTTTCAAAGATGGAAAAGCCAAATCGAAAAGGCTCTCCTTGGCCAAAATTGGGACAATTTGAACATCAGAAGAAATAAGGAGAATAATTTCTTGAGAAAATGATTATATAACAATAAATAGAACAAATGGAGGTGGCTAGGTGGCTATTATTCTTTACTCTGAAAATTGGTAATGAAAAACGATAATATATTTGAACTGCCTTTTGAGTGGGCACCATTTTATATTTAGTGAGGGATGCCAAGTAATGTAGAAGGAAATAAAGAATTTGAAAGTGACAATTTGTTACAACCTGTTATGAATAATTGATTTGGGCCAGGATCATTAATGGGTGCTAAAACTGTCAGACAAAAATGTTTGGGAATTGGATATTCCCATGGAGCCAAAGTATGATGCCACAGATTTCTAGTTGGCCTCAAGCTAAAAGAATATAACTTTACATTGGAAGGATTAGACTATCACTAACCTAGCTATTATTCTTAGTATCATTAAAAGTGATCCAAAAAAGATGTGCTTCCTGATGTGCTTCAATATCAAGCATGTTGCTATTGACATTTTTTGTCTAAAATATTAAATCCGAATTTTAATTAACTTCAGAGACTTAGTTTGTAAGACATATGGAAGATCAAGAAATTACATGCTATCTTGAGGAAGCAATAAAAAAAACTCAGTATGAGGTACAGATGAACCGACCATTCTTTTCAACAAATCAATGTCATGAGGGAGAAAAACGGGAGAGGTAGATGGGAGAAAGGGAAAGTGTCCTAGAATAAACTTGATTTAGAGATAGAGTAACCAAATACAACATGTGTAAGCTGTAAAGTACAATTTTTTTTTTTTTTAGAAAGGAATAGGATGAAGCAAGATGACCAGCTTTTAATTTAGAATGTCAATGATGGGTATATAGGTATGTGTATAATCAAACACACAAACACACATATACAGTATATATTATATATATGCATGTATATTTTCTATATTTGAAAATTTGTATAATGAAAATTTAATTTTTTCGTTTATAGACACTTAGGTTATTTGGAATTTCTTTTTTTTTTCCTGTTACAATAATGTTTTTATAAACATATTTCTTTCCTTGTTTATGTGTTTAAGAGTATACCAAGATAGGGTAGCTAGCAGTGGAATCCCTAGGTCAAAGAGTAGGCGCATCTTTTTTTTTTCTTTTGAGATGGAGTCTCGCTCTGTTGCCAGACTGGAGTATAATGCCACGATCTCGGCTCACTGCAACCTCCACCTCCCGGGTTCAAGCGATTCTCCTGCCTCAGCCTCCCAAGTAGCTGGGATTACAGGCATGCACCACCACGCCCAGCTAATTTTGTATTTTTAGTAGAGATGGGGTTTCTCCATGTTGGTCAGGCTAGTCTCAAACTCCTGACCTCAATCTGCCCACCTAGGCCTCCCAAAGTGCTGGGATTACAGGCATGAGCCACCACGCCCGGTCATCCCATCTTAAACTCTACTAGAAGTTGATAAATTGTTCTTCAGAATGATTGTATTGGTGGGGATTTTGGACAAGGGAATCATGAGACGTATGTCTTCCCTACCAGATGGTGAATTCTTTAAGGGCAGGTACTATGTAGAGGTTCAAATATAGAAATGTTTGATTGAATACAATTGTATTTTAGGGGGATTGCCTGGCAGCAGGATGGAGAAACTAGAGTTAAATCAGCTGAGAGACCATTGTGATGTGTAAGGTATGAGGCAATGAGTGTGTAAGACCAGAGGTAGTAGAGAGGAGGGGATGTGTATGAGAACTTCTGAGAAGAAAGGATCAGAATGTATGCATTCTTTTTTTGAGCAGAATATTGATGGTTCATTTTTGTGACTTACAAGAACCAGCAGTTTATTGGCTTCATTTTGTAGGAAGCAGGTAAGTTATACTTCCCTGATTAAATCAAAGGCATCTACTGGCTAATTCCAGTAGAGTTCTAAAAAGCCTTTTCTTTATCTTCTACTTGCACTCTTTTCAAGCCTCCATTTTTTTCCTGGGATACATTCATGTGATTTAAAAACAACTGGTAGTTGAATTGGGCAAAGGCATAGTCAGTGGCAAAGATGAGGAGGATTTAGTAAAATCCATGGGCCCCCTTCATTGTCAAATGAATTTGTGAAATCTTACAAGGATAAAGGCTGTCTCCTCGTATGGTTTTTAGAAGGAAAGCGTATTCAGCACCATAACAGGGGCAATTCATCATGTGCAGTTTTTCTTTCTTTCTTTTTTTTTTTTAAAGACGGGGGTCTTGCTCTTTTGCCTAGGCTGGCGTGTAGGAGTGTGATCATGGCTCAGTGCAGCCTTGACCTCCCAGGCTCAAGCAGTCCTCCCACCTCAGCGTCCTGAGTAGCTGGACCACAGGAGCATGCCACCAACCCTGGCTAATTTTTGTTTTTCATTTTTTTTTTTGAGACGGAGTCTCACTCTGTTGCCCAGGCTGGAGTGCAATGGCGCCGTCTCAGCTCACTGCAACCTCTGCCTTCCGGGTTCTAGCGATTCTCCTGCCTCAGCCTCCCCAGCAGCTGGGACTATAGGCGCATGCCACCATGCCCAGCTAATTGTTTTTTTATTGTTTAGTAGAGACGGGGTTTCACCATGTTGGCCAGGCTGGTCTCAAACTCCTGACCTCAGGTGATCCACCCACCTCAGCCTCCCAAAGTGCTGGGATTACAGGCGTGAGCCACCATACCTGGCTCTTGGCTAATTTTTAAAAATTTTTGGAGAGATTAGGGTTTCACCATGTTGTTCAGTCTGGTCTCAAACTCCTGGGCTTGAACGATCTTCCCACCTTGGCTTTCCAAAATGCTGGGATTATGGGCATGAACCACCATGTCTGGCCTAGATGAAGTTTTTCTAAAAGAATCCACTTGGCTAGGCATGGTGGCTCATGCCTTTTGGCACTTTGGGAGGCCGAGGTGGGTGGATCACCTGATGTCAGGGGTTCGAGACTAGCCTGGCCAACATGGTGAAACGCTGCCTCTACTAAAAATACAAAATTAGCTGGGCGTGGTGGTGGGCGCCTATATTCCCAGCTACTTGAGAGGCTGAGGCAGGAGAATCGCTTGAACCTGGGAGGCAGAGGTTGCAGTGAGCTGAGATCGTGCCATTGCACTCCAGCCTGGGCGACAGAGCCAGACTCTGTCTTAAAAAAAAAAAAACAAAAAAAACCCTTATATCTTATTTTAAAATGTTATGACTTCTTGCATATTCTGAAGTTAGTGGCTTCAAGAAGTTTGACCAGGCCGGGCGCAGTGGCTCACGCCTGTAATCCCAGCACTTTGGGAGGCCGAGGCAGGCAGATCACGAGGTTAGGAGATCGAGACCATCCTGGCTAACAGGGTGATACCCCATCTCTACTAAAAATACAAAAAATTAGCTGGGCGTGCTGGTGTGCACCTGTAATCCCAGCTACTCAGGAGGCTGAGGCAGGAGAATGGTGTGAACCCCGGAGGCGGAGCTTGCAGTGAGCCAAGATCGTGCCACTGCACTCCAGCTTGGGCGACAGAGCGAGACTCCATCTCAAGAAAAAAAAACAAAAAAAAAAGTTTGACCAGTGATTCTAGAACAGCTCTCTCCAGTAGAAATATAGTGAACCACAGATGATGATGATTTTTTTTTTTTGTCATTGATTGCTCCATTCTACATCAGCAGAAACAGAACCAGACAGGGAGTGACGAGATTTGCACCTGGGTCACACAGCTGATCTGTGGCAGAGGTGGGGTCTCAACTTCTGGCTTTTAGCCGTGCCTTTTTTTTTTTTTTTTTTGGCATAACATCATATTGCCTTAGTGCCCTCAAAATATTATTTGTCCAGTTTGTAGTTACTGACTATTGGAGGCCAAGTCTTGATCTAGGCCCACTTACCATGGGGTACACTTGTCCCTCTTCCTCATGGAAACAATTTCATCCTGACACTCTCAAAGCACATTTCATCCTGTACTGACTTCACCTTTTTTAAATCACAAAATTTACTTAGAAAGGACCTGACATTTAGAGTCAGAAAGGAACACACATTACTGAACACCTTCCTTGGGCATGGTATTTTCAGGGAGCTATGCATGTCTGGTGGGGCCAGCCCTCTAAAAAGTGGAGACAAGAAACAACCTACTCATAATCCCACAGTCTCCCCAAGGAGCCAGAGATTCTTGGGTCTAGCTAACCTCCTTTATTTTCTTAACAGCAAGTACTATAACCTTAACTTGTGCCCATAGAAAGAACTACAGAGGCCAGGCGGGGTGGCTCACACCTGTAATCCTAGCACTTTGGGAGGCCAAGGCGGGCGAATTGCCTGAGGTCAGGAGTTTGAGACCAGTCTAGCCAACATGGTGAAACCCCATCTCTACTAAAAATACAAAAAAATTAGCTGGGCGTGGTGGCATGCGCCTGTAATCCGAGCTACTTGGGAGGCTGAGGCAGGGGAATTGCTTGAACTCGGGAGGCGGAGGTTGCAGTGAGCCGAGATTGCCCCACTGCACTCCAGCCTGGGCGACAGAGTGAGACTCTGTCTCAAAAAAAAAAAAAAAAAAAAAAGCCACGGAGACATTGGGAGCATTCAGGGCATTGGATCACTGGAGGGGCTTCAAAGCCAGGGGAGCCCACCTTTGAGGCTGAATTTCTCACCTACTAGCTTTGGGACCTTGGTCAGGTGACTTTTCCAAACCTTGGTTTTCCCATCTGTAAAGTGAGTATAGGCAGTACAGCCCCTCTCTAGGACTGTGTGTAGGGAGATGGTGCTTGGTCACACAGCACTCAACGAATGCAGGTCGTTAACAGTGGGAGACAATAGTAACTCAGATTTATTGAGCACTTACTGTTGGCCTGGCGCTTGCCATCAATGAACTCATTAAAAAAAATTTTTTTTTTTTTTGAGATGAGGTCTTATTCTGTAGTCTAGACTGGAATGCAGTGGTGCAATCACAGCTCACTGCAGCCTTGACCTCGCTGGGCTCAGGTGATCCTCCCATCTCAGCCTTCTGAGTAGCTGGGACCACAGGTGTGTGCCACCCGCCCAGCTAATTTTTATGTATTTTTTGTAGAGATAGAGTTTTGCCATGTTGCCTAGGCAGGTCTCCAACTCCAGGGTTCGAGCAATCCACCCATCTTGGCTTCCCAAAGTGCTAGGATTACAGGCATGAGCACCACACCCAGCCATTTTTTTAAATTTAAATTTTATTTATTTATTTATGAATTAATTAATTAATGACAGGATCTGACTCTGTTGCCCAGGCTGGAGTGCAGTGGCACAGTCATGGCTCACTGAAGCCTCAAACTTCTGGGCTTAAGCGATCCTCCCGCCCCAGCCTCCTGAGTAGCTGTAGCTGGGACTACAGGAAGACAGGACCACATACAGCTAATTTTTTATTTTATTTTAGGGAAAGGTGCTATCTCTCTGTGTGTTGCCCAGGCTGGTCTTGAGCTTCTGGGCTCAAGGGATGCTCCTGCCTCAGCCTCCCCAAATACTGGAAGCAACTGTGCCTGGCTAATTGCCTCTAATCCTCAGAACAACCCTGTGAGAGAGGTTGTGCTATTACTCTCATTTTACAGGTGTGTAAACTGAGGCGTAGAAAGGCTGAGTGACCTCTCCCTGCCTCACTCTGGGTCCTCAGCCACTTCTTGCCTCTGCACGTGTTTTTTTTCTTTCCCTTAGGCAGGGATAAATAAAGGGCATGTATGTTGTCTTCTGGGGCCTGTAGTGAGAGTAGTGCATTCTATTAATTATGATTGGTTTTGTTGTCATGGCTCCTAAAAATGATGGGCTAGCAGGAACTACTGCAGTACCAAGGTTTCCCATTTCCCCCATGGGCCTGATCCTAGGGTAGCAGCTTCCCATTCCTCTGCAGTGGTGCCTGCAGCCACAGATTTAATTTAAAAATTTCTAGTAGCCGCTGTGCAGTACAGTCTCAAACTCCTAGGTTCAAGTGACCTCCCTGCCTTAGCCTCCCAAGTAGCTGGTACTGCAGGTGCACACCACTGTGCCCAGCAAAATTAATTTTCGTAATAGAGTTTAATCCCTTACATCCAAAATATTATGATTATTTTTGGAGACAGGGTCTCACTCCTGTTGCCCAGACAGGAGTGCAGTGGTGCGATCATGGCTCACTGTAGCCTTGACTTCCTAGGCTCAGGTTATTCTGTCATCTTAGCCTCCGAAGTAGTTGGGACTACAGGCATGTGCCACCATGCTTGGTTGATTTTTTTGTATTTTTTGTAGAGACCAGGTTTTGCCATGTTGCCCAGGGTGGTCTTGAACTCCTGGTCTCAAGCAATCCACCCGCCTCAGCCTCCCAAAGTGTTGGAATTACAGGCATGAGCCACCGTGCCTGGCCCTTCCAAAATATTGTTTCAACAGGTAATCAGTATAAAAGTTATTAATGAAATATTTTACATTCCTTCTTGATAGCAAGTCTTCAAAATCTGGTATGTTATATTTATAGCACATCTCAATTTGGACTAGCCACATTTCAATGCCCAGTATCCTTGTATAACTAGTGGTTACTGTACTGGACACATCAGTTCTTTTTTTTTGAGATGGAGTCTTGCTCTGTCACCCAAGCTGGAGTGCAGTGGCGCAATCTTGGGTCACTGCAACCTCCATCTCCTTGATTCAAGTGATTCTCCTGCCTTAGCCTCCTGAGTAGCTGGGACTACAGGCATGCACCACCATGCCCGGCTAATTTTTTTTTTTTTGTATTTTTCACCATGTTGGCCAGGGTGGTCTTAAACTCCTGACCTCAAGTTATCCTCTGGCATTGGCTTCCCAAAGGGCTGGGATTACAGGTATGAGTCACTGTGCCCAGCCTGGACACCTCAGTTTTAGAATATACCCATTTGAAACCTTTGAACTCAGTTTGGTGTACTGATTTGATCTACTGTCATTGAGGGTGGTCCTGAGCTGATTTTGCTTTGTAATATTATTGCTAGTTATTAGACAAGTTCTGGCTTCCTGCCTAGATTTTTCTATGCTAACTGGGCAGGTCCAAGAGTAATTCTGAGGGTCTCAGACAAAGCCAATATCTACATTTATTATGTTCACAATTTTTTCTTTTGACTAGAAAACCGAATTGACCTCAGATTTTTTTTTTTTTTTTGGTCACATCTGTTAATTTGAGTTGCTGCCAATAAAAAGATAATATCCAGGCAAGTTCCAGCCTTGTTTAGTTATAAGAAATTTTGTTACAACAAGGCTGACTTAGGAATTCAGTAAGCATTCTATTATGATATTTCCTAGGGTTTGTGAAATTTAGATTACATTTAAAAAAGGCAAACATTATGACGATTTTGGTTCCAAGTATTTCTGGAGTTTCTACTGTGTGCCAAATATTGTTCATTCAATGGATTAATATTTATTGAGCTTTTTTTTTTTTTTTCTGAGACGGAGTCTTGCTCTATTGCCCAGGCTGGAGTGCAATGGCGGAATCTCGGCTCGCTGCAACCTCTGCCTCCTGAGTTCAAGTGATTCTCCTGCCTCAGCCTCCTGAGTAGCTGGGACTACAGGTGCCAGCCACCATGCCTGGCTAACAGAATGCCCTTTTAATGCAGACTTTAAAAGCGATAAAAGGGTTGCCGCATCTTTTACTTCTTAAGTCTTTCTCTCCTTATGTGGTGGGATGTCCTCAGGTTATGGTTACTGAAAGAAAGTTATCCTAGAAGGAAGTTTTTCATCAGCTTTGTGAGTATGATTTCACTGGAAGTGGTCTTGACTTTTGGAAGATCTAGCTCTGAGATCAAGGTTCTCTCTGTGGGGAGTGGAGACCTTATGGAGAAGCAGTTATTCTTGTACACTGATAGTGGGAGTATAAGTTGCTACAATCTTTTGGTAGATAATTTGGCAGTGTCTAATTACAACTAAAATGTGATTTTAAACAAGTCTAGCAATCCTGCTTCTCACCATAATTTCTAGAACAATGCTAACTCGTGTGTATTGCAGCACTATTTGTAAAGGTGAAAAATTAAAACAGGATCATATAATTAGTATACTGTGTGTATTTGTTTCCTATTCCTATCGTGTAATAATTTCCTATTTGCTATAACAAATTACTACAACCTTAGTGCCTTAAAACAACATAAATTTATTATTTTATAGTTCTGGAAGTCCGAAGACCTAAAATTAGGATTTCGGCAGGACTGTTCCTTCTGGAAGCTTTAGGAGATAATCTGTTTTCTTTCCTTTTCTAGCTTCTAAAGAAGGCATGCATTTCTTGACCTGTGACCCCTTCCTCCATCTTTAAGGCCAACAGCATAGTATCTTCAAATCTCTCTCATTCTCTCTCTGATCTCTGCTTCCTTCTCCCTGACTGTGACCTTCTGCTCCCAATGTCACATCTCCTATTCTGATCCTCCTGTCTCCCTCTTATAAGAAGTCTTGTGATTACATCATACTTGGATAATCCAGGATAACCACCCTAGTCAGGATCCTTAATTTAATCATTTCTGCAGAGTTCCTTTTGCCATGTAAGGTAGCATATTCACAGGATCTGAGAATTAGTATCTAGACATCTTTGGGGGAGCATTATTCAGCCTGTCACACTCCATAGTACTGTGCAGCCACTAAAAAGACTGTGTGTACAGAGACAGGAAGATTTCACTGAAAAAACAAGAGGATTGCCTTTGAGTGGTGGCTCACGCCTGTAATCCCAGCACTTTGGGAGGCCAAGGCAGGTGGATCACCTGAGGTCAGGAGTTTGAGACCAGCCTGACCAAAATGCCGAAACCCCATCTCTACTAAAAATGCAAAAATTAGCCGGGCCTGGTGGTGCATGCCTGTAATCCCAGCTACTTGGGAGGCTGAGGCAGAAGAATTGCTTGAACCAGGGAGGCGGAGGTTGCAGTGAGCCAAGATTGTGCTATTGCACTCTAGCCTGGGCAACAAGAGCGAAACTCCATCTCAAAAAAGTAAAATGAAAAAAAGAGGATTGCTTGTGAATGGGGAAAAAGGCAAGTTGCCAAACAATTTAGTATGATCCCCTTTTTGTGTGTTTTTTAATTTTAATTTTTTATTTTTGCCCACCCGCCTGACCCCTTTGTGTGTTTTTGTTTAAAAAGAAGTAAGCATTGTGTGTATGTGTTTCTAATATGCATAGAAAAGATCTGGAAGGATGCACACTAAACATTTAGATAGTGGTTACTTCTGAGAACACAAGGATGTGTTGAGATGACTTTAAACTGTATAATTCTTATGTACAGTAAACATGTGTTTGTTTATTGTGATTTTATTTATTTATTTATTTATTTTTGAGACGGAGTCTCACTCTGTCGCCTGGGCTGGAGTGCAGTGGTGTGATCTCGGCTCACTGCAACCTCTGCCTCCTGGGTTCAAAACGATTCTCCTGCCTCAGCTTCCCGAGTAGCTGGGATTACAGGCGCCTGCCACTATGCCTAGATAATTTTTTGTATTTTTAGTAGAGACGGGGTTTCATCATGTTGGCCAGGCTGGTCTCGAACTCCTGACCTCGTGATTTGCCCGCCTCAGCCTCCCAAAGTGCTGGGATTATAGGCATGAGCCACTGTGCCCAGCCCTGTAATTTTTATGAAAGTATACATGCACAGTTCTGACTTATACGTGGGAGCTAAACAGTGGTTATACATGGACATACGGAGGGGGATAATAGACACTAGGGAGTCCAAAAGCGGGGAGGGTGGCAGAGGGGCAAGGGTTGAAAAATTCCCTGTTGGGTACAGTGTTCACTATTCAGGTGATGGACACATTGAAAGCCCAGACTTCACCACGATGCAATATATACGTGTAACAAACTGCACCTGTACCTGCTGAATCTATAAAAATAAAAACTTTTTTTAAGGAAGAAAAAATTATATGTGCACATAGTTGAAAAAGTAAAAAAATAAGCCTTCTTATGAAAATCCTACACTCAGTTGTGTTATTTCTTCCCACCCCAGAACCCTCTTTCCCAGAGGTCTCCATTTTATGATTAGCTCTTCATATTTCTAAATAACAAATGTGTGCTATTTCTTGATTTTTTTCCACATTAGATACCTTTTGACTTTCTACTTAGGAAGATGAGGCTTCAGCTGTTTTAAGCTATTCCTATGCATATTTTCCCTCACCATTTATCTTTTCAATAGGATTACACTGAAAATTTTGCTTTACATTACACCCCAGGAACTATTATTCTTAGCTAATCCACGCCTATACCACAAAGGAAATGCGTGTGCATATCTCTGTGTGTGTGTGTGTAAAGGAAAAACTGTACAAGAGACATGTATACCTTTATGGTATAGTTTTTTTCTCCCTTCTGAAAAATAGTCTAGTTTTTTCTTTTCTTAGTTTTCTTGTATCCGTCATTAACGCATCCCAAACTCTCCACTGACATTCATTCTCTTCTTAGGAGACTTACCAGCCTGTCTTTTCCTTGGAGACCTCCTTCCTGGAACTCTGTTCTCTGGCTCCCATCTGGGTTTGCCTTCTAGGTCTGTGTCACAGCTGTTGTCTTGGGGTCTCCCTTCACCATCATTTTGGGTACTCTCTCCTATTCTATGTTGGATCTTTATTTCCTGAAGCCCTTGATTATTCTTTCTAGTTTACTTTTGGTTTTGGTGGAACACGTCATCTAGTGGTTTTCTGAAAAAGGGGTATATGGGAGATACATATATGGATATAATATTTGAAAATATCATTTATTTTAAAAATAAAGGGGAAAAAAACTCCATTAGGTAAAATGGGCATGGAGGAAAAAATCCAAATATACCAGAGTTCATGTGATGATTTTTCGTTTCAAAGGAATTACACTGGGAGACACTAAACTTAAATCCTTGGAGGACATGCCCTTTATATCCCAGCAGATTCCTAGTGTTCTTCAACTTAGAACACAGGAAGAATTGAGAATAAGGGTCTGATTTTAAGATCAAAACTAGTGTTCTTTGGTAAATCTTTTTACTTTTTACTTGCTTCCTCTGCAAAGTGGAGACAATAATGATCTTGTTAAGGCCCTTTAGATAAAATGAGACAATGTAGATAAAGAGCAAGATGCTAGGGACTGTTTTTATTATTATTGAAATTGTTTTCTTATGAGACTGTAGGCAACTAAATTTGGAATATTTTCATACACGTACACATGATTATAGTATGCTAAATTTTACTTGGAGTCATATTTTACATACTTTTACTATGAAAAATGCTTTCAATAACTAATTTTTTTTTTTTTTTTGATACGGAGTCTTGCTCTGTCGCCCAGGCTGGAGTGCGGTGGCGCGATCTCGGCTCACTGCAAGCTCCGCCTCCCGGGTTCGCGCCATTCTCCTGCCTCAGCCTCCCGAGTAGCTGGGACTGCAGGCACCCATCACCACGCTCAGCTAATTTTTTGTATTTTCAGTAGAGACGGGGTTTCACCATGTTAGCCAGGATGGTGTCAATCTCCTGACCTCGTGATCCACCCGCCTCGGCCTCCCAAAGTGCTGGGATTACAGGCGTGAGCCACCGCGCCCAGCCTCAATATCTAATGTGGTGCATTAAAGGCTTTATTAAGCTTATCTGTAACCTAATTTTGAAAAAAAGCTTTTAAATAAAAGTTTTAATATTATATTAGTAATATATGCTTGCTATAAAAAAATTAAAACTTAGAAAAAAGTAGAAAAAAGGGAAAATTCATAGTTTTCATTACAATGGTGTATTGTTTCCAAGTGGTTTTTTTTTTTCTTTCTTTTTTTTTTTTGAGACGGAGTTTTGCTCTTGTTGCCCAGGCTGGAGTGCAATGGCAGAATCTCGGCTCACTGCAACCTCTGCCTCCCGGGTTCAAGCGATTCTCTGCCTCAGCCTCCGGAGTAGCTGGGATTACAGGCGTCAGCCACCACACCCAGCTAATTCTTTTAATTTTTTTATTTTTAGTAAAGGTGGGATTTCACTGTGTTGGCGAGGCTGGTCTTGAACTCCTGACCTCAGGTGATCCACCTGCCTCGGCCTCCCAAAGTGCTGGGATTACAGGCATGAGCCACTACACTCGGCTCCAAGTGTTTTTCTATTAAGATCATGGTATATATACAACTTAGAGTCCTGATTCTTAAACTGTTACATACTGTTTGTAAATATTTTCAAATGAATATATATAGTATTATTTTAAAAATATTTTTATCTTTTAGAGATCTGTACTGAAATATTAGAGATAATATTATATAATGTCTAACACTTGATTGAAAACAATGGGTGGAGTTGGGAAATGAGTCAGCCATTAATTGATAATATTAAACTAAATGGCTATGTGGGAGTTTATTATATGACTGTCTAGTTTATATATACTACAAATTGTTCATAATGTAAAAGAAATAAATCACTACAGTATTCCATTATGACATATCTTAATTTCTTTAATCATTGTTTGTGGTTGTTTTTTTCCTTATTTTAAATAACATTAGTATTGATATATTTAGATTTTTGAATAGTTTCCTTATGATGGGTTTATTTGAGTAGAATTACTAGGTCAAAGAGTATGAACATTTTAAAGACTGGGTGTGTGTAGGGATGTGTGTGTAATACAAAATTGGAGTGGAGAAAATCTTTAGGAGATTTATATTGGATTTATAATTGTACTCATTGAGCATAAGAATTATATAGCAAGTTTATTTTAAATTTTTAATGTGAGTAAAGGCTTATTAAATATAATAGGTGTAAACATTTTAAAAATTCATATTCTTATTTAAGAGTGCTAGTAACCATTCACGTGGAACTAGTACTTTATGCTTTTATAGAGTTTTCCTGTCTAGTACATGCCATAATCCTCACAACAACTCTATAAGCTGTAAATTACGGAAATTCAAAACAAAATAGACTAAGCTTTAACATGTAATTATTGGTAGTAATTCCTGTTACCACTAGATGGCCATCTTGGCATGTACTTTGAGCAAAAGTAGCTAGTTTGTATAATAGATTTATTATTAACATACATTTTAATTGGAGTAAAGAACTTATTTGCCACAGCAGAAAAGCAATATATTTTTGTTGTTAAACTAAATGATTTTTTAAAAATCTAGCACTTTATGTCTGAGGATTTTTGTTTGTTTTTGAGACAGTCTTGCTCTGTTGCCCAGGCTGGAGTGCAGTGGAGCAATCTTGGCTCACTACAGCCTCTGCCTCCTGGGTTCAGGGATTCTCCTGCTTCAGCCACCTGAGTAGCTGGGACCACACCCAGCTAATTTTTGTATTTTTTAGCAGAGATGGGCGGGGTTTCACCATGTTGGCTAGGCTGGTCTCAAACTCCTGGCCTCAAGTGATCTTCCCTTCTCGGCCTCCCAAAGTGCTAGGATTACAGGCTTGAGTCACTGCACCCGTCCAGAATTTTAATATATAGATATTGAACTGAGTAAATTAGTGACTTGACCTGGAGCTATGCTCCCCTTGGTCAATGTAGTTGTCTTATTACAACTGAGTTCTTCTAAGGGTCAAAAACTACGATGAGTGTGTGTGGTCCCTGTCAGGTGAGAATCAGAAGTGAAAATGCTACGATTTTGTTTTCATTATTTAAAACTTTACTAATTATCTTGACAAGAAAATCAGAGGACCTTTGATTTTTGTCTTGCTTGATCTCATGTGTATTTTCTTCCATTGATTTCAATCTTATTAGCCCCATTGCCACCTTTTTATGATAAATATTTTGTATTGCCCCTTCCGCTAACTTTAAATGAAAATCATAGTTGCTGGGTGCAGTGGCTCATGCCTATAGTCCCAGCACTTTGGGAGGCTGCAGTAGGCAGATTGCTTGAGCACAGGAGTTCAAGACCAGCCTGGGCAACATGGCAAAAACCCATTTCTACAAAAAATACAAAAATCAGCCGGGTTTAGTGGTGTACTCTTGTAGTTGCAGCTACTCGGGAGACTGAGGCGGGAGGATCGGTTGAGCCTGGGAGGTCGAGGCTGTGGTGAACTATGATCTCACCGCTGTACTCCAGCCTGGGCTACAGAGAGAGACTCTATCTCAAAAGAAAAGAAAGAAAATCATAGTTAATGTTACTGATCTGCATAATTTCAAAAAAATCATGTTTTGATTATAATATAAAGGATAATTTGAAAATAAGCAATTTATAATAAATTGTGTATTAAAATATGTAAATACTTGAGCACACTACATTAGATGTCACAGTGAGGTAGTAAAATACTTATACCAGCACATAAAATCACTGTGAATGTGATAGCTGGACAAGCTGATTGATACGTGATATTGGTGATGCAGATGCCAAAGTGGCATTGACATGATTTCCAAAATGGTAAACAACTCTTAGTAAATTTCTGAACAAAACAAAATAGATTTATAGTATGGCTGCATTCTAGAATATTTGGAATACATTAACACTGTGGAAAAATACGTTTTGTTTACATGTTATATTCCAGCCGTAGATATATTTTCAATGGAATCTTTGAAAATTATCTAGAACATGTGACAATTCTTTGTCCTACAGGATTATTCCCTCCTTTGCTGGACCTCTAGTATCCATGGCACTTGCCCATTAAATGCTAGCAGAGCATCCTCACCTTCAGTCTCCAAAATGCCTCTATAAACATACAAAGGGCCCTGAAGGGGGCAGTGCTGCTACCAATGAGAACCACTGATTTCCAAGAATCCATCTACATTAATCTACCATATGGCGGCCGGGCGCGGTGGCTCACGCCTGTAATCCCAGCACTATGGGAGGCCGAGGCGGGCAGATCACGAGGTGAGGAGATCGAGACCATCCTGGCTAACACGGTGAAACCCTGTCTCTACTAAAAATACAAAAAATTAGCCGGGCGTGGTGGCTGGCGCCTGTACTCCCAGCTACTCGGGAGGCTGAGGCAGGAGAATGGTGTGAACCTGGGAGGTGGAGCTTGCAGTGAGCCGAGATCACGCCACTGCACTCCAGCCTGGGCAACAGAGCGAGACTCCGTCTCAAAAAATAAATAAATAAATAAATAAATAAATCTACCGTATGGCTGTATTGCTCATGGAATTTTAAAACCAGAGTAACTTAAGTATATTAGGTCCTAAACTGTGATATGTTTTGAATAATTAAGACAATTGAATAATTATGGTAAAAGTCGATTTGTTCAAATGCTTCATGATTTTATTATAATTCATGTAAGCAGATCTATGATTGATATTTTAAGTTCCCAACATTATACATTTTCTTTGTTTTTTCCGCTCATCCTCTCTAGTAAGTCAGGAACATAAAACTTTCCTTAATGTTATCATTTGCTTAGTTGACAGTCATACAATGTAATTTGTCCCTTTGAAAAAAAATTTTTTAAATTAGGTAATATAGTAACATTAGAAACTTTGTAAAATGACAAAATTTCCCATAATCATACCATCCTAAACAATTGTTAATATTTTTCAGTATTTTATACTTTATATGCATATTTTGACGTTAAAAAGATTTATATCTTTTCATAATGTGGCATAAATTTTTTGTTGTTTATATAGCTTCAAAACTATTAGGTTAAATTACTGCATTTTTTTCCTTTAGATTCTACAATTCAATCATTTTCTTACCTTTAGATTGGTCACATTAGAAGAGTTATATATAATATATATGTGTATGCATATATAATCTTTACTGATAAATCTGTTTCAATATATTTTTCCTTTAGAATAGATTCTTAGAAGTGGGATCACTTATTGGGTCAATGGACTTGGATATTTTTGTAACTTGTTAAATTTGCCCAGTTGACTAAAAAATAAAGCTGATCCACTTATATTACTATCAGCATATCTGAGTTGTCAATATATCAAAGCATCAGTTTCACTTAATTCTTGGCTGCATCAGGAATTACTTTAAAATTATTTACTTTATGTTAACCTGATTAACAGTGACACTGAGCATTTTTTGCCCTTGTGAATTATTTCTATTTTCTTTTCTGTAAAACATATGGTCCTGTCTTTTAACTATTGATGTGTTGGGTCCTTGCTGTTTACTTTTCCCCCACCTTTTCATTTTGAGTCAGACCTTTTAAATAAGTAAAACATGAATGTTTCTTCTAGTCATTTTTGTGGTAAATATATTTCTTTGCCATTTCTTATTTTGATTATTTTAATATGTAGAAGTTGCACATTTTTATGAGACTCAACAGTTATCTACCCATAGAAAATACTATGTGTTATCAAAGAAAGAACATAAGACAGTCAAAATTCAGGGTTCTGGACAGAGATATTTATAATACTTGTTATATTTGACAAAGGACTCATATCCAGAACATATGTCAGAACGCTTACAAATCAATAAAAAAAAGACAGACAACCCAGTTTCAAAAGGTGGGGAAAAGCCCTAAACTCTCACTTCACAAAAGATACTCAGATATCTAAACCATTTGGCAGTATGTATGCTGAATGAATGCAAACTGATTTTATATTACCTGTGTAAAACCTATTTAAAAATGTAGATTTTTGGAAAGATAAATTTCATCGTAAAGCCAAATTTATATCATTCAGAGTATAAATGCTGTATTTGTTAGTGTGACCAGTTTAGATTTTACCGTACTTCTGTAGGAGAGAGGTCGGTTTCTTTTTGCTTTATCCTGCCTTTAATAGGAAATTATTTTTGCAGGTTTCTTCCCTGTTGAATATGATGTTAATTTTTACTGTCCAGCAGTTACATATTATCTAGGAAAAAATGCCTCATTGGAGATCAGTAATCTCTATAGATCTTAGCGTCTTTAAGCAGGATTGAGGAGTATCTTGGCTTTCAGTGACTCCATCAAGGTATGAGAGAATAGGAGAAAAAAAGGAAAGGAAATCAGAAATTCAAGGATGAAAATGTTGCGAGTGTCACAGAGAAGTGTATTTAAAAAACCCATATAAATCCCACAAGTACATGTGGTTGTTTTTCCTATTCTTTACTACAGGATATAATATAGATTATTTTTTTTTTTTGAGATGGAGTCTCACTCTTGCCCAGGCTGGATTGAATTTTTAGTAGAGACAGGGTTTCACCCTGTTGGCCGGGCTGGTCTCGAACACCTGACCTCAAGTGATTCACCCACCTCGGCCTCCCAGAGTGGTGGGATTACAGGTGTAAGCTGCTGCGCCTTGCCATAATATAGATTATTTTTATCCTTACAAATGAAACAATTCTAAGAAATTCTTTCTTGCCTTGTGACGAAGGCCTGTTTGGGATATGTATATCTCACCTAATTATTGTGCAAGCCTCCAAGTATTAGTATCTGTCCCTGGTTACCTCTTCTGTGCTTGGTTATTCCCATCGTAGCTAATCTACTAAAAATTATAGGCATAATTCTGTTTATTTTCATGGACAGCTTTTCTTATAATTACCCCTTTTAGATTTCTTATCCCTTTTAATGATGTAGAACATTTTGTTTCTTTCTGGCAGAAATAACTTTTTCAAGCCCCATTTGCCAACTTCCTTCTCACACATACGCTCCTTTCTCTTCCTTATTGAGTGCAAGTTGAGTATCCCTTATCTGAAATACTTAGGTCCATAATGTTTCCGATTTTGGGTTTTTTCAGATTTTGGAATATTTGCATTAATACTTACTGGTTCAGCATCCCTAATGCAAAAATGCAAAATCTGAAATGCTCTAATGAGTATTTCCTTTGATGCTTAAAAAGTTTCAGATTTCAGATTTTTGGATTAGGGATACTCAACCTGTAATAGTTGTTCATACCAGGTAGAGATACACTAATCAACCTGCCATTACTCTCTTTATAATTTATTTTCTCTTGACTACTTACCTAACCCTCAGAGTATATACTTTTTTTGAGATAAATTTATACCCCAGGCACATTTTTTCATTGTAAATCTCAGGGATTCCATATATTCCCTTCCCCATGGGCCTAAAATTCTGCTTTTCCTTACTTAGGATACTGTATGACATAATTGAGTAATCTTCCAGCTGGATAGTCTTTCTGGGTTTGGAAACTTTCTTCTCAGAACTGTCATCCCTTGAATTTGAATGTTTGTGATACATTCAAATCTTAATTTACCTATATTCTACTGTCATAATCTTTTTTCTGACATATATTTCAATATTTCTTATTCAAGAAGACACAAATACATACACACCCATGCACACCTCACATCCCAGGCTGGGACATTAGCCTTTTCAGATATATTAAATTCAAGGCACAAGATATTCTTTCCTGGTTTTTTTTTTTTTTTTTGAGACAGAGTTTACTTTGTTGCCCAGGCTAGAGTGCAGTGGCATGATCTCGGCTCACTGCAACCTCCGCCTCCTGGGTTCAAGTGATTCTTGTGCCTCAGCCTCCTGAGTAGCTGGGACCCTAGGTGTGAGCCCCCATGCCCAGCCAATTTTTTATTTTTAGTAGAGATAGGGTTTCACCATGTTGTCCAGGCTGGTCTCGAACTCCTGGCCTCAAGGATCCACCTGCCTCAGCCTCCCAGACTGCTGGGATTACAGGGATGTGCCATCGCACCTGGCCTCTAGCCTCTAATGAGACAGTCTATTCGTAATACTATTACTGTTTTTAGTATTTTCATAGAATGTGAATTGTTTACTTTCTGCAAGAACTTAAATATACATTGCATGTAGGAGGGCAGAAAATTTGTTTTTTAAAATTTTGAACACATTTACTATTGCAAAAAAATTTATGCTAAGTTTAGTTTAATTTGCACCAACAACAGATGACAATATCTTGCACTTTATTTACTTTTATGAAAAATTTTATTGCTGCAAACCCTCCAGTAAAAACAATTAGTTGCCAGTTTTAAATTTTAGACCAGCTTGGCTGGGTGGGGTGGCTCATGCCTGTAATCCCATCACTTTGGGAGGCCAAGGCGGGCAGATCATTTGAGGTCAGGAGTTTGAGACCAGCCTGGCTAACATGGTGAAACCCTGTCTCTACTGAAAATAGAAAAATTAGCTGGGTGTGGTGGTGCATGCCTGTAGTCCAAGCTACTTGGGAGGCTGAGGCAGGAGAATCACATGAACCCAGGAGGCGGAGGTTGCAGTGAGCCAACATCGTGCCACTGCACTCCAGCCTGGGTGACAGGCCGAGACTCTGTGTCAAGAAAAAAATAAATAAATAAAAATTTAGGCCAGCTTTTCTCTGCTACTTACCTCTTCTATCTTTTACCAGATGTATTTGGAGAATTTAAACTACTTTTATTCTAAGTAAAAACTTAATGAGAAAGGAAAATGGATTCTAAAATCCAAATATAAATTGCTTTTGTATGATCTGTAATTTTAAATTAACCATAGCACACTCTTTTGAAGGGATAATTGAGAACTGACTTATTAATAAAGACAGGAAGGGAAAATGTCATGTCATAGTGTATAAATGGAGATTTTGATGTTCAGTTCATCTATGTTTTGTTTAGATGTCCCTGGTAGATTTGGGAAAGAAGCTTTTAGAAGCGGCACGAGCAGGTCAAGATGATGAAGTTCGTATTTTGATGGCAAATGGAGCTCCCTTTACTACAGACTGGGTAAAGAATGATTTTAATATTGTGTGTTCTTTTTCCTTCTCATTTTTGAGTTTTTGCAGAGAAAAATGTAGTCAGTATTGTGTTTATAAGTGGTAAAAAGTTATTATTTTTGCAAATGTGTTTATTATTTTAGAATTATAACTGTCCTAAAAGAAGTGGTTTATATTATTTTCTTTGATATTGGACAACCTTATCCAAATATTTCATCCACAAAGAGTTTTTCTTTCAAACTGTGGAGTGCATTAATGTGGCATGAATATAAAAATGTATCTGCTTGGGATTTAATTTAAAGGCCTTATAAATAGCACAGGTAGAATTTATAATTCAGAAAGATACTGATAAAGATTGGAGTTAGTGTTAATAGTCACTCCTAAAAGAAAAACAAGTTTATGTTTCAATTATTACTTGTAAAACTGTTGCAGACATGACGAAAGAGGAAGAAAGGAATGGGAATGAGATCTTGACAACTATGGAAAGAAGGTAGTTGTGGGGAAGGCAAAAAAAAATAACTCTTTAATTCTGGGGGCAAATAAAAAAGTATTGTCTTGTGGATATGGAATGCTAGGAATCTGAATTAACCTGCCCATTGGTAACAACTAAAAATTCCAGATTTTTGATTTTGCCGTTTTTGCCTTTCTTTCTCTTTTTACATTTTTCATGAAAAAACAAAATTTTTTATTATAGAAAATTTCAAATATATATCAACGATATCCCTGTAATACCCTTTACCCAACTTCAAAAATTATCAAATCATGATGAATATTGTTTCCTCTATAACTCTGTCTACTGTATTATTTTTTGTTCTGTATTATTTTAAAGCAAATTCCAGGGACCATATCATTTTATCCATAAATGTTTCTTTAAAGAATAAATAAATCTTTAAAGAATAAAGACTTTTTGATGAAATATTTTAAAGAAAGTCTTCTTAAGTACACTGCTGAATTAGAAAGAAAGAGATTATCAACCTGAAAAACTAAGTGAAGGCAAGAACCCAGAGAAATTTTACCCTAAAGAACATTAGGTGAACTCACACTTGTCTGGTGGTTTTTCCACCTCACTGGCTTGGGGTACTAAAGCTAAAGACCTGAGAGTGTTCATGGAGAGAAGTCTGATAGGAGATCTTATCTCATAATTCTGGAATCCCAAAGAGCTGCACCTTCAGTGTAGGGATAAAGCAGGAATACCCTGTCCCTCCTCCTGTCTGCTCCTGCCCTTGCCCCTGTTGCCGTGATGCTGCAAAGATAATAAGCTGATGTGAACCAAGACATCAAATGGAGAGAGGAAAACAATCTGATGGTGAGAATTTGGAATCACAAGGCATCCTTTTTACACACTTGCAGCCTGAACTCATAAATACTTGTGTAGTCTAAAAAACTGTAAACTGAGAAATGAATTTGAAGTGATCTTTGGACTAGGGATTACCCCAGGCTCTTGACAGAAGCAAATGAATATCTGCTCTGGAGGAACCTGCCTTCATCCCAGGCTTCATATCCACAAATGAAATTCAAAGGAAAGTGAGCAGTCAGAAATAACTAAACACATGAACACATGCCAATTTGGACAGTAATCTGCTAAAACAACTGTCAACAGAAGCAGACCTATAAGGACTTGAGATAAAATTTTAGTAACAGATTAGAAACAGCTAAAGAGAAAATTAGTAAACTGAAAGGTATGAAAAAAAAAATGATCCAGACTATGTCACAGATAAAAATAGATAGAAAATGTAAAAGAGATGTTAGGAATCATGAAGGATCATGTGAGAAAGTCTAACATCTGATCATAGATCCACAAAAAGAGCAAAAATAGGGATGAAATAATTCAAAGAGGTAATTGCTGAGAATTTTCCAGAACTGATGAAAGATGGCAGCCCACAGATTTGAGTAGCCTAACAAATCTCCAGCAGGATCAATTTAAAAACTAATCTATATCTAGATATATCATAGTGATGCTGTAGTACCTCAAGACAAAAAGATCTTTTTTTTTTTTTTTGAGATGGAGTCTCACACTGTTGCCTGGGCTGGAGTGCAATGGTTCAGTCTCGGCTCACTGCAACCTCCGCCTGCCGGGTTCAAGTGATTCTCCTGCCTCAGCCTCCCAAGTAGCTGAGATTACAGGCACCCACCACCAAGCCCAGCTAATGTTTTGTATTTTTAGTAGAGATGGGGTTTCAATATGTTGGCCAGCTGGTCTTGAACTCCTGACCCCGTGATCAGCCCGCCTCGGCCTCCCAAAGACAGAAAGATCTTAAGAAGGATTAGTATCCATAATACATAAGGAATTCCCATGGGTTAGCAATAAAAAGACAAGGCAATAGAAGACTGACTGGATATGGTGCTTTACCAAGGAGAAAGTTTGATCAATAAACATGAAAAGATACTCAACTACATTAAAATTGGGGCAAATGCAAAGTAAAATCATGAAATACTATTATATATCCACCAGATTAGCAAAAACAGTTGAGCAGTACCAAGGCTTGGTGAGGAGATGGTGGGAACTCTCAAATATTTTTGGTGGAAGTATGGAATTGGTATAATCGTTATGGAAGACAGTTTGGCAGCACATAGTAAATTTGGAGATGTGCATAGTATATGATGTAGCAGTTGGGCTTCTAAGACTATTCCCGAGAGAAGACTTGTTCATGTGCCTGAAACATATACAAGACTACTGTATTTAGCAGCAACATTATTCATAATAACACAAAAACTGGAAACAATCTAAATGTTCATCAGTAGATTGGTTAAATTAATTGTGGTTTACTCATTCAATGGAATATTATAGAACACAGAAAATTAGTAAGCTATACTTACAGTTATTAACATGGTGAATCTCATGAATACAGTGTCAAGCAAAAGAAGGCAAGTCACAGAGAAATACATGCAGTATAATTCTGTTTAAATAAAACTCAAAACAGGCAAAACCAAAGTATATTTTTTAGGGATAAGTGATACAAAGAAAACTAAGTAATGCTTGTCACAAAATTCAAAATATTAGTTACCTCTGGGGCTGGGGGAGGGGCTTGTGATCAGGGAGTGGCATGTGGGAAGATTTTTTTTTTTTTTTTTTTGAGACAGAGTTTCGCTCTGTTGCCCAGGCTGGAGTGCAGTGGCATGATCTTGGCTCACTGAAGCCTCTGCCTCCCGGGTTCAAGTGATTCTCCTGCCTCAGGCACCGAAGTAGCTGGGATAACAGGCGCCCACCCTCACACCCAGCTAATTTTTTATTTTTAGTAGATGAGGTTTCACCATGTTGGCCAGGCTGGTCTCGAACTCCTGACCTCAGGCAATCCACCTGCCTTGGCCACCCAAAGTGTTGGGATTACAGGCGTGAGCCACTGCGCCTGGCCAGATTTTAAATTACTGGCAGTGTTTTATTTCTAGACTATGGTGTTGATTCACAGGTGTTTGCCTTAAACTACATATATTGGCTGAGCACAGTGGCTTACGCTTGTAATCCCAGCACTTTGGGAGACTGAGGTGGCAGATTATTTGAGGCCAGAAGTTCAAGACCAGCATGGGCAACATAGACCCCATCTCAAACAAAAAGAAAAAAATTAGTCAGGCATGGTGGCTCAGCCTGTAGTCCTAGCTACTCTGGAGGCTGAGATGGGAGGATTGCTTGAGCCTAGGAGTTAGAGGTTACAGTGAGCTACGATAGCTCCACTGCATTCTAGCCTGGGCGACAGAGCAAGAAGCTGACTCTAAAAAAATGAATAAAAAAAAACCCAAAAAGCTACAAAAACTACATGGCCAGGTGTGGTGGCTCATATCCATAATCCCAGCACTTCGGGAGGCTGAGGGAGGAGGATCGCTTGAGCTCAGAAGTTTGAAGGTACAGTGAGCTGTGATCACCCCATTGGACTCCAGCCTGAGTGACAGAGTGAGACCCTGTCTCAGAAAAAAACAAAAAACCCTGCATATATGTATATATATTTTGTGTCAATAACCAAGAAGGGAAAGTCTCAGAAGACAAAAATAAAAAAGTAGATCCTAATGTCAAACTGAGCAAAGCTCCTGGTTGCTAAATGGGCTGTTGAGATATTTTCATTAAATACTGAAATTTAAGAGTATAGAAAAGGCTAGTTAAAGAAAAATTGACAAAGCATGGAGAAAGAAAGGATTGTTTAAGGATCTTCTTTGATCTGCTGGGATGACCTTCTCTTAAAAATGTAAGGTTTAGCTGGGTTTGTTGGTGTGTGCCTGTAGTCCCAGCTACTCTGGAGGCTGAGGTGGACAGATTGCTTGAGCCCAGCAGTTCAAAGCTGTAGTGTGTGATAATTGTACCTATGAATATCCATTGCACCCCAGCCTGGGCAACACAGTGAGGCCCTGTCTCTAATTAAACAAACAACAATTAAACAAACAAACAAACAAAAAATATATCTATCTCTCTATCTATAGATAGATAGATAGAGAGATAGGACTAAGGACCTTTATACATATATCTCACTTAATCTCTTCATAACATAATAAACTGTTTATATGTGTAAATTTCCTTAGTCCAAATATCTTAGTTCTTTGGAATATCAAGTGATGTGGTAATCAGAGGGTTATAGGGATTTTCTGTGCCTTTAAATGCATGTGATAGAACTTAATCTTCCTTCCCTCACATTTTAGTACTCCCTCTGTGTATTGTGGATGTCAATTTAATGACTAGACCACATGGAACCAATTTCAGGAGAATTGGGCTCTGTTTTGGTTTTGTCCTGATTCAACTTTGGCAAATGCACCTAAGATTTTTCCTTTGAAAAAAATCCCTTTAAAAAGATCACTGAGATGTTTCAATACGTGAATTTTTTAAGACCTACAAAACAATTTTGATCCACTTAAAGTAAAAATGTACACTGTTACATTTATTTGAGATGAATTTTACAGACGAAGTTAACTTAGCAAGTTTTGTGTGATTGGTATGAGGAATACATTCTAATACACAGAAAAATTTCTCAAACTCTATCTCTGATTTCTTTTTTTTTTTTTTTTCTTTAGACCAAAATCTCGCTGTGTCACCCAGGCTGGAGTGCAGTGGCGCGATCTCGGCTCACTGCAACCTCTGCCTCCTGGGTTCAAGCGATTCTCCTGCCTTAGCCTCCTGAGTAGCTGGGATTACAGGCACATGCCACCACGCCTGGCTAATTTCTGTATTTTTAGTAGAGATGGGGTTTCACCATGTTGGCCAGGGTGGTCTTGAATTCCTGACCTCAAGTGATCCACCCGCCTTGGCTTCCCAAAGTGCTGGGATTACAGGCGTGAGCCACCACGTTCGGCCTCTATATCTTAATTTCTAATGAAATTAATTTTGTTCAGGCAGTTTATCTGATAAAAAATAATGAAGAAAGAAAGTTTGAATTAAAGGAAATACTGGATTTTCTTCTTCATTGAGAGTGTTTGGGAATTCTTCAAGATGTCTATGAAGAGGATGTGATAAGCATGAATCTAGGCATTTCTTTTGAGTTTTGAGTTGCTATGTAAACAGATAATGTAAAGAAAATCTGTTTACTATATAAACAGAAGTGTAGTAACAATAATGTAAATGTGGATTTTTTTTTTTTTCTGTGGTACAGCTGGGAACTTCTCCACTTCATCTAGCAGCACAGTATGGTCATTATTCCACCACAGAGGTACTGCTGCGAGCTGGTGTGAGCAGAGATGCCAGAACCAAAGTGGACCGAACACCATTACATATGGCAGCTTCTGAGGGCCATGCCAGCATAGTAGAGGTTTTACTTAAGGTATGTGTTCTCTTTTTGCACTTTGCTTTTAAAATACTTTACGGTTTTATAAGAAGGAGAGGGAACTAGTTTTTGTTAAATGCCTACTTAGTATTTTATCTATAGTATTTCATTTTTTGTGTGTATAAGCCCATTAAATGAAAATTGTCTTATAGCTTTCATTTCATGAGGGACAAAACTTCATTTAGGTATATTCTTAGTTAAATCAGCTAATTGATTTCTTGGACCTTGGTCTATCTTATGATGAGGGACTACAGCATTTTTTCTTTTTGTTTTTTTTTTTTTTTTGAGACAGAATCTCTGTCACCCAGGCTGCAGTGCAGTGGCACGATCTCAGCTCACTGCAACCTCCACCTCCTGGGTTCAAGTGATTCTCCTGCCTCAGCCTCCCGAGTAGCTGGGACTACAGGCGCCCACCACCATGCCCAGCTAATTTTTGTATTTTTAGTAGAGATGGGGTTTCACCATATTGGCTTGACTGGTCTCGAACTCCTGACCTTGTGATCCGCCTGCCTTGGGCTCCCAAAGTGCTGGGATTACAGGTGTGAGCCACCATGTCCGGCCCTTAATTTTTTGTATTGTAGAGATGGGGTTTTGCCATATTGCCCAGGCTAGTTTCAAACCCCTGAGCTCAGCTGATCCAACCGCCTCGGCCTCCCAAAGTGCTGGGATTACAGGCGTGAGCCACTGCACCTGGCCTGGAACATCTATTTAACATATACATATAAATAATTGACTACATTATTTGTTCTTGCTTTAAAGCACAGAACTAATAATTTCATATCAGGAATTTTTTATGTGATATTTCATATTTTAGTAAACTCTTTGAAATATTTTTGTAGCATGGTGCTGATGTCAATGCAAAGGACATGTTAAAGATGACAGCTCTCCATTGGGCCACAGAACACAATCATCAAGAGGTGGTGGAACTTTTAATCAAATATGGTGCTGATGTACACACGCAAAGTAAATTTTGTAAAACTGCATTTGATATTTCAATAGACAATGGAAATGAAGATTTAGCAGAGATATTACAGGTAACTTTTGGCTTTTAATTTAAGAAAATAAAGAAAAAGAAGCCTTATCAGTAGAGGGATCTCTTATATTGTGCATGATTTAAACTATTGTTTGTAGCCTTTCATTTTGGACTTAGTTATTTTGGATAGGCCTTTTTCTCTTTCACTTCCTCTTTGTTTATTACTATTCATTTTCTTGATTATAAGGCCAGTCTCTTCATTAACATTAGATAAGGTGATTACTTTCTGTTTTTTAAGTTTCTGAATTTCCCTTTAGACCTTTTTTTTTTTTTTTTTTTTTTTTTTGAGCCAGAGTCTTGATCTGTCCCCCAGGCTGGAGTGTAGTGGCACGATCTTGGCTCACTGCAACTTCTGCCTCCTGGGTTCAAGCAATTCTCCTGCCCCAGCCTCTCAAATAGCTGGGACTACAGGTGCATGCTGCCATGCCTGGCTAATTTTTTGTGTTTTAAGTAGAGATGGTGTTTCATCATGTTGCCCAGGCTGGTGTTGAACTCTTGAGCTCAGGCGATCTGCCTGCCTCGGCCTCCCAAAGTGCTGGGATTACAGGCGTGAGCCACTGCGCCTGGCCCTAGACATTTTATTCTATTATTTTTGTTGCATTTTGATACTATATGGTTTTTCCAAGTCTACTATAAATGACTTTATAAAAATTAAAAAACATATATATTAGCAACCATAATATCATTCCTTGAGTGAGTGATGCAGTTTGATTTGTTTCTTTTATCTTTCAGCATCCTCAAAAATATCTGTTGTTTTTGGCTTTTGGGAAGATTTTTCTAGTAACCAACATTACTTCTCTTATTTTCAGCCAGATGACATAATATAAATTATCTTCTTTAATTACTGCCTCTTCTTGCCTGTTTGTTCCCAATCCCAGCAGTAGAACTCTTCTTTTCTAAGACTATCTGACTCCTTTGAGCTTCCACTAGTTACTTAAAAGATGTTTTATGTTCAGGAAAATGAATTCTACCATGCCTCTTTTCATTCCTTTTACTCCTAAGAGTGCAGTTTGGGGGTTGGAGTTGAAGATGGGGAACAATTAATTGAGAAGGACATGCTTTATATATGTGGTATTATGTATTGCCAAACGTAGAAGAAATAATTAAATTCCTATAGCTACAGGGCAGAAATATTTTTTGTTTGTTTTGTTTTTGTTTTTGTTTTTTGAGATGGGGGTCTCACTATGTTGCCCATGCTGGTCTTGAACTCCTGGGCTTAACCACTCCTTCTGCCTCAGCCCCCTGAATAGCTGGGATTACAGGCACCTGCCACCTCAGCCAGCTTAATGTCCAGTTGTTCTGTGTTCTGTTAAAAACCTTTTAGATACTCGTTTCTCCTCTCCCAGGATTTTGCTGCTTTACCTAAGAGGGGGACTTGGGATATAAATATATACCCATGATGTGCCCCTACACTGTCAGTGGACCTTAGACAAATATTTCCACTTGTACTATGTGATTCTTCTTAGAGAATACTCCTTTATATGTGTTTGTATTATATGGAGAATTTGTGCTATATGTTCTGGTTATAATTCTGAAAACACTGTGGTCATTTTTTCCCTAGATTGCTATGCAGAACCAAATCAACACAAACCCAGAGAGTCCTGACACTGTGACAATACATGCTGCAACACCACAGTTTATCATTGGACCTGGAGGGGTGGTGAACCTAACAGGTCTGGTATCTTCAGAAAATTCATCCAAGGCAACAGGTATTGAGATGCATATAGGATAGGCTTTGGGATTTTATGCTTTAGTAGGTATTCATCCTTGTAAGAAAGGACGGTTGGAGAATGAGGGTAAGATTCTATCAGCCACCTTTGTTTTCTTTGGTATAACTGGCAAAAAGATTTTTATGAGACAAAACAATCTGAAGAAAGGTGATATTACAAAATTTACTGCAGTATTACCTTTCAAAAGCTAATGCTATCCAAGCTTTGTTTAAGAGTCAGTAAGATAAATAGAATATCAGAAATATGCATTGGATTAAGCTCCTTAGAAATTCAAATCTATTTTCTTTTTTCTTACAGATGAAACGGGTGTATCTGCTGTTCAGTTTGGAAACTCTTCTACATCAGTATTAGCTACATTAGCTGCCTTAGCTGAAGCATCTGCTCCATTGTCCAATTCTTCAGAAACTCCAGGTTAGAAAAACGAGTCTAATGTGTACATTAAAATTGCAGATTCAGGCTGGGTGCCGTGGCTCACACCTGTAATCCTAGCACTTTGGGAGGGCGAGGCGGGTGGATTGCCTGAGCTCAGGAGTTTGAGACCAGCCTGGACAACATAGTGAAACTCTGTTTCTACTAAAAATACAGAAAATTAGCCAGGCGTGGTGGCACATGGCCTGTAATCCCAGCTACTCGGGAGGCTGAGGCAGGAGGATTGCTTGAACCCGGGAGGTGAAGGCTGCAGTGAGCTGAGTTTGTGCCACTGCACTCCAGCCTGGGTGATAGAGCAAGACTCTGTCTCAAAAAAAAAAAAAAAAAAAAAAAACCAAAAACAGTTGCAGATTCAAATATTTACAAAGGCCAGGAAGACAATAAAAGGCTAAAGTGGGCAGGATTGAGATTACACCCGGCTGAAGAATGGGGCAAGGGCAGGGAGGCATCTGTGACTCAACTCTAGCTGATTATAGTCATCAGTCCAGTATTCCCAAATTCTGTTTTTTAATAGGAAGCTGTGAATCTGGATTTTAAAAGAACATTAAATCTTGGTAACTAATTGAAAAACAAAACTTGTGTGGCTCACAGAAAAAAATGTCCCTGTCTCTAATTTGGCTCTTGATTTACTAGTTTGTGACTTTTTGTTTAAACAACTCACTTTGGCTGGGCATGGTAGCTCACACCTGTAATCCTAACACTTTGAGAGGCCAAGATAGGTGGATTGCTTGAGCCCAGAACCCTGGGCAACATGGTGAAACCCTATCTCTACCAAAAAATATAAAAATTAGTCAGGTGTGGTGGTCCACTCCTGTGGTCCCAGCTGCTCAGGAGGCTGAGGTCAGAGGATCGCTTGAACCTGGGAGGCAGAGGTTGCCATGAGCCAAGATCATGCCACTGCATTCCAGCCTAGGCGACTGAATGAGACCCTGCCTCAAAAAAAAAACCCAAAACCAAAAAACACTTTTTTCATAAATTTTAATTTTTAGCAGCTCTACTAGAGTGTTATAAAATCTTAATGACTGATAGAACTAGGAAATAGTATACAGAAACCACTGTTAAAGGGTTACCTGGCTGGGTGCGGTGGCTTGCTCCTGTAAGCCCAGCACTTTGGGAGGCTGAGGCGGGTGGATCACCTGAGGTCAGGAGTTCGAGACCAGCCTGACCAATATGGAGAAATCCCGTCTCTGCTAAAAATACAAAATTAGCCAGGCGTAGTGGCCCATGCCTGTAATCCCAGCTACTCGGGAGGCTGAGGCAGGAGAATGGCTTGAACCCGGGAGGTGGAGGTTGCGGTGAGCCGAGATCACGCCATTGCACTCCAGCCTGGGCAACAAGAGCAAAACTCTGTCTCAAAAAGAAATGAAAGGGTTACCTGTTGTTAAATGATGACAAACAGTATTCATGAACATTTGGTTTATACAAGATTTACCTTTATACTTAACCAAAATACTTCTTGATGTAATTATTATGTCGGTAAAATTTAATTAGGAAATTTTTTAAATTCCAAGAAAATATTTTTCTGTAGCTTAAGCCATTATATTTGGTTCAGTGCTTATAAAAGCAAAGAATAATTTGTCATTCATTTTTTAAATTAGTGTTTTTTCAAAATTTGATCAATAATAACAACATTTCATCAAATGCTTACTCTCTCTGCTAGGCACTGTGATAAATATTTTACTTATAATCTCATTTATTCCTCACCAGAAAGCTTTAAGGTGGATATTACTGTAATATTCTTGACTTGGAGGAGTTGGGGGAATGCTACCTTTTTCTTTTCTCTTTTTCTTTTCTTTTCTCTTTCTTTTTTTTTTTTTTTGACATGGAGTCTCATTTTGTCACACAGGCTGGAGTACAGTGGTACAGTTTTGGCTCACTGCAGCCTCCATCTCCCAGGTTCAAGCAGTTCTCCTGCCTCAGCCTCCCCAGTAGCTGGGATTACAGGCATGCACCACCACACCCAGCTATTTTTTGTATTTTTAGTAGGGACGGGGTTTCACCATGTTGGCCAAGCTGGTCTCGAACTCCTCACCTCAGTGATCTGCCTTCCTCGGCCTCCCAAGGTGCTAGGATTACAGGCATGAGCCACTGTGCCCAGCCTCTTTTTGAAAATAACATTTATC
Organism: Homo sapiens; assembly: GCF_000001405.40. Taxonomy (NCBI): domain Eukaryota; kingdom Metazoa; phylum Chordata; class Mammalia; order Primates; family Hominidae; genus Homo; species Homo sapiens. Next base: position 50,298,647 of record NC_000015.10, on the reverse strand, counting down.
CATTCTTTAGCTTCTGTAGCATTATAATCTAAGTTTGAATCCAAGCCTTTATATTTGGGAGTCTTAAGATTTGTATGAATCACTTTTGGCCATTAGCAGTTATATGCATCATCATACTAACATGCTGCTTTTATAACCTATGCCTGGATCTATTTAATACTTATGTAATTGCAGAAGCATAGCAAAGAAAACTGATTTCATTGGTGGTTTCTATTTGGTTAAACTTGTAAATTTCTTTTCTTTAATTAAATAACTTACCTCTGGCCGGGTGTGGTGGCTCATGCCTATAATTCTAGTACTTTGGGAGGCTAAGGGTGGCAGATCACTTGAGTTCAGAAGTTCAAAACCAGCCTGGACAACGTGGCAAAATCCTGTCTCTACAGAAAAAATTAGCTGGGCATGGTGGCAGGTGCCTGTGTTCACAGCTACTTGGGAGGCTGAGGTGGGAGGATCACTTGAGCCTTGGAAGCAGAGGTAGCAGTGAGCTGTGATCGCGCCACTATACTCCAGCGTGGGTGACAGACCAAGACCTTGTCTCAAAAACAAAAAAACAAAAACGAAAACAAAAACACATATATCTGAAAGTAAAACGGCTTTTCTTCTAAGTCAGCTGGAAATTTTGACATTTAAATGTGTGACTCCATGAAATGGCCACACCAATTTCTCTAACTTCTCTTAACCTTTGAAAATGTTTTGGTCTAGTCTGAGAGAATTAGTAATTTCAGTTAGTTTTTATTGCATGTGACTTAAAATCTTCTATGAGCACAATAATTTTTCATTTCAATATGACATCACAGTGGAATCTTTTTTTGGAGACAGGGTCTCACTCTGTCACCCCAGGCTGGAGTGCAGTGACGTGATCTTGGCTCACTGAAGCCTCCGCCTCCTGGGTTCAAGCGATTCTCCTGCCTCAGCCTCCTGAGTAGCTGGGATTACAGGCACACGCCACCACTCTCAGCCAATTTTTGTATTTTTAGTAGAGATGGGGTTTCGCCATGTTGGCCAGGCTGGCCTCGAACTTCTGATCTGTCCATCTCGGCCTCTCAGAGTGCTGAGGTTACAGGTGTGAGCCACTGCACCCGGCCCATAGTGGAATCTTTTTGAAGATATTTTAAAAGCTTACTTAAAAAGAAGTGCCGGGAGCGCAGGCTCACTCCTGTAATACCAGTACTTTGGGAGGCTGAGGTGGGCAGGTTACGAGGTCAGGAGTTCAAGACCAGCTTGGCCAACATGTTTCTGAAACCCTGTCTCTACTAAAAACACAAAAATTAGCTGGGTGTGGTGGTGTGCCCCTGTAATCCCAGCTACTGGGGAGGCTGAGGCAGGAGAATGGCTTGAACCTGGGAGGCAGAGGTTGCAGTGAGCCGAGATTGTGCCACTGCACCCCAGCCTGGGTGACAGAGCAAGACTCCATCTCAAAAAAAAAAAAGAAGTAATGGGTGGGCTCAGTGGCTCACACCTGTAATCCCAGCACTTTGGGAGGCCGAGGTGGGTGGATCATTTGGGGTCAGGAGTTCAAGACAAGCCTGGCCAACATGGTGAAACTCCATCTCTACTAAAAATACAAACATTAGCCGGATGTGGTGGCGTATGCCTGTAATCCCAGCTACTCGGGAGGCTGAGACAGGAGAATCGCTTGAACCTCAGAGGTGGAGGTTGCAGTGAGCCAAGATTGTGCCACTGTGCTCCAGCCTGGGCAACACAGGGAGACTCTGTCTCAAAAAAAAAAAAAAAAAAAAAAAGAATTAAGTTAAAGTTTAAGTATGTTACCACCAGAGTAAACAACTTAAAGCTCAATTTGCACATACTCAGGCAAAGCTAAATCTACCACAGATTATTTCTCTGATTTCTGGCTGTCCAGTTTCTTTAAAATCTATCGTCAGACTCATCCTGATTCTCGAAATGTTTATATATATCTTTTCAAGGGCTTGTTAGAATCTGGAAAATACATTAGTGGGACCTCCATTTTATATATAATGAAACAGGTTGAATTGGAGGTTGTGGAGGTTGAATAATTTTATCAAAGGGCATATGGCTATTAAGTAGAGAAAGGAGGATTTGGTCAGTCTGACTGATTCCCAAGGTATATGTCTGTGACCTCTATAATGTACCATCTCTCCTATGCAGTTTATTCACATGATCTCTGGGCTCTTTTAGAACGTTTATAATTTGGTTTGAGATATTTGAATTACACAATATTGAATTATTTGTGTAATTTTCATTTTATCTTATTTTAAGCAAGAGCGTCGCTATTACTTTTGGGATGTATCTGTTTCTATAGCTTTTTCTAGTAATAGGTAGTCTGTTGAAATAAGTGTTCTGCTACTTTTTTGACCTTTTTAAATGATGTTGACCAAAATATAGTGTAAGCTCCATCAGTACACTCATTGTTCCTGCTCATATTCTTTTCTTTTACTAGCTAAGTGGTACAATACACATTTTTCCTGGTTACAAAACAGCCAGAATGTAGCAGCAGATGGACTATATTTTAAATGGAAACTAGCTGGTTGGCATGGTCCTATATATAAAGAGAAGGCAATTGTGATAGTCCAGGGTACCATGCCATTTCACTCAGGAATTATGGCTTTAAATAGCACCTTCATGTCTAATGGAATTGACTTTCCATTAGAAAATGGAAATGACGTTAGTACCATTTTTGACATATACCACACATTTTAATGGTAGTCCTATGAGAACCTTACAATGTCTATTATAATATTTTCATTGAGAAATCAAATGATACCTCTGTCTTTTCTTGATGTTATAAGCAAATATAACAGCAGGTTGTCAGTGCTTGATGATTAAAATAGCTCATTGAATTACTGTTATTGTTCACTGGAAAGAGATTACTTTTAGCTGGAGTTGGGGGTGGGTGTGGTGGAGGGGAATGTGTTGAGTTGTGCCCTAAAGAATGGGTAAGATTTAGATTTTTTGGAACTCATTCCAACTCATACCATTTTGTGTGATTTTCATTTTGAAAGTCATTCCAAAATGAATAGACAAAAAAGTGAAAGCTTTTTTTTTTTTTGGGAATTACAGATATGTATTTTCTTATGAGGAAAACTACCACCATGTAGTACATTATTTATTAGTATACAGAAGCAATCACATTTTCCTGTCTTTCTTCTAAGGTTTACAGGCCACTCTAGTGTCATGGAATCTTCCTAGAGGAAGAAACATTTAAACTGAAAATTAAAGTAGGCGTTAGTAGGGAAAAGTTTGGGGAAGAACATTTTAGCAAGAGGGACATGTGAAGCTTTTGAGGCAGGAAAGAGCTTGACTTTTTAGGGGACCCAGAGGCCAGTGCATCTAAACCCAGTAAGTGGAAGAGTCACTCAAGGTGGTTGAAGGTGAGATTATATAGGACTTTAAAAATGATCACTTTGGCAGGTTTAGAAGAATGCTTTGGAAGGGAGTTTTGTTTGGAATCTAATGCAGTCAACCAGGGAAGAGTTATCATAATGATAGCATGAATGAAGATTTGACAGAGACAATAATTGAATAGATTCGAGGGTTATTTGGGATATAGAATTAGAAGCTGTGATTGGTTAAGATGTAGGCCTTACATCTGTAGTGTAGTTATCTGGCCCTTTAAAAATATTTTTTCATACGTCTCTTATTTTGTAGCTCTAGCCTGTAGTCCTATAGCAACTTTCCTTTGCTTAGCTTTATTCTTCCTTGTGGTACAACTGTATAATACCTTGATTAAATACACATCAGTGACCACCCTTCTTTTTTGTCTTTAGAGCAACTTCTGGTAATTACTAATAAAGTGGTTTTTCCAAAGGTGTAATGCATCTGGTGGCTTTAAAAGTTCCCTCTTTTCTTATGTGTCAAAACAGGGGTTAAAAAAAGAAAAACAATAAAAATAAAAAAGTTCCTTCTTTTTCTCCCTAAAAGTGAAATTTGAACCAGGTCTGTTTTGCACATTGTTTTTTGGTCTATATCAAAAATAGGGTGATACAACTCAATTGGCTTTAAGGGGTATGTATGGGGCCTCATGAGGTTGTTTTGTTTTGTTTTTGCTTTTTTGTTTTTAATTTCAGGTTAAACTGCCACCATAATACCTTCGAAAAGTTTATTTTTTCTTCAATGAATATAGTTTCCATTTTATTTTATTTATTTATTTTTGAGGCGGAGTCTTGCTCTGTTGCCCAGGCTGGAGTGCAGTGGCATGATCTCGGCTCACTGCAAGCTCTGCCTCCTCCCAGGTTCACACCATTCTCCTGCCTCAGCCTCCTGAGTAGCTGGGACTACAGGCACGTGCCACCACGCCCAGCTAATTTTTGTATTTTTAGTAGAGACGGGGTTTCACCATCTTGGCCAGGATGGTCTCGATCTCTTGACCTTGTGATCCACCTGCCTTGGCCTCCTGAAGTGCTGAGATTACAGGCATGAGCACTGCTCCCGGTCCATAGTTTCTATTTTATTATTTAAATGTTTCTATGTAGAATTTTCAATCTTTTAGGACATTTCAAAGACAGTTTTCTTCCCTTATTTCATTTGTATGGCATCTGAATTCAGAATTCTTATTGAACAAGAGATCTCAGATGTCGTCAAAGGTGCTGCAGATTATCTAGGTTTTCTTTAAATATTACAACTTGACTTTTGAATCAGATCAATGAATATTTATGTTATAGTTATTTTTTATCCAGGGAGCTTTATGTTTTGGAATATAAATCTATTTTTTAAAATCAATAATCTTTTAAGAGTTTTTAGGCTTTCTCTTTTAGTGTTTCAACATTTTACTGTTAGATTGTTCTTAAGGCTTCTGGGGGGCACTTTGTCTTACGTAATTTGTTTCCTTTTAATTTTTCTTAAATATCTTACCATAGCACAACTTAAAAAGAAAGCTTTTTAGATGAAAGGCAAGAACTCTATTATTTTAATAACAGTCATTGCAAATAGTGCAAAGATGAAAGTTCTTGAATTGTGCCTTGTGTGTGATCTTAGAAATTTCTTACATATGATTATGCTTTAAAATATTTACTATCTGTAGTTAGCATTCAGTTCAAGTGAATATTTCTTTTTCATATGGATAGTTTTTGAAAAAATCAAAGCAATACTTAATGCGTTTGAAAATCCTAGTAGTAGCTCTGTTGAATATATTACTATTTTATGTCCTACATTTCATTTTGTAATTATCTTCCTGAAATTTTCTTAAGTGCTTGGTGATAAAACCTAATTATAGTTTAAGGTAAACAAAAATTACAAGAGAGCTCAAAACAAAGGTTGTTTGCATTTTGAGTGTTCTGTGGTTTGTATTGTGATCCTTGATTACTAAGTAACACAGTAACAGAGTTGAAGCCAGGCCTGTTGAGTACATCTTGAAAACTAGTTTCCTAGTATTTTTCCTGCCTTAAAAAAAAAGCAGTTCCTATATTTATGGCCTTTCTGTCTTAGTAAATCCTGTGATCACTGATATCCATGATGCCATACTGTGAGTTGATAGAAACTCAGCATATTTCAGAGCAACTGTGTATATGGATGGTAGCTTGATTTTAGTAGAGAGTGGTTTTATTTAATTACACTTTTTGTAAAATTACACTTTTTGTAATTGCACTTTTGTAATGTGTAAATACATTAAAAACCATGCCATTTAGAAATAATTTTTAATGTCATTCCTCTTTTTGAACTAGTTATAATTTTTTTTTTATATGTAGACAGTTTTCAAACCCACAGAAAAATTGGAGGATGAACCTGTATAACTTTCACCTGTATTCACCAGCTGTTAACATCTTGGCATGCCCATATGTTCTCTGACACATGTGTGCATGTACACACACACACACACACACACATATACACACTTTTATTTTGCTAAGTTATATGAAAGTAGGCTGGAGACATCATGATACTTCACCTTTACTTTGGCATGTATCTCTCAAGAATAAGGATGGCCTTCTACATATCCACAGCTCCATTTTATTTTCTAAAAACATCAACATTAATTAAAAAAAATTATCTGACATATGGTCCATTTTCAAGTTGTCCTCCAAATGTCGTGTATAGTCAGATTTAGTTCAGACATTTCCAGGAAGAACACCAGTGAATTTTTGTAACCTCCCAGTGTATCACGTAAGGAGGCTCATAATATCAGCCCATCCTGATAATGACCACTTGGTAGAATGATGACTGCCGGGTCTTTTCAGGTAGATTTTCCCCTTTGCAACTAATAGTAATCTTTGGTGGGATACTTTGAGAACATTTGAATATCCTGTTTCCCCAAAAGATTTTATCAATGCTTTTAGCACCCACTACCGATCCTTGCTTGAATGAATTATTACATTAGAAGTTACAATGATTTATCTTTTTTTTTTTTTTTTTTTTTTTGAGATGGAGTCTCACTCTGTCGCCCAGGCTGGAGTGCAATGGCGTGATCTCAGCTCACTTGCAAGCTCCGCCTCCCGGGTTCACACCGTTCTCCTGCCTCAGCCTCCCGAGTAGCTGGGACTAGAGGCGCCCACCACCGCGCCCGGCTAATTTTTTGTATTTTCAGTAGAGACGGGGTTTCAATGTGGTCTCGATCTCCTGACCCGCCCGCCTTGGCCTCCCAAAGTGCTGGGATTACAGGCATGAGCCACCGCGCCCGGCCGCAATGATTTATCTTAACTTGTCATTTTTTAAATGTTAACTAGATGTCTTTCTATCAGGAATATCTTTCCCATTTCCTCCTTTCTCTCCTTTTTATGAGGTATTATTATAGATAGAATTTTTTTTTTTTTTTTTTGAGACAGAGTCTCACTCTGTCACCCAGGCTGGAGTGCAGTGATGTGATCACTGCTCACTGCAGCCTCAACCTCCCAGGCTCAAGGGATCTTCCCACCCTAGCCTCCCAAGTAGCTGAGACTACAGGTGTAAAACACCAAACCTGGCTAATTTTTAAATTTTTTGTAGACAGTTTTTCACTGTGTTACCCAGGCTGGTCTTGAACTCCTGGGCTCAAGTGATCATCCTGCCTCGGCCTCCTGGAGTGCTGGTATTATAGGCATGAGCCAGATAGAAAGATTTTTTAAAATTCAGGCTGGGCGTGGTGGCTTACGCCTGTAATCCTAGCACTTTGGGAGGCCAAGGCAGGCGGATCACAAGGTCAGGAGTTCAAGACCAGCCTGGCCAATATGGTGTAACCCGTCTCTACTAAAAATACAAAAAAAAAAAAAAAATTACCAGGCGTGGTGGCACACACCTGTATTCCCAGTTACTTGGGAGGCTGAGGCAGAAGAATCGCTTGAACTCGGGAGGCGGATGTTGCAGTGAGCTGAGATCACGCCACTGCTCTCCAACCTGGGTGACAGAGTGAGATTTCGTCTCAAAAAAAAAAAAAATTCAATGGATAGTAATCCATTACTATCATTCCTTTTGATGCTTTCTTATTGAAGTGAGGTTTAATGTACAGAAATGTTTATAGATTATAAGTGTACAGTTTGAGGAATTATCACAAAGGGTTTACATAGGATAATTGTAAACATTGTGTAAACATTGCTCAGTTCATAAATGGAAGGTAGACAGTACATATTCTTTTGTGTCTGGTTTACATCACTCAGTTTTGTTTTTTGTCAGGTTCATCCATGTTTTGCATATAGTCAAATTGCTGTGTTTGACTCTACCATTGTTAATTTATTATCAAAGAATATCTGCGTTGTTTGTAGTTTTTTACTAGTATGAATAAAGCTACCATGTATATTCTTCTACATGTCTTTTGGGATCAGTAGTTGGGTGTAGGATTGCCTGTGAGAAAGGATTTTGGCAGTATTAACTTGTGATTTCTCTACCCAGACAAGGCCACAGGTGCTGCTTGAGCTGCCAGAATCCTCTCTAAGGCTTTCATAAATTATTAAGAGCATATTTGGGGATTTTATTTGTGGAAATGTTAACATACACTATTTACTATCACATAGTACCACATCTGTATGCCACTTATTATCAAGGCAAATCCTTGCTCACTTAATCCAAAAAGAGAATACTCTTTATTCTGTATGTCAACTCACACATAAATGTAAATGGAGTATAATCATATTCAAATTCATCTTATGAATTGTGGATTTTTTTTTTTTTTTGAGACAGGGTCTTGTTTTGTTGCCCAGTGTAGAGGGCAGTGGCATGATCTCTTCTCATTGCAACCTCTGCCTCCTGGGTTCAAATAATTCTCCTGCCTCAGCCTCCTGAGTAGCTGGGGTTATAGGCATGCACCACCAGTCCCAGCTAATTTTTGTATTTTTAGTAGAGACAGGGTTTTGCCATGTTGGCCAGGCTAGTCCCGAACTCCTGACCTCAAGTGATCCTCCCGCCTCAGCCTCTCAAAGTGCTGGGATTACAGACCTGAGCCACCAGCACCCGACTGAATTGTGAGGTTTTACGAAACAGATATAACCTTTGTCATGATATTAGATCTAAATTTTGTACCTCATACAACCAAATGAGAAATTGTTTAACCACTCACATGTAAAGATAGTTGGAACTGATGTATTGTAAATTATGAGAGACTTGTAATCAACTGGTTACATAGATATCTCCAACACCTCTGGCGACTGAGTTTTAAAACCATGTACAAGTTTTCCTGGGTAAGAAAGAAGCAGGGGACCAGGTGTGGTGGCTCATGTTTGTAATTCTCAGCACTTTGGGAGGTCAAGGCAGGAGGCTTGCTTGAGGCCAGGAGTTTGAGACCAGCCTGGCCAACATAGCAAGACCCCATCCCTAAAAAAAATAAAACTAGTCAGGTATGGTGGTACATACCTGCAGTCTCAGCTACTTGGGAGGCTGATTCAAGAGGATTACGTGAGTGCAGGAGTTAAGGATGCAGTGAGCCATGATTGTGCCACTACCCTCCAGCCTGGGCATCAGAGTGAGACCCTATCTCTATTTAAAAAAGAAAAAAGAAAAGAAAGAAGCATAGAAAGCAAAAGTAGCAGACAAAGCAAAAATAGGTTTCTATTCATACCGTTACATATGTTTGCTGAGTTTTCTTTTTTTTTTTTCCAGTAGTGGCCACAGAAGAAGTAGTTACTGCAGAATCTGTGGATGGTGCCATTCAGCAAGTAGTTAGTTCAGGGGGTCAGCAAGTCATCACAATAGTTACAGATGGAATTCAGCTTGGAAATTTGCACTCTATTCCAACCAGTGGAATTGGTCAGCCCATCATTGTGACCATGCCAGATGGACAACAAGGTTAGTAGTAGACATTTATATAAAGTTTGTATGTTTTTTTTTTTTAATTTTTATTTTCTTTAAGTCTTCCCTGCAGTCCAAAAAGATTGTGTTTATTTTTAATTCTCAGGAAATTGTGGTATGTGTTCCAAAGAATGTATTTTTGCCTTGAGTTATATTTGTATAACCCTTTGCAATAGACTTAATTACCTAATTTTATTTGCTTAGGCTAATTAAAATTCAAATTAGCTTGCTTTCTCTGAGTATATACTGGTGGAAAGAGAAATTGGCCCCAAAGTATTCTGGTTGAAAAATGAGCTTAAATGTCAACACAAATAATATCCAAAATAAATAATTCAAATCAGCATTGGACAGTAGTTTCCTAGATCATTTAATGCAATTCAATTACCATGTGAGCTTTTAAAAATACCATATAAGAAAAAGCTACTTAAAAAGAAGTTGGAGCCTGGGCAACATAGTGAGACCCCATGTCTAAAAAAAATATTCAAAATTAGCTAGGCATGGTGACATTTGCTGATAGTCGCAGCTACTTGGGAGCCTGGAGTGGGAGAATTGCTAGAGCCCAGGAGGTTGAAGCTGCAGTGAGCCATTATCATGCCACTGCATTCCAGCCTGGGCAACAGAGAGAAACTCTTTCTCAGAAAAAGAAAAAAAAAAAGGTGGACTTAGGACTTGTAGTAGGAATATGGTAGCACATTTTAGCAGCTTTATTGTGAATTCTAACATTTTTCTCCTTTTGGAAACCACAAAGGCTAACAAGATGAAACAAAAGTCTCAGCTACATTTTCAGTGAAACTAAAAGGCTGAGAAAAACCTCAGAATTCCACATTTTTAAGTGCCGCCAAAAGCATCTGAAGCCATTACAGCCAGGGCAAGAGGACTCTCATAGAAATCCACACTGGTGCATCAAGGAAAGAAAAGGGGTTAAGCTCAGCAATAAACATGCTCTCTCAGAAGGATAGGGCCCCAGACTCAGTAGGAAGTGCTGCATGCAGGACTGAGATAGAATAGGGCATGAATACTGAGGCAGAGAGAAGCTGTAGAAAGTGCCTAAGTAAGCATTGCCCTGTACCTTGTCTCCCCCTAAAAGAAGTGTCCACACATAATCTTTGAGAAAATGACTAGGGCTAGTAGTATGGTGGCTCATGCCCATAATCCCAGCACTTTGGAATGCTAAGGTGGGATGATTGCTTGAGGCCAGGAGTTCAAGACCAGTCTTAGCAACACAATGATACTCATCTCTACAAAAATAAAAATGACGAAATTAGCCAGGTATGATAGTGTGAGCCTGTAGTCCCAGCTACTTGGAAGGCTGAGGCAGGAAGATCGCTTGGACCCAGGAGTTTGAGGCTGCAGTGAACTATGATTGCACCATTGCACTCCAGTGTGGATGACAGAGCGAGACCCTGTCTCCATAAAAATAAAGAAAGAAAGAAAATGAGTAGGATTGTAGAGCGTGTGCCTTTCATGGCCAGTGAAGGGCAGGGCTTGAGGTAGAACTTCGCCTAAACCAGGTTTGGTTTTGAGTGACAGAGGAGGCATGGCATTGAACAGAGACCAGATTTCAAGAAAGGAGTTTGTTGCTGTAGCAGTAGGAGAGGAAACCCTTGACCTCTGAAGCCTGGAGGCCATTCTGTCCCACTCTGCTGAAATCTTCTGCTGATAGCTGGTCTGAAATTTGGATTAGGGTCAGATGCTTTCACAAAGCATTAAAGAACTAATTCTAATTTTCAGAAAAGAAGAAAACTTTAAAAATATTTGTATCAAGCAGACATAACATTGTTTCCAAAACCCGTATCATTATACAGACTAATGATTTCTCACAGCTCTGAAGGCTAAAAGTGCGAGATCAAGGTGTTGGGCAGGTTTGGTTTCTTCTGAGGCTGCTCTCCTTGGTTTGCAGATGGCCGTCTTGTGGCCTGTCCTCACATGGTCTACCTCAGTATTTGTGTTATCTGTGTCCTAATCTCCTCTTCCTGTAAGGACACCAGTAGTACTGGATTAGGGCCTATCTCATTTTACCTTAATTATCTGTTTAAGGACCCTATCTCCAAATAGAGTCACACTTTGAGGTACTGGGGGTTAGGACTTCAACATGTGAATTTGGGGAGTGGGAGTGCCATTCAGCCCATAACAAATACCAAGTTTTTTTCTGTAATTAGCCAAATGGCTTCTAAAGTTTATGTTGATGGGGCAGAGGGAAGAAGAATAAGGAAAACTCTGGAAAAGAATAACCATGAGAAAGTTCTACTGAATATTTAAAAAAAACTTCTAAAGCCTTCCTGAATTAAAAATATATAGTTTACATGTGAATTATGTAGACTTTACAGACAGTCTAATAAACAGATTTAAATTCTCATTTTTTCCTGAGGTAATTTATGTCATGAATAAAAAAGAAGTAAAACCCAAATTCTCAATATTTCTAATGTTTTAAATTACATTGTACTAAATAAATATTAGTTTTACTATTTTTAAATTTTTATTTACATTTATAACTGTCACTAAGAGAGTTTTTCATGTTTTGGCAAAAAATTTTAAAGGCCGTGGAACAATTATAATTTTCCCCATTGTGATTATTAAAATGGCTTCGCATGGTTTCAGCTTGCACAGTCATTTTTATGTTCCTGTAGTGCTGTGCAAAGCAAGGACAGCCTCTCTATATAATTGCATTTATATAAAGAGCTACTAAAAATTGAGAAAAAGCCCAACAGTACAATACAAAAACAAGCAATGTTTATGAACTATCAGTGCTCATAATGGAATATGCACTTAGTGGATATTATGCAGCTAAATAAACAGAAGCTCTCTATGTAGTGATGTAAGATATTATAAGTATTTGGAGTGAAAAAAGCAGATGCAGAACAATATATCTATTGTATAGATGCTACCTTTTATGTAAGAAAGGAAAATGAGAATGTATACTAATTTTTAAACAAATTAATATAAGGATAATACATAATAAATTAATAAAATGATCATCTGTTAGCAGGGGTGGGCATGAGGCCTCTCAAAATATGCTCGTTAAATATTTTGATGTTTTGAGTCATGAATGAATATATTATCTATATAATTAAAAAAATATTTGTAGGTACTTTAATAAGTAGATTTCAGTAAAAAAGCAAGAAGGTAATAAAAAAGACAAATATGGATAGTCTCATAAAAAGCAAATCAATGATTTGGAATTATTGTTTTGGAATGTAGTTATTTTAGATGAGTAGCATCAACAATGTCAAGACTAGTTTTATTTCTAATAAATCTCTCTGAAAATGAAGTAATACATAATTTTTTTTTCATTTTAGTATTAACAGTACCAGCAACAGACATTGCTGAAGAAACTGTTATAAGTGAAGAACCACCAGCTAAGAGACAATGTATCGAAATAATTGAAAACCGGGTGGAATCTGCAGAAATAGAAGTAAGGAGTCTTTTACCCGGTGTGCTTTGCCGCAGTCATCCAAAATAAATTCAATTTTTTTTGTCTTTTATATTTATTACTGACAGTATTGTTTTGATACAGAATGAAAGTGCGTAGTATTTTCATTTTGTTTATTTTTGCCTTATACATATAGCAAGCCCTCAATAAATAAATATTGAATGAATGAATGAGTGAGTGAAGAATTTGTTTATAACAGTCTGTCATCTTGATAACACTGGAATGTCTTTGGTTCTTCCACTTCATCCTTTATGTTTTAAACTTACACACACCATTCTTACACGTCACTAAAGGAAAATACCAGTATATATTGGCTAAAATTTTTTTTTTGTTGTTCAAAACTGAAACTCAAATGCCTAATTGGGCTAGGGGTCCTCTTAAAGGAGGTTGATGTTTGTCAAATGGGTTATTTTTTAAAAGCAGTAGATAATTGCTTATTTCAAGGCAAGTAAATGAATTTAGACTAGCTGTTCATAGGATTCATCATTTTTTCCCCTCTCCCAAAGTAATTTGTAAGCGTAAACCAGTTTGTAGGTGTAACAAAACCATAGTTGCTTCACAGGTTTTTTTCTTGACTGACTGTAAATAAATTTTGTTCCATGAACTTGATAATAAGTTATATCAAATGAAAACAAAGTTATACTTGAATAACTTTGAAAGAACAACTGCAGCCACTGAACTTGAAATCAAATGAACTGAGTTGGAATCCCACCTCTTGCTCTGTTAGCATTGAGGCAAGGAATCTTATCTTTCTGAGTTTCAGTTTTATTGTGTCCCAAACTGGAATTTAGAATAATAATAATGTCTCCATTTTCGGGTTTTTGTGAGAATTGAAAAAGTCAGCATAGTCATACAATATTTATATCTGATACGTGTTTGTAGTAAACTTGGTGAATATTTAGTAATTTTTTGTAAAGGTTCTTGTTATAGAAAGGAGATTTTTAAAATAAGTCACTAAAAGACAACATAAGTCAAACTAAAGACAATGAGAAAATACCCTTCCTAAATTCATGTAAATATAAGACTGGTACATCTTTCACCACACCACAAATATATTATTGAGTTTAAAAAATCTGGTTATTGGTTAAACCGGAATATTTGGTAAAATTATGACTTTAAATATTGATGTTGGGTTGTTTTATTTCTTCAAGATTTAAAGTGATGTGTAGGATGTTGAAGTTCTTATTCACAAACTAACAATTTTTCCATTGAATAGTATCAGTATACTTATTATTTAATAATTTTTGTTGTTTTTCTGATATGTCAGATGATCTTTTTCAGACACATAAGGTAAAAAAATTGTCATGTACTTCGCTTTAACTATCTAATAAAGTATTATTTTAAAATTACTTGAATTTTTATTAAATGTAAGCTTATTTAATTCAACAGATTATATTTTTAAACAGTGAATGTGCAGCCTATACCTTTATTTACCTAATGACCAGTAAGCATTGCTGTTTCCCTCAAAGTTCAGCCTGATTTCTTTCTTACAGTCTTTTGAGAGACCAGGGAAAATAATTGCAAATAACAGGGAAGTATGAATTGAGAGGTATATAAAGTAACTAGGGCCAAGGAGATGGAGCTTTAGGGAGATTCAGTTTTAGCTTGGTATGAAGAACAGTGATTTTTGTTTGCTTGCTTTGTTTTGATTTTAGTAATTAGAGCTTTCTGGTAATGGAAATCTTATTCTCCATCACTAGAAATGTTCAAGCCAAGGTTGCATGACCTCTTAGGGCTATTTCAGAGAAACCTGGAAGCATACAGTGAGTATACAGGTAGTGGTAGGCTGGAGATATAGAATGAAGAGATGACCTCCAATGTTTTCACCAAACCAGGTAATAATTTCCTTATAATACATGAAGTCGTTATTTTGCATTTATTTTCTTAGGTGGCCAATGGGGTTATCTTGGGGGGAGACTTTTATACTCCTAAGGGACAGCTTGGCCATTAACTTTCAAAGTTTCTCTAAAGCAGCGTCAGGAGATATATTTGGTTGTCATGACTAGTGGCATTCCACTGACATGTAATGGGTAGAGGCTGGGTAGACATCCTACGATGCACAAGACAGCCTCCCACAATAAAGAACTGTGTGGCCCAAAAATATCAGTGATGCTGAGATTGAGAAACTTAAAGAAATTTAAAAATTAACTCTATACAAAATCTAATGTTTGAGTTTTCTCCATGTATCTGTGACTGCAATGACCAGAGTGACTGTCCATAAAGAAAGTGCTAAGAGTTGGCTGGGTGCGGTGGCCTACACCTGTAATCCCAGCACTTTGGGAGGCCAAGGTGGGTGGATCACCTGAGGTCAGGAGTTCGAGACCAGCCTGGCCAACATGGCAAAACCCCATCTCTACTAAAAAATACAAAAATTAGCTGGGTGTGGTGGCACGCACCTGTAGTCACAGCTACTCAGGAGGTTGAGGCAGGAGAGTTGCTTGAACCCGGGAGATGGAGGTTGCAGTGAGCCGAGATTATGCCATTGCACTCCAGCCTGGGTGACAGAGTGAGACAAAAGAAAAAAAAAAAACAATAAGGTGCTAAAAATTTATGTTTACAGTTTCCCAACTAACAATGGAGAGGTTTGCCAAGAGTCTCTGGAAAAATTACTTTAAATTGTAGAAAGTGTATTGTAAATTTTGTGGGGCTTTACATCTGCATATGGCAATATAGGAAATAAAATAGGTTTTTTTTTTTGGAGGGAAAGGTATGAATAAAATACCAAATTGCAATAATGTATATAATTTTATCTTCCATTTATTACCGCATTGAAGATATTTTTGGAGGAAGAGTGTTATTTACAGATTTCCAAAAATAAACGTTAGACTATTCTGAATTGAAATTAATCTTTGTACATGTGTAAGAAATGTATTTAGTGTATTAGGAGTAACAGATTTCTATTACTTACTTTATTGTGTGACTTCAGGAAATACCTTTATGTTTTCTTTGCCATGGAGGTTAGAGATAAATGTTTATTAGTAAATTTTATTTTATTTTTTTAGATAGAGTCCCTGTTGCTCAGGCTGGAATGCAGTGCTGCGATCTCAGCTCACTGCAACCTCCGCCTCCTAGGTTCAAGTGATTCTCCTGCCTCAGTCTCCTAAGTAGCTGGGATTACAGGCATGCATCACCATGCCTGGGTAATTCTTGTATTTTTGGTAGAGACGGGGTTTTACCGGGTTGGCCAGGCTGATCTCGAACTCCTGACCTCAGGTGATCCATCCGCTTCAGCCCCCCAGAGTGCTGGGATTATAGGCATGAGCCACTGCGCACGGCTGTAAATTTTATTTTTATGAAATATTTGTGTCCTTAACTGGTGGTAGATTTGAGATCCTTAGTGCTCTCTTAAAAACTGATTTCTGTAAACTTTATAAAATGTTTTATTTGATGCAAAGCTTTTCAATCTTTTTTTTTTATGGCTATCTTTCCTGATCTGCCACAATTTAAAAATGTTTATAGTCACATCCGTCTCTGTTTTTTTTTTTTTTTCTTTTTTAAGGCAGGGTCTCACTTTGTCACCCAGGCAGAAGTGCAGTGGTGCAATCATGGCTCACTGCAACCTCAAACTCCTGGGCTCAAGCAAGCTTCCCACCTCAGCCTCCCAAGCAGCTGGGACCGCTATACCCGGCTAAGTTTATTTTTATTTTTATTTTCATAGAGAGGGTGTCTTGCTATGTTGCCCAGGCTGGTCTTGGACTCCTGGCCTCAAGTGATCCTCCCACCTCAGCCTCCTGAAGAGTTGAGATTACTGGCATAAGTCACCATATCCAGGTCATATCTCTTCTCTCTCTTTTTTTAAATTAGTGTTTTTATGTATGTATGTATGTTTGTATTTATTTATTTATTTTTTGAGACAGGGTCTCACTGTGTTGCCTAGGCTGGAGTGCAGTGGTGCAATCACAGTTCACTGCAGCCTTGACCTCCCTGGGCTCAAGCAATCCTCCCACCTCACAGCCTCTTGAGTAGCTGGGACTACAGGCTACACCACCATGCCCAGCCAATTTTTGTATTTTTTTGTAGAGATAAGGTTTTGTGGCTGGGCATGGTAATTCATGCCTGTAATCCCAGCACTTTGGGAGACTGAAGTGGGAGGATCACTTGAGGTCAGGATTTTGAGATGAGGTTTTGCCCTGTTGCCCAGGCTAGTCTCTCACTCCTAGGCTCAAGCAATCCACCTGCCTTGGCCTTCCAAAATACTAGGATTACAGGCATGAGCCACTGCATGCCCAGCACCCAGTCTATATCTCTTTTTTCTAAGGCTGGAGAAGGCAAAGTTTTTTTTCATAAATGGCCAGGTACCAAATATTTTTGGCTTTGTGGGCCCTACAGTCTGTCAACTACTCAATTCTGCCATTGTAGTGAAAGCAGCCATAGACAATTTGAAAATGGGTGGGTGTGGCTGTATTTCAATAAAACTTTATTTATAAAAACAAAATCATACTTGTCATATTTGGCTCAGGGCAGTTAGAAAATTGATGTTTACACACAAGCAAATAGCTCACATATCCTGCCCAGTTTCTCTCTTTTAAAAAACATTTAGGCCGGGCGCAGTGGCTCACGCCTGTAATCCTAGCACTTTGGGAGGCCAAGGCGGGCAGATCACGAGGTCAGGAGATTGAGACCATCCTGGCTAACATGGTGAAACCCCGTCTCTACTAAAAATACAAAAAATTAGCTGAGCATGGTGGCGTGCGCCTATAGTCCCAGCTACTCAGGAGGCTGATGCAGGAGAATTGCTTGAATCCGGGAGGTGGAGGTTGCAGTGAGCTGAGATAATGCCACTGCACTCCAGCCTGGGCAACAGAGCAAGACTCCGTCTCAAAAAGAAAAAAAAATTATAGTGTTAATTATACTTTCAATCTTAAAGATTAAATGTATTCAGCATGCAGTGCTAATGATCTTTGTCTTCTAGGTTTTATAGAATTAGCCAAAAAATGCTGTGAAAATGAGTTTTTTATTTCACCTGGTAGGCAGAAGGAAACTATCTTTTCATTTTTATCAAGATAAATTGTACTTCTTGAAGTTAAAATATGCAGTATGGAAAATAGGATTAGGTTCTTTTCACTGTTAGACTACCTCACTCGGTTTGCTTTCATCTTCTGCAATAATTGTGAATCCTTTCCTGACTCTAAATGTTAATAAATAGGTAATACTAGAAGATGCTTTAGAGTTAACCTCTTCCAATATTTCCTGCTAAATCAAGGTAAATTTATACCCATATTCAAAACTTTGGCTACCAAAGGATTGCTCTTATTTTTCACATAATGTAAGTTTTTGTTTGTTTTCTCTTTTTTCTTTTTTTTTTCTTTTGAGACAAGGTCTTGCTCTGTCACCCAGGCTGGAGTGCGGTGGAGTTGCTCACTGCAGCCTCAACCTCCTGGGCTCAAGTGATCCTCCTGCCTCAGCTTCCCAAGTAGCTGGGACTACAGGCGCATACCACCATGCCCATCTAAGTTTTGTATTTTTTGTAGGGGTTTTGCCATGTTGCCCAGGCTTGTCTCAAATTCCTGGGCTTAAGTGATCTGCCTGCCTTGGCCTCTCAAAGTGCTGGCATTAAGGTGTGAGTCACTGTGCCCAGCCACACGTAAAATTTTAAAACACGTGCATGGCTGTGGACACTCCTGCCAGAGCTGTGGTCTAGCTCCTGGGAAGTAACATCCAACCTTCCACCCCTCACCCCTTCCATTGGTGTCCTTAAAGTCCTGCACAGTTTGTAGCCAGGGTACTGGCATTGATTGCTTACCTTGGACTCATCCTAGGTTGTCTTTTCTGACTTGTTCCTATCTTGGCTGGATTTAGGATAAGAGGAGGGGAGAAGAAGTGTTGGGAGGCAGCAGGATAGGGCCTGGGCATTGCTTAAACTGGGAGTAAGGGACATTCCTTTCTTCTACTTGTACATTTTGTGTAATTGGAAGATTTGGAGATCTTTTGTCTCCAAATGAATCACTCCCACATCTGGTGGGCCCATGAGAAAAAGAAATGTTGGATCTAGCTTCATTCCCATTGTGGGGAAGGAAGTGGAATCACAGAAAGGCAGGAGGATTATACATGCTCCTGCTTGTGGACCAACCATATGAATAGAGAAGGTGAGGAATCCTTTGGTGTTCACAATGGGCAGGAGTCAAGGAGGCAGAGGATATACATAATAGGATATATAGAAAGAGAATCTCATACTGTGCCTCCCCAGTGGTCGGCCAACCACTTACCTTTAGTTCTCTCTGGCCAAGTGTCTTGTCCACTGTGGACCTATCATTCTTGTGATAGTCCGACCCCTGGCCTTCACCCCACTCAGAGGTCCTGGGCATCTGTGATGAGGTTGCCTCATTCCTAAGACCTGGAAACTACCCTTGAGCTTTGGTCTGTGGAGGTTGAGCTTTTGTCCTTGTGCTCACTTAGAGGTGTGGGAATGGGTTCGTTGAAATGTTTCTCCTTGTTTTTCCTGCAATAACTGAATGGGGCAGAGTGAGGAGGAAGAGGAGAAACAATACCGTTTTCATTGGATTGGATTTGTGTTTCAGCTCTCAATTTGTTGAGGAATTTAATGCATATATTTTATACCTATATAATTTAATCATTGATAATTTAGTATTTTATTGGTTTATGAAATAGTATAATTTAGGAAATACTGATCTTGATCAGCACTCTTCATTTTAAAGGTGAATTATCTTGCTTGCTATTGTAAATGAAAATAGTTTTAAAAGCAGTAATGTTAGAACCCTATAAATCCAACTTCTTACTATGTGACCTTGGGAGAGCTACATCATCCCTGAGCATCATTTTTCTCATCTTTAACTTGTGCATAATATCTGTCTTAGATGCTTATTGTTGGAAATCACCCTGTTTACTCATATAGTGGGTGCTCAGTAAAATTGTTTTATAATTATTACCTTTTGGTAAGAGCACCACAAATGGAAATATAAAGAGGTATGGTTGTATATTTCCCTCTTAAAAACTCTTCACTAGTTTTTGTAGTACATATAAAAGTACAGGTGCCCAGTTTGGAGTCTTTCTGTTAGTCTTATTTCTAAATAGGAAAATAATTTCCTTGCAGTCAGAAATTAATCCATATCTCATAATGTGGAGCACAAAATTAGGGACTTAAATGTTAGTGAATTGATTGAAAAGGCAAGATGTCTAGGAAATTTCAATAGGTGGCTGCTTTTAGCTACTACGGTTTTTTTTTTTAATTTGAAGGATGCATGCTTATATGTATTAATAATGTATTTTTGCAAAAATTAAAAAAAAAACCCTCTTCTTTTAATTAGGAGAGAGAAGCTCTTCAGAAACAGCTGGATGAAGCAAATCGAGAAGCACAAAAATATCGACAGCAGCTCCTAAAGAAAGAACAGGAAGCAGAGGCCTACAGACAGAAGTTGGAAGCTATGACTCGTCTTCAGACTAATAAAGAAGCTGTTTAATTGAAATGAACATGTAGTTTGATTTTACTTTTGGTCAAGAAAGAATACAATCTTGAACTGTACACAACAAAGGTACAGCCATGGGAATACAGAATGATAGAAGAGACTACAGATGGATAATTGGACTTAAGCCATGAGCTCTGAGTTCTTGTAACATAAAACTTTACTTTAGAAGTTGTGAAATGTATTTAAAACTGAATTCTGTAAATAGTTTTTTTTTTTTTACAGTTCCAAATGAGTTGATAAAGATTGTTGAAGAGATCCAAAACCAGAATAAGCCACTGTTTTTGTGAATTCTTTTTGATTTTAGTACAAACCTTAATTTCTCAGAAACGGAACAGTTTTAAGGGTGATCGTTGTTGGTTAGGCCAAATGTTGTGTAATAATTATGGTGGACTGATGCTGGAATTACTCCTGTAGGTATAAACCTCTGTATGAAGAGAAGATTTCTCCCAGGAAATCTTTGTACAGCTTTAAGTTGTGTCAGATTCTCTGAAAACATTTTTTAGAAAGCAAAATTTTTATATTTGTTCAATTTCAGCTATACCCAAGTAGATTTACATGTATATGAAGCAAATATTTTTAAAAATTTCTGTTTGTACATATTCTGCATGTTTTATAATTTCAAAATGCATCACTTACATAGGTATTTCTCCCACAGAAATGATGAAAGTGACCAGAAAAAAACAAAAACAAAACCCCTTTACTCTGTAGGTCATTGAAACGAAGTAAGCTGGCAGCTGGTTTTATTGGAATGACAGTGTTCTCGGAAGGAGCAGCCTACAAGATAACTTGAATTTGCCAATTCTGCAAAATCTGTGCTTTTTTGAAAATTTAAGAGTGGGGACGTGAAACTGTATTCTGTGCCTTCCATCATGATTTCCACATGAAAGCACTTTAAGGCACTGATTTTAAGATAATGTTTTTGGAAAACCCAATGCATATGGGTTTCTGAAATATTTTATGGACTTATTTCTCCCCAGGAAATGATTCTTACGGAAAAAAATTGCTTTTGTATGTAGAACAGGAACTTTTTGTATTACAGTGATGCAATAGACATGTCTAATGTAACTTCTACTTTTCCTTTTGAAAGCTCAGTGTCTGTGCTATGACTTGCTCTCATCACAATATTGTTGAATTCCACAATGTATGGACATTAAACACTGGCAGACTGTTCACTTTTTCTTTTTTTTTTTTGGTAAAATATTACTTCAAACCCCTTTTTCTTGCTTTATTTTTCAGTGTTTTATTGCTTTATGAACTGTTTAACCCTGAAATCCCTCTAGGTTATCTATACTGTATAAAAAAGCAATTACCCTTAAAACTGTACTCTGGCCTACTTTTCTATTTTGCAATTAAATATCTTTTTCACATATGTTCATTGTAGACTTATGTTTTTATCACATCTTATTAACACATTAAAAATGTTATCCTACTGCATATTTGAGCCACCATATGAAAATATTTTATACTCTCCACAACATGACTTTAAAATTCCTGAGGTAACTCTTGAGAATTTGTTAACTCTTTCACTGGAATTACCAGTATATTTGTTAATGTAATAAAGGGGTCTATGGTCTGTCAGCCTGATGGTTACTATTGGAAGCACTTAAAAAAGAGTTTAGGGCAAATTGAAGAACTCTGTAAGGAAGAGGAAAAAGATCTTTTTCAATTTTCCACTAAATTTGACATATTTTAAGTGATCCAAAAACTAGTTTTTAAAAATGCCAGGCCATATTTTCAATAGCATGAAGTGACTTTTTCTGCAGTCCTGAAAAGTCAATAGAGAATGTTGTTTCTGGTTACTTCGGTACATTAATTTGTCATGTTAGGCAGGGTGCTGGTACCACAGCCAGGTACCCTGACATGTGGTGCTGGAGCAGAGAAGGGCCAGTGTCTTCACCCCAGAGGGCAATCACTGTAGAGTTTTGCTTTCAGACCAGGCTGGCCCTGAAAAGACTCAAGACAGTGTTGGGAACAAGTTTGTGAAAGCTAACTTAATGTCGTCTTTGACTTCCAGTCTCCTCTCCTGCTGGAGACTTTACCTGGTGCAAGAAATAATTTTGATTCCTAATAACAACAGCTGGCATAGATGGGAGAAAATAATTGGTGCTTAAAAGGAGTAAGTCTATGATAGCATCAGGTACTCAGGTATCTGTGGAGGAAGCTCACCTTTTTCAGAGTCATTGTTACATAACATAATTTCTCAATCATTTACATCTGATTTACTGTTCTGTAAAATCACTACTTAGACAAGAATTTGTAATTAAAACTTAAAATGGGTGTCTTCTTCCCTTCACTTATTTCATGCTGTTTTCAGGTGGGCTGTAAAAGCTTTGCATTCTAGTCATTCTCAATAGTGCTCTGAACAGAGGATTTAAAGAACTGACAAAAATAAAAGTATATGAAATAAAAGTTTTCAGAAATCCACATAATTGTTTCCACTACATAGTGATGGATTTGTAGTTAGCAGTCATCTGGTTGCCACATCACTGGTTAATTGTTTCCACATATGTGTGAACAAACACCTGGAGCAACCTTTCTCAACCAGGGTTCTGCAAGACAAGCCATTTAGTGTTATGGTGTAATGAATTATTTTCTTTCCTGTGCACCTAGAATCGTTCTTGTTACGTACTATCCAGACACTGAGTTCGTTAGGCATCTTGACTGCCCAATTACTTTATTCAGATTTAACACTTCCCTCTGTATAGTCCCTGGACCTCTAGAATTATAAATTCTAGACTGAATCTGTGATGCTTTCAGAAAGCCTCATCTGAGAAGTAGTATCTGCAGGGACTGTGCTTCTCAACTAATTTTCATTTATTGTTATTTATTTTATTTATATCTTAATTACTTCACAAAAGGACTTGTGATGTCATTTGTTTTCGTTGGCTTTTAGGAATTATTTTCTTAACATCAATCTTTTGTGATATGAATGGCAGAAGAGTTCTTTTACTCTGTCACTGGATTGCTCTATTTCTTTATGGTGGTGGAGGGTTGGGAAGACAATTAGAGAGAAAAGAGGATAAATGGGAAATCTCATGTAATGAAAGCTACACAGATGGTCCCCAATTTATGATGCTTTGATTTATGATTGTTTGACTTTACAATGGGTTTATCAGGGTATTAATTGCATTTTACATTTATGATATTTTTGACTTAGGATGGGTTTATCAGGACATAACCCCATTGCAAGCCAGAGAGCATCTGTACTTGTTTGTAATAAAAAGATCTGCTTACAAATATCTTTGTCCAAAACGTGACTGATGAATGTCTACACCAGTATATATGTCTTCAACGTGATCATTTATGATGTTATTGAAAATTAGAAGAAACCCTTGCTCATAACAGGAATTGATGAGTTGATAGAAATGTTTATGAGTACCTTATTCTGGTGTTACTGATTTTTTCCATACTACTCTATAACAAAGTTTTTCCTGGTAAAGTCTATAAAGTTTATTTGTGCTTTAATACCTGAAAGACCTTGAGAACTGACTCAGAATAAAATAGAGCAAGAAGAAAAGCCTTTTCAGATAAAATCACAAAGGAACCTTAATGTCCATATGGATGGGTTCCCAAGGCATTAGCACTCAGGCTTATATAGCAAATAGAAAAAAATATTTTCCATTCACCTGGTTTCTATTGAATAAATAACTCCTCCATTATGTCAGATCAACTTAGGAATGGACTAACTAATAGATTTGTTATTTCATCAAATAATATTTACCGTGCTTGGATTTCATTATAGATAACTAGTCTGTTGTAGTTTTGAATGATGTCTGCTATTTGCTTCCTCTGTTAGTTGAGAAAACCTGATGCACATGGACTCAGTTTGACGTAAGCTCTCCATATTCATTCTCAGATTATTCTGCGTAACCTACGATGGAAAACATACTATCATCATTGGAAATACGCTTCTGGTTCCAAATCAAAATTTTGATATCAATATTTGTGTAACTTATTAAAACTATTTTCCAAATATATAGATACACAGATACATAGTCTTGATCCTCTTGATACACTGAGCTCTTTTAAATTTTTTCACTTCAATGACAGTCAAATTTTGAACATAATTTGGATACAATTTCTAGGGGCTCTTTATTTTCAGATAAATATTGTAACTACCCCACAAATGCCACCAGTTGCTTTTTGGAAAAATTTTGACCTGGTTTCTGAGATTCTGTTCATTATGCTTTATTAAGTGCTTCCTCAGTTTTGTGTTTGTGTGTGTGTTTTTGAGACGAAGCCTCGCTCTGTCGCCCAGGCTGGAGTGCAGTGGGGCAATCTCAGCTCACTGCAACCTCCACCTCCCGAGTTCAAGTGATTCTCGTGCCTCAGCCTCCTGAGTAGCTGGGACTACAGGCACGCACCACCACACTCGGTTAATTTTTGTATTTTTATTAGAGCTGGGGTTCACCATGTTGGCAGGCTGGTCTCAAACTCCTGACCTCAAGTGATCCGCCCACTTCAGCCTCACAAAGTGCTGGGATTCCAGGCATGAGCCACCAGGCCTGGCCCTAGCTTCCTCAGTTTTTAATTTGGATAGTTTTGATCTCATGTGCATGGTTGACATGTAATGTTTTTCACATCTGTAAATATGTAATATTATCGAATACAGTTCCAATCTTACTACTGATTGATTACATGGTTTATAATTTTGAATTGTATGGATTATTTAAATGTCTTCCTGCTTTTTCTATAAGCAAACAATTTTCCTACATATTTTTGTGTGCCAGTTAACAGTCAGTAGAGCATTTGTTTTTGCGTTACTATTTTTCATTATTCTAGACTTACCGTCTTCATCATGACTCTTAAGAATTGTTTAAATTGCATTCATTTACTATGTTTTGAAGTTTTCATGAAAGATCACAGAGAATAATATAACATCCATGTACCTACCACCCAAATTTAATACATCCTAAGTGGCCTTCTTTGCTTTAATTCTTTTAAGAATCAGAATGTTACAGATGTAGTTTAAGTTCTTTTGTGTTCTTCCCATAACCCATTCCCTTCCTCTCTCCTAAAAGGTAACCAATATCAACCACTATCCTAGGTGTGAGATGTTTCTATCTACATTTTTACATTATGCTTTTATTATAGACTGGATTTCAGAAATATATAGTAGAGTTTTGTGTGGTTCTTAAACTTTATTAAGGCTATTGTACTATATAAGTAACATTCTACATATTGATTTTTTCAGTTAAATAGTATATTAGATATTCATATTTATACTTGAACAGCTAAGTCATTCATTTTGATTGTTATATAAAATTAAGTAAAAATGTATCCTAATTTGTCATTTTTCTCTTATAGAAATATCACTTCCAATTTCTTGCTATTGTGAATAGTGCTATAATGAACATCCTTGTATATTATCTCCACATAGCATATGCTAAGTTTCCCAGAGGCATGTACCTAGTAATGAAATTGTTAGGTCTACAGTAGTCAACCTTTCTAGATATTGTCAAATTGCTTTCTAAAGTATAATGAGTGAATAATGATAATTTTCATCTCACCACATCTCACCAACACCTAATGTCACATTTTTAACATTTTTGTCGTTGGCCTGGCCCGGTGGTTCACGCCTGTAATCCTAGTACTTTGGGAGGCTGAGGCAGGTGGATCACCTGAAGTCAGGAGTTCGAGACCAGCCTGACCAACATGGAGAAACCCCGTCTCTACTAAAAATACAAAATTAGTTGGGCATGGTCGTGCATGCCTGTAATCCCAGCTACTCAGGAGGCTGAGGCAGGAGTATCACTTGAACCCAGGAGACGGAGGTTGCGGTGAGCCAAGAACATGCCATTGCACTCCAGCCTTGGCAACAAGAGCAAAACTCCGTCTCAAAGAAAAAAAAAATTTTTTTTTGTCAACCCATGTGGGTATGAAATTGTTTCTCATTATTTGCATTTCACTAATTACTAGTGAGGTCAAACATTTTTTCCCTCATTTCTTATCCATTAAAGTTTATTCTGTGAATTGCCAGTTCATGGCCATTTTGGGGGTGTAGTTTTTCTTACTGATTTATTGAAGTTTAATGTTTTTCTGGAAACTAATATTTTGCTAGTTGTGTGAATTGTAAATATCTTCTCCCACTGTATTTTTTTAAAAACTTTTTATTGTCTGAATTAGCACATATTTAGTGAATGCCTCTATGTGCAATTCTTTTTTTTTTTTTTTTTTTTTTTTTGAGATGGAGTTTCGCTCTTGTTTCCCAGACTGGAGTGCAGTGGCATGATCTAAGCTCACTGCAACCTTCACCTCCCGGGTTCAAGTGATTCTCCTGCCTCAGGCCTCCTGAGTAGCTGGGATTACAGGTGCCCGCTACCATGACCAGCTAATTTTTTGTATTTTTAGTAGAGACGGGGTTTCATCATGTTGGCCAGGTTGGTCTCGAACTCCTGACCTCAGGTGATCCACCCGCCTCGGCCTTCCAAAGTGTAGGGATTACAGGCATGAGCCAGTGAGCTCAGCCTCTATGTGCAATTCTTAATGTCAAGCTGAGGGAGAAGTCTAAGAAGTTTTATATAAGTCTGACACCCAGGGTGCCTGTAATTAAAGGTGGAATGAAATTTTAATTTGCGAGTTGATCCTTCTGTTTTTTAGTTCAGTACTTCCTCCTTTTTAGAATGTATGCTTTCCAGATAATTAGTGAGATAAAGATTTGATTTTCACTTTTAGCATTTCTAAAAGCTGTAATATGCTACCTAACTTGTTTTTAATTCTTGCTCTAACTTCTGATATTTTATAGTTGTGTATTTTGAATTATATTTTAAAGGATTAAGTGGATTATTGCACATGATATTTAGTAAAGTGTTTGGGAGCATTTAGCACAGCCTCCAAAAATTAGAATTCCACTAGCCCCCTGATCCTACATATCTGGCATCTTAAGAGTCAATAATAGCAAAGTTGAGAGAGGCAGCTTGGTGTGGTGGAAAGAACATGGGTATTGGATCCGATAGCCTTAGGTTCAAATCCTGGCTTCTTCAGTAATTATCTTCTGTAATTTTAGCCAAGTGTTTAATTTCCTTGAGACTCAGTTTCTCGAAGATGAAGTAGAAAATGGCTTTCACCAGGTTGTTGTAAAGACTGAATCAAATAGTGTGCATGAAAATTGCAAGGCATAGTGCTCAGGACATAGTTAACATTCTTAAATATATGTTGAGGAATGGTGTGCACCTGAAAATTCCTATAAAAGCTGCAAATATACATGCCTTTTGATCCAGCTGTTCCACTTCAGGATATCCTTACTCATGTGTGCAAAGCAATTTTTTGTAGAAATGTTTGTAATAGCAAAAGACTGGAAACAACTGAAATGTACACTGCTAGGGAACTGATTACTCTCTGGTATGTCCACGCAATGCAGCTCTATGAAAAAAAGGAGTACGTGTCAAGATATATTAACAAATAAAGTACAGAATATTGTACTGTACTTATCCCTTTTGTGTTTAACAAAAGAAAGAAAAGGAGAAAAATTAGAATATAGTATATATTTGCCTTTATGTGCAAAAAAAGGAAATCACTTTTTGTTTTTTTTGAGACAGGGTCTCATTCTGTCACCCAGGCTGGGGTGCAGTGGCGCTATCACGGCTCACTGCAACCTCAACCTCCCAGGCTCAAGCGATCCTCCCGCCACAGCCTCCCAAGTAGCTGGGACTACAGGCACACGCCGCCATGCCCAGCTAATTTATTTATTTATTTTTGGTAGAGATGGGGTTTCGCGATGTTACCCAGGCTGGTCTCAAACTCCTGAGTTCAGGTGATCCACCTGTCTTGGCCTCCCAAAGTGCTCTGGGATTACAGGCATGAGCCACTGTGCCTGACCTCTTTTCTTCTTGATGTGAAATTCTTCATAGATTAGACAAATTTGCCCATTGTGCAAATATGTTGCAAATATATTTTCTCAGTTTGTCATTTATCTTGATTTTTCTTATGGTTTTAAAAAAATGTGATTGGATTTATGGTTTCTGGCATTGAACCATAGTTATAAATGTATTCTTTACTCTGAGGTTGTCCAGGGAATCTTCTAATTTTCTTAATTTAATTTTCATCTTTTAAAAACAGCTCTATTGATGCATAATTGATATACAAAAATAGCATATATTTACTACTATTTGATGAGTTTGGACATGTGTACACACCCATGAAGCCATCAGTTAACCTGATGGTGGTGATGGTTTCCTGTAATTTTATGCTTCCATTTTTCACATTTAGATCTGACTTTTCTGGAATTTATCTAAGTGCACGATGTGAAAGATAGATACAGCTTATTTTTCTTTCCAGATGGCTATACCTTGTTCTAGGACAATTTATTAAATAGTCCATCTTTTTCTTTCTGATCTGAGATGCTATCTTTATTATATGCTAAATTTCTGTACATGTTTAAATTTATTTGCTCCTTTTGTTTGTCTCTTTGTACACCAGTATCTACCTCATTGTTCTAATTATTCGAGCTTCAGGATACATTTTAATACTTCTGGGTAGGAACAGAACCTTCTCGTTACTCTTACAAAATTTTCTTCTTTATTCTGGTTTATTTTTCCTAAGAACTTTAAAAGTTGGCACTGAATTCCAAAATAGAACACCCAAAAACCTGTTGATTTTTCCACTGGGATTATGTTAAATTTTCGGGTTAACTTAGGGGAAAACCATTATTTCATGATGTTAAATCTTACTCCATGAGAGAGCATGGTACGTCTTTTCATCTGTACAGGTCTTTTTTTATATTGTTCAGTAGCAATTTAAAAAAATCATCCACTATGTTCAATGAAATAAAAGGCCAGATTTAAAAATTTGGCAAGGAGTTGAAAACTATAAAAAGGAACCAAATAAAAATTCTTTTTTTGCCCCCATAAGGCAGAAGAAATACAAATTCTACAACTGAAAAAATATAATATCTGATATTAAGAAATCAATAAATGGTTTATTATATTAGCTACATTTGAAGAGACAACTAAAAAAGAAAAATATTTTCAAACCAACTCAGAAACAAGAAGATGGAAAATAAAGAATACAATGCTATTTATATTTATATATAATAGTATATATAATACACAAGTTTAACATAGGACTGCATTTGCAGAATAGAAGAGAGATAATGGGGAGATAGCAACACTTGGAGAAAAAATAACGAACACTTTTTTATTTAAAGTGCCTAACTTGGCTGGGTGTGGTGGCTGACACCTGTAATCCCAACACTTTGGGAGGCTGAGATGGGTGGATCATTTGAGCCCAGGAGTTCAAGACCAACTTGGGTAACATGGCGAAACCCCATCTCTACAGAAAAACTCCAAGAAATAAAAAACAATAATCATCTGAGTGTGGTAGCACATGCCTGTCGTCCTTGCTACTCAGGAGGTGGGGGTGGCAGAATTACCAGGGCCTGGAAGTCAAGGCTGCAATGAGCTGTGATCGCATCACTATACTTCAGCCTGGTTGACGAGTGAGACCCTGTCTCAACAAATAAAAATAAAAATAAAAATAAAAATGCCTAACTTGGTGCTTGGCACTTTCTAAAATTGACACATAATATTTGTACCTGTTTATGGAGTATATGTGATATTTTGATACATGCATACAATGTGTGTAATGATCAAATCAGGATATTTAAGATATCCATCATCTCAAACATTTTTCTTTGTGTTCAGAACATTCCAAATCTAGCTATTTTGAAATATACAATAAATTATTAACTATAGTCATCCTAATGTGCTATTGAATATTATTGAATTCCATCTAATTATATGTTTGTACCAATTAACCAATCTCTACTTATTCCTCACCCCCAGCTCCCACCAACCCTTTCCAGTCTCTGGTAACTATCATTTTATTCTCTACCTCCATGAGATCAAATTTTTTACCTCCCATATCGTTGTCAATATTATTATTTTTCCCACCCTGGCTCCTAATGAAGGATTTATTGACAATATCACTGGAATCTAAATCCTCTAGGCCATTTTTTCACCAATGCCCTTATTTTCTTAGGGCTTTTTTTTTTCTTAAATCAACAGTTTTATTGAGATATAATTCCCATTCTATAAAATTTCCTCGTTTGAAGTGTACAGTTTAATAGCTTTTAGTATATCCACAGAAGTGTGCAACCATCACCATAATAAATTTTAAAACATTTTCAGCAGGGCGCAGTGGCTCACGCCTGTAATCCCAGCTACTCAGGAGGCTGAGGCAGGAGAATTGCTTGAACCCAGGAGGCAGAGG
The DNA here is from genome assembly GCF_000001405.40 of Homo sapiens. Classification (NCBI taxonomy): domain Eukaryota; kingdom Metazoa; phylum Chordata; class Mammalia; order Primates; family Hominidae; genus Homo; species Homo sapiens. The sequence continues at coordinate 50,268,416 of NC_000015.10, read as the reverse complement.
TTTCAGTGAGCCGAGATTGCACCACTGCAATCCAGCCTGGGCCACAGAGTGAGACTCCATCTCAAAACAAAACAAAACAAAGCAAAATAAAACGAAGCAAAATAAAACAAAACCAAAACCCAACAATTTTGAACATTTTCATCTTACCACCCTGCCAAAAATCCCTGTTCTCCTTAGCCATCAATCTTCAGCTCCCTACCCACTTCTAACCATGAATCTATTTTGTAGATTTGTCTATTCTCGATATTTCATATGAATGAAATAATATAATATATGGTTCCTTGTGACTAGTTTCTTTCACTTAGTATGTTTCCAAGTTCATCCATGTTTTGGTATGTATCAGTACTTCATTCCTTTTTATCATGGAATAATATTCTGTTGTATTGATATACTACGTTTCATTCATTCATCTGAACATTTGGATTATTTCCATTTTTGTCTATTATAATAATTCTGCTATGAACACCCATGTATACGTTTTTGTGTGGACATGATTTCATTTTCCTTGGATATACACCTAGCAGTAGAATTGTTGAGTCATAAAGAACTCTAGGTTTAGCTTTCTGGGGAGCTTCCAGATTATTTTCCAAAATGGCTGTGCCATTTTACATTCCCACCAGTAAAGTATGAGGGTTCTAATTTTTCCCTGTCTTCACCAATACTTGTTGTTATCTATCTTTTTTATTATAGTCATCATAGTCTGTATGAAGTGATTTCTCACTGTAGTTTTTTCAGTAGTAATTAAAAAATTTCCTACCTATTTTAGCCTAAAATTACTTTCCTGACTCTCTTCAAGGAGCCTGCCAGAGAATTCTCTCTCTCGTGCTGTCTCCCTTATGCCTGGGCATAAGCTCTGATAATGCCCTGTCTGGGAAAACTCTTTTGGCCTTCTCAATTTCTATTACATTGAGAGCCCAAGAACCCATGGTCAGTAACAGGCCAATGAGAAGCCTCCTGCATTAGTCTAGGTGAAGGATAATGGTGGCTTGGACCGGAATAGGGTGGTAGTCATGGAAATGGGGAGAATTTGACAGACTAGATTTATTTTGGAAATAGAACTGAATCTGAACAGATTGAATTGGGCAGGGAGCAGGGAAAGTGAAGGGGAAGGAAGACACCAGGTTTATGCCTTCAGCATTTGGGTGGATGAATGGATGGATGAAAGGATAGATGGATGCATGGATGGTGGTTGGATGGATGAGTGGTTGGATGAATGGACGGTCAAGGGGTGAATAGATGGGTGGATGGAAAATGGAGAGATGATGAACTGAGATGGGGAAGACTAGAAGTGGGGCATATTTTTGGGGAAAGACAGTTTTGCAATACGTTAAGTTTGAGGTGCCTCAGAGTCATAAGAGAGGATTTGTCAGAAAGGCAGTTGGATATAAGATTTTGAAGCTCAAAAGACAGGGAGGGCCTGATGGTATGTTTAAACCTATACGGATATCACATAGGTAACATTTCAAGCCTAAGAAATGGGCCGGGCGCAGTGGCTCACACCTGTAATCCCAGCACTTTGGGAGGCTGAGGCGGGTGGATCACTTGAGGTCAGGAGTTCGAGACAAACCCAGCCAACATGGTGAAACCCCATCTCTGCTAAAAACACAAAAATTAGTGGGGCATGGTGGCACATACCTGTAGGCCCAGCTACTCAGGAGGTTGAGGTGGGAGAATTGCTTGAACCCGGGAGGCAGAGGTTGCAGTGAGCCAAGATTGTGCCACTGCACTCCAGCCTGGGCGACAGAGCAAGACTCCGTCTAAACAAAACAAAACAAAAAAAGCCTTAGAAATGGGCAATGCCACCAAAGCAGAAAGATGAAAGGAGGGCAATGCCCTGAGGTGTGCCAGCATTGGAGGAAACAAACAGCCAGAGATGTAGGAGGAAAGCCCAGAGAAACTGTGAGCTGCAAGGATGAAGTAGTAACAAATAAAATGCCACCAAGAGAACCAGAAGGACGACTGGAAACAAATAAACAAGAAAGACTATTGCATTTAGCAACGTGAAAACGTTGGATTACTTTTTACTCAGAAATCAAACCCCAAGGATAGTGTTTCCCCTCCCTACAGGGGTTTCTGCAGGTCCCTTTACACGCCCCCCTTCTACTTCTTTAAGTGCTAAAAGTGATTAATTTGGGGTGATGTTTTAATTTCTATTCTTTTTGGCTTATAACTGTGTTTTTTCATTCTTTGCAACAACAGATAGTATGTTGTAATAGAAAAATCCATTGTGGTCAATGATAACTTCTGCCTGTTCCTGGGCACAGGGGGCATCACTATTAGTGCCTGTTCCTCCCTCCCTACTGCTGATAAGGAAACAGGGGCAGGAATAATACTAATAATTTGTGCTACTTTTTCTGCATACCCTTGGCCTTATTCTGGTCTACTGAGCTGGGAGCTTGTCTGAGGCTGGAGCTCTATTGTCTGAATCCAGGGGCAGAAAGAACTGAGGGCTCTTTTACGGCATCCACCTGGAGGCTGCCTGCAGGCTTGGGTTGCTAAGTGCACTGCTTAATTTAGAAGCGCCTTTTATCCTGGCTCTCTTGACCAGTCAAAGTTGTGGTCGCTGTTTTCTACAAGGACTGGGGAAAGAAAGGGTGGAATTAATTAAACCTGGAGGAAGGGACTTTGAAGGGCGGAGCTAAGGTCAAAGAAAGAACCCTTTAAATAAAGGGCCCACACTGGCTGCCAGGGAGTGCGCAGGACTGGCAAGAGGGAAGCCGGGCTGCTCCACGCCTTTCACGCCTTCCACCTCCTGCGTGTCCATCTGTGAGAAGGAGCCAGAGCCCAAGGGAGATGATGGAGCCTGAGGAGTACAGAGAGAGAGGTGAGCAACGGGCATCCCTGGCCCTCTTCCCTGCTGCTACTCCTGCAGGAACGGCTGCTGGTGGGTGGCCCTTAGATTCTGGGGTGACATTTGATGGGAGCATTAGAATTGCCTTCTGAGAGTTGGCACCAGCAACATTTTTTTTTCTGCGAAAGGAATGTGGGATCAGAGTGTAAAACTTTTCTCAACCACTCTTTCATTCTCCCTCTCATATACCCACTCTCACATATGTCCACACTACCGTGCCTTGCTTTTCCTCCCCACTTTCCCACAAAATTGAGGATTTGGATCCCTGAGCCACTAGATGGGAAAAGGGGATTGTTCATATTCTGAAATAGAAAAAAATTTTCTCAATATTCTGTAATCACTGCAAATCCTTTCTTTCTTAACATTCATTCCTTCATGTGTGAATCTATCAGCAGTGTTCTTTCATTTAGTCATTCATTTCATAAATATTTAGTAGGTGCCTACTCTGTATCAGGCAAAACCAAGTGGTTATCCAGTTCTCAGGCATGGATCTCCCTTAGCAGGAAAGTAGGTAGTTGCTTAAAAAAGAATCTTGAATGTCTATTTCTATAATGTTTTATATCCTCCTACTCACTAATTAGTGTGCGTTAGCTTATTCCATTGCTTTCCTAAGGCACTGTCAGCTGAGAGCAAGTTCCTGTGGATATTTATCTTCTGAGTGGAACACAAATACATTTAGCACTGTTCCTGGATCAGTGGAGGGTTAGGTCTAGAGCTCTCAGATCTCTGGTGGGGCCCTGCTGGAGAAGAACCAGGATGTGAGAGGGTTGAAGGGGAGCAGAAGGAAGATAGAATGGTGTGGAAATCTACCTTTGTCTCATAAGTTTTGTCTGGGGTTGGTTCTGTTCTTAAGAACTTTGCATAAGCTGATGCAGAGGGGAGAAACTGAGTCCCCTCTCCTAGGTAAAAGCAGCCCAGGGAGTACTAAGGAATGGATGTTGAGACAGACAAAGAGATATGTACACACACACACATGCACACACAGCAACAGAGGCACTGAAGACTGCAATCTGAAAGAATAAATAATTTGCAATAGTTTCAGAGTGTTCAACTTGACTTTTTTTTCCTTCCTTACTCATATGTTCATTCACTTGATACATTTTTTTTTAGCATCTAAAAAATATCCTAAGCACTGAGGTGTTGATGGAGGCAGCAGGAGGGAGAGAAAGTCATTAAGATTTGGTGCCACATTTCCCAGGCCAGGGCAGGGGGCTTGGTCTGGATCCATGGTTGTGCTTTAGGGATTCTGTGAGCCTCAGAAATTATACACAAAGTTCTGTGTATATGTAAGCCTACAGTTTTAATCAGATTCTTGAATTAAGTCCTCATATGAGTCCAAAAAAGATGAATAATAACTGATTCAATGGGGATGGTGAAAAAATAGATTTTTTTGTCCTTTATCGGAACTGGGCATGGAATCTTTCTATCTGTGCTAACAGATATAACTGGTGGGTGTGTGTGTAACAATTTTTGGATACAAAGAGCTATAGAGTTTCTATTGAACCTATAAAATAGTTAATAGATGTTCTGTTTCTGAGAAGGAAAGAAAGGTAGGAGAGACAATCAAAATTGAAGTGGATAAAGGAAGGGGAAAGAAAATGAAACGTTTCACTTTGGCGCTAGAGTTTTGTGCTTTGGAGATTTTCCTTTTTGTTCATTTGCTCACTTAGAAACTCCCTCCATCATTCATTCACTCCCTCACTCTTTTTTTAAATTCTGAAGATAAGGTCGTGCAGGGGATCAGATCCTACCCTCGGCCCATGAATCTGTCTCTCTCTTTTTTTTGAGTCCAGGCTGGAGTGCAGTGGCACGATCTCGGCTCACTGCAACCTCCGTCTCCCAGGTTCAAGCGATTCTCCTGCCTCAGCCTCCCAAGTAGCTGGGATTACATGCGCCTGCCACCACGCCCGGCTAATTTTTTGTATTTTTAGTAGAGAGGGGTTTGACCATGTTAGTCAGGATGGTCTTGATCTCCTGACCTCGTGATCCGCCTGCCTCAGCCTCCCAAAGTGCTGGGATTACAGGCATGAGCCACTGTGCCCGGCCAAATCCATCTCCTTCTTTACCAAGTCTCTTGGCCCGGACCTGAGAGGGATGGGCACAAATCGGTCAGGCCCAGTCAGGGGATTTCAGCCTGATTTCTCTATGTCACTTCTAGGGAGAGAGATGGTGGATTACATCTGCCAGTACCTGAGCACTGTGCGGGAGAGACGTGTGACGCCAGACGTGCAGCCTGGCTACCTGCGAGCCCAGCTGCCTGAGAGTGCTCCTGAGGACCCCGACAGCTGGGACAGCATCTTTGGGGACATTGAACGAATCATCATGCCTGGGGTGAGACACAGTGACCACAAGGGCAGTTCTGGATTTCAGGGCACAGAAGGGTGGGTGGTGGCCTGGAGAAAGACCTGCTTTGGGTCAGCTTGGGATGAGAATGCATCCTTCAGCCACTTGGCCACCAACACCCCAGCCCATCTGCTAGGCATGTGGAGGGCAGGACTTTGACTGGTATTAGGTTTCTTTTTCTTTTTTTTTGCCCAGTTGTGCCATGGCATGAGGTTTCTGATGCCAGGGCAGGGCTGGCCAGAACACCTGCATTCCAGAGCACAGCCTGGCAGAAGTGTGGAAGTCTAATGGGATGGGTGGAGAAGTGAACATTTTGTCTGAGGGGAAAGGACAACTGTGTATAGTAAGACAGGGGAGAGGAAGCTGGTGGTAGTGCCTGGCCCTGACGACGGAGCCAGAGACTCTTCTGTACAGTGTCTGAGACCACACCAAAGAGAAGGAAGGAAGTGGGGAACACATCCTGGCAAGGACACGCTGGTGACCAGGTTGCGTTGGCCCAGGAAACTGAGTGGGCCCTGGCAACCCCTCCTGTCCCCTCTGAGGTCTGGTGATTGAGCTGCTTTTCAAGAGCAAGAAGGGACTTTCCCTGAATCATTGATACTTTCCATGATGGAGGGTGCAGCCTGGGATAGTGCTGGTGGGGCCAGGAAGCTGATGGAAGCTGGCTGATGCATGGGCTTGAGCTGGAGCCTGCCTTGATGGGTGGTGGACACCCCTGACCACTGGCGGTGAGGAGCTCTGCCATGGTGCTCATGCTAAAGTGGCATCGACTCCCTTCCTGTGGCGGGGCTCCCTGCCATGTGCCAGCTCTGTGCTGGCCACATGACATGCTATCTAATTTAATCTTCCCAGTGGCCCTGTTTTACAGATGAGGAAACTGCTGATGCTCAGAGAAGTTAACTGTCTTGCCCAAAGTCACAGAATTAGTACCTGGTAGATCCAGGATTTTACCCTAGACCAGTCTTACTTCACAGGCTGTGCCGTTTCTCCTACCCTCTGTCACCTCTACTGGTGGGTGCCTGAATGTGCCTGGCTAAGCCTGGGCCCCTAGCATTGCCTGTCTGGCTCCACACCCCCACACAAGCTGTGTCTTCCCTCTCCCTGCTTGGGGCATTTGTGTTCTGAACCACACATGTTTAGAGGCTCTTCCTGAGGCCAGCTTGAGGTTTGCCTTCATCATTCCCAAAGAACTTTTGACTTCAATGTGACAAAAAGGCCAGGCGCGGGGGCTCACACCTGTAATCCCAGCACTTTGGGAGGCCAAGGCAGGTGGATCACCTGAGGTCGGGAGTTCAAGACCAGCCTGACCAACATGGAGAAACCCCGTCTCTACTAAAAATACAAAATTAGCTGGGCATGGTGGCACATGCCTGTAATCCCAGCTACTTGGGAGGCTGAGGTAGGAGAATCGCTTGAACCCGGGAGGCGGAGGTTGCGGTGAGCTGAGATAGCGCCGTTGCACTCCAGCCTGGGCAACAAGAGCGAAACTCCATCTCAAAAAAAAAAAAAAGTGACAAAAATATGCCTAGAGGCAGGGGTGGGAAAATATTCAAACTCAGAAAGTGATGGCAATTTTGACTTTTTTTTTTTTTTTTTTTTGAAGCAATAGAGACAAGGTCTTGCTATGTTGCCCAAGCTGGTCTCCAACTCCTGGGCTCAAGTGATCCTCCTGCCTCGGCCTTCCAAAGTGTTGGGATGAGAGGCCTAAGCCACTACGCCTGGCCATGAGGGCAATTTCATACAAAGCCACTCATCTCTTTGACCATTCAGCCTATTTCACAAGCATTTTTTGAAAATGTCAATATCAGTAAGGCTTTACGGAGGCTAGATCCTGATAAGATTATCTCCTGGATTTTATTCTGTAAAATGTAATCTGCTGAGGGGCTAACTGTAATCTGGGAGTGAGACTGAAAGCAACTGTCAGAAGAGGTGGAAATGAGCTGATTCATTTGATCAAGAGGAATTCCAGCAGTTGCTGTGGGTATGGTCGGTGAGGCTCATTTCTGGAAAGAGGTCTGTTTGTTTTTGATAAGGGCTCTTCTGGCTATTTTATCTTATTTATCTTACAAGAACAGACTATTGTCTCTTGATAGAGCTAGGAGGTAGAAGCCCTTCTCTGGGGTTTCCAAAATACTGTCACTAAGGACAGTGATAATGATGGTCAAATCTCTCAACTCATCTCTCAGGCCACACCAGCCTCTGAGAGCTGGCCTGAAAGCAGTTGGCCCTTTGCTTACTCATTTTGCTCAGTGCCTCATTGAAAACTGAATTAGTTTTTCTCTTCCTGCCACCACCTAGAAAATAAGAGAAGAAAAACTCTCTTTCCCCTTTAATTCCAACCCTGGTTAGACAATCCTCATTTACTTTTCATGAGAGAGAGAGAGCATCCCCACGGGAAAAGTCAGGACACCACCCTGCTCGGGTGTCTGGGCTTCTGCCTCATTGCGGTCACCTGTCCCTATGGGGTATGTGTGACCACAGGGATGTGGCCTCTCTCTGTCAGCCCCAGTTCTCGCCTGCAAAACAGAGATAATGTGTAGGTCCTACCCCATAGGGTCCTGTGAGAAGTAAGTAAGAGAAGGCTTGGAGAGCAGGAGATGTGGTTATTACCGATCATGACTCTTACATGGTGAAAATTGGAGGAAGAGGTTTGATTCTCTGAGTCAAGTCAGGATATGTGATGTGTCTGTCACCCACATGATTAGTTTACCGTTAATGTTAGAGCTTAACATTTCACACATTTCTTGCCCACGCCTCCACCCACACAACAACCCTAGGAGACAGGATTTATTTTACGATGAGAAACTGAGGTTGAGGGAGGTGCAGGAGAGGCTCCTGGTCTTATGGGGTCTGTACTGTAAACACTTTTTGAGACCTCCTTTTGAAAAACAAAAAAGAAGGAGGCCGGACACAGTGGTGCATGCCTGTAATCCCAGCACTTTGGGAGGCTGAGGCGGGTGGATCATGAGGTCAGGAGTTCGAGACTAGCCTGGCCAACATAGTGAAACACTGTCTCTATTAAAAATACAAAAAATTAGCCAGGCATGGTGGTGGGCACCTGTAATCCCAGCTACTTGGGAGGCTGAGGCAGGAGAATCTCTTGAACCTGGGAGCCAGGGGTTGCACTGAGCCAAGATGGCGCTGCTGCACTCCAGCCCTGGTGACAGTGCGAGAATCTGTCTCAAAAAAAAAAAAAAAAGAATGAATCTCAAAAGAGACCCACACAAATGGTATGTTGGAGCTTAAGTTCATTAGCTTCATGGTAAATCTACACGGTCACACAGCTGGTTAGGGACTGAGGTGGGATGGGAACTTGTGTCCTTGGACTTAATTCTTAGGCTCCTTATACTATACACACTGTCCAGGACAAGGTCCTTGCTCTTGAAGGACTCTAAGTATGTGTGGACAGTAAAGAACAGGATGATGCCCTAAGATGTTATCAAATGAGTCCTCAGTAGAGTGAAACATCTAGAATTCTAGAGTTCTATCGCTCAGGGAAGGGATCGAAGGGAGCTGTGGGAGCTGGGGGAGAGTTCGAGGAGGAAATGAATATTTAGTAGCTTTCTAAGAACTGGCAGGTTTTGGAAGGTCATGTCTTTATAGAGAGTGCCTTTCTATCAGGGGACACAGCATTGCTCAAAGACATAAATGCAGAAAGGAACAGGGCATGCTTGCAGAGCAGTGAGATGAGGAGAGATGAGATAATCCATGAGGCCGATGAACCACCAGGGCTGCTTCTGAGTTCTGATGGGGGGCCCTTCCTGCCCACTCAGCTCCTCCTTACATCCGGTTTTGATTGTGGGCTCAGGGCTTAGCCTGGAGGTCGGCCTCCCATACGCTTGGTCTGGGCTCTCCTCTCTACCGTCTCCTTTCCTCACTACATTCCCAATGTGATGCTTAAGGACAGCTTTGAACCCATTCACCCAGACCCTCTGAGTTGCATGCTCAGGGAGCTCAGTGCTCCATAAAACAAAAACAAAAGGTGCCTTTTGCAAGAAACTGGATGAAACAAGTAGTCTGCTTTTCTGGAGCTCACAGTCTGCCCTTCCTTTTTTTTTTTTGAGACGGAGTCTTGCTCTGTCGCCCAGGCTGGAGTGCAGTGGAGCGATCTTGGCTCACTGCAAGCTCAGCCTCCCGGGTTCACATCATTCTCCTGCCTCAGCCTCCTGAGTAGCTGGGACTACAGGCTTCTGCCACCCCGCCTGGCTAATTTTTTTGGTATTTTTAGTAGAGATGGGGTTTCACCATGTTAGCCAGGATGGTCTCAATCTCTTGATCTCGTGATCCACCTGCCTCGGCCTCCCAAAGTGCTGGGATTATAGGCATGAGCCACCGCACCCGGCCTGCCCTTCCTTTTATTGCTGGGCAGGGGCGGCATGAGGGGTAAGTACTGGGGACTAATGTGAATACCACCCAGAATCCCACAACTGGGTTACTGTAGTGATTTTCCTTTTGCATATTTCCTTCTGGACTTTGCATATATGAAAAGGCTCCACTGATGATCTAGCATAGGACATGGGCCACATTAGTGACAAGAACACCAGTGAACAAGTCTGATTTTCATGGAGTTATGTCACTTATTTCTGCTTAAAAGTGTCAGCCCATCTCTAGAGTGACACTTCACCTTGCCAGAGATGGTCTCTGGAGAAAGAAAGCCTGCTGGAAATGCCTCCTGGTGCCAACTCTGTGCATGCTCTGCCTCCAGGTGGTACATTGGCAGAGCCCCCATATGCACGCCTACTACCCAGCCCTCACCTCTTGGCCCTCCCTGCTAGGAGACATGCTGGCTGATGCCATCAACTGCTTGGGATTCACCTGGGTGAGTAGCAACGGCTGTAACTACTCGCAATGGGGAACGTAGCAGGGAGTGGTATCCTAGGGCAGACATATTTTGTCTTGGTTTCTGAATATGGCTCCACAATAAATATTAATGAGGGCTATATTCTTTAAGCTTACGCTTTATTTTAATTTTCTCATCACATCCTTTAACCCTATGGAATCACGAGTATTGATCCCATTTTGTAGGTGAAGAAATCGAGGCTTAAGCAACTTATCTCCCCCAGATCACACAGCTCATAGAGACACAGATAAGACTTGGATACAGATCTGGTTATTGCCACAGTTTGTGACCTTACCTAAGCAATTTGATGCCTATTGAGTCACCACTTCCTCTGTGCTCTTGTATTTGAGTAGCTGGAGATATGTCCTAAGACTTCCCTTAATAACCCCTTAAGCACCACTCAGCTTTAAATGGTGCCAAAAGCCTTCCAGAACATCTTTTTATTTTAAGCCTGAACTCCTATGGGTGTGTGGGTGGGTGGGCGGGGGTATTCATATCTTTTCTAGGAAAACATCCCCCTGGGCATTTGAGGACTTCTCAGCTATGTATTTTAGCGACTTGGAGAACCAAATCCAAGCCAACCATTTCTAGGGCTGTTTCTCCATAGAGCCTTGGAGAATTCGCCTCATTGAGGGCAGCATGAATCCAAAACCCCACATTATTTTCTCTTTTGGTTGACAGAGAGTGGACCAGGAGAGAGGCACGTGGCCTAACATGACCCCTTCTCCAGAAATGTTCCCATTGACACCATCAGGGGCAGACATGTTTCTGGAGCTCGTGGGGGCACCTCAGTGCCCTGGGGCTGTGCAGTTTGAAGTTCCTTTTCCTTTCTCAGGCATCCAGCCCTGCGTGTACAGAGCTGGAGATGAACGTCATGGACTGGTTGGCAAAAATGCTGGGACTTCCAGAGCACTTCTTGCACCACCACCCCAGCAGCCAGGGCGGAGGCGTCCTGCAGGTACCTCCCTTGGCAAAGCTTCACCTAGCTTGGGGGCTAAGTAGCGAAAGACAAGCCAAACCCTAACCTGGCAATTCTCCCGTTCTCCATGGAGTTTCCCCCACATTACCCACACCGTCATCACCAACAGCACCATCATCACAGCTTCCACCTCTACTCCCACCTCAGCTTCTGCTTCATTCACATGTACTGCTACTTCCTTTGAAAGAAATTAAAGAGCCAACACATGATCACATTTCCAGTATGACTTGATTCAGGTTTCTTAGTCTATAATCTGACAATTCCTTTTTGGTGTCCCATTTTGTATCTCACGGTAAAAGGGGAAAGGAGAAGGCAAGGAGAGGACTTCTCTTTCTCTCCCTGCTAGGTTCAGGAGATCCCTTGCAGTGAGAGCAATTAACAGCATAAACTGATTAACGGTATCCTCTGACCCTATCTTCTGGATACTTGTCAAATTATGGTTCTTCAAATATTTCTTTTTTTCAAGAGTAGTGCCATGGAGTGGAGCTTTCTGGGTGCCTCCCATGGACCACACACATTGTTAGGTGCTTTTGCATCTATAAATCCTTGACGTTCATGAGGGCTTGGTTCTAAGACCTTTGAGATTCCTCAGATTCTTGAATTCTACTTTAATGTATGTTTCCTGGTTTTATAATCTATGAGACAGAGATAATAATACTATTTCCCTCAAAGAGTATATGCAAGGATTCAATGAATTCTTTTTTTAAATAAAAATCGTGGCTGGACATGGTGACTCACCCCTGTAATCTCAGCACATTGAGAGGCTGAGACAGATGGATCACTTGAGCCCAGGAGTTCAAACCAGCCTGGGCAACATGGTGAAACCTGATCTCTCCAAACAAACAAAATTAGCTGGGTGTGGTGGCATGTGCCTGTAGACCCAGCTACTTGGGATGCTGAGGTAGGAGGATTGCTTGAGCCCAGAAGATTGAGGCTGCAGTGGGCTATGATTGTGCCACTGCCCTCCAGCCTGGGCGACAGTGTAAGACCTTGTCTCAAAAAATAAAAAAATTGCCATGTTGCTCTGAGATGAGAACCAGGAAGTTCACTAGGTCCTCTTGCTAGCTAAGTGACTCCCTCTCTCACTGCAGCCTTGCAGCAAGATTAAAATCTGAACCTCGGAAGAAAGACAAATTGCAGCATGTTGTGGACATTTTGGATTGTCAGCAAATAGTTACAACTTCAGATATCATATTTGGGAGAACATGCTAAATGTCTGCGGTACATGATCTTGCTTTTCATCTGATTATCTCAGGAACCCTGCAGGTGAATAGTACCATTCCCCAATGTTTTGAGATAAGAGCACTGAAGTTCAGAGAGATTAAATAATTTGCCCTAGCTTACACAGCTGATAAGCGGAAGAACGAGGATTCAAACTGATGCCTGTCTAAATCCAAACCATGCTTTCTCCTGTATCGTCAGCCATGTGAACTTGAGTTAGTCCCATCACCTCTCTGAGCATCACTCTCCTCATCTTAGTGTGACAAGAATCATAATTATCTCAAAGAGGTGTTGTGAGGAGCAAGTAGAATGCCAGAAAGTGTTTTGTAAACTATGAATTGCAATACAGATGGAAGGTGTTGTTACCATTATTATTATTTTTAAAAACAGGGCCTGGTTCTGTCTCCCAGGCTGGAGTGCAGTGGAGCCATCATGGCTCACTGCAGCCTCCATCTCCTGGGCCCAAGCAATCCTCCAACCTCAGCCTCCCACGTAGCTGGGACTACAGGTGTGCACCACTACACCTGGCTTTTTGTTTTTTGTTTTTTTTGTAGAGACAGGGTCTCACTATGTTGTCCAGGCTGGTCTCAAACTCCTGGACTCAAGGGATCCTCCCAAAGTGCTGGGATTACAGGTGCGAGCCACTGCACCCAGCTGATTATTATTATTATTATGCTACATACTTCTTTACATAAATAGCTTTCTTTTTATGGAGTAACTCCCAGGCACTTAATATCTGTGGGATCTGGTCCACACCACTCTCCATGACAGTGTCTGCCAGGCATTTTTAGCAGGATTCTATCAGCTGTAGGTCACTTGAAGATTTCAAGAAGCAAAGACATCAAAGACTGGGTGAATGAATGATAAGGAACCATAAAGACTCCTGTGAAGTTCCTGAGGTGGCCCCGAAGATTTCCACAATCATGGCCAGAGCAAAATCCTACCCAACCCTTGTTTGGATAATCTATACTCCCATCCTGGGAAGCAGTTAAAGGGATGCTCTCCATTTCATAGACAGAAAAGAGTCTTCTGGAGGGGAAATGTTAGCCCAAGGTCACAAGAGCTATTGACAACTAAATGGGCCCAAGTCACCAGCCTCTCACACAGGCCAGGATCCTCTCTTCCTGGGGACTCAAACTCCATATCCATTTGTGTAATAAGCTGAGAGTTCTTCTTTTAAATATGTTTTACATGGGGAGCAAACACATCCAGGAGGGACAGAACATTCTCTTTTTGGTTTCTGTGGCCTCTGTAATAGAGAGGCTGGTATTAGGTGCAAACTTATTTTAGAAGGCAGAATAGGAATGAAAGTTGGGGAGGGACATGGGCACCCTGGGCAGGAGGAGCTGTGTATTTCCTTCTGTGAATAGCTATGACACACACATACACAAACACATACACACACAGAGAGAGAGAGAGAGAGAGAGAGAGAGAGAGAGAGAGAAAAAACTAGAAAGCCTGGGGAAATTTGGCAAGAGAATACAGAAAGGCTGCCATGATAATCCTTTTCCCCTGCAGAGCACGGTCAGTGAATCCACTTTGATTGCCCTGCTGGCAGCAAGGAAGAACAAAATCCTGGAAATGAAAACGTCTGAGCCCGATGCTGATGAGTCCTGCCTAAATGCCCGACTCGTGGCCTATGCCTCTGACCAGGTGAGTTGCCCGACGCAGGACAGCCCTTCGGGTTGGTGCTTGGCTTCTGGAATCTTGGTCCTTGAGCAATTTTTTTCTAGACGTGAGTACGCTGGGGTTCTGAGCAGCTCAGACATGGGAGCTTGTCTCCAGCAACTGTAGGGAAGACAAGCTTCCAATGATCATATTTGGTTCCCGAGTCTTAGGCTTCAGCAGTTTCTGGGGGGTGATCATTCCAGGATGACTCTTTGCTGACAGGTTTCTGTGGCCCTTCTAGGCTCACTCCTCTGTGGAAAAGGCTGGTTTGATTTCCCTTGTGAAGATGAAATTTCTGCCTGTGGATGACAACTTCTCACTCCGAGGGGAAGCTCTTCAGAAGGCCATCGAGGAAGACAAGCAGCGGGGCTTGGTGCCCGTCTTTGTAAGTCAGGATATATGCCTAAGCTTAGAATGATAGAACTTGGATGTGAGGAAGGAATTTTGGCAGAATTCAGGTAAGTAACATGCTGCACACAAAAGCAGAAAGGTCCTCCCATACAGTATTTTACACATCATGAGGTGCTATCCATAGGTGTGTTATGGAATAAATTTTGTGGGTCATAACCAGCATTAAAAAGAAATATAGTATAAAATATTAGAGTGCACACATATAGCCAGAGTATGTATTGTTTTATGAAACTTTTTTTTCAAATACACACGTATACATGTACTAGATTGTTATATAAAATGTGTTTCTTACGAGCCATGGTAAAACACAGTCTGAAATATACACTGTTCTGGTGGGATGGATGGGAGTAGATCACGTCTGTGGTGAAATCTTTCTCAGGCCAAATGTGTCACACGAGCCCACCCTCCTGTGTTAACTTGCCTTAATTTTCCCCTAGGTCTGTGCAACACTAGGGACCACTGGGGTCTGTGCATTTGACTGCCTGTCAGAGCTGGGCCCCATCTGTAAGTATCTTCCCTCTGTGGCTAGGAAGACAAGGAATACATTTTTAAATGTCTCCTAAAGCAAGGACCTGAAACCAGCTCTATGGGATTATTCTTGTTCCTCTTTGGTCAATGCAGAGACATGGGAAGAACCACCAAAGGTCATGAGGGTCTCTTCCAGGGATCCCTGGACATTGCCTTTCCCAGTGGTGTGACAAGAGTTAGAGGTGGCCTACCTTGCCTCCTGTCCTAGGAGGCGACAGTAGGAGAGCCTTCGGTTTTCTCATCCTCTTACTTGTATGTTGAACTTTACTTAATGCAGGCTATATCCAAAATACAGTGTGAATTAGGCTAGAATAGAAATGCTTTCTATTCTACCTTCAGAAAAGGAAAAGGGTAGGGTAGGGGAAATCATGGGAGAGATTAAAGGCAGAGAGGAAACCCAGATGGGACTGTTTAATCCCCAAGCAAGAAACCACTAGGAAAGAGAGATACCTTCCCTCTAACTTTTGTATTCGGTGCACTGACATTGCTCTCTGTGCTGGTGGGAAATTGATTTCTGTGCCAGGATGTTCTAGGCTGAGGCCAAGAGGGTGCTGGCCCTTTACCCAGTGGAAGAAAAAGGCAAGGGTGAGGCTTTGTAGACTTTCCCATTCGGAGGTAATGATGCCTCCTTCAGCCCCACTTCTTCAAACTGACTCCACCTGCTCCCATCTCCACACCCCTCCGTTTCTCATTTAGCCAAAGCACATCATCCTTGCAGCCCACCACTCAGCTTGGCCAGGTGCGAGACATCTTTCCCCACTTCATACCTCCCCTCCGGCCAGGTGATGTTTGCCTCCTCAGGTGCCCGTGAGGGGCTGTGGCTCCACATCGATGCTGCTTATGCAGGCACTGCCTTCCTGTGCCCCGAGTTCCGGGGGTTTCTGAAGGGGATTGAGTATGCCGACTCCTTCACCTTTAATCCTTCCAAGTGGATGATGGTGCATTTTGACTGTACTGGGTTCTGGTGAGTGTAGCAGCCCAGCTCCGAGCACGCAGGAACGCCTTGCCTCCTCTGGAGAGACCTCAGCCACTAATGCCCATTTGGAAACCCACAGGGTCAAGGACAAGTACAAGCTGCAGCAGACCTTCAGTGTGAATCCCATCTACCTCAGGCATGCCAACTCAGGCGTGGCCACCGACTTCATGGTGAGTGGCCAGGGACGGGCAGCCTGGTGGGCTCGGGTGGCCAGTGGGAACTGTAGGCGTCTGACCCCCCAAAATCTGTACGGTGGCTCCCTTCAGAAGGCAGCACACTATGAGCTCATCTCATAATACTGCCAATGCATACCTTGGTTTCTAATTGTGCCTAAGTATATAGAATGAAACCCAGAAAATGGTTAAAAACCCTAGAAAATGAGACCAGCCTTTGAGGCAGTGTGCACATTTCCTGAATATTTGTGGCATTTTTTAATTCCCAGAAATGCTCTTCCTACCACAGGTGGACCAGTTCCTTCTGCCTCCATCTCGGGTCATCTTTTTTGTTTCTTACCCAGCAGCAGGGCAGGGTGGAGAATTTCCCTGGTGGGGAAAGAGCTTTCTTGCTGAAATCGCTTTTGTTTTTTTGTCCCTGACAGAGGCGCTGTGGGGCAGCTCTGTGGTAGTGATGGGCTGCAGGACTTGTGTGAGGTTCTGGAAGCCTCCAAGCATTCCTGACTTTCCCAACTGACTGCGCCTCAACTCTCTAACTCACTCTCTCTCTCTTTTCTTTTGTTTTCTTTCTTTCTTTCTTTCTTTTTTTTTTTCTGAGACAGAGTCTCGCTCTGTCAACCAGGCTGGAGAGCAGTGGCGCCATCTTGGCTCACTGCAACCTCCGCCTTCCAGGTTCAAGCGATTCTCCTGCCTCAGCTTTCCAAGTATCTGGGACTACAGGCGTGAGCCACCGCGCCCAGCAAACCTCAACTCTCTTGATTCCACATCCTCAGCCAGTATTTTGCCTGAGGGAAACGAGTTCTTAACAAATTGACTCCGCAGTTTGAGGATGAGCCCTTCCTTTACTTGTAGGGGAGACAGGGATGTAAACGAATGTATTACACATAACCTGGCCAACGGAGGCAGCAGAGCAGAGTGGGGGCAAGCTTGGTTTGGAATTCCATTCCAGCAGTGGCCCTTTGGGAAACTAACTGGACCTCTCTGAGCCTTGCTTTCCTTATCTGTAAAATGAGAATAGTGGCATTGATTCATAGGGTATTGTGAAGCTTAAATGGGAACACGTGTGGATCACCTAGCAAAATAGCCGTGTGGCAAGTGCTCAATATATGGTAGGCATAGTATTTCTGAAAGCTCTTCTTTGAAGCTGCAGAGATTTGTTAGGACAGTGGTTAGGCATGTAGGTGCTAAAGCCAGATGGCATGTGTTGGAGTCCTGGCTTTCTGTTTACTAACTTGTGTGACCTCGGGCAAGTGACTTAAACTCTGTGTCCAGATTTCCTCTTGTGTCAAATGAGGCTGATGACCACAGTTCTGGCTTCTTAGGCTTGCTGTGAGGATTATACAAATTAATACACTGAAGTGCTGAGAGCAGTGTCTGACCCCTGTAAGCATCCTTCCTTGTGAAGAGATGGTTTTATCTTATCTTCTTGGACAACTGAAGTGTCTTGCCCTTTTAGTCTTAAAATAATAGCTTCGTCATCACTTGATTATACTGGCTATTCTCCCTTGGACCAGTCCACACCCTCTTTAGATATTTGAAGCTTTTGGATTAGAATTGCAGCGGTAAGCCTCACGGCTTACTGGTGGTGACAGAAGACCCTCTAGAGGTAAAGAAAGAAAGAAAAATAATGGTTCTTTATCTCCACTGCTCTTTCTGGTAGGTTTTCAGAGATTTTTAATGAAAAATTAAAAAAATTCCAGAACAGCCCAAGGGTCAGATATCTTTAGGGATAACTGTAGGTTTGCTTCCTGAGTGTGAATTGATGCCCATTCTCCTATGAGTGTATTTGGGTCATCATAACTGAGGAGCATTATATTCACCCTTGCCCTTTTGAATTTCATGTTACCGTTTAAATTCATTTACCACAGTGCCTCAGGATCTTCCCGGGGTTCATTCCTAGGAGTTTGGAGATTTTACAGTGCTCTCTGTCTTCCAGATAACTCATAAAAATGTTAGAGTAAACTCTTCCCAGCCCTGCTCTGGGGAACCTTATTATTTTTACCTCTCCACCCAGAAGGCACTGCCTTACACTTACCCTTCCCCCACCTTTAATCCTATGGATTTGATTTTCAAGTCCATGAAGAAACTCCTAGAAAAGTGAAGTTGCTATCTTTTTCATGATCCTGAGGGTCCTCAGAGCTACTCTCACCTGGGCCCAATGTCTTTCCCACCCAGGTGGCTGCAGCTTTGAACAGAAGCTCAGTCCTGCTCTGAGATGAGCCAGAAACAGGGCAGCATCCCAGGAGAGAAGACTTAGGTGCTTAACCCCTGGGGTCCTGGAATCACCTAAAATCAGGGCTAGATTCTCTGACAGCGGAGAAGCTCCCTGTTTTCTGCCTCTCACTGGACAGAGAGCACCAGTGGAGGGAGCGTTACCTTAGCCTTGGCAAGGGAGCCCTGCAAGGACCTTACAAGGACACAGAGGAGGCTGGAGATGCCTCAAGGTAAAGAAGAGCCCTGTCAGGCTTTATACGTCCAGATTTTTTGATCCAACAGAAAATGTTGGCTAGAACCACTCTGCTGAGTCAGCATGGATCAGTTTTGGAATAGTGACAAGAAAAGGAGCAACTGGGAATAAGGAAGATTGTGAAGAAATCAAAATAAAATCACCTCTGCCTATCCTGGTTTATTTGCTGG
Source organism: Homo sapiens (assembly GCF_000001405.40). Classification (NCBI taxonomy): domain Eukaryota; kingdom Metazoa; phylum Chordata; class Mammalia; order Primates; family Hominidae; genus Homo; species Homo sapiens. The sequence continues at coordinate 50,249,789 of NC_000015.10, read as the reverse complement.
TAAAATAAAGTAGCTCTCTCTATATATGAAATAAATTGGCTATAACTATCTGGAAACCAGAACCTTTTGACAGATGATCCCTATCATCCGTTCATTATTCTCTTGGAGTGTCCATTGGACAAGAGGTGGAGTTGACACTTTCCTTGTTACAGCAATTTTGTTCCATTTTCAGGTTTTGATGCCTTCTGCTGGCACAAAAGCCCCCAAGCTGCTCCCCAGCACAACAGAGTTTTGCTTGGAAATCAAAGGCTTAGTAGTTTTCTGCTGGGGAAACATTGTCCATCAACAAAGGGGTAACATCCCAACTGTGCCTGGCTCAGGAAACTGGGGTGAAGGGTGAAGGTGAGGACATTTGTGAGGATTTGATAATCTTGTGTATGGGCAGATAAATACGCAGTGGGACAAACATTTATTTTTAGTCAACAGAAATTGTGGTAGAAACTTTCTGACGTTTGAGGGAGATGTCATTAGGAAACCACGTGACTCATTAGAATAACTGTAAATGTTTTCCAAATCCTCTGCTCTATTTTCAGATCTGAGAAATCAGTCTGAAATTGATTTGGAAATTTTCAGATGTATGGTGACTGCAACCTTGAACTTTAAGCTCTGTTGAATTTGGCCACCAGGAGCAAAGAGTCAATTTTCATCTAACAGCGGCAGAAATTTGGGTGCTCATTTGAAATCTGACAGCTGGAGTGATGGCTCTCAGATCACAGGAATCTCACAGGAAAATGAACAAGGCAGTGTAAGGTTAAATAGGGGTCATCTTGGCTCTAGACAGAAATGCTACTGTGATTTGTAGCTCACATTTTAAAATAATCTAAATAGCCAACACCTACTGACAACTTCTTCTGAGGCTCTTGGCGTTCTTTGTCCTCACACCACTTGCCCGGGAGGTGCAATTGGTTCTTTATGTCCCGGACTGATGAGCCAGTGAGGTGGCACTACCCAAGGTCACACAGCTAGTAAGTGGCACAGCTGGAGGCGAAACCTAGGTCTGCAGGGCTCTAGTGTCTGTGCTCTAACTACCATACTTTACATTTTGGGAGGAATAAAAATAGAACTTTATTTTCTGCTATTCAAGGAATAAAGATTCATTTAGAGTAAAAATGTATTTCCCTTATGTTGAGTTTCTGGGCCGGGATGAAATGTTTAAAGCAGCACTTGAAAGCAAAGTGCCCTTCTCATTGGTTCAGGGTAATGGACTTGACTTCCACTTGTCTGGCTCTCAGACAAGTGACTATTGGCCACCTTCATCAGTGATTTGGTCACACGATGGGGCAACCCTTGGGGAGCTTGGCTTACTCCTTAGCAACAGCTCCCAGAGTCATGGTGACATCGTCCATCCCTGGAGGGCTGGGCAGGCAACAGATAATGCCCAGAAATGCCCGAGGGAGTGGGGCACCCTTGTCTCTAACCTTGGGCACTGTGTTCCTTTGTTTCTAGCACTGGCAGATCCCCCTGAGCCGACGGTTTCGCTCTGTTAAACTCTGGTTCGTGATTCGGTCCTTCGGGGTGAAGAATCTTCAAGCACATGTCAGACATGTATGTAGCATGCTGCTGTGGGGGCTGAGCCTGTGTTCCTCTGTTTTCTCATGGCGAGGAAGGCTGGTTTCTACTTTGCAGATCTGCCTAGGAGACTTGCGGTGTGTGGTTCAGGTGTCTGGGCCTGTTCCTCAGCTCCTGGGACTTGATTCTCTTTGTTAACCAGAGGAGCGCTGAGCACAACATGCCCTGAGGGCTGCCTGATGCCTGTCCTCTGCTGAGTGTCTCACCGTTCCCCTTGCTGTCACTGAGCACTGGGGAGGGTTGGCCCCAGAGTCTGGTTTGCAGGAAAGAGAAAGAGAAAGTAAATCAAGGGGAAGTGTGTGTGGCCAGGGTAGGATCCTATCTGCTTTGGAATTACCTCAATGGTCACAGCTGGCTGAATATTTTAGCACTATTATGATTATGCCTGAAATAAAGCTCCCCTGGCTTGGACAGGTAGACCTACCAAGTCTGGAACAAACCTCCCTGCATCAACAGGCATTTATTGAAGGCCTATTTTGCTTAATTTATTTCTATTCAATTCAACAATTACAAGGTATTGTGCTAAGAAAGGGACACAGAGGTAAATGAGACAGGTGCAGCCTCTCTCCCATGTTCTTCATGGAAGAAGCGGGACTTAACTAAGAACTCTGGCCACTGGCATTGTTCTCCCACTTCTACAAGAGTCCACATGCAAGACAAAGCCATTGATAAAAGTAGTGGGGGAAGCTGAAGACACTGTCCTTTCTGCCTATGTGTGTCTTTGTCCTTCCACCTTTCCTCTAGGGAATTCCTTCTTGGTTAAACAAACACAAACCAAAATGAAGTGGTGGAAGCGGTAACTATGATTTTTTTTAACATTTAAAAAAAATAATTATTATGCTTACATAATAATTACGTATATATTTATGGGGTATGTGTGAGGTTTTGATACAGGCATACAATGTGCAATGATCAAATTAGGGTAACTGGGTATCCACCACTCAACCATTTATCATTTCTTTGTGTTAGAAACATTCTAGTTCCATTCTTTAAGTTAGTTTGAAATGTACAGCAAATTATAGTTAACTATAGTTGCCTTATTGTGCCGCCTAACATTAGATCTATTTAATTGTATTTTTGCGCCCGTTAACTATCACCTCTTTATCCCCCATTCCCTGCTACCCTTCCCAGCCTCTGCCAACCATCATTCTACTGTGCGTCTCCACGAGCTCAGTTTGCTTACTTTTTAACTCCCACGTTTGAGTGAGAACATGTGAAATTTGTCCTTCTGTGCCTGGCTTATTTTGCTTAACATAATGTTCTCCAGTTTCCTATGACTGGTTTTAATGTTGGTAATTTTACCTTTGTAATCACCACTGGTTGTTTACCAATGAGCAGCTGCCACCAACAATATTGAGGAACTTTAGGCACTTTGTGCTGTTTCTAGAAATGCAGACTCAAGACTGGAGGGTTGTGGGCGGGGAATGGTTGGTGGAGGTTACAAGTAATTAGGAACATTTTTTTGCTTACAGTTTGGGACTGGATATTCAATGTGCAGATCCTGACTAACCTCCCTTAGCACTTCTGTTTGCAAATCAAACCCCTGAATTCCTCCTATTAGCAACCCCATTGCCTACCATATGAGGCCCACACTCCTGGGCCTGGCTTTCAAGGACTTGACGATTAGCTCCTACCTTAGCTTGGGCATTTCATCGACCCATCCAGACCTCATGCTCAGTCCATCTCTGCACCTTCACCCGTGTCCTTCACCTGAACTACCCTCTCCTCTCCAAATGTTGTGAATGGATTAAATTCTGCTTCCACTAGAAGCTTTTCTGCCTATTCCATCTGTTCTGGTTTCTGCTTCATTAGCATTCCTGTGATCACCTACTCAAACACCTTTACAAAACTGTGCTCAAAGTTCTTCCAATGTCCCACAATAGAAGAAATGGAATTAAAATAAAGTTGTTTGATATGATTTGATTTTATCTCTTCAACTTGACGGTGATGATAATTATTGACACTTGCGTAATGCCTTCAATACAAAAATAAATTCTAGTTCTTCATTAGATCCTTAGCACAGTGCCTGGGGTGGTCACTCTAACCTGGCAAGGCTCAGAGGGAGTAATTGCCCTGCTTGAGGGAAGAAGGCCCGGGACTTTCCCTGAAGCCTCCCAATTCCAAATCCTTTCTTCATAGTTCTGGGCTGCTTTCTACTACACTGAGCTCTTGGAAAGTTATATAAAATTAAATTTCATATTTCTGTGTTACAGAGAAGTGCTTTAAAGAATGGATTTTTAGTTCTACCCTTTACTGTTTGATGACCTTAGACAAATTACTTAACCTTTCTATATTTGTCTGCCTTATTTATTTATTGTTATTTATTTTTGAGATGAGGTCTCTGTTGCTCAGGCTGAAGTGCGGTAGTGCCATCAGAGCTCACTGCAGCCTTGACCTCCCCAGGCTCAGGTGATCCTCCCACCTCAGCCTCCTGAGTAGCTGGGACTACAGGCGCATACCATCATGCCTGGCTACTTTTTGTATTTTTTGTAGAGATGGGGTTTTGTCATGTTGCCCAGGTTGTTCTCACGCTCCTGGGCTCAAGCAATCTGCCTACCTTGGCCTCCCAAAGTGCGAGGATTACAGGCATGAGCCACCACCCCTGGCCATGCCTTCCTAATTTATAAAAATGAGAAAAGGATACTACCTCTCTCAAATTAAATGAGATAATATATATGCAGCCCTTAGCACAGGGTCTACCTACTACTCAGTTAAGTACTCAATGAGTACCTCTTCCTCTTCTCTTCTTCCCCTTCTTCATCATCTCCTTCTTCATCTAATTATAATAAATTGTCATCATCATCACCATCATCATCATCATCATCCTCATCTCCTATCACCTACAATAGGGATTGGTAAACATTTCCTGTAAAAAGCCAGATACTAAATACTTTTGGCTTTGTGGGCCATACTCTATTGTAATTACCTCTGTACTACAAGAGCTACCGTAGACAATATGTAAACAAATGGGAATGCTGTGTTCCAAAAAACTTTACAAACACAGGTGGGGGCTATATTTGGCCATGGCTGCACTGTGCCTGCCCTTGACCTAGAGCGGTGCAGGGCACTGGCAGCAGCTCTGCTTTCATGACCTGTAAAGTGGGGCTTTGGAGGTGGCAGTGCTGCCTGTGCTCTGTATTCTCCTCTCCCCTGACCTCTGCTTCTGTTATTGCAAACAGCATGTGTTGTAGGAGGGATAAAAGCACAGTGGGAGGAGATCTACCTACTGTCACTTGTACCTTGGGAAAGTCACTTTCCCTTGGTTCCTTCTAAAAAATGGAAAGATTGAGCTGGGCACAGGGGCACGTGTCTGTAGTCCCAGCTACTTGGGAGGCTGAGGTGGGAAGCTCAATTGCTCCCACCATAGCCCAGGTGGGAGTTCTGGGCTATGGTGTGCTATGCCAATTGAGTGTCCGCACTAAGTTCGGCATCAATATGGTGACCTCCCAGGAGCAAGGGATCACCAGGTTGCCTAAGGAGGGGTGAAGGGGCCCAGGTTAGAAATGGAGCAGGTCAAAACTCCTGTGCTGTTTGAAACTGACCACGCAGGGGAGAAAGGGGCTCTGAGAAAGATTTGGAGAAACTCATTTCATTATGGTCAAAAGACAGGCTCAGGGCCAGACATGGTGGCTCATGCCAGTAATCCCAGTACTTTGGGAGGCCTAGGAAGGAGGATCGCTTAAGCCCAGGAGTTTGATACCAGGGTGAACAACCTAGTGAGACCACTGTCTTTACAAAAAAATTAAAAAATGTAGCTGGGCATGGTGGTGCATGTCTGTAGTCCTAGCTACTCAGGAGGTGAAGGTGGGAGGATTACTTGAGCTCAGGAGTTCAAGGCTGCAGTGAGCTTTGATTGTGCAACATGCCTCTGTACTCTAGCCTGTGTGACAAAGCAAGACCCTATCTCTCAAAAAAAAAAAAAAAAAAAAAAAAAAGAGGTTCAGCTAACTCCCTTGCCCTCTCTTGAAATAGAGCAGTAAGTATGAGAACTAACTGATAGAATTACTTAGCAAATATTTTATTGAGATCTTCTGGATGCTTGGAGAAATTTTTAAAAAGAAAAGAGAAGGCAAGTCCTGTCCTTGTTTAGTTAGTAATCCTGGGTTAAAAACAAAAAGCAAAAAACCCCAGGACATTTAAAAAGATGGTATGAACTTCAGTGGAAGATTAATATAATACAAAGCCTTTAACATTTTAAAATTGTAACAAAATATTCATACCATAGAATGTACCATTTTACTCATTTTTAAGTGTACAATTCAGTGGCATTAAGAATACTCACAATGTGGTGTGACCATCACCATTATTTCCAGAATTTTTTCATCATCCCGAGCAGAAACTCTGTATCCATTAACCAGGTCCAAAACCTTTCCATGATGGGTGGAGACAAGATGTGAAAATATGTTCTCTATGGAATGTCAGAAACAGGGGATGAAAAGGGCATTTGGGGTACAGGGTGAGAAGAGGTTTGAGAGGCAAGTGAAGCATGTAGGCTTAGGATGGGGCAGGGCCGCCACTAGCCCATATGGCAACTTGATGTGCACTACAAACAGGCATCTCTTCCTTTAGGCACACGCAGCTCGCATGAGGCACCTGGCTGGGAACGCAGAGCATGGACTGGGTTTTGGCCCTCACTTGCCCACTTGGCCAGTCAAGGAGCTGTGAAATCAGGAGTTGAGGCCGGGTTGCCTGGACTGCAAAGCACATGCCTTCTGGGTTCTGGGGCTGAGTTGAAAGAGGGCCCTGAGATGAGTTCTCGAGGTGGATCCCATGTGACAGGAAACAGGGCGCCATTGGAAATTTTCCAGCTTGGAATATGAGCAAAATCAAATGGAGATGACAATGAGGCAGAAGCCGCTTACAACGGCTGTGACGGGAAGATGGCCCTGGTTTAAAACCATTTAGCAGTCTGAAAGTTTATGCATAGTCTCTTGTCTGATGATTAATCTCAGTTCTCTTTATACTTGCAATTCCAGGGTACTGAAATGGCTAAATATTTTGAATCTCTGGTCAGAAACGACCCTTCCTTTGAAATTCCTGCCAAGAGGCACCTTGGCCTGGTGGTTTTTCGTCTAAAGGTAATACCATCTTCCAAGCCCCTCTGTGAATGATGTCTTGTGGTGCTCCAGAGCCTCTCGGAAACACAAATGCTGGGCTCTGGGGATGCTGACAGGGGGTGCGATGGAGACTTCACTTCCTTTATTTTTCAAACAGGGTCCTAATTGTCTCACAGAAAATGTGTTAAAGGAAATAGCTAAAGCTGGCCGTCTCTTCCTCATCCCGGCCACTATCCAGGACAAGTTAATCATCCGTTTCACTGTGACATCCCAGTTTACCACTAGGGATGACATCCTGAGAGACTGGAATCTCATTCGAGATGCTGCCACTCTCATCCTGAGTCAGCACTGTACTTCCCAACCCAGCCCTCGGGTTGGGAACCTCATCTCCCAAATCAGGGGTGCCAGAGCCTGGGCCTGTGGAACGTCCCTTCAGTCTGTCAGTGGGGCAGGAGATGATCCAGTCCAGGCCAGGAAGATCATCAAGCAGCCTCAGCGTGTGGGAGCCGGTCCCATGAAAAGGGAAAATGGCCTCCATCTTGAAACCCTGCTGGACCCAGTTGATGACTGCTTTTCAGAAGAGGCCCCAGATGCCACCAAGCACAAGCTGTCCTCCTTCCTGTTCAGTTACTTGTCTGTGCAGACTAAGAAGAAGACGGTGCGCTCCCTCAGTTGCAACAGTGTGCCAGTGAGTGCTCAGAAGCCACTGCCCACAGAGGCCTCTGTGAAGAATGGGGGCTCCTCCAGGGTCAGAATCTTTTCCAGGTTTCCAGAAGACATGATGATGCTGAAGAAAAGTGCCTTCAAAAAACTCATCAAATTCTACAGCGTCCCCAGCTTTCCTGAATGCAGCTCTCAATGTGGACTCCAGCTGCCCTGTTGCCCTCTGCAGGCCATGGTTTAGACACAGGGCCTTCAGCCAGAGTCTGAGGATATACTTCAGGGACTCTGTGAACCCCTCACAATTGTATGCCAACTTTGTGTGCTTATGTGTACATGCATTTTTCTTGGGGCGAGTTCATAATTTTAATCAAATTCTCATAGGGGTTCATGACCCACAATAGGATACAAACGAAGAGTTTAAGCCAGCATGATCCAGATGGGTTCAGCAGTCTGGTCAGTGAGAAAGGGCCGAGGGTAGACAGGCAGCTTCTGTGGTTCAGCTTGTGACATGATATATAACACAGAAATAAATTATGCTTGTCCCTGAAACAAAACATACCCTGTGTCACTTAATTGGCTGCTGAAACATTGATTAACCAGTCTGGGAGCTTAAACATATGTACTTTTTTTGAAGCATCAATTATGAGTCAGGCACTGTGGCTCATGGTTCATAAATGAGGAAACCAACGTTTAGGTCACACAGCTTTAAATAGGCAAACCCAGGTCTCCTGGCTTCCAGTGAAGCCCAGGCTGTTTCCACCATGCAGTACTGCTCAAGGTTGGACCTGAACAGGAGCTCACAGCCCAGCAGGCTGCTCTGGTCCTCCAGTACATTTAAATGTTTCCTTTCTAGGTTTGGAACTTGTGCATTTTCCCCTTATTTTCCTGGACCCGGTAGTCAAATAAAAGCTATGCTCACAAGTGGCTTGCCCATAATTAGTTCAGAGGCCAAACACATAATTTTATTTCCATTTCAGATGGTACTTTGATAGGTTGTGACTCTGAAATGGGTTATGTAAAGAGTATTAAAGACAAACAAAGCTGGGCATTAGTTAGAACTTTAAGGATAGATGTTAAACAGTAATATACTATCACAATAGGGAAAAGGGTCCCATGTGAACTGAACTCAACTTGGATTTGTGCAAAGGTGACTAGGCATTTCACAGCGTGAATGGGAGAATAGGGAGAAGGCCAGCCTAGACTTAGAAGAGTCAGGAATGTGAAAAATTACAAAAAGCGGAAAGTGGTTGATGTGAAACCCCTCTGGGTTTGCTAACTGGTGCTTTTTGAAGTAAGACTCTTACCCTCCCACAGAGACTGGGAGTCAGGGCCCTGTGTTCAGGGGTTCGCTGGAACAAACAGTTAATTCTTTCGGCAGCTTTGAGTTTTCTTAAGCAGGCACTTTAAGGTGAGCTAGGATCAACTTAGGGATGTGGCCTTGAGCTGTGAGAAACTGTGTTAGTGTTTGTTCAAGTCTTTATAGGCAAAGGTTGAGGCCTAGTTGAGAAGGGGGCTCGGAGGAGCTTAGCTAGAGTTTGGTCGAGAAAAGAATCTTTGTTAAGAGTTTAAAGCTTTTTTTTTTTTTTTTTTTTTTTTTTTTTTTTTTTTTTTTTTGAGACTAGTGCTTTCTCTCTTTCCCAGGCTGGAGTGCAGAGGCACAATCATGTCTTACTGCAGCCTCAACTTCCTGGGCTTGAGCAATCCTCCTGCTTCAGCCTCCCAAGTAGCTATTTATTTTTGAGATGGGGTCTCATTCTGTGAGTGCAGTGGTGTGAACACAGTTCACTGCAGCCTCAGCCTCTGAGGCTCAAGCTGTCTTTCCACCTCAGTCCCACGAGTAGCTGGGACTATGAGTGCACACCACTATGCCTGGCTAATTTTTATAACTTTTTACAGAGACAGGGTCTCCCTGTGTTGCCCAGGCTGGTCTGGAACTCCTGGGCTCAGGTGATCCTCCTGCCTTGGCCTCCCAAAGTGTTGGGATTACAGGCGTGAGCCACCATGCCTGGCCTGGCTAATTTTAAAAATTTTTTTGTAGAGACAGGGTCTCTCTGTGTTGCCTAGGCTGATTGTGAACTCCTGTGCTCAAGAGCATCTCCTGTCTTGGCTTCCCAAAATGCTGTGATTATAGGTGTGAGCCACTGCACCTGGCCAAAAGCTGAAAACTAGCCACTTGTTCTCTACTAGTGATCCCTGAGCTTTGCTGCATACTGGAATCACTTGGAGGTCCTTAAAAAAATACTGATGCTTGGTTCTCACTCCCAGAATCCTTGATCTAATTGGTATGGCATGGGCCTGGGCTTTGGGATTTTTGACGGCTCCCCAGATGATTCTAATGTGCAGGGACATCTGGGAACCACTGCTTTAGATTGACATGCTACTCAAAGCAGTGTGTGTGCCCCAAGCACTCACTGCACTCCAAGCACTCAAAGCACTGGTGTCCCCAAGTGATTCTCATGCACAGTAAAGCTTGTGCACTGCTTTAAGCCAGTGATTGTCAAACTGAGTCCACATCAGTAACACCAGGAGGGCTTTGGCTTGTCAAAACACAGATGTCTGGGCCTACCCTCTGTGTTTCTGATTCAGTAGGTCTAGAATTTTTCAGGGTCCAAGAATTTGTTGGTCCAGCAAGTTCCCAGGTGCTGCTGATGCTGCTGGCTCAGGGACCACACTCAGAACTACTGGTCTATGATGGTACTCTCTTCCTGCAAGTACTAGGTGAGAGCTTAGTGATGCCAATTAGCTGTGTGACTTCAGTCATGTCACTTAACCTCAGGCCTCAGTTTTTTCATTTATCAAGTAAAGAGGTTTGACTAGCTACTCTCTAGGATTGCTTTTCGTTTGCTATAGCAAATCACAATATATGTGTATGTATCTAGCAAGCAGATATAAGCTCTAATTGATGTAAATTTCCAAGAGCAATTGCAGGCTTGTGTGATGACAAGGTGCTTCTTGATGCTGGGCCTTTCCTGGGGACTGCACTTTGAGCCACTTGAGCTAAGAGCTGAGCCTCAGTTAGTAAGGGATGACCTGGCTCTGAGGAACTGAGTTACCCACTAAGTAAGTGCACATGTTGTATAACTCAGGATGTCAGTGATTCCCCAAATGTGGCCCCCGTCCCACAGCATTAGCCTCACCTGGGCATTTGTTAGAAATGCAAACTCCAATTCTAGTTTGGGGGGATGGGACTCAGCACTCTTGTGCTGAGAACATTTCTTGGTGCGTAGCAGGCACCCACTAAGTGCTTGTAGGGTGGATGTATGAATGAACGACACATTTAGCAAATTATCTCTTAGGTTGAGTCACTGCAGTTAGTTAAACCTATCTTTTTTTTTTTTTTTTTGGAGATGCGATCTCACCATGTTGCCCAGGCTGGACTCAAACTCCTGGGCTCAAGTGATCCTCCTGCCTCAGTCTCCCGAGTAGCTGGGATTATAGGCACACCCCACCATGCCTGGCTAACTTTACCCATTTTAATACTGATTCTCATTAGCATCCATTTCAGAGGCTGACATTTCCTACTTTTATCCCCAAATTATTTTGGTGCCTATAGCATCCCATCTATGCACTGATTACAGGTTTCCAAACAATACATTTGAAATCAAAGCCCTGTTGGATAATTTACATGGATATCAGCTTATTTTTTTAAATTCACTTATATTTTCAAATGAGAATGACTTGTGCAGATATTTCTTGGGCACAATTTCTTACCCTTTTCAAAGAGAAAAATCAGTCTTTAAGGTATTATCTCTCACAGGTGATGGCTTAAAATTGTTTACATACATGCAAACCTAGGGGCTGAGGACATTGTGGGGGTGTCTCTATTTATCTCAATGGAGCTGTGTTACCTGGCCAGATTCAGGGAGGTGTGGGGAAGTGGAAGACTGAGGAAACCATCAGGCTGGGAGGCAGAGCTGGGCAGGGTGTGGATGCGAGGACCTGGGTCTCTGAGTTTCTGACTGGAAGGTCTAAAACATGGGTCAAATGAGATCAGGGCAACCAGGTTCTGGTTAATATAACACGAATATTCTGGCCAACAGTGTAAATGCTGACCTCTTACCCAAAAAGATACCCCTTGTGACACAGAATGCAGCCACTGCTCTAACATGACCCCTGCTGACAACCTTCTCCTTTGACAAGATTCCAGGTAACACAATTGCACAATGTGATACTCAAAGGCTGTCCTATCTCCCACTACTTAGGTTCACATTCTCCTGTAACTCAAAGGCAGAGAGAATTTTGCAAAAATTCGCAAGTGCTGACCCACAAACAATAATCATTCTAATTACTGGCAAAATTCACAAAGGTGCAGCCTATCTAGAGTTTTCTTTAGACCCTCCTCAAGTCCTCAGTGTATATTAAGCACTCAGGAAATGTTTATTGTTAGGTATAATGAGTGGGGGCAAGGATTTTGGTCATGATTCTTCTTAAAGTCACCCAAAAGAGTGGAGAGAGTTAAAAAAAATATTTCTAGTACTCTGTTGGGGCTGGGGGTGGCAACACCTCTCATCATGTATCATTGAGAAGTCCTAGAAGTGTTTGCCTGGGGCTTTATGGGGACTAAACTGGGGGAGAATTAGCACACATTACCAGCTCCTGGTCATCTGAAGATGTCCTCTAGGGAAGGAAACTCCATGACAGAAACTTCTAGAGAGGCTGTGGTAAACTTGGGCCATGCTTTCTGGATGTGAACTCAATGACCATGATGCTCCCATGCCTAGGACAAGCTCTAGGTAAGGTACATGTCGTCTTGAATGCTTTCACCCATGACCTGCTCCTGGAATTCTGTTGCAGCTCATACATGCAGAGGTAAAGCAATTAAACCCAGGAAGGGAGGCAGCTGGGTCTAAGGAGAAAGGGCTTATGTGAAAGAGCTCCTCAGAATTTCCCAAAGCCTCCCGTGCCACCCTAAAGGTCCTCCGGTCTTTGAAAAGGGTCCGTGGGCAGGAGACTGGCTTTGGAGTGAAACCAGTTGCCATCTGAGGAGTAGGGGCACATGTAAGTGGGACTCGGGTGCTAACTGGACAGCTGGGATTTATCTGGCCCAGACACACATTTTGTTTGGGATGCATAGAAGTTTTAAAAATTTTGAGACTTCAGATTTCAAAAATTGGGAGATTCACATACATATCTGGATTTGTTTTCTTTTTAAAAAGCCAGTCAAACTTCGTAGTTGTGAGAGTGTGTATGTGGGCGGGGGGGGTGGTTGTAGATCAACTTTAGTGACACTAATGTTAATAAGTTCTGATGGATTTCTGTTTTCTGAATAATTAAAAAATTCCAGCAATACTTGGCCTGTATTTAGCTGACTGAAGCTTAGTGGCCGTCCCCAAGTTTACCACATTCATTTGTGACCTGCTTTTCTCATCCACATTACCTATGTGAATTCTGAAGACACTTGAGTTTGCAACCCCTAAAGTAGCTAAAATGTATTGAACACCTTTGTTTGTTTGTTTGTTTGTTTTTTTAAGACGGCATCTCACTCTGTCATCCAGGCTAGAGTGCAGTGATGTGATCTTGGCTCACTGCAACCTCTGCCGCCCGGGTTCAAGCGATTGTCCTGCCTCGGCCTCCCGAGTGGCTGGGATTACAGGCGCCTGCCACTGCGCCTGGCTAATTTTGTATTTTTTTAGTAGAGATGGGGTTTCACCATCTTGGCTAGGCTGGTCTTGAACTCCTGATCTCGTGACCCACCTGCCTCGGCCTCCCAAAGTGCTAGAATTATAGGCGTGAGCCACTGAGCCCGGCCTGAACACCTTTTGTGTACAGAACTCTGATGCCATAGAATTAGGCTCCTGTAAGGACTATAGATGGCATTATTACCTGTTGGATAATGCTACCTATACACAGTGGACAGGATGCCTCCGGGTAGGGAAAGTTGGCCTCCTCACATTGGAGTAGATTTCCATTGTGTTGGCCACTGCTGATCTAGCCGCCTCACCCTACCATCCCTCACCCCACCCCCCGTTCCCAGCCATTTTTACCTAGAACGTCTTTACTCTTACGAATGGGACACCTATGAAAAGTTACCAGTGAGGACTTCAGGCTTTGGAGTAATTGACACAGGCTTTGTATTTAGAGTAAAGTGAGGAAAGAACACAGAGACAGTGCCATCTCACATGTTGGTGTTCATTTAATTTACTAAGTATTTTAAAAAATAATGCCTTCCCTCCAACAAGCTCAGTTTGCAAATACAAACAGTAGGTGCACACTGAAAAATAATAATCTCTAAATCTTTTTACTTGCAAAGACTCAACTGTTATTTAAAAAAGTCTCCCTTTACGGGTATGCAAATTTCCTACAAAATTTCCTCACAATCTTCAATCAAATTAAAGTTGGATTATATCAAGTGGCTGTCCATTCAGTTTCTTTCTGGAAATGTTGAGTTATCCTCCTGGGAATATTCAGAGTTTCAGGGTTTTAGCACTTATGGCATTATAGATGTCCTCAGTCATAGGCACATACATTTTTGCTGTGTCATCCAAGAAATACAAGGCATCTTTGATGACAGCAGGGTTAAAGCCCTCCTCCACCAGGGTCATTTTGCGGTGTTTAAAAGTTCCAGTGATCTCAATGGTGTCCTGAAAAACATCAAATAATCCACATTTTGGTTGCATTTTGCAATAGATTAGGATGCAGAGCAAGGGGTAGGGGTGGGGCATGGGGATCTAGCAAATCATTAGCATCCCTGGCTCATGTGAGAGCTGGGAAGTGAAAGTTAAAATAAAGTTTTCCATTTTAATTTATTTTTAAATGGACAGATAACATTGTGTGTTTTTCTCATGTACAATATGATGTGCTGAAGTACATATACATCGTGGAATAGTTTGGCTAGTTAGCAAATGGATTACTTCATATAGATATCATTTTTGTGGTAGGGGCAAGTAACATCCACTCTTTACATTTTCTAGCGAAGTGAAAGTTTTATATGATACCCATACATTCTGTTTGCAGGATCTCCATTAGGGAGCCCTTTGTGAGGTATTTTTTATTCCCTTAAAGCTTTAGGATCACCTGTGGGGAGGGAGGACCTGCCAAGGATGAGATACCTGTGCATAGATTTCTGAGCAGAGGGGTGGTGCCTATTTCTTGGTAAGGCTTCAGGTACCGCTAGGATATCCTGATTCATGGTGGGATTAGAAGGAGGGATCATTTACAGACAACTCTGTTTTCTCAGTCTGCTTGTCTATTAGATTAGATTGAAGACTGATTTTTCCTTCAATTATGTGTTAATCAAAATATCTGAGGATATTTCATTTTCATGCCACTTTACCATCTGGTTGCAAAGCAAATGTTGGTGCCCTATGAACATCAACAGGAATAATCCTATACACACAATATCTGGAATCTTAAGACCTCCTTTGTCAAGTCTTCAGCTACAGAATCACAGAGCTCAAAGTCTAAAAGTGAGAGTATTAAACCAACCAAAGGGTTAATGTTGGAGGAAGAAAAAAAATCCTCCTAGCGGTGATAGTTAAGTCTTAGGCAATTCCAGCTGGCTAATGTCCAATTAAATTTCACACCACAGAAAGGTGTAGAACTTCTGTGGATTTCTGTGTTCTTTAAAACTGGAAACAACAAACAGGGTCAGAGCATTTCTATTTGCGCTATCTGTCAGGACTCACCAAACAGACTTTGTGAGTTATGTGCTAAGTCTCTTGCTGAATGAACTGGCCTGTCATTGTAAGGAGAAAGGGATTAGGATTGGATTTCTTCTAGCTGTTTTCTGATATATTTTTTTTTAGACTGGGCCTTGCTCTGATGCCCAGGCTGGAGTACAGTGGTGCAATCATACCTCACTGCAGCCTTGATTTGCCAGGCTCAACTAATCCTCCTGCCTCAGCCTCCCACGTAGATGAGACTACAAGTGCACATCACCATGCCTGGCTAATTTTTTTTTTTTTTTTTTTTTTGGAGATGGAGTCTCACTCCATTGCTCAGGCTGGAGTGCAGTGGCGTGATCCCAGCTCACTGCAACCTCCTCCTCCTAGGTTCAAGCGATTCTCCTGTCCCAGCCTCCCGAGTAGCTGGGGCTACAGGCATGCACTACCACGCCCAGCTAATTTTGTCTATTTAGTAGAGACCGGGTTTCACCATGTTAGCCAGGCTGATCTCGAACCCCCGACCTCAGGTGATCCACCTGCCTCTGTCTCCCAAAGTGTTAGGATTATAGGCGTGAGCCACCGCGTTTGGCCTTTTTTAAAAATTTTCATTTTTAGTAGACATGAAGTCTCACTACGTTGCCTAGGCTGGTCTCAAACTCCTGAGCTCAAGCAATCTTCCCACCTCGGCCTCCCAAAGTGCTGGGATTACAGGCATGAGCCACCGCACCCAGCCTGATATTACCACTTCCTTATTGGTCTATGACACTTTTCTGAGCTTCCTGGAAAGTGCGGTGAAAACTTGGCAAATGTAGTCATCCTGGGAGAAGGCGAGTTGTTCCCTAAGTGGTAGGAATCTCCAAGAGGACAGATCATTGAACTGGATAATAAGAGATCTCACCTGTATTCTTAGAAACCGGGGCCTTGCATAACTAGGTAGGTAATCAGCAATGTGCTGAAAGAGTTTCTTTCCATCAAATTCATGGTTTTCTTTCATTTTGATGGAGGCCATGCCAATGCGACCCTCATGATCTAGAAATAAAGTGAGAAAAAATTAGAAGTGTTAAGGCTATTTATGATGCTTTATTAGTTCAAAGAACTGTGGGCTCAGACAACATTTATAGCATGGGTTTCATTTGGATAGCTGGAATTTTTATTAAAAATACATGAAGATACTGTAAAGTGATTGTACTAATACTAATAGCAATAATAACAGTTGGTTGAATCTTTATTATATTCCAGGCCCTATACTAAGTGTGTTGTATTGATGATCTCACTTAATCCTCACAACAACCTTCTGAAGAGATGTAGATATTATTTCCATTTTACAGATGAAGAAACTGAGGCTTAAAGACATTAAGAGACTTATTCAAGGTCAGACAGCAAATACTAGGCAGGGTACAGAATTGAATTCAGGCAGCCTGGCTCCAGATCCTGTGCTTATAACCATCATCCTTCTTTCTAGCAGCCTATACAAACACATCTTAGTAGGGAGTAGGTTGGACTGGTGGCTACAGGAAGTTACTTTAGACTCCAGTGAAAGTCCTTGCTCCACCTCCATGCATGACTTACTGAGCTTGGGTTGTTCTTCAGGTTGCAATGTCAGGTTTGTTGCACTTCTGGGCACAAATACCACCTTGGAGACCTACTTATCTAATCAAGGTTCTAATGGCTTTTCTTGTCTGCATTTTGGAGAGGATGTGGGACAGGAGGTGAAGGCAGGCACAGGGAGGAGCTGTTTTGTGCCCTCCCATTAAGGCCCATTAGTCCCAAGAGGATGTGCTCTCCACAGAGAGAACAGATCCTACATCAGGGAATTTAGCCCAGAGAAGTTTCCAACAATTACCACTGCCTTCTTGTGAGGACAGTGGTAATTAGGTATTAATGTATCTTCTACCTGATCCAGCAGACCCAGCGGGAGTCCAGTTCCACTTCCCTAAACTACTCAGCTGTAATCAGAGAGGAGACAGGAGCCTCCCTTGGTTACCTGGGCCCCAGCTTTCGAAATCTCTCCTATGGTGATTGTGTGTTTACCTATAGCTCTAAAGAAGGCAAACAGCAAAAGGAAAAAAAGATGCCCCCTCATTTGGTTTGCTTCTTGTCTGAGGGAGAGAGGCAGTGGCACCAGATCCTCTTAGTTTAGGGTCCCTAGCACCTGTCTTAGAAATCTCAAGTGTCTCCAATAAGCTCCTTTTAGAATTAAGGCTCATGCAACAGAAATCCTCCACATTCACCGTCTCCTTGCTTCTTGCTCTGGTAGTAGCGACGCTGGACCTACGGGCAAATGGGCCTGTCAGGTCTCAGGCCTCTGCCCCAACTCTCGGAGGGTGGTTTGGGACTAGTTCAGCTTCAGGGGGAATGGTTCCAGCCTATAGGAGCTCTGGGCTAATTGTAAAGGTCAATTTTGGCCAAGGGTTCTCTAGAGCTGCACTGTCTAATATGACACCCACTGGTTATTTGTGGCTATTAAAACTAAAATAAATTATAATTAAATATTATGAAAAATTCAGTTCCTTAGTTGCACTAGCCACATTTCAAGTGTTCCATAGTGACATGGTGGCTATTGGCTATCATACTGGACAGTGCAGATATGGAACATTTCCATCATTGCAGAAAGTTCTACAGAGTAGTTGGGCAGTTCAGGTGTGACACCTAGAAAAAGTGAACTCCTCTCCAGGCCCAAACCTGGAAATTCTCTCCTGTTCCAAAGCTGAGGTGTGTGATTGCCTTGTGCAGAATCACCCATAGTGGAATGATGCCTTACTTCAGACAGTACTGCTGCATTTCTAGTCTGGAATGGGACTGGCCTCTGTGGATGGGGGGCCAGACAGCAGCAGTTGTGGCACTGGGAATCACAGAATCTGAAAGTTGGGAGGGACTTTAGAATTTATCTCTAATCTTTCACTGCTGCAAGAGTTCTCCCAGGATCCCAGGTGGACATCCAGCCTCTCTTTACATGCCCTAGTTGGTGGGGGCATTTCCTATCCTGGGAGACAAGCCCATTCTATTGATGGTTCCTTTGGTTACAGGGGAGTTCTCAGGCTAAAACTGGCTCCCTGGTCATTTTAATCCATTGGTTTTAGTTCTGATCACTGGAGCAGCACAGAACACACCTGCTCCTCATCCTATCTGACTGTCTGCCAACACTGTAAGACTGTCAATCTCCTTCCCTTTGTTCTGTTTCAGTGGCTCCCAGAACTCACTGATCATTAGATTCACTTGGGAATTAAAAAAAAGACATGCAGATTCTGAGTCCCATACTCCAGAGCTTCTGGTCCATTAGATCCAGGCTTTAAAAAGTTTCCCAGATGGTTCTGATGATTGGCCAAATTTTTGGAACCACTGGGCTTTAGTGCTTCTCAGACTTCAGTGTGTGTGTTTTTTTTTAAATTGTGATAAACACATAACATAAAATTTATCATTCCAACTCATTTTTAAAGTGTACAATTTGCTAGGCGTGGTGGCTCATGCCTGTAATCCCAGCACTTTGGGAGGCCAAGGTCGGGGTGTGGATCACCGGAGGTTAGGAGTTCGAGAGCAGCCTGACCAACATGGTGAAACCCCATCTTTACTAAAAATACAAAATTAGCCGGGCCTGGTCGTGCATGCCTGTAATCCCAGCTACTCAGGAGGCTGAGGCAGGAGAATTGCCGCTTGAACATGGGAGGCAGAGGTTACAGTGAGCCGAGATCGCGCCATTGCACTCCAGCCTGGGCAACGAGAGCGAAACTCCGTCTCAAAAAAAAAAAAAAAAAAAAGTGTACAATTCAGTGGTATTTTACACACTTACAATGTTGTACTATCATTACCAGGATCTAGTTCTAGTGCATTTTCATCACCCCCTAAATCAGACTTCCAATGTTTTTAAGAATCTCTGGGGTGTTTGTGCCAGCACAGTTTCCTGGCCCCACCCCAGAGATTTTGACTTGGTAGTTCGGGGTGGGCCTGAGAAATTACACTTGTAACAGACTCCTGGGTGATGCTGACACTGCTGATCTGGGGACCCACTTTGAGGAACACTAGGCTAGATCCTTCTGTTTCATCTTCTAGATTCTCTCACCTCACACATACTCTTTTGTATGATTCTTCTTTTTAAAATCAAGCATTTAGATGTTTACACAACATTTGAGGAAGGGTCTGCAAGAGCGTAGGGTGGCACAATGGCTGACAACCACAACTTAGACCCTTGTGTTAACTCAGCATAAGGCCTGGGGAGTTCTCCAATGGGAGTATTCACACCCCCTTCCATTCTGTCCCCTCTCACATCAAGATGTGGCCATATTTCCCCTCGTGTCATTGTCCCTGAGTTGGGGAGGAACAAGCAAGAGATATTCTTGAATATTCTTTTTGTTTTTTTGAGATGGAGCCTCACTCTGTCACCCAGGCTGGAGTGCAGTGGTGAGATCTTGGCTCACTGCAGCCTCCATCTCCCGGGTTCAAGTGATTCTCCTGCCTCAGCCTCCCAAGTAGCTGGGATTACAGATGGGAGCCACCACCCCTGGCTAATGTTTGTATTTTTAGTAGAGACTAAGTTTTGCCATGTTGGCCAGGCTGGTCTCAAGCTCCTGACCTCAAGTGATCCATCCGCCTTGGCCTCCCAAAGTGCTGGGATTACAGGTGTGAGCCACAGTGTCCGGACTTAATTTTTTTTTTTTTTTTTTTTGGTGAGACAGAGTCTTGCTCTGTTGCCCAGGCTGGAGTGCAATGGCACGATCTCGGCTCACTGCAACCTCCGACTCCCTGGTTCAAGCGATTCTCCTGCCTCAGCCTCCCGAGTAGCTGGGACTATAGGCACGTGCCACCACACCCAGCTAATTTTTGTATTTTTAGTAGAGATGGAGTTTCACCATGTTGGCCAGTATACTCTCGATCTCCTGACCTCATGATCTGCCCGTCTCGGCCTCCCAAAGTGCTGGGATTACAGGAGTGAGCCACCATGCTCGGCCTTGAATATTCTTTAAAAAATAACAAGCACAGGGCCATGTAGAAGTGTCAGAGCTTGGGAAAAAGGGACTTTTAGATTTCTACTTTGAATATGGGTGGGAATCCCAAATATGAGTTGTGGGGGAATAATAATACCCCTAATGCCTTATATTTGGACAGTAATTTTGAGGCTGGAATCCTCTCTGATGTCTATTATTAATGTGATTTATTGTCACAACAACCCTTATATATATATTTGATAAATATATGCTTAGCGTTGATGTAATTAAAATGAATTTGTTCTCTTGACAAGCTTAACTGCAGGGCTGGCATTATCCTTAATTTTAGTGATTTGCCTGCAGTCAAACAGCCAGCAGATGTTGAAGCCAGGATTCAAGGTCAGACACTGGCCCTCCTGACTCTGCTGGCAGAAGTGGATCTGCAGATGAAGCTGCGGTGACAACGTTCTTGTGTGATGATTCTGAAACTTAGTGTGGTGAACTGGGCTTAGAAATCTTAAAAAGAAGAGGCTGTACAAAATCCACTTTTCCCCAGCTTTTTCTTCTAGCAACTGCACTGGCTCTTCTTTTTGCCTCCTAGTTCAGAGGCTAGGACATCATTTCCCAGCTCTTAAGCATGACACGACTTTTCTCGAGGTGTGCCAAATGTGGCATGGAGCTCCCATATTTGAGACTTTGTTTGCCTGAGAGCCCAAGAATGGCTGGGAGCTGAAATGAAGAGAAGGCCATGTTCAGATGCACTGAGTTGGCTTTTATAGTGGAACATAAGCCAGACATAAGCTCCTTACTCCCTGGCAGCTGAAAGAACTGTTTAACTCTGGATGGCGGGAGAAAGCAATGACAAACTTCGCCTTGAGGCCAAAATTATGTTCAGTTACTCTATGGGTTAGGTACAGATCATATCTTGTATATACCTGGCACATGCACTCCATAAACATTTACTTCTTGGACAAAATCAACCAGTCCAACTGTATCAGCAACTTCAGTGGTGGCCACATTTTCCCCTTTCCACCTGGAAGAAAGGACAAAGTTAGCAGAGGTCACTGGTGGTTTCTGGCCCAGGTTGCAATGTCGGAGAGCTGGTGTTTCCTTTAGATTTCTGCATGATCCTGATCTCGTGTTCCTCATCTTGGCCCCTCAAACTCCCCAACTTAGTCCTGGCCGGGGTATCTTGTTTGAGGCATAAAAGGGAAAAGTATAGACCTAGATAACAAAATATGGAATTTCAATGTTGCCACATGAAACACAATACACAGAATAATGTTCTAATGTTAAAATACAGCCCTAGCTAAGAAAGGCAGTGGAAATTAGAAAGAAATCTCAACGATTTTCTGCTGTTTAGGTCTCTCAATTTCTCATTTACTAACTCAGTTGCTACTTAATTCAGTTTCTGAAGTTCTTTTTAATAGAACTTCATATTTTATTTCAGGGTCTCACGGCAACAAGAAAGGAAAAAAAAAATCACACTTTAGTTACAGGGAGATTCTAATGTTAAGGCCCAACCAGGTGCTATTTTTCACTTAATAAAGAGTTAAATTTTGTTTTCATTAAAAATTCTTTTTTTTTTTTTTTTTTTTTTTGAGGCAGAGTCTCATTCTATCACTTAGGCTGGAGTGCAGTGGTGCAATCTCAGCTCACTGCAACCTCCGTCTCCCAGGTTCAAGTGATTCTTTTGCCTCAGCCTCCCAAGTAGCTGGGACTACAGGCGCGTGCCACTATGTCCAGCAATTTTTGTACTTTTAGTAGAGACAGGATTTTACCTTGTTGGCCAGGCTGGTCTGGAACTCCTGACCTCAGGTGATCCACCCGCCTCGGCCTCCCAAACTGCTGGGATTACAGGCGTTAGCCACCACGCCTGGCCCATTAAAAATTCTTTAGCCCTCCCAGAAGTATCATCTTAATAACATGAAGATGGCATAAAGTGATATGGATCTTAAGACATGGAATAGTAGAGATGGAAGGACCCTGAGAATCATCGTGACCCACATCTCAAGGGCAAAAGGACTGAGGTCCAGAATGGTTATCTGTCTTGATACCACTGCTGCTCAGTGGGAGAGGTGAGCCTGGTTCTCCTCATTCCACCTGCTGTCTTTCTACTGCAGTTAGACAACTTCCATCCCTTCCTCATTCATTCATGCAAAAAATGACACCAGGCACCATGGTAGGTGCTGGGGGTGAACAGGCAGACACAGGGCCTGCCCTCAGGGAGTTTACACAGGAAGGAAGCTGTGTCATGAGGCTGGAGGACTGTGCTATGGTTGGAAGTTAATTCCATGGTCTGTTAGAAGGACTTCCAAACTTCCTTGTGCTGACCTGGGGGTTCTGTGGGAAACCATCTGGTTGGGGATGAAAGGGGTTGGGGGAAGGGGCTCCGAACCCCTCACCTCCTCTTCAACTAGATCAGCTCCACATTAATTTGCATCTGATTTTATCTAAACACCTCCATGATTGGAAAGGTGAAAATCCTTGGCTGTCCTAAGAGTGACCAGTAATAATGCAGGAGAAACAAGAGGAGTTAAATGTACTTTTGTCTCCAGAAATCAGATACAGGTTTCCTGCCTTATTCTCATCTGGTGTTGCTCAGCCAAGTTAACCGTGCACTGCAGAGTGACACTTCATGCACTTCATTCCTCATTCTCTGGGAACACAGGAGTTTGACCTGATGTGCCAAAGATAGAGAAGGAAATGCACCATAACCAAAGTGGAATGCGATTCCACTAGGAGTAAGCCAAACTGTGCGTGTGTTTGTTTTTGGCTCAATGATTCAGAAAAACCAACCGGAATGTATCTCCAACTCTGTCGTGGAAATAGATGAAATTTTCATGGTCAACCATTAAGAGATCTCCACTGTTGAAATAGAGGTCTCCTTTCTTAAAGACATCTCTCAGTTTTTTCTTCTCTGTCTGAGCCTTTGCTCCAGCATAGCCATTAAATGGTGTAAGTTGTGTGATTTTGCAAACCAGAAGTCCAACTTCACCTAAGACAGAAGAAAGTAAACTTATTTTATGTGCTAGAGGTCAAATTTATACATCAACCTTCTCTTAAAACTAATGCCATACAACCTGCTGGCAACAAGCTGGCTGTAGGAAGTATCATTTTCCATGCATGTATACCTGTGAATTATATGTACATATATATTACAGACACACATACATACACCACACACACATATACTGTACATTATTGTATATGGCCTAATTATTTTACTTTTATTTTTATTTTTCTGAGATGGAATCTTGCCCTGTTGCCCAGGCTGGAGTACAGTGGTGCAGTCTCGGCTCACTGCAACCTCTGCCTCCCATGGTCAAGGGATTCTCCTGCCTCAGCCTCCCAAGTAGCTGGGGTTACAGGTGTGTGCCATCGTGCCCAGCTAATTTTTGTATTTTCAGTAGGGACAGGATTTTGCCATGTTGGCCAGGCTGGTCTCGAACTCCTTATCTCAAATGATCAGCCTTCCTCAACCTCCCAAAGTGTTGGGATTACAGGCGTGAGCCACCACACCTGGCCTGTAATTCTTTTACTGCTAATTTTTTACTGAATAATGATTTATGCACACTTACACAAACGCACAGTTGTTAAAGCTTAAAGGTAAAGGCCACCTAAAACTATAGTTTTGCAACCACAATTACATATCCCTTCCCACAAAACATTACCTCATAAGCAAGAAGTTGTTAAGCTATGTTTAAAACTAGAATTATGTTACATGCAGCGGTAAATTAGCACCTTTGGAATTCCTGTATATTGGAGGGTACTTAAATAAACCCCCCTTTTCCCCACTCTGATAAATTTTACCATGTGGCAATAATATGTTAGTCCTTAAAAGTCACTTGATCAAGATAAGAAGGGGCACAGGTTGATTGAACAAAAGTCCACTGTACCTTTGGGAACTCTGACGCAATATCCATTTTCATCACGGACAGGTTCATCTTTCTCCACATCATATTTAATCAGGTCATAAGTTATGATTTTCTAGCAAGATTAAAATAATTTTGAGTATAAATCTTTTATAATTTTTCCCTTTTTAATTGTGGTATAACACAAAGTATATCTTAGGCGTACAGGTTGAAGAAATTTTGCATTTGCATATACCCTTAAAACTGCCACCCAGAGAGAGACAGAGAAAACTTTCATTTCACCTAGAAAGTTTCCTCCTGCCCTTTTCTGTGAAGTTAACTACTATTCTGACTTATACTGCTGTCAATTAATCTTAAATATCAAATAAATGAAATAAATGTATGCTTCTGTGTCTGCTTCTTTCACTAAATATGTCTATAATATTCATCCATCCATGTTGGTGTTTTTTATTGCCATGCAATTTTCCCTTGTATAAACATACCACGATTTATTTATCTATTTTCCTGTTAATGGGTATTTGGATTATTTCTAGTTTTGGCCTATTATAAATAAAGCTGTTATGAACATTCTTGTGTCTTTTGGTGGATGTATCACAAATGGGTTTTTAAAATCTTGTATAACCTTATATTAATATGACACTATTAGATTTTTCATGTTTCTAAGGAAATGTTATCTAATATATTTTAGAATCGAAGCCATAATTATTTCATGCCCATGACTATAAAATTATGAAAACTCTATCATATTTAACATATAATTCAAAGCATAAGAATTTAATTATCAGCAATTCAGTAAGAGCAATAATAAATATATTATTTTCCTTGTTGGAAGAAAAATGCAAACATGACAGTATTTGGATATAATTATTAGCCATGATTACTGTGTCTATTTCAAATTTATATTCAAGTCTATGTGATGAAGCAAACAATCATATGCTTTAGTATTAGCAGACAGCTAGTACTTGTTAAAAAAACAAGTGGTGTTTATGGTCAACAAATGTAGATCTTATTTGCAGGAATGTAAAAAATTTATAGGTAGTAATAAATGTTCTTTTCTACATCAATTGCATGGGATCATCCGGTTTTTAAAGTTTTTTTTTTTAATGTTTTGCTTAAAGTAGAAAAACTGACAATAAAATATGGCAATCAATGGATGAGAAAGTAAAGAATGGGTAATATACAGCATTAGCTGACCCTCAGCAGCAGTTCCAGTGGGGTGTAGGAGATCGATTCTCAGTCTGCAGCAGCACTGCCCAGGAATCTGCTGTGATGATGGAAATATTCTCTGTCTGCATTGCTCAATACGGTAGTTACTAACCACACGTGGCTATTCAGCACTGGAAATGTGGCTAGTGTGACTGAAGAACTGGATTTAAACTTTTATTAATATAACTTAAATTTAAGTAGCCACATGTAGCTAGTGGCTACTGTTTGGACAGCGCAGGTCTAGAGGACTGTGGAGGGACTTGTGTAGCGTAGGTGGAGCTGTCATTGTCAGAGAGGGTCCTTGAACTTGGGAACACCTTGAGATTAGGCCAGAATATAAGAAATAGAGTGATTATCATCATTACGGCTAACAATTATTCAAGGCTGTTAAATGACAGGCATTGGGCTATAGCCTCTAAGGGCCTTTTCATAAGTTATTTAATCCTTTCTTTTTTTTGAGATGGAGTTTCGCTCTGTTGCCCAGGCTGGAGTGCAGTGGCGCGATCTCGACTCACTGCAAGCTCCGCCTCCCGGGTTCACGCCATTCTCCTGCCTCAGCCTCCCGAGTAGCTGGGATTACAGGCTCCCGCCACCATGCCCGGCTAATTTTTTTTATTTTTAGTAGAGACGGGGTTTCACCGTGTTAGCCAGGATGGTCTCGATCTCCTGATCTCATGATCCACCTGCCTCGGCCTCCCAAAGTGCTGGGATTACAGGCGTGAGCCGCTGCGCCTGGCTGTTTAATCCTTTCAACAATCCTTTTCCCTTATCGAGTGTGGGCTAGGCACTGGGTTCAATATTTTCTCTTGTTATCTCTGTTTTACAGATGATGAAATTGAGGCCTGAGGAGCATATGTGACCTGCCCAAGGTCACTCAGCTAGCATATGGTGGCACTGAGATTTGCTCTCCACAGCCAGGGCTCTTACGCACATGAACTACTGTCCTCTGTATTCTGCTGGCCTGTCCCTGGGGACACAGGTTGCGTGGGAGTTCTGGTGCGGCTGTTTCATGGCCAGAAAGGATGAGCTGCCCAGAGGCACAATGACCGCAGTGACTTCTCAAGCCAAAGGAGGCTCAGCATTTGCTGAACATTTCTGGATATTTGCAGAATTGTTGGTTATCTGGAAGACTGACTGCTTGAGTACAAAAAAGACAACAGAGACCCATGAGCAATAAAATGACTGACAGGGAAAAGAGACGGCTATGTGAGCTGGCTTACAAATATCTTTCTGGTGGAATTATTAGGTAGACATAAATGTTCACCAGATCCTAGCACTGAGATGCCTGGGCTCCACCTCAGAACAACTGAATCCAAAGCCTAGCGGGTTGGTCCTTGCATCTGTGCATATAAAAAAAACTCCCCAGGTGATGGTGCTGCACGACACAATTAAAGGGAAATACTATGTTTCACAGTGTACGATTAGCTTACGGAACTTGTAACCTTCAGGTGTTTTATCACATGCAAGTATAAATGGCATCAGGAAGACTTCACCTAAGTTGCAGATGGCAAGGGCACAATGGATTGTTCTTAATAGAAGTTGAGATGCTTTTAATTGGAGGATCTGATTTTTTGAAGTCATCATCACAGAGAATGAGCAAAACTTCTCTTGGTGATAGGAATGGGCCATGGCTCTGATGCTGCCTGACTTCTGATAACATCATCATGACTTGGCTTTTAAGAAGTCTCTGTATTCTGAAAACTGGCTACGTATGCTCTCATTTTTCAATGTACTTACTTTCTGTAGGTAGTTTACTCTTCCAACAGCACCAACTTTTCTCGCATAATTCATAAATCCAATATTGCCTTCAGTGGCAGCATAGAACTCATAGATGCATATGTCCCCAAATCTCTTGACAAATTGTCTCCACACATCTCCTCGTAAGCCATTTCCCAGTGCCAGTCTCACTTTATGATCACGGTCATTTGGTTTCTGTGGTGGGGGAGAAGAAGGAGACCAAACTGAAACATCTCTGGAGCCTATGCTTACATATTAATAATTGCCTTTATTTTGTATGTATTTAATTTATACTGACATTGCCTTTATTACATATTTATGTTGGTTATAAATGCCCCTTAGTGTCTGCCTTTTTCCTGCCACCCACACACATCGTTCCCTATTCCTCTAGCACAAGCAGTATGGTCTGACAGCTGGAACTATGATTTAACAACCAAAACATGTGAATTCTCCCATTTTGGTTTCTAAGGAGCCAGATGAGGCAATCTGACAGAACCAGGTGATGCCAACATTTAATCCATATCCAATCTAAAGTTAGAATAATGTGTATAATATGTTCATAGTTTTCTTGATGGGGCTGGTGAACACTGGTGAATTTCCAGAAAGGAAGAGCCACATGGGAAAGATCTGTCAGAGATGGGCACAATCTACTACCAGTGGGACCCTGAGCAGTGTCTAGGATTTTTATGACAATAAAGAAGAAAACAGGAAACACAGTCCAGTGAGCGACAGAGAGAGAGAGAAAGCCATTTTCCACAAAGCCATTAAAGAGCAACAGTTGGATCCTGTGGGAACTGCAGGGAAGAGTCTTGACCATGCCCTGCCCCATTTAACAGGTAGACTCCAGTGTTCATAAGATCAGGCAGAGCTGAACCGAGACAACAAAACTGTCCCAGTGGGATGGGGAGGGGAAGAGAAGGAGGAGGCCACCTCCCAGTTGCCTCAGGTGGCCTGGGAAGAATATGATTTGCTGTAAGTAAAGATCACAAAGGAAAGTCTGTTTTGGGTGTAAGGACTGAAAGGAGTCTCTCTGGTGTCAGCAAGAGAGGTGGGGCTATGACCAGGCTGCCTTCCATTCAACCACAGTCATTTAGGAGACCCCACAAATATGTCCATGCCAATGATGGTTTTATTTATTTTATTTTATTATTTTTAATTGTTAACAAAGACTAGTCAAGTACAGTAGTGAGAAGAGGGGAAAGAGTAGAACAAGAAGTTTGATCTATAACTGTGAACAATCAATTGAGGTAACTCACTACCTTCAGACCAGCCCGGTGATGGTTTTAATATCTTATGTTAATAATGTAATTTATGTCCTCCAGGAAATCACAGGTTGGTGGAAGAGACAAATAAATAGGTATAATTTTACGTTGTAAATTCTGTTACTCTATGACCTTTATTCTATCAGGATACAGAATGAAATGGGGTAACAGTGCTAGGTCATTAGGGCTGTCCTCTCACATCAACTGTTAATTTCTTTGATAAAACAGCAATTGGTTAGAGCTTTTTCTATATTATTTCTTACACTGTGAAATCACTGTGAAGTGGTTTTGGAATAAGAATTACTCTTTGAAAAGCACTATAAGGGTACGGGACTTTGGCATGGCAATTAAAAACCACACCAAGGCAAACTCTGAATTGGTTTCCATGCAGGAGGAGCTAAGGCGCCAGGGAAGCAGAAAATAAACATTTAATCTTTAAGTAGCTTGGCCAGAACATATGCGGCTTTTTGAGGAGTCCCACCCAGAGAGGTGGACTGATGCTGGTCACTGGTGAAAATGGGCCCCTTGAGCAGTCATTCTGAGGAGGAAATGTGTCAAGAGAGACCAGCCCACCCCCACCCCACCGCCAGTGGCTCTTACCCAGGGTGTCTGGGGGAGCTGCCTGAGAAGCCTTTTGAACCTGCATGAGACCTAGACATTCAGACTGAGTAGGAATCTATTTTCTCTCTCTCTTTTTTTTTTCGAGACAGGGTCTTGCTCCATTGCCTAGGCTGGTGCAATTATGGCTTACTGCAGCCTTAACTCCCAGGCTCAAGCGATCCTCCTGCCTCAGCCTCATGAGTGGCTGGGACTACAGGTGCGTGCTACCATACCTGGCTAATTTATTTATTAATTTTGTAGAGATGAAGTTCTCACTATGTTGCCCAGGCTCATTTTGAACTCCTGGCCTCAAGCTATCCTCCTGCCTCGGCCCCCTAAAATGCTGGAATTACAGGCATGAGCCACTGTGCCCAGCCAGAATCTATTCTCTTCTGGTCCCTAGGTCACTGACTCTACCCCGCTTTATAATTACCAAGCTCCCGTTAAGTCCAGAGATCATATGTCTGGTTTGCCAGGGCAAGCCCTGGCTATACGTGTCCTGGAATGCTGGTTATCTTTCATTACCTTCACTCTCAAGTGTCCCTGTTTGGATACTGAATTGTAGGGTCACCCTGCCCACAAGGCACTATCCTCTTCCATAAGGACTGTCAGTATTCAGAGACCACCCCCTCCCACTGCCGCCCCAAGGATAAAACATCACACATATTTGAAGACTTGCTTTTGCTTAAAGAAGATCACCTGAGCTGGGTGCTCACCTGCTCCCAGGCTTGCAATGGAAGCTCCAAAGCAGCATTCCCACATGTAGACCCAAGGTCTTACTTATCCCACATGCAGCCCGCCAGCAGCCCTTCTCCTACCCACTTCGTTTATTTCCTTGTCTATTGGATGGTGATTATCTATCTCCCTCATTAAATGGTAAACTCCTTTGAGGCCAAATGTACATGTATCTCTATGTCATCCCCAGTGCCTGGACCTGTGCTTTGCATAGAGCATAATCCTGGCAGTAAAATAGATAATCTCTACCAGGAAACCTCACTCCCTGTTCAATAATTAGTGGCCAGGTCAGGGCAGGGCTTAGGGTGCAGGAGGCCGCAGGCACCCTGGGTGTGTGGGAAGCTGACCAGCCTCACAGGTGCAGCTATCACCTGCCAGTAGCAGGTAGCTGAGCTCATAATCACAACACCATGGGCTCAGTTTTCATCATCCAGCTGAAGAATCTTATTACATCAGCAAAAGGGATTAAGGCTGGAAATGTTTGTGGGCACAAATGGGAGATCCTGGAGGCTTCTAAGATGTCTGGTTCTCACCTAAGCTTTTGCTCACCAGTGGCTGAAAGAGTATGACTCAAGTTTTCCTTTCCCATAGGGCGAACAGTGTTTCTCCATCACCAAAGCTACTCCTCAGAGGAACTGATTTCTAGATCAAGGGTCACCAGCTTATTTTTTTTAAACAAGAAAAAAACCTTCTTCGTCACATTAGAGCTAAGGTGAAACATGCAAACACACCTGGGGGACTGATGAGGAGCAAGAGGTCAAGATGTCCAGAGAGGAATGAAGGGTGCCAGGTAATTAACACAGGCAGAAAGCTTCTATTGAAGGCTTTTCTGTGGGTCAGGCAGTTGACCTGTTTCTAAAGAACCCTATGAAAGGTGATAGCTAATAAAAGTATTTGCCTCATATTACAATTGAGGAAATGGAGACTCAGGAAGCTTAAAATTATTTT
This sequence comes from Homo sapiens, assembly GCF_000001405.40. NCBI lineage: Eukaryota > Metazoa > Chordata > Mammalia > Primates > Hominidae > Homo > Homo sapiens. The sequence continues at coordinate 50,219,614 of NC_000015.10, read as the reverse complement.
CCCAGGATCACAAAGGTAGCAAAACGGTTGCTCCAAGATTCAAATCTGAATCAATGTGGCTTCAGAGAGCTCTTTTCCTTATTTTTTTTTTAAAGCCCTGCACTTGAGAGGGCGTCCACTGTGCTGCCCCTCCTTACTCATGCCCACCAATAAATTCCACCCCCCACAAAAAAAAGAAAAAAGGAAAAAAAGCAACAAAGAGAGAGTGCCACACACATAGTGTAAGATAAGAAACAAATAGTCCTGAAAGACCCTTAAGTGAACAATGCTGTATTCACGCCATCTACCTGTTCCCACCCTTCACCCCCAGTTTACCACCCAGAGGCAGACAGTTAACTCTTGTAGCTGCTTCTTGCTATCTGCATATTTCTAAATTAAATTCTAAATTAAATGCTTATACTTCTTTCTCTTGTTTCGTCAATTTCAGATTTCCTATTGTGGTAGATGAGGATTCAGTTCTTTCCTATTCTCTCTCCCATTTTTCCAGTATCACAATTTTTGGTTAAACCAATATTCAGTGTTCACATTATTCTGCCCATAATACAACACTGAGGAGCCAAGTAATACACTATGAACAAATTTTTATTTTTCCTGGAATTAATTGCCTTTCTTCCAATTTGCTTCATTTCCTTAGTTTCTATTGGTAAGTTTCCCCTTATCCTCCAACAGCCTCTAAAATTTTCCTCATGGTGAAATCTATCTGCTCATGGAATTTCCTGTTTTCCATTATGCTTCTTTGTCTCCTCTGCTCCAGTCTGGACTAGTTATTTTCTAAGCCTGGGGGGTCCCTTTGTCTCTCTTTCCTTGATCCTGTGTTTTCCTCTGCTTTTTTTTCATTCTGTTTGGATGGAATATTTTCTTTAGTAAATTCCCGAAGGGGAGTATGTACATGGTAAGTTTTTTTAATTTTATTTTTACTATTTTTTTGTGGAGACTTGGAATATCTGAATATTGTATATCTGAGTGATGATTTGGCTGGATATAGAATTCTAGATGGGCAATAATTTGTATCTAGAATTTTGAAAGCACCAGTCCTTTGTTTTTCAGCTTGCAGTGTTGCTACTGACAGTCAAACTTTCACTATCTTTTTTTGGTAGTCTTAAATTTCATCATGGCACAATTTCTTTTTCCTGCACTAATTTTATTGGCTACTCCATTAGCCCTTTCAGTCTGTCCAGCCCTCGGATGTTTTCCTGTACTATTTCTTTGATCATTTCCTCCTCTCCACTTTCTCTATTCTCTTTTCCTGATTTCCAATTAAATATATATGGGACCTCTTTGATTAGTCTCTAATTTTCCTATCTACTCTCCCTTTATGACCATCAATTTATCTTTTTAACTTTCTGTAAGATTTCTCAGCTTTATCTTCCAACTTTTCTATGAATTAAAGATTTTTAAACATCATTTTAGTTTTCAAGTCTGATTCTTTTTTTCTTTTAAAACAGTACACTATTCTTGTTTTATGGATACAATATCTTCTCCAGTCTCTCTGAGGATATTAATGATACATTAAAAACATTTCTCCCGGTTTTTTTTTTTTTTTTTTTTTTTTTTGAGACAGAGTCTCGCCTCTCGCCCTGTCACCCAGGCTGGAGTGCAATGGTGCAATCTCGGCTCGATGCAACCTCTGCCTCCCGGGTTCAAATGATTCTCCTGCCTCAGCCTCCCCAGTAGCTGGGATTACTGGCGCCCACCACCGTGCCCAGCTAATTTTTGTATTTTTAGTAGAGATGGGGTTTCACCATGTTGGCCAGGCTGGTCTTGAACTCCTGACCTTGTGATCCGCCCACCTCAGCCTCCCAAAGTGCTGGGATTACAGGCGTGAGCCACCGTGCCTGGCCTCTTCTGTTTTTTGAGTTGATGCTTCTTTTCTTTTGATGATCCTTCCTGTAGGAGGCGTTCCTCAGGTGCTTGGTGATTCTTCATGTTTGTTCAGATTTAAGAGTAATGCAACAGAAAGATGATTAGGCAGTTCTGTGGGGGCAGGGTGAGGGGGCTACTGCTAGCTGGGCTGCACTGCTGGTTGACGAGGCAGTGAGCCCATGTCCAATGTCTTTTCCGGGAAAGTTTAGTTCTTCCTAAGAATTACACTCCTTCAATATCCTGCCTGCAAGCATAACCTGGCTACTGGAGTTCCAGTATCTGTGCAGGGGAAAGGAGCTGGTGGGGTCTCCCTGGTTAGTACGTAGATACTTTCTTAATCTCTGTTTTCAGTGCCTCGTCCCTGCTCTCCTCTGTTCTTGGGGTCCTTCAGTCAAAGCTTCTTTAGCTCTCCAGAGAAAAATCCTCCTGTCTCCCACACAGTGGAAGAGGGGAATAGCAGGTCCAGCTACTTCTTACACAGATTTTATTTATTTATTTTTATTTTTCCATAAGTTCTTGGGGGTACCGATGGTATTTGGTTACATGAGTAAGGTCTTCAGTGGTGATTTGTGAGATTTTGGGGCACCCATCACCTGAGCAGTATACACTGCACCATATTTGTAGTCTTTTATCCCTCGTCCCCCTCCCACTCTTCCCCCCAAGTCCCCAAAGTCTATTGTATTATTCTCATGCCTTTGTTTCCTTATAGTTTAGCTCCCACATATCAGTAAGAACATACGATGTCTGGTTTTCCATTCCTGAGTTACTTCACTTAGAATAATAGTCTCCAGTCTCATCCAGGTCACTGCAAATGCTGTTAATTTATTCCTTTTTATGGAATATATATATATTTTTTGGAATATATATATTTTTATGGAATATATATATATTTATGGATATATGTACTATATATTTATATTTTATATATCCATAAAATATATATATTTTGTGGATATATATTTATGGAATATATATATTTTTATGGAATATATATATATATCATATGGAACCAAAAAAAGAGCCCGCATAGCCAAAGCAAGACTAAGCAAAAAGAACAAATCTGGAGGCATTACATTACCTCACTTCAAACTATACTATATATATATATATATATATATATATATATATATATATATATATACACACACACACACACCACAGTTTCTTTATCCACTTGTTGATTGATGGGCATTTGGGTTGGTTCCACGATTTTGCAATTGTGAATTGTGCTGCTATAAAAATGCGTGTAGAAGTATCTTTTTTGAATAATGACTTCTTTTCCTCTGGGTAGATACCCAGTAAGTGGGATTGCTGGATCAATGGTAGTTCTACTTTTAGTTATTTAAGGAATCTCCACGCTGTTTTCCATAGTGGCTGTACTAGTTTACATTCCCACCAGTAGTGTAGAAGTGTTCCCTGTTCACTGCATCCATGCCAACATCTGCTGTTTTTGATTTTTTTGATTATGGCCATTCTTGAAGGAGTAAGGTGGTATCGCATTGTAGTTTTGATTTGCATTTCCCTGATCATTAGTGATGTTGAGCATTTTTTAATGTTTATTGGCCATTTGTATATCTTCTTTTGAGAATTGTCTATTCATGTCCTTAGCCCACTTTTTGATGGGATTGTTTGTTTTTCTCTTACTGATTTGAGTTTGTTGTAGATTCTGGATATTATTCCTTTGTCAGGTGTATAGATTGTGAAGATTTTCTCCCACTCCGTGGGTTGTCTGTTTACTCTGCTGACTGTTCCTTTTGCTGTGCAAACGTTCTTTAGTTTAATTAGGTCCTAGCTATTTATCTTTGTTTTTATTGCATTTGCTTTCGGGTTCTTGGTCATGAAATCCTTGCCTAAGTCAATGTCTAGAAGGGTTTTTCCAATGTTATGTTCTAGAATTTTTATAGTTTCGCGTGTCAGGTTTAAGTTCTTAATCCATCTTGAGTTGAGTTTTGTATAAGGTGAGAGATGAGAATCCAGTTTTATTCTACACATGGCTTGGCAATTATCTGAGCACCATTTGTTGAATAGGGTGTACTTTGCCCCCTTTATGATTTTGTTTACTTTGTCAAAGATCAGTTGACTGTAAGTATTTAGCTTTATTTCTGGGTTCTCTATTCTGTGGCAATGGTCTACATGCCTGTTTTTATACCAGTACCATGCTGTTTTGGTGACTATGGCCTTATAGTATAGTTTGAAGTGGGGTAATGTAATGCCTCCAGATTTGTTCTTTTTGCTTAGTCTTGCTTTGGCTATGCGGGCTCTTTTTTTGGTTCCATATGAATTTTAGAATTTTCTTTTCTAATTCTGTGAAGGATGATGGTGGTATTTTGATGGGATTGCATTGAATTTGTAGATTGCTTTTGGCAGTATGGTCATTTTCACAATATTGATTCTACCCAGCCATGAGCATGGGATATGTTTCCATTTGTTTGTTTAGTTTATGATTACTTTCAGCAGCATTTTGTAGTTTTATGTAGAGGCCTTTTGACTCCTTGGTTAGATATATTCTTAGGTATTTTATTTTTTTTGCAGCTATTGTAAAAGGGGTTGAGTTCTTGATTTGAGTCTTTGCTTGGTCGCTGTTGGTGTATAGAAGAGCTACTGATTTGTGTACATTAATCTTGTATCTGGAAACTATGCTGAATTCTTTTATCAGTCCTAGGAACTTTCTAGAGGAGTCCTTAAGAGTTTTCAAGGTAAATGATCATATCGTCAGCAAGCAGTGACAGTTTGACTTCCTCTTTACTGATTTGGATGCCCTGTATTTCTTTCTCTTGTCTGATTGGTCTAGCTAGGACTTCCAGTACTATGTTAAAGAGGAGTGGTGAGAATGGGCATCCTTGTCTTGTTCCAGTTCTCAGGGGGAATGCTTTCAACTTTTCCCCATTCAGTATTATGTTGGCAGTGGGTTTATTATAGATGGGTTTTATTACTTTAAGGTATGTCCCTTGTATGCCGATTTTGCTGAGAGTTTTAATCATAAAGAGATGCTGGATTTTGTTGAATGCTTTTTCTGCACCTATTGAGATTATCATGTGATTTTTTACATTTTGTTTATGTGTTGTATCACATTTATTGACTTGCATATGTGAAACCATCCCTGCATCCCTGGCATGAAACCCACTTGATCATGGTGGATTATCTTTTTGATATGTTGTTGGATTTGGCTAGCTAGTATTTTGTTAAGGATTTTAGCATCTGTGTTCATGAAGGATATTGGTCTGCAGTTTTCTTTTTTGGTTATGTCCTTTCTGGTTTTGGTATTAGGGTGATTCTGGCTCTATGGAATGAATTAGGGAGGGTTCCTTCTTTCTCTATCTTGTGGAATAGTGTCAAAAGAATTGGTACCAATTCTTCTTTGAACATCTGGTAGAATACTGCTGTGAATCCATCTGGTCCTGGACTTTTTTTTGTCGGTAATTTTTAAATTACCATTTCAATCTTCCTGCTTGTTATTGGTCTGTTCCAGGGTATCTAATTCTGATTTAATCTGATTTAAGCCAGGAGGGTTGTATTTTTTCCAGGAATGTATCTAGCTCTTCTAGGTTTTCTAGTTTATGTGCGTAAGGGTGTTCATAGTAGCCTTGAATGATCTTTTGTATTTCAGTGGTGTTAGTTGTAATATCTCCTGTTTTGTTTCTTAGTGAGGTTATTTGGATTTTTTCTCTTCTTTTCTTGGTTAATCTTACTAATGGTCTATCAATTTTATCTTTTCAAAGAACCAGCTTTTTGTTTCATTTATCTTTTTTTTTGTTTGTTTGTTTGTTTCAATTTCATTTAGTTCTGCTCTGATCTTGGTTATTTCCCTTCTTCTGCTGGGTTTGGGTTTGGTTTGTTCTTGTTTCTCTAGTTTCTTGAGGTGTGACCTTAGATTGTCTGTTTGTGCTCTTTCAGTGTTTTTGTTACAGGCGTTTAGGGCTATGAAGATTCCTCTTAGCACCGCCTTTGTTGTATCCCAGAGGTTTTGATGGGTTGTGTCATTATTGTCGTTCAGTTTGAAGAATTTTTTCATTTCTGTCTTGATTTTGTTTTTGACCCAATGCTCATTCAGGAGCAGGTTATTTAATTTCCCTGTATTTGCATGGTTTTGAAGGTTCCTTTGGAGTTAATTTCCAGTTTTATTCCACTGTGGTCTGAGACAGTGCTGGATATAATTTCAATTTTCTTAAATTTATTGAAGTTCATTTTATGGGCCACCATGTGGTCTATCTTGGTGAAAGTTAGAAAGTTATGCGCTGTTGAATAGAATGTGTATTCTGCTGCTGTTGGATGAAATGTTCTGTATATATCTGTTAAGTCCATTTGTTCCAAAGTATAGTTTAAATCCATTGTTTCTTTGTTGACTTTCTGTCTTGATGACCTGTCTAGTGCTGTCAGTGGAGTATTGAAGTCCCCCACTGTTATTGTGTTGCTGTCTATCTTATTTCTTAGGTCTAGTAGCAATTGCTTTATAAATTTGGGAGCTCCAGTGTTAGGTGCATATATATTTAGGATTGTGATATTTTCCTGCTGGACAAGGCCTTTTACAATTCTATACTGTCTCTGTTTGTCTCTTTTAACCACTGTTGCTTTAAAGTTTGTTTTGTCTGATATAGGAATAGCTACCTCTGCTCACTTTTCATGTCCTTTCACATGAAATGCCTTTTTCTACCTGTTTACTTTAAGTTTATGTGAGTCCTTATGTGCTAGGTGAGTCTCCTGAAGGCAGCAGTTGGTTGGTGAGTTCTTATCCATTCTGCAGTTCTGTATCTTTTAAGTGGAGCATTTAGGCCATTTACATTCAATGTTAGTATTGAAATGTGAGGTACTGTTGCTTTCATCATGCTCTTTGTTGCCTGTGAACTTTTGTTTTTTTGTTGTTTGCTTTTTCACTTGTATTCTTGTTTTATAGGTCTTGTGTGATTTATACTGTAAAGAGGTTGTGTTATGATGTGTTTGCAGGATTTGTTTCAAGATTTAGAGCTTCTTTTAGCAGGTCTTGTAGTGGTAACGTGGTAATGGCGAATTCTCTCAGCATTTGTTTGTCTGAAAACGACTGTATCTTTTCTTCATATATGATGCTTAGTTTTGCTGGATACAAAATTCTTGGCTTACACTTGTTTTGTTTGAGGTGGTTGAAGATAGGGCCCCAATCCCTTCTAGCTTGTAGGGTTTCTGCTGAGAAATCTGTTAATCTAATAGGTTTTCCTTTGTAGGTCACCAGGTGTTTCTGTCTCACAGCTCTTAAGATTCTTTCCTTGGTCTTAACTTTGGATAACCTGATGACAATGTGCCTAGGCAAAGATCTTTATGTGATGAATTTCCCAGGTGTTCTTTGTGCTTCATGTATTTGCATGTCTAGGTCTAGCAAGGCTTGGAAGTTTTCCTCAATTATTCACCCAAATATGTTTTTCAAGTGTTTAGAATTGTCTTCTTCCTCAGGAACATCAAGTATTCTTAGGTTTGGTCTTTTAATCCTAGACTTCTTGGAGGCTTTGTTCATATTTCCTTATTATTTTTTCTTTGTCTTTATTTATTGGGTTAATTCAAAGACCTTGACTTCGAGCTCTGAATTTCTTTCTTCTACTTGTTCAATTCTATTGCTGAGACTTTCCAGAGCATTTAGCATTTCTAAAAGTGTGTCCAAAGTTTCCTGAATTTTTGCTTGTTTTTTTCATTTACTTTTTTTTTTTTTTTTTTTTGAGACAGAGTCTCACTCTGTCTCCCAGGCTGGAGTGCAGTGGCGCGATCTTGGCTCACTGCAAGCTCTGCCTCCCAGGTTCATGCCATTCTCCTGCCTCAGCCTCCCGAGTAGCTGGGACTACAGGTGCCTGCCACCACTCCAGCTAATTTTTTTGTATTTTTAGTAGAGAAGGGGTTTCACTGTGTTAGCCAGGATGGTCTCAATCTCCCGACCTTGTGATCTGCCTGCCTCAGCCTCCCAAAGTGCTGGGATTACAGGCTTCAGCCACCATGCCTGGCCCTGTTTTTTTCTTTAAGCTATCTATTTGCTTGAATATTTCTCCTTTCACTCTTGTAACGTTTTTTTGGATTTCCTTGCATTGGGCTTCATATTTCTCTGGTTCCTCCCTGATTAGCTTAATAACTAACCTCCTGAATTATTTTTCAGGCAAATCAGGGATTTCTTCTTGGTTTGGATTCGTTGCTGGTGAACTAGTGTGATCTTTTGGGGATGTTGATGAGCCTTGGCTTTTCATATTAGCAGGGTTGGTTTTCTGATTCCTTCTCATTTGGGTAGGCTCTGTCAGATGGAAGGTCTAGGGCTGAAGGGTGTTGTTCAGAATTTTGTCCCATGGGGTGTTCCTTTGATGTAATACTCTCCCCCTTTTCCTATGGATGTGGCTCCTGTGAGCCGAACTGCAGTGATTGTTGTCTCTCTTCTGGGTCTAGCCACCCAGCAAGTCTACCTGGCTCTGGGCTGGTACTGGGGGTTGTCTGAACAGAGTCCTGTGATGTGAATGATTTATGGGTCTCTCAGCCATGGATACCAGCACCTGTTCCAGTGGAAGTGGCAGAGGATGCAATGACTCCATGGGATCCTTAACTTTGGTGGTTTAATTCCCTGTTTTGTGCTGTTGGCCTCCTGCCAGGAGGTGGTACTTTCCAGAAAGCATCAGCTGTAATAGTGTGGACAGGCACCAGCAGTGGGCAGGGCCCTAGAATTCCTAAGATTATATGTTCTTTGTCCTCTGATACCAAGGTGGATAGGGAAGGACCATCAGGTGGGGCCAGGGCTAGGCCTGTCTGAGCTCAGACTCTCCTTGGTCAGGTCTTGCTGTGGCTGCTGTGGGGGATGGGGGCGAGATTCCCAGGTCACTGGAGTTGTGTACCTAAGAGGATTATGGCTGTCTCTGCTGAGTCATGCAGGTTGTCAGGGAAGTGGGGGAAAGTTGGCAGTCACAGGCCTCACCCAGCTTCCAGGCAACCTGAAGGGCTGGTCTCACTCCCACCGTGCCCCCTCAACGGCCCCGAGTCTGTTTCCAGGTGGAGGGCGAGTCAGGCTTGAAAACTTGCCCAAGGCTTTCTGCCTCCCAGCTGTTAAAGAAAGGGCTTTAGTTCTTCTCCGCCTGTGGAGTCTGCAAGCCAGATTCACACCCTCCCTGGAGTTCTGGCCAGGAGTCTTCTTGCCCCGTTCAAATTATCCCAAAGTTTAGCTAGAGAATTCCTTCTCCCTGTGGAGTTTTGCCCCCTGCTCCTCTGGCCACCCTCCTGATGGATCCCTGTGGTGCCAGGCGGGAATGGGCTGCTAGGGGAGCCAGTGAGCTCCCAGGGCCTTTCTGCAGCTTCCTCTACCTTTGTATTTTGCTCGGTTTGGCTCTCTAACTTGACGAGGCTCCAGGTAAAGTCGGGAAGTTCTACAAACAGACCTTCAGCTTCTCCAGTATGTGTTCGGGAGATGAGGGTCTCCCTTTCCCACTTCTGCAGTTGGGGCGATCACAGTATTTGGGGTGTCTCCCGGGTCCTCTAGGAGCAATCCACTTCTTTCAGAGGGTCTGTGGGTCCTCTTGGGGTTGCTGGTTAGTTCTTGCAGTCAAGCTGGAGCTAAAATTCACAATGTGAGCCTCTCATGCTGCTCTGTCTGGAGCCACAATCTAGTCCTGCCTCCCGCTCGCCATGATCCTGTCCTCCGTATTTTACTTCTTACACAGATTTTCAAATAACTCCCCTGTTTTAAGTCTGACACTTCATCCCACCTTCAGCTGTATTCAAAGCCTGCAATTTCTCAGCCTTCAGGAAGGCAACTGGCTTCCTTCCTGTTGGGACTTGCCTCTTAAGTTTCACCCTTCTCAGCCTACTATGTCAGTCACTGTTATCTTTTAGCTTCCTATACTATGTAGTTCATGGTTGCAATGTCTCTTAGTTTCTGAGATGATGGTGCTTGTGTGTGTTTTTCTCATCGCCTTGTTTTGGGGTGACTTCCAAGAGGTGAAAGGGAAGAAGGTCTTTATCACCTTAGAAAAACTCCAGAGTCCCTGTTCTTAATAATTAATATGTTACACTTCTGCCTGGACAAGGCTCCACCTGTTTGCTTTACAGAAGAGGCCCTTCATCCTTCTGTGTATTCTCACATCGTAGCCAAAAGGACTGTCTAAAAATGCCATCTCCCACATTGCTCTTCCATGTAAGGCCCTTTAGTCATGGCTTGTCATGTTCACATTTGAGTCTCAGCAGAGTAAAGCCCTTGCCACCTGACCCAGCCCCTCAGCTTCACCTCCTGCCAGACTGCTTGCAGTTCCCAGTGTGCTGGGTCCTTCATCTCACTGCTCACGTGATTTTCCTGCTAGCCAGAAGCCCTTCTTTTCTTGCCTGGCTGCAGAACTTCTCCGTACTCTTCAAAGCCCACCTTCCCTGGCGAACCTTCCTGATTCTGCTCCCCTTCCCTCTTTCTTTTGGCCTCCCTCTGTCTTGGGCCCCAGTCATATTGGCCACTCTCCACTCTGTGCTGCAACAGATCCATCCATTCTCTTTTTTGAACAGAATGAAGCTGATGCAGAGACAGAAATTTTAGGCTAGAAGGGACCACAGAGGTTATCTAATTCTGGGGGGACGCAGTCAACACTAGAGGTAAGTTGAATCTATTCAGCTTTTTCAGGGTTCTGGCCAATATTATTTCTCCTTCCAAATATCATGGTTCTATGTGTGGCCCCTGGAACTCTTTTTTGGTTCCCTTTCTGTCTTCCTCCTCCCACACTCCAGCAGGTGTCATAAAGCCTCATTGAGACCCCTGTACTGGAGCCTTGTCCAGTACAGACTGTAGCTTCAGTCTGTAACTGGAGGAAAGAAACACTGAGCTTTAGCAATATCATGCTCCAATAAATAACTTTCCCTAGATGACATTGTTTTTAGGCAACTACAAAAACCGAATGGGAGCTGACAACCATACACTGCAAGAAATGAATCAGAATGGCCTTTCATTACAAACAGTCGCTTTGAAAGCAAAGGCCCAAATACAATGCGGGAAGACGGCAAAATAGAAAATATTCACTATAATATTTTAAAAATCACTTAAGTCAGTAGCTTTGCTATCCCATCCCCTACTCAACCTCAGATGAGAGTGATTAACTAAGTAGAATGTTTTCCCTTATTTCTTCCTTTGTGTAAGTGGGCAGAATTTTCATTGATTCATTCAACAAATATGTATGGGGTACTTATTATGAGCTACACACTGTTAGGCATGGAAAGTGATAATGATAATAATGGCAACATGTGTTGAGAATTTACTAAGTTCCAGCTACTATGTGGTTTATATATATCATCTCAGGTTGTCTTCATAGACCCCATGTGAGGTAGGTACTATTATCTCCTTGTTGGCTGACGGGAAGCTGAGATTTAGAGAGGTTAACTATCCTGCTCCAATGCCAGAGTCAGAATGCAGGCCGACTAACTCCAGAGTACTTGCTCTCAGCATTACTTTAAGTACCTGGGGCCAAATCTGAACCACTGACCTGAGCAGGGCTGGAAGCATTCTCCATAGCCCACTGCTCTACTAGAGAAGCTACTGAATATGGTTAAGAAGAGGGCAGAGAAGCACAGTGGCTTCTACCTCCCAACACTGGCCCCAGATTCTCCTGATGAGCTGGGCCATATATGTCTGTGGATGGGTGTCACTTGGTTTAGCTGTTCTGCTAAGGCAGAGGTTGCCTCCCTGGCATCCAGTGCTTGGGGGTCGCTGGTGGGGTTAGTCCCTCCAGCAACAGCGTATTCTAGGCAGCTCTAAGGGTGAAGAAGTTCCTGATTACATTGATCCAGGCCCTTCCCCCATTCATTCTAGTTTTTATCCAATTCTTTTTTTTTTTTTGCAAAGTCTTTTTGATATAATCTTTCCCTACATCCCATACAATCTGTACTTTCTACTTCCTATGATGACCTATGATTAAATTTAAAAAAATTTGCATAGATCTCCTGCTTGTCTAATGACATATGATTGTTTTCTTTCTTTCTTTCCTTTTTTTTTTTTTTTTGAGACAGGGTCTTGTTCTGTCGCCCAGGCTTGAGTGCAGTGGTGCAATCTTGGCTCACAGCAACATCTGCCTCCTGCTTTCAAGCGACTCTCCTGCTTCAGCCTCCTGAGTAGTTGGGATTACAGGCACGTGCCAACAAGCCCCGCTAATTTTTGTATTTTTAGTAGAGACTGGGTTTCTCCATGTTGGCCAGGCTGGTCTTGAACTCCTGACCTTGAATGATCTGCCCGCCTCTACCTCCCAAAGTGTTGGGATTAGAGGCATGAGCCACCGTGCCTGGACTGATGACCTATAATTTAAAAAAATCTTTAACTGAAGGTTTTTTTTTGAGATAACTTTGATCTTTTATTATACTTTTTATAAATATTTTCCAAACAGAACTCAGGGGTGGGGAAGCACTGGCAAATAGGAAGTCCAGGGGTCATTCAAGATTATGCATTAAATCATAGTATATTTTGAAGTTGTAAAACCCCAGTGAAATTGTCTTTGTTTTCCAGTATTTGAGACAACAGTAAGAGAAAAACTGGGAGAGTGCATGCATGTGTGTATGTGTGCATGTGTATATGTGGATATGTGTGGGCCTGAAGACAGCTACACACAAACATATTTATTTTCGTCCAGTCCAAAGGAAGCTCCCATTAGAACATACAGAAACAACACACACTCCCCAGGAGATTTTCTAACTGACAAAGGAGTGCCTTTAAGGTAGAGAAGAAAAGCCCAGCAGAAGGGTCCCATATGGATTTCTGGATTTTAATAGAGAGACATGCTATCTTGGAGGCCACGTGGAATATTAATGTGAAAAAAATTCAATAATGACATGAACAGAACTGCTGTGGAAAATACCCTAACCCAACTCACTGCTAATGATGATCCTCGAGAATCTATTGAATATGCCAAAAAATCAGAATAATATGTGCTAAGCCCAAACATTTTGGGGAAACATTTTAGCTCCCTCAACTCAACTACACATTTTTCAGGGGCAAGGATTTAGAGGTTCAGTCCACAAAATCTGTTGATGCCTATGATGTGTCATTTACAGATCTTGGTGCCGTAGATCTGGTAGTGGACAGAGCCCCTGCTCATATGCGGCTTTCATTTAATTGGGGCGAGGGGGGGCAGACAATAATCACATAAACCTTTACTATGTCAGGAGTGACAGGTGCCATGAAATGCAGTGACAAGCTGGACAGTGAGGGGCAGATGATATGTTTGATTATTAGCAGAAGAGGCCTGTCTTCTAATGAGGCAACATCTGGGCAGAGACTGAGTAAAGTGAGGTGAGAGAGACCTGGGGGAAGAGCATCTGACACTTCTTTCTGCGTCACACGGCAGCTGGTATGTTAGGTGAGTACAACAGGTGCTTATCAATAGCAATTTATCAACTTAGTGATCCTTTGAGTTTAAACTGACTGAATAAAGGAACTAGAATCTGGTGAAAGGGATTAGAATCTGGTGAGTTTACTGCATTGTCTAGTACAGTGGTTCTCAACTAGGTTAGCATTTCCCTGCCAAGAGACATTTGGCAGTTTCTGGAGACATTTTGATGATCATGACCTGGGGAGGTGGGGAGGTTACTACTGGCATCTCGTGGGCAAAGTCCAAAGGGTGCTAAACACTCTACAATGCACAGAATAAGTCCGCGCGGCAAAGAATTAAAAGCCCAAAATGTCAGCAGTGCCACCATTGATAAATCCTATCTGATACCAGATCTCTGATGAGAGTTGAGGGACTGGGCAGGAGGAGCTCTTGAGAACAACCCCATCGAGAGCTGAACATCTGCAAACAGGGCAGATCCAAGGCCATTGGAGATGCCCTGGGGCATCTGTTCCCAGCTTGGTGACAGACTTGGCTGGCTGGTTTCAAAGTCACACAGAGATTTATTTGTTAAACAGCATTAAGTAAAAGTTTCCTGTATGCCTTCGGTATAACAGAAAACAAGGAGACAAGATGTGGTTCCAGCCATCAAAGATATTACAGCCAAGGAAGGATGGGAGACATGAACACAAACTCCTGCAACATGACAAGGGCCACAGAGGGTAGAAATAAAATGACGTAGGGGAGAAGAGTAATGACTTTTGTTGGAGTGACCCAAATATGTTTAATGTATGAGGTATCATTTGAACTGGGCTTTGACACTGGCTTTTAGTAAGCAGAGGGGGAAATGCAGGATATGCTAGGTGGGGAGTAAGATGTGAAAACAAGTAAAAAGGCAGGAAATAATCATCATCATAATAATAATATTAACTCCCACCTACTAAGTCCCCTCTATATGGTAGGTATAGTGCCAAGTACTTTATCATGATAATTGTATCCTAAACTCAAAACTGATATATGCAAATCAGTTGAAGCCTAGCACAACCCAAAGTGACTTGAATTTCCATCTTACCCATTTCAAAATGATAGTAAAACGGGGGGAGTGTTACCTGTGGTGAGTTGCATAAATACCGAAGCAGTTCACCGATATACTGAATGACAGTGACGTTGTATTTTCTGCAGTCATCCCAAAACTGGCTGGCTGAAAATTTAGTCCGCAAGGCAAGAGTAGCACCTACAGAGAAAGCACAGAAAGTGTCAAGAAAGAAATGGTGGAAAAAATTCTCCCAGTTATGTTTAATTTGTCAACTTTGAACGGTAGAAATTTAAAAATAAATTATATTTGCAAACAAGTATTGAGTACCTTATATTCAAATGCAAAAAATTAGTAAGACATGGTTTTGTTCGATAGGGGCTTCCAATCTATGGAGGAGAAGACTCATACAAAGGTCATTTTAATAAAAGTTAGCTTGCAGTAAGAGATTCAAATGAAGTCCTAAGAGGGAGGGAGGGGAGAGGGAAAGAGATTTCATGCAATATATATATATATTATATTATATATATACTAAATATATGTATAAATAGAGTGAGACTCTGTCTCAAGTATATATATATACACACATACATATATATACACACACATACATATATATTATATATATACACACACACATACATATATATGTATTTTATATATATATATTTGAGACAGAGTCTTGCTCTATTTTTTTTTCTTTTTTTGAGACAGAGTCTCGCTCTGTCACCCAGGCTGGAGTGCAGTGGTGCCATCTCGACTCACTGCAACACCCGCCCCCCAGGTTCAAGTGATTCTCCTGCCTCAGCCTCCTGAGTAGCTGGGATTACAGGCGCGTGCCACCACACCTGGCAAATTTTTTGTATTTTTAGTAGAGAAGGGGTTTCACTGTGTTAGCCAGGATGGTCTCAATCTCCTGACCTCGTGATCTGTACCCCTTGGCCTCCCAAAGTGCTGAGATTACAGGCGTGAGCCACCGTACCTGGCCCGGGTCTCACTCTATTGCCCAGGCTGGAGTTCAGTGGTGAAATCTTGGCTCACTGCAACCTCTGCCTTGTGGGTTCTCGTGCCTCAGCCTCTAAGTAGCTGGGATTACAGGTGGACACCATCATGCCTGGCTAATTTTTGTATTTTTTAAGAAGGGATGGGGTTTTGCCACGTTGACCAGGCTAGTCTCAAACTCCTGACCTCAAGTGATTCGCCCACCTCAACCTCCCAAAGTGCTGGGATTACAGGCATAAGCCACTGTGCCTGGCCCATTCATGCAATATTTTAAATAACTTTGTGCATAAAACAAAGTTTGTGTTAAGTACTTATGTGTAGTATTTTCCACTTGTGGTGTCCTGGTGCTTAAAAAGTTACAGATTTTGGAGCATTTTGGATTTCAAATTTTTGGATTGTGTGTGTGTGTGTGTATGTGTGTGTGTTTGAGCTGCTATAACAAAATAGTACAGATGGGTGGCTTAAACAACATTTATCTCTTGCAGTTCTGGAGGCTGGGAAGTCCCGATCAAGGTGTCTGGTGTCTGGTGAGGGCATTTTTCCTGGTTTGGGGATGGTCATCATCTCCCTGTGTCCTTACATGGAACAGAACAGAGTCAGGAAAGAAGCTGGCTGTCTCCTGTTCTGATAAGGGCACTACCTTTCATGAAGGCACTACTCTCATGACCCAATTACTTCCCAAAGGCCCTACCTGCTAATACCATCATATTGGGGGTTAGGATTTCAACATATACATTTTTGGGGGACACAAATATCCATCCATAACATGCATGCATATACACACACGCATATATGTGTGTGTATATACATATGTGTATATATTTTTATATATACATATATGATTATTTAAAATGAAATGCCACATGAGAGAAAAAGTTGTTTATTTAGCTCAGTCAGAAAGTTACATATAGCTTCCTGGAAGAGTTGGCTATTGAACTTTGCGGTAATGTATACAAGTGACATGAATCCTCCTGGAAGGAGAGAGGATGGCAACTCCAATTTGAATAGTAAAGTCTGAGAAGGAAACAGAAGAGATGGCAAGCCAAGCCAAGCCAAGTATTCTGATGGAGTTGCCATCTTCTCTCCTTCTAGTAGAGCTGAAAAGCTGTGGAAATGGGAGATTACAGAAGAGTGCACACAACTGCAGAAGTTTAAAGCTGATGGAGATTAACATGCAAGTTTCTAAAGATGGAAATGACATGACATAGAATCTAAGACTCAAGTGTCATAACCTAAAATTTTTTTTTTTACAGTCAAGGTCTCACTCTGTCACCCAGGCTGGAGTGCAGTGGTGCAATCACAGCTCACTGCAATCTTGAACTCTTGGACTCAAGCAATTCTTCTACTTCAGCCTCCTGGGTAGCTGGGACTACAGACTTGAGCCACCATGCCTGGCTATATATATATATATATATATTTTTTTTAGAGATGAGGTTTGCTATGTTGCCCAGGCTGGTCTTGAACTCCTGGCCTCAAGCAATCCTCCTGCCTTGGCCTCCCAAAGTGCTGGGAATACAGGTGTGAGCCATTGCACCCAGCCCTAAAATATTTTAAAGGAGTTTGTCTCTTGATATACTGAACAATTATAGCATTACATTATTAGATAGGCAGGCATGAAAAACAGATTATTTTAGATGCTTGCTTGTAATATGTGATTCAAATTGCCTTATTGTTAATGCAAAATTGAAAACTGTTCCTAGCAGACAGCAACGTAGCCAAATTTTGTATTACTGTTCCTTCTGGGAAAATGTAAATGTGCACTCGCCTCCAACATTTTGTAGAAAAAGCTTACCAGCCACAATACATCCGTGAATGCCAATCAGTAGTGCAGCACTGTGGTAAAAGGGCAGAGTGATATAGATGACATCATCTGCCTTCAATCCGCTTACAAAAGTGAGGCCAGTTCCATACCATATGCGCTGATGAGTGATCATGGCTGCTTTTGGAAGACCTTTGTAAATATACAAGAGAAGGCATGAGTTAACCAAGATTGGGCATTTACAGTGTAGGAGAGAGATCTGGCTTAGGAAGATTCATCACCCTGTATTTTGAGAATTGCACTGGGAAGGGCCATGACCAGTTAGTCCAGGAGTTGACAAATGTTTTCTATAAAGGACCAGGGAGTAAATGTTTTGGGATTGTGGGTCATACAATCTCTGTTGCAACAACTGAACTCTGCTATTGTAGTCAAAAGCAGCCATACACATACATAAATGGAGTGTGGCTGTGTTCCAATAAAACTTTATTTACAAAAACAGGTGGGAGGCTGTATTTGGCCCACAAGCCATAGATTGCTAACTCCTGAGTTAGATGGTTATGACAGTAGTAATCTGAAGAGAAACAGAAACAGAGGAATGACTGTCCATTGAATTTCTGCCCTGTGGCTACCACTTTGCAAGACATTTTAAAAATCCATAACAAGTTTATATATGACATAAACAGAATTATATTCTCCAATCCACAGATGTGAAGGCTGAGAGTCAGAGAGATTTCTTACGTACTAGAGTTATTTTATACAAACAAAGCAAATATGAACATTTGCTTATATGTTCTTGCCTTTTCCATTAAAAAATATGCACACTTGGCCAGGCGCGGTGGCTCACGCCTGTAATCCTAACACTTTGGGAGGCTGAGGCGGGCGGATCACAAGGTCAGGAGATCAAGACCATCCTGGCTAACATGGTGAAACCCCGTCTCTACTAAAAATACAAAAAATTAGCCGGGCGTGGTGGTGGGTGCCTATAGTCCTAGCTACTCAGGAGGCTGAGGTAGGAGAATGGCATGAACCTGGGAGGCAAAGGTTGCAGTGAGCCGAGATAGCGCCACTGCACTCCAGCCTGGGTGACAGAGCAAGACTCCATCTCAAAAAAAAAAAAGAAATATGCACACTCTTTTGCATGTTTTTTGTCTCTGCTGCTTAACAATGTTTACTGGAGATTTGTTCATGTTTGTACATAAAGATTTCCCTTATTTATTCATTTATTTATTCTCTTTCTCAGCTCCTTCAAGTCCTTTTATAAGTGTATTATAATTTATTTATACTATTTGCTGTTATAAATGATGCTGCAGTGAAGAAGCTCGTCCACGTGGCAATTCACACTATGAATGACACCATATCTTTTGGATAAATTCACTGAAGTGAGATTGTTGTGTCAAAAGATAAAAGTTGGCCAGTCCTGTAATCCCAGCAATTTGGGAGGCTGAGGCAGGAGGATCGCTTGAGCCCAGGAGTTCAGCACCAGTCTGGGCAACATAGTGAGACCCCTCCTCTACAAAAAGTAAAACAAATTAGCTGGGTGTGGCGGTATGCACCTGTAGTCCTAGCTACTTGGGTGGGATGATCGCCTGAGCCCAGGAGGTTGAGGCTACAGTGAGCCCTGATCCTGCCACTGTACTCCAGCCTGGGCAACAGAATGAGTTTCTGTCTCAAAAAAAGAGTAAGAGTCTTTGTAATTTTGATAGATAACTTCCACATTGCCAGTTATAAGGGCTGTCCCCATTCATTCTCCTATCAGCAATACATGAGTGTGCCTGTTTCCTCCTAGCCTTGTCAATGTGTGCTCTTAAATGTTGGGGCCTTTGCCAGTCTGAAAGGTGAAAAACCGTATCTCAGTGTAGTTTTAGTACATTAGACTAAATGCGCTTGCACTTTCTTAACCATAATTTATATACGTTTTTTGTAAGATTTTCTTCTGTAAGTGTATGCTTATGTTGTTTCCCATGGAAGAACAGTTCAATTGGGGAGGGCATGAAGTCACTGGGAAGGGGACTAAGAGTTTAAGATCTGAGTGGGTAAACAGACTTCGTGAAGAGGAAGACAGATCTCTGTTGACTCAGATTCTTCAATACTTGGTGGTACCTTCACCAGATAGTGCCCAAATAGCAGCAACTTGTTACAAGGCAGACAAATATGGCTAGCAACCTACCATTATTGTAAACACAATTCAAAATTCATTTTCTTTGACAATGGCCCAGTTTTTTGTTTTGTTTTATGTATTATTATTATTATTATTATTATTTTTGAGATAGGCTTTCACTCTGTTGCCAGGCTGGAGTGTAGTGGTGTTCAAGGCTCACCACAGCCTCAGGTCAAGTGATCCTCCTGTCTCAGCCCCCCAGGTATCTGGGACCACAGGTGTGCACCACCATGCCTGGCTGTTTATTTATATTTTTTGTAGAGACAAGGTCTTGCTTTATTGCCCAGACTGATGTTGAACTCTTGGCTTCAAGTGAGCCTCCCATCTTGGCCCCAAAGTGTTGAGATTATAGATATGAGCCATCATGCCTGGCCTCTGAAATTTTTAAAAAGAAATGCTCATCTTTGTTGCCTTGAAGTACTTTCAGAACTTTCCTAAATTAAGATTTTGTATTAATGAATAAATGAGAATATCTGGTAACTATTATATAATTTTGTGCTAATGACTTCCTTTGAGGAGCAGGAACATTTATTCTCCAACTGTTTAAACAAATTCTTTTAATTAATGTTTACAAGAGTAACTTAGCACTATTTTTTTTCTACAGACAGTGCCTTGCTCTGTCACCCAGCATGGGGTGTAGTGGCACGTCACTGTAGCCTCAGACTCCTGGGCTCAAGTGATCCTCCCACCTCAGTCTCCCAAGTAGCTAGGACTACAAGGTGTACCACTATGCCAGCTAATTTTTTAATGTTTTTGTAAAGATGTGGTCTCGCTATGTTGCCCAGCCTGGTCTCAAACTCCTGGGCTCAAGTAATCCTCCTGCCTTGGCCTCCCAAAGTTCTGAGATTGTAGATGTGAGCCACTGTGCTTGGCCTAGCAAATATTTGATTCAGAGAAAATGAAAAAAGTAAAATAAACACCCTTCTAATTGTCTTCCAATTAAATATAAATTCTGACTTACGAGATTAAATCAGAGGATGCTCATTCTCTTTTTTCTCCCTAAAAGGGGTTTTCTTTTTTTTTCTTTCTTTTTTTTTTTTTTTAAGACAGAGTCTCGCTCTGTCGCCCAGGCTGGAGTGCAGTGGCGCAATCTCGGCTCACTGCAAGCTCCGCCTCCCTGGTTCATGCATGCCATTCTCCTGCTTCAGCCTCCTGAGTAGCTGGGACTACAGGTGCCCGCTACCACACCTGGCTAATTTTTTGTACTTTTAGTAGAGATGGGGTTTCACCATGTTAGCCAGCATGGTCTTGATCTCCTGACCTCGTGATCTGCCTGCCTCGGCCTCCCAATAAAAGGGGTTTTCTATTTGACTGTGAAAACATGCATTGTAACAAAGTTATAAACATTTACAATTTAATTTTACCATTCTATTAAGAAATGATGATAAAAGTCCCATATGTTAAGGGAGTGTCTGCATGCAGCAGAAGCAATTGGTTAATTGTGCCATCTCACCTTTCTGTTGGCCTGGCAATAAAAATAAAAAAAAAAAGATAGACATTATGTTTTGGGCACCAGCTTTAATATGTCATTCCTGGCTTCCTCTCATTTACTTAAATACTTAGCAAAAGTGACTGTATGAAGTGAAGTCAACAATCAGGTTAAACTCAGGTCCAGGAACTGTGAGCTCAGGTGGGTGCTGAGGGCCTGTCGAGGTGAAGGAGACAGTTCCTGTCAGCTGCAGCTGAGATAAAAGGCTCAAGGAAATTTTATCCTGGTCTATTGATTATTTAACAAGGAGAAGACCTGTATTACCTGCTTAAATTAAATTAAAATTTTAATCAACAGAGGTAAAAGACTCATAGATTCAATTTTCCAATATTAATAATAATAATTGGCATGCTGGGGCTGGCTTCCTGTCCTTCTTTTAAATATATCCCTCAGGCTTCATATTATTACATTTTGGTCTTCCTGGCCTGTAGTAGGCAGACACTAAATATCTATCACACGAATAAACAAGAAGGTACTGGGGTAGAGCTGTCAATTGTATGAGCTGTGGAATCAGCCTGCAAGGTGAATCCTGACAGTTCTAATGCTTACCTTGGGAAGTTCTTAACCTCTCTAAGCATCATTTTCTGAATCTCTAAAATGGAAGTAAAAAGAGTACCGATGTCAAGAGTGGGGGCAGAATCTTATCAACAAATGTTGTAAAGCTCCTTGAAGAATGCCTAGTACACATGCTACCCTTAATATTGCTTCTTCCATACAGCAGTGTTCCCATAACATTGTTAATTGGCAGTGTTTCTTCTTAGTGGCTCATAATGGGGCAGCTTACAGTTGAAGGCATCCTAGATTTGATGAAATACAGTATTTTAGGTCTTATGCTACAGCCACCCCACATCCACAGCACCAAACAGCTCCAAATCAGTGTTGCATGGGAAGATAACGGTTAAAACATTTATATAAATAGAACCTCCTCATTGTTCACTGGTCTTCTCCTGTGTTCCATTTATAATCAATTATACAGTCTATATGGACTCTGGATGTAATATAATCAAAATACAACAAGCATGAAAAAAAATTCCAACTACCCATTCAGTGCCAAATCTCATTCATCATCATAACTACTTCTGTAGTTCTTGGTTAACCTCTTTATCTGTTCTATACCAACTGGCGGAAAATATGCATAGCTTGGAGAAACGCAAATGGGATCACATGCTATGAAATAAGATCAGTTCCCGCAGGCAAATAACTAAATCTCCTGAAGTATTAGTTACCCAATACGTTTTGCCAAAGAAAGAGATTTGAAAACCTGTGTCAACATTTAACTCCTTCAGATTAATTTTTTTGGAGAATCCCCCCTTTATTTTTACCTGTGGTTCCAGAAGTATAAATGTATAAGGCAGGAGTGGAAAAAGTGACTTCAGACCTCCATGACTCTGGGATAGGTTCAGTTGATACTTCATCCACTTTGTCCAGGAAAGAGTCAATCCCATCTGTGTTAGAAGTTCTGCTCACATAATAGATGGACACATCATCTTTTTTAAGGCTTGGCAGTATCTCTTCGACAGCTGCTTGTAGTTCTTAATTTAATAAGAAAAATATCAAAACAAACTAAATCAGTCTATTAAAGTTCTATTAGTGCTTCAACAAGCATCATAATTTTATTTTCAGCATAATTTTTTGCTTAAATGTGTGGGCATGACAAATGATGCTTATCGTTATGCATTTTATATTATTATTATTATTTTAATGGAGATGGGGTCTATGTTGACCAGGCTGGTCTTGAACTCCTGGCCTCAAGCAATTCTCCCATTTTGGCCTCCCAAAGTGTGGGGATTACAGGCATGAGCCACTGCACCCAGCCCTATTATGCATTTTAAACATGAAATTTACTACATTTGAAAAAAAAAATCACAGGATTCCAATATTTGAGGGAAGGTTGGGTTTTGATGGTTTCACAAGCATAGCAGATGGTTGGCTGAAATCTGTACTTCTTGTGGCAAGTGCAAACCAATAGACATATGGGCAAAACCCAAGAAATATCCGTGTGTAACTGATGTATATCTAAATATACTCCAGAAATAAATTTGGCTATTCCTAATATGTGCCACACAGGACTAAAGATGAAAAAAAGAGAAAATTTTAAGGAAGGAGAAGAGAAATGAAAAGAAGGGAGCCGTGCTAATTAACAAAGATGATAGAAGCTAACTTTATGTAACAATTTTTTCTTATGCATCAGTAACAAGTAATTTCCTAGGAAGGTTAAACTGATCTGAGAAATAAGCTCTAAATTTCAAAAGCCTGTTTTCTAATCTGAGGGAAAAAAAAGGAGTGATTAATTTAGAGCAGTGTTTCCCAACCTGTGGGTCATAATTACAGTAGTGGATTGTTAAAATCATTTAAACTGAGCGATATTTAAAAAAATGAAAAATACTTAAGGAAATAGAAATTTTGAAGCACATCTTAGCATAGTAAAAGGTAACAGTTCTACTGACAGTTCTACCGCTTATCTTGAGAAGTTCTTAACCTCTCTAAGCATCATTTTCTGAATCTCTAAAATGGAATAAAAATAGTACTCATCTCAAGAGTGGTAGCAGAATCTTATCAATAAATGTTATAGAGCTCCTTGAAAAATGCCTAGTACACACTACTCTTAATATTGCTTCTTCCAGATAGCAGTATTCCTATAACACTGTTTTAGGAATTATTCCTAATAGATGAACAGGGCTGTTCATTTTTAAAAGTTTTGTTTCAGTTATGTGGGTGTGTGGGTACTGGGTCACGCACAAAAGTATTTCTTACTGGGTTAAGGTCAAAAATGTTAAAGGCACCGATTTAATATGCAAACCACATTTCATGCTTGCTACTTGGATTTTGTGCCTTTAAGCCGTAAAGTGAGACTGCTTTTAAGCCTACTTGTCTTGAATTGTGATAACGGAAGTGAATGTACATACATATATATATATATATATATATATATATATATATATATATATATATATTTTTTTTTTTTTTTTTTTTTTTTTGAGACAGAGTCTGGCTCTGTCGCCCAGGCTGGGGTGCAGTGGCGCGATCTTGGCTCACTGCAACCTCCGCCTCCCGGGTTCATGCCATTCTCCTGCCTCAGCCTCCCGGTAGCTGGGACCACAGGCGCCCGCCACCATGCCCAGTTAATTTTTTGTATTTTTAGTAGAGACGGGGTTTCACAGTGTTAGCCAGGATGGTCTCAATCTCCTGACCTCGGGATCCGCCCGCCTCGGCCTCCCAAAGTGCTGGGTAGGAAGGTGACTAAATGTCCCAGGGTATTACCTTGGGGAGGCTACACCTAATTCATCTGATATGCTTTGTTTTTCAGATGTTTGTGTATGATATCTCCATAAAGACAAGAAATATCACCGGGATAGATGCATTTAAAATTTAAAAAAATATTTTAATCAAAAGACTCATGCACCTGGTAACAATAAATCAAATAGTACAAAAGTGTTTACAATGAAAATAAACAAGTCCTCACCCAGGCCTTCCTCACAACTAAAGCTAATGCCTAGGGGAAATCATTGTCAATTTTTTATTTATTTTATTTATTTATTTTGAGACAGAGTCTCACTTTGTCACCCAGGCTGGAGTGCAGTGGCGCGATCTCGGCTCACTGCAAGCTCCGCCTCCCGGGTTCACAGCATTCTCCTGCCTCAGCCTCCCGAGTAGCTGGGACTACAGGCACCTGCCACCACACCTGGCTAATTTGTTTGTTTTTGTTTTTTTTTTTTTTTTCATATTTTTAGTAGAGACGGGGTTTCACTGTGTTAGCCAGGATGGTCTCGATCTCCTGACCTCGTGATCCGCCCGCCTCTGCCTCCCAAAGTGCTGGGATTACAGGCATCAGCTACAGCACCTGGCCCACCACTGTCAATTTTTTAAAAGCTGTTTCTTCTGGCAATTACCTTTCCATCACCAAAAAATATGCATTTCCTGCTAGTTCTTGGCCTATCAATTTTGATCCCTACTTCCATTTCACCCTGTTCATTTCTGACAGTTATTATCTTCCCTTTACATTGTCTAGGGTAATAGCATTTATATTTATTCTGATACCATTATTCTGTCTTCCCAGCTTTATGGATTTGCTCTAGAAGCTGAAAACCAATAATCAGAATCAACATAAATGTGACTATGAAAATATTCACCACGGAGCCAAGTAAAGTACTATAATTGTACTTACTTTCTTGAACAGTTCTTTTTTTTTCTTTTGCCCCAAGAATCTTTATTCCCCTCCTTTACATTTTTTAAAAAATTTTGTCTGGTTGCTCTCTAATCCTTCAGCACTCCAGAAAGGTTACCATAAATATGACTGTTGTAGAAACGGGAGTGGTAGCATCCACTCCTGTGCCACTGCCTTGGCTCATGTCCTCATTATTTCCTACCTAGATTATTGCTATAGCCTCCTGACCAATGTCCTGCCCTTGAGTCTCTTCCTGCTTCTAATTTATCAGCTTCACTCTCATCCAATTTCTTGTTGCCACCCTGTTTAAGATCCTTCAGGGCTGTTCATTCCTTGTGATAGAATCCACTCTCCTTATTCGGGAGGACCGGAGGTGCCTCCCGGTCCCACTCCTGCGTGCTTTCTGTGTCATCTCCTACTCTCTACCTCTTGCCCTCTTTCCTCTAACCACATTGATCTATGGAAAATCCCTGAAGGTACCTGTATGCTCACGTCTCATTACTTTTGCCCAGGTTGTTTCATGGTCTCTCACCCCCTGGTCACCTGGAAAACTCCTGCTTATCCTTCAAGACTCAGTGTAGGTAGCACTTCTTTTCTGTTATCTTCCCTCCCTCTGCAAAGTTAGCTGCTCCCTTCTACAGCTCCCATAGGAGCCCGTATTTACAATTATCAGGGCGCTTATACACAGTATGATAGGGTTCAATTTTTTAATTTTTCTTTAGAGACAGGGTCCTGCTCTGTCTCCCAGGCTGGAGTGCAGTGGCGTGATCATGGCTTACTGCAGCGTCAACCTCCTGGGCTCAAGTGATTTTCCCATTTCAGCCTCTCAAGTAACTGGGACTACAGGAGTACCATGCCCAGCTAACTTTTTGTAGAGATGATGTCCCGCTACGTTGCCCAGGCTGATCTGAAACTTGTGAGCTCAAGTGATCCTCCCACCTCAGCCTTTCAAAATGCTGGGATTACAGGTGTGAGCCACCATGCCTGGTGGATGTGGTTTAATTCATTTTCTCCTCTATTAGACAGGGAGATCTTTGAAATTAAGATAATAATCAAATCATCTTTGTACCCCCAGAACTACTAGATAAGTGCTCAATAAATGTTTATAATTGAAAAAATTTTGCACAAAATATGATATTAGTGTGGAAGACACAGAGGAATAAGGTAAAGCTGCTTAAAGGATTCAGATCTGGCAGTTGATAAACCTTTAATGAAACATAATGTAAGATGAAATAATTTCTGAGATACAAGTATGCCTTGCTTACAAGTAAGGGCCCACAGAGGCAAATTTTAAAACAACAACTCCTACTGCTAAAGAATTGTGAAATCTCCTTTCTTTCCTCCTGTCATGAGACTCAGGGTCCATAGTCAAACAATCCGTTCATAAGTTACCTGGATCCATTCTCATTCCCTCCCTCCCAACATTTATTCAACATCTATTTAAAGAGTGTTCCCTGTGTGCCAGGCAGGTCTCTACATGCTGGATATGACAGTGAGCAAAACGCTCTCCCTGTTTTCATAGAGCCCAGGTCTAATAGAGGAGAAACAAACAAACAAAAATCAAAATAAATTGCCACAGGTGTCACAACAGGGGAAGGAGAAGGTATTTGGGGAGCAGGTGGTGGGGGGCAGAAAGACGACCTAGAAGAAGTGCCCTGTAAACTGAGACCTGAAAGATGAGCAGACGGTGGAGATGAAGATCAGCTGGGACTGACTAAGCCTGAGTCTGGGCAGTGGAACGGCTTATGCAAAGGCCCAGAGCCAACGCAGCCTGGGGCCTGAGTAACTAAAAGAGGTTAAAGCTGACTGGAATGTAGAGTTGGAGGGGAATAAGGTTGGGAGAAGAGGTAGGGAGACCAGCTGTTAGATGATGCTTGTCTACACTGTGTAGGCAGCAGTGTGGGTAGAGAGAAGTGAATGTACTTAAGAGATATCTGGTAGGTAGAGTAGATAGGACTTAGCAACAGTCTTTTTTTTTTCTTATTTTTCACCTCCAAGTAATCATCTTAATGAGGGGAAAATGGTAGGTCAAAAGGGACTTTAAGTTTTTCTGTACTTCTTCTTCTTTTTTTTTTTTTTAAGAAAAATGTACTTACAGCTAGCCTGGGCAACATGGCAAAACACCTCTACAAAAAAATACACACACAAAGAAATATTAGCCGGATGTGGTGGCGCACACCTGTAGTCCCAGCTACTCTGGAGGCTGAGGTGGGAGGATCACCTGAGCCTGGGAGGTCAAGGCTGCAGTGAGCCATGATTATGCCACTGCACTCCAGCCTGGGCAACAGAGTGGGACCCTGTCTCAAAAAAAAAATTTAAAAAAAAAGAAAAATGTACTCAGGTATTAGCATGAAAAATTAATAATAAAAGGAAATGTAATTAAGCTGGTGTCATGCTTGATCACAGTCCAAGCAACTTCACCTCATGTGTACTTCATTCATGTTCCCAGCTGGCCCTCTGCAGGCATGTAGTTTGTGATTCCTGACCTTTTATGCAAGTCATCTAATCTGAAGGGAGGGCCATTGCCCCTGCCCTACACCATCTCCTTCCATCTCCTCTAGGCTGTTGGTGTAGATTTGTTATTTGGGCAGACTTGAGTTTCCAGCGGCTTGCCAACCATATCTGGACACACTATGGAAGCCTTTCTTCCCTTAAAGATGTAGAAAGAAAAAAGAAATTTGAAAGGAAATTCTGGATGTGAATCTACCTGTCAACTATCTAGTTGATATTTAATGTCTTTTATTTTCTTGAGTCTTTTGTAGATATGTTTGGGCCTACATATTTTCTTTTTTCTTTTTTTTTTTTTTGAGATGGAGTCTCACTCTGTCATCCAGGCTGGAGTGCAATGGCGTGATCTCAACTCACTGCAATCTCTGCCTCCTGGGTTCAAGCGGCTCTCCTGCCTCAGCCTCCCGAGTAGCTGGGATTACAGGCGGCTGTCACCATGCCCGGCTAATGTTTGTATTTTTAGTAGAGATGGGGTTTCACCAATTTGGCCAGGCTGGTCTTGAACTCCCAACCTCAAGTGATCCGCCCACCTTGGCCTCCCAAAGTGTTGGGATTACAGGCATGAGCCACTGCCTGGTTGGCCTACATATTTTCTAATGCAAGCATAAAATATCTATCTACCTTTTATAATTTTTATTGTAAAGTCTGCTCATCTATCAATCAGAACATGTAAGCTCCTATAATTCTATTTGTCAAGGTTGGGTTCTCTGAGACTCCGAGATGTGCATGCAGGAGTGCTCTTGGGAATGGGACCTGTGAGGCTGCAAGGGAAGCAGACTGGATAGAGGGAGACATTGAACTGTAATGCAGTCACAACAGAAGTCTCCCTCAGCAGATCCTCTAATCCTAAGGGGACTCTGGACCTGGGATGCCCTTCAGAGTTACCTCCTAAATTAAGGGAGGTAGGCTGTGCCTTCACACCTGCCCATTGACCAGTCCAATGGACTCAGGCTGGGGTGGTGGTGCTTAACCTTGGGCAAAGTGTCTCTCTTCAACCAAGGAGAAGTCCTGGGAGAGGTCTCAGCTGAGAGCTCCCAGCAGCTGAAGAGTGAGTCCGTCAGTCCTAAAGCAGGGATCTGGGTGGCACATCAGAGCATGCACCCACCTCTCTCTTTACTAATAACAAACATTTAAAATTTTCATTTGCATAGAACTGTTGGTATAGTTTTACATACATCACTTCACATAATTTTCATAACAACTCTGTGATATAGATACCAGTAATCTTATTTCTACAAATGAGAAGAGGCTCACCAAGTCAGTGTATGGAGGGTCACATGCAAAATGAAAAGAATCATTCTGGGCTTCTGAGGTTCCCACCTCCTTGTATGAGCCATTCAGATTAAGTTCTAGCAAAGTGCCTTATTTCTTGGAAGAGGCTGGCTGCTTGGCCTTCTGCTCAGTGCTTGTTCAATCATGTGGATCTGCATTTAATGAGTAACATGGATGATCTTTTCTTGAAGAGCAAAACCTCAAGCTTTATTAAAAGTTTGAGTATGAGAAACAGTGGTCACAGAAAGTTGCCTGAAGGGTGTAGAGCAGCTCCATCAGTCGGTTCTTCATCAGTCTAGTTTTAAGTTGTAGACTGAAATAAACCCACAGAGAAAGAGCACACACTTGGGTGTTGAAAAATCAAGTGATTACAACACTACTCCCCCATCCCCTTTAAAGTCTGTTCAAAGAAAATTTTAAAAAATTAAGGTAGCATATTAAGTCTGCCCCTGCCTTTTTTTTTTTTTTTAAGGAAAAAGGAAGAATTTTCTGAATAAACAAGTCCATTGCTAGAAGGCAGAGAGATTGGGTAGGTGGTGAGCTGAATCAATCTTCATTACTAAGGTGTCAGGTGCTCAGGCTAAACCTGCAGCTTTCCAATAGGAAAACATTCAGTCTAGTAGCTTGTTCTGCTACTAGACTGCCTCAGTGAATGAGTAACTGACTGGATTAAACAAAACACCCCAGAAATATTTACCAAGAAGGTAAGGTCCAAAAGGAAGGTAGTGAAAGGAAATGTACTCTGATCATGAAATGGTTGGTTGATGAGCAAGTCAAGCTTGAAGATTTATCTCTTTTCTTCATTCAGAAAAGCAACTGAAATGCAAACTGGTGCTATTAATAACATAGTCCTTGAAGACAACCTAAAAATAGTTCCTAAAATGCCATTTGTAACTGTAATTTTGCATCTCAATCATTGGCAGTTTGGAATGACAGTATTTTGTACAGCAAGATGATGCACATTATAATACTATATATAGAGAGAGAGACATGCATGTGCTCCTCCTTCTTCCCCACACAAATCACCCGGAGGTCATAAAAATGTTTAAGTTCCACCAGGAGTAAGCAAAAATTTAACAAGGAAATACATACTCATTTTACATTTAGGTAATTAAGTAGTAATCTCCTTGATGTTAATTTTTATTTCTCCAAGTTAAAGTTCTTGCTTATATGAACTCTTGCTTTCTAAATAGCCCTGGAATCAAAGGTAATTCCTTATCATGAGTTACCAGGTCACATAAGGCCTTACATAATTGTTAGCATTTGATATCTGTAAGCAACCATGTCATCTTTCTACCAATGATCTACTTCCCTTTTCTCAGAGGCTGTGGGAAGGTCCTTTTCAAATACTAGCACCTATTATATAGAATAATCTGAACTCTATCCTTCTCTTTCAGATTCAATAACAACACCTGATTCAGAGTTTGTTTTTACCTCTTCAGTCCCTGTTTCTGAAGAAAATAAAGTGCATTCCCATATATGCCAGCAAAGTGCTAGTTTTGTTCTTGGATGGAGATGTACAATCACCTCCTTTGCAAGCTTTAGTTAAGAGCAGGGAGAGAAGAAAAATCTTAGAGAATATCTTTAAGCTATCTTTCCTTGGGCTACTAGGCTGGGAATCCCAGCCCTTGGATATATTAATCATTTGGTGTCTGGGTTTCTGTCCTTGTACAGGGTCCTCCACCACCCTACTCACAGGTCCTTTCCAGCCCATCCTGTGCTCACCACCTGCTTACTTGCTGCACTGAGACCCAAGGAGAGCACCGCTGTCCTACCATGTACTGCCAGAGAGCTGGACAGAGTCATTGATTAGGAGGACCTTTGAGAGGTAAGTAAGCCTGTGGTAGGGTAAGGCTGGGCCTGGGGTAGATTGAGTTTAAATGGATTTTTTCACATCTGATTTTGTTACATCATTTTTCAGGCCCTCATGCCCAACCCAGTGGTCCTTAAGCTTCAGGAGAGAAAGCCTGTCACAATCAACCAGAATAATGGAACCCATTAATTCAACAGACATTATCTATCCATTATGTATGTATGTATGTATGTATGTTTGTATGCATCTATCTATCTATCTATCTATCTATCTATCTATCTATCTATCTATTTATCTATCTATCTATCTACCTATCTAGACAGTCTCACTCTGTCATCCCGGCTGGAATGCAGTAGTGTGATCTTGGCTCACTGCAACCTCCACCTCCCAGGTTCAAGTGATTCTTGTGCCTCAGCCTCCGGAGTAGCTGGGATTACGGATGCCCGCCACCATGCCCGACTAATTTTTGTATTTTTAATAGAGACAGGGTTTCGCCATGTTGGCCAGGCTGGTCTCCAACTCCTGAACTCAGGTGATCTGCCCATCTTGGCCTCCCAAAGTGTTGGGATTACAGGCATGAGCCACCGTGCCCTGCCCAACAGACACTTATTGACTGCCTGCCTACTATGTGCTAGACATTACTAGGGAATTATTCAAAGATATATGAGAGAATTCTAAGCCTTTGAGACAAAGTGCATTGAAACAACTCATTTAAGTTACTCCTTGGGCAGTCCAAAGAGTTGGGAAGAGTGTAGATTAGATTATTTCTGTGCCTTGATTCTGGACTAAAGTTGGCATTAGAAAATTAAATATTTCCTTCTGTGGAAGTGAGGCCACTGCTGTTGGCCATTCTTTGGACTCTCTGAGTCCCTATTTTTTCCATTTCCTGTCCCTTCAGGAAACAGCTTAAAAAAATGACTATTATTAGGTCCAGACTGCCATTGTTCTTACATCGCAATATCCTTTAATGAAGCATCTCACTGTTTTAAGCACCTGATCAGAACTGCCTCTGGTGCTCCTTTTGCCTGGAATGCCCCCTCCCCCACTGCATTTGTTCAGCTCAATAGTCAGTGCCCCAAAAAGCCTTCTCTTGACCTCTGCTTGTTTTCCTGCAGCACTTGTAGCCCTCCCAGCACACTGAGCACATTCTACTGGGTGTCACAATCATTTGTGCATGCGGTTTAGTTCTTTTACTGGACTGTAAGATCCTTGAACTAATTCATCTTATTTCTCCATCCCATCATGGCACAGAGAAAACTAGCTTGTACCTTGTTGGGACTCTCTCTCCTTTTTTTTTTTTTTTTGGTGGCCTCTCCTCCCTCTAAATGTTTCTTGCTTTGAAAATCAAATTGTTGTACCATCAGTTTTTCTCAATCTAATCTCAAAAGTTTGGATGACAAGGGTTATCCTTGGTCCCAACACTTGTTTTGTAATGAAGTTCTTCAGTCTTATAGCTTTTAATGATGCAATATTTTTGAAAGCTATTGTAAGCATTTTTCCTTTATCACATTGTTTAAAGGAGGTCAAATTTTGTTTTCTGCAACCTTGCAAAACCAGGTCAAAGGTAATCTGGAACGTTTTATAACTTACCTGGGACTCAGTTTTGCAACAGAGAGTATCTTTAACTGTTACTAAAGCCTTGCATAAGAGTAGTGCCTACACTGTGGGAGCCTCGCATGGCTGTGTTGAGTTAGGCAGTGTATACCCTGCCAGTGAGCTGATGAAGGGACCCTCAGGAGACCTGGGTTATCTACCCAGTGGAAGAGCTAGTTTATTGATGGTCTTGATGCTAGGATAAATGGAAATGGAACAAATGTACAATTTCAGGCCTCTTTTGTAGGTTTTTATAAAATATCCCATATTGTGTGAAATAAAATATGTTTTACTGTTTTACCCATATTCTGTATTTGGAAAGTTGGGTGAAAAACTACTGGCCCAGCCATGTGGCTTTTATTAGTTACAACATTGATACAGGTTCTTATCCTTGGAGACAATTTTCCCATGTGATTACCTAGATCATACCCTGCCCTGGAGAACGATCCTGAAATGTACAACAGAGAGAAAGTCATATTCTCTGGGAAACAGTGCTGCTGCTTGATTCAGGGAAGTGTTTATGAGTCTTGACTTTCTGTAACTATAGTAAAATTGAAAAGAGTAATTGAGTACTGAAATTCCTGATAGGGTTGAGTCCTGTTAAGTGTTATAAAGAAACCCCCAAATTCATAACAACTGGATCAATCCTCATGATAAATGCCTCTGTGCTGGTCCTTTACATATACTGCAGAATTTGACTGACAGATGGAGCTCAAGAGCTCTTACTAGTCCACAAGCCCTGGGCTGAAACTCAAAATATGGAATCAAACTGACATTTATGTATCATGTTCAAGATGGTGTGATAGAATAAACAGTGCCTCGTAAGTGAGAAAAAAATATTTGGGTTCTATCTCTACCTTTCTGTTCCTAACTATCCACTTGATCATGGGCAATTCATATCATCCCTCTAGGCCTTTGTTTATACAGCTATAAGACAATGAGAAGGCCAGTAGCAGTGGCTCACGCCTCTAATCCCAGCACTTTGGGAGGACGAGGCAGGTGGATCACGAGGTCAAGAGATGGAGATCATCCTGGCCAACATGGTGAAACCCCATCTCTACTGATAATAACAAAAATTAGCTGGGCATGGTGGTGGGCATCTGTAGTCCCAGCTACTTGAGGGGCTGAGGTAGGAGAATGGCTTGAACCTGGGAGGCGGAGGTTGCCGTGAGTCGAGATCGCGCCACGGCACCTCCAGCCTGGGCAACAGAGCGAGACTGTCTCAAAAACAAACAAACAAACAAACAAACAAACAACAATGAAAAACAATGGGAAACTAGACTGTTTCTCAAAGCCTAGTCCTCAGACCATTTGTTTCAAAATCACCTAGGGTTGGCGGTGGGGTTTCTTATAAAAATACACATTCCTGGGCCCCAACATAGTCTTACTGAATCAGCATTTTTGGGGATGATCTCAGAAATTTTATTTTTTTGTTTTGAGACAGGGTCTCACTCTATCACCCAGGCCGGAGTGTAGTGGCACAGTCAGAGCTCAGTGCAGCCTCAACCTCCCGGGCTCAAGCAATCCTTTCACCTCAGCCTCCCCAGTAACTGGGACCACAGGTGCTCACCATCATGCCCAGTTAATTTTTGTATTTTTTTTTTTTGTAGAGATGGGGTTTCATCATGTTGCCCAGGCTAGTCTCGAACTTCTGGGCTCAAGTGATCCTCCCTCCTCCACTTCCCAAAGTGCTAGGATTACAGGAGTGAGCCATAGTGTCCAGCCTCAGAATGTTTTTAAAAGTAAGCTTCCGGCCAGGCGTGGTGGCTCACGCCTGTAATCCCAGCACTTTGGGAGGCCAAGGCCGGCAGATCACGAGGTCAGGAGATCAAGACCATCCTGGCTAACACGGTGAAACCCTGCCCCTACTAAAAATACAAAAAATTATCCGGGCGTGGTGGCGGGTGCCTGTAGTCCCAGCTATTCAGGAAGCTGAGGCAGGAGAATGGCGTGAACCAGGGAGGTGGAGCTTGCAGTGAGCCGAGATCACGCCACAGCAGCCTGGCCTGGGCGAAAGAGCGAGATTCCGTCTCAAAAAAAAAAAAAAAAAAAAAAAAAAGTAAGCTTCCTAGGTGATTCTTGGGCTTATTAAAGTTTCTTCTGTAAACTTTTTTTTTTAAAGTATAACACATTCATTAAACTTACAGGATTATAGGGTTAGAATATCTCTAAGGTCCCTTCCAACACCAAAGAATTCTAAGAATCAGTCCATTCAACATATTTTCCCATGGGCATGTTTAGTAAACATGCAACTCTGTGACAGACTGTAATTTTGCTTCATGTGCAAAGGTATCTCAGTGATTTGGAAAAACTGATTTTTTTTCAAATATGTGGCCTCCCTCAGAGGTCAGTTGACGGTCCAGAGAGTGCCTTAGGTCCACTGTAAAGTCTGGTTCACGTTTGAGTTTAATATAGAAATTCCCATATATTCTCTATGTAAACACATAGCTCTATGGCAGACAACTGTTAGCTGGGTGGGAAGAGGGTATCTGGTTGTAATTCTGACTTTATTGCAGAATCAAACTGTATTATGGTCATTTAATCCTGAACTTCTTTGTCAACAAAACTCCAAACCCTGTGACCTCCCTCTCAGGGGACCTGGGATACTAAAGTGATAAACAGAATTTAAATGCTTCCTGAAGTGGTACAAAGATCACTGTGTTAATAATTTCCCTCCAAGCAAGCTGGTAAAGTAATAGGCTTAGGAGAGTCTTCTAGTTACAAAGTAGTGAAGTTATCGCTTTTCTCAGGCAGCTAGAAATTAATGGGAATTTTCTTGAAAGGACCATCTCTTCCAAATAATTTAGCCACCTTTAAACTTGTCTTTTTTTTATTCTGTTTTTTGAGATGGAGTCTCACTCTGTCCCCCAGGCTGGAGTGCAGTGGCATGATCTCGGCTCACTGAAACCTCTGCCTCCTGGGTTCAGGTGATTCTCCTGCCTCAGCCTCCCAGGTAGTTGGGATTACAGGCACGCGCCACCATGCCCAGCTAATTTTTTTTTTTTTAGTCGAGACGGGGTTTTTGCTATGTTGGCCAGGCTAGTCTTGAACTCCTAACCTCAAGTGATCCACCTGCCTCGGCCTCCCAAAGTGCTGGGATTACAGGCTTGAGCCACTGCGCCCAGCCTAAAATTTGGCTTTCTGCTTTTAAACTTTTATACAAAGCCTATATTTTTTGGATTATTTATTTCATGCCACATGAAGCAGGTGTGTAAGATTCCTGGTTTCTCACAAGTGAATTAACCTTTCATCTTTCTGTAACCCGCTTAGCTTGCCTCAGTTTCCCCAGCTATGAAATGAAGGGGTAGAGCAAGTGGACACTTCATCCCTTCCAGCACACTTAACAGTTTACATCCATGCAGAGGAAAACAATAAGATGTAGGAAAGAGGCTGGGTGTGGTGGCTCACACCTGTAATCCCAGCACTTTGCGAGGCCAAGGTGGGTGGATCGCTTGATCTCAGGAGTTTGAGACCAGCCTGGGCAACATGGTGAAACCCTGTTTCTACCAAAAATAACAAAAAATTAGCTGGGCATGGTGGTGCATGCCTGTGGTCCCAGCTACTTGAGAGGCTGAGCTGGGAGGATCGCTTGAGCCTGGGAGGCAGAGGTTACAGTGAACTGAAATAGCGCCACTGCACTCCAGCCTGGGCAACAGAACGAGACTGTCAAAAAAAAAAAAAAAAAAGATGTAGGAAAGAGCATGGCTTCGAAGTTGGATAGAGCTAGGTTGGAATTTTAAGCCTCAGTTTTCTCAACTGTATAATGGTGGTGGTGGTGGTGGGGATAGTGATATGTTATCTCCCGGGGTAATAAAAGCATCTACTATAGGGCTTAGCACAGAAATGCATTCTAGAAAGCTGAGGCTCCTCGGCTCCCTCGACCCCTACCCTGTCACCCAGGTCTTTCAGCCCACTCCTGTGTAGGCCTCTTCTTACTGACTGAGAGAAGGAACCCTTGGTCCTTATTCAAGTGCAGAGACAAGCTCTCTGGGAGGGGAAAGCCATCAGCCCTGTGAGTAACAGGTTCTCTGTCACTTCCTGACCTTGTCATCACTTAAGTTACTGTTTCAAGTCTGGCTGAAATGTGGCAGGAGCTAACCACAGAACTGAAAGGGTCACTATTGTGATAGATGCAGTGGGGGCTCACAACGGTCCTGTAGCAGATCCCCAGTATCTTCTCCCTGGGGATCAGGTGGGGTCACCTTTGTTCTGCAGGGAGGGGACAGGATGCTAACAGCAGTTGAGAGCTGGAAGCAACATTGAAGCCTGCCTCATTAGAGAGGAGCAAACCAAGGGACAGAGAGGAGAAGTGACTTTCCCATGATCACACAGCCAGTCAAGCAGCAGAGGTGAGAAGAGCCCCTCTGGATCCACTAGAGTTCGCACTCAAGATCCTCTGCATTTTAATGCAGATGTTATAAGTATTGATTAAGAGCTTGGAATTTGGAGATAGATGGCTGGGCATGAGGCTTCACCTCTCAGGACCTCAGTGGTCTCATCTATAAAAGTCCTATAACAAAGCCTACCCATTGTGAGGATTAAAAACCACACTGCCTGTAGAGTGCTTAACACAGAACCTAGCACATTATCAGCTTCCACAACAGGTGGTCCTAAAAGATCATTATTTGCGATTCAAGGAAACACTGCCAACCTTTTTCTATACCTACAGTTCCGATCTGAACCTCCCTCTGCGAACCCCTTATGCCACGCTGTGGCTCGTCAGTCAAGGCGCCGAGAAGCCCTGGTGCCAGGGCAGGGCGATCCTCGGGGCTCACCTGGCGACACCAGCAGCACCTTCGCCCCGCAGCACTGGAAGCAGTGCAGCAGGGACTTCGCGCGGATGTTGTAATTGAGGCACGCCATGGCACAGCCCAGCTTCACCAGCCCCAGCCACAGCCACACGTAGGCCGGCTCGTTACCCATAAGGAGCGCCACGCAGTCTCCCTGGCGCAGGCCGAGGTGGTCGTGCAGCGCCCGGGCCACTTGATTGCTGCGCCGGTCCACCTGCGCGTAGGTGAGAGTCTCGTCGCGGAAGAGCAGAAAAGGCTTGTGTGGCGTCTGGCGCGCTTTCTCCAGGAACGCCCGCAGGATGGTGCGCGCCGGCCGCCGCTTCCCGTAGCTGCGCACCCTCCGGCCCACGGCGGCCACCTTCAAGAAGTAGCCTATGTCCTGGAAGAAGTATGGGCAGCAGAGGTTCACCAGGAGCGGCAGGAACAGCAGTCCCGCCAGGACTGTGTAGATGGCGGAAAGCATGACGGCTGCGGGGCCCTCTGTCCCAGCGAGGGCAGAGGGTTCACCCCGGGCGTGCAGCGCGGCGACTGGGCGGGCTCCGGGCGGACTGGCGGGCTGCGCCGGGGCGCACGCGGCGGGACGCCGGGCTCGCGTGAGATGAAGGGGAAGACAGAGCTCCTCCGCTGCAGGTACCGCCGCGGGCTCCGGAGCAGGTGTAGTCGTATGCGCGTTGCCGGGGGTTCCGGGCAGGACTGGCCGGCTGAGCCCGCCCCCTTGTGGGGGGCAGCCACCTGCTCTCCCGGCCCTCCCACGCGGTCCTCCCGGGGCTGGGCAGGCTGCCCTGCGGCTCACCAGGAGCCTCGGCCACTTCCCAGCTCGAGTCTGGAGGTCTGGGGTCAAGTCTGGACCTCCTCGCGTTGTGACCGAAGTACTTTACCTCTAGGAGCCACGGTTTCTTTAAATGGTGATGAGACGCGCTTAGCGGACGTTGGGAATATTAAAGGAGATATTGCAGGCGTGGGGCTATTATTTGTTACCACTAATAGAATGGCTTATGGAGATGACACTGTTATTACCGATAAAGTGCCTTATAAATGTCAGACAGTCCTATTATTTATTAATAGCGGGTACCAGGTGCCACTGCCAAACCAGAATCTCATCTCTCCTTCCTGGTCCCAAGGGCTTTCCGCCTGGTCTCTCTTTGTTTCTCAGATTTGCTTCCCAGCCCGACTGCCAGGCGGTCTCCTGTAGCGAAGGCTTCAAGGTTGAACAGAAATGCCTGTGGCAGTCACGTCCAGCTCATCCCAAGCCCTGCCAGGTGAGTGAGGGCAGGACACTCTAACCTAGTCGGCCCTGCCTGGTCGGGGGAGTCCTGATTTCGTGAAGAGCAGTGCTACACCGCACCACCTGAAATCAAGCTTTGACATTATTTTACGATTTTGTTCTGTTAAGTGATCCTGCTGTTCCCTCATGTTGAAAGTTGTCAAGTGTTGTCAGCACAGTTCACACATTTAATAAGTGGCTCTGTCAGAGAATAGTATAGTACAGAGGACATTGAGTAAGTGGTATTGGCATGACTCAAAAACCATTTCTTTTAGAGGAAATGTGAACCTTTCTTTTAATTTGCCTTAGTGCTACTTCTGTACGAAGTGAATGCTCACTACTTGCCACTGAGGAGGGTCAGGATCTAAGTAGTGTTTTATTTTCATCCTCTACTGTCCTCCTGTGTTCCTCTATCTTAATTTGATACGATAAATACAGATAATGCTTATTCCTCCCAGACACGCTGCTAGGAGCTTCCCTATGTTACATTTTGGGAGCCTGAGTTATTTTATACAGGTGGCACTTTCATGCTCATTTACAGACAAGAAAGGGAAGCTTAGGTGAATTGAGACAGCCGGTAAGTAATTCGTGGGTTTTGGAAATGGTATCTGTTTGGTCCCGGGGAACCAACTCTTAGCTTATTCTTAGTAACTATACTATGCTGTCCTCCTATTCTCTAGGTTTCTGTCCATGTCCTCTTTTTTTTTCGGTGTGTGTAAAACACACAAAAATGTTTCACATTCCCTCCAGGCCACCCCCTGCCGTTTTTTAGCCTCCTTTTCGTATCCCTAGTAACTGCGCAAGCAACCTTTCCCTTTTCCTGACTTTTTCATTTCTGATCCAGCTACCTGGTTGCATCATTTCCCTGGGGATGAGCTGGGGGCCTTCATCATCCCTGAGGAGAAAGCAGTAGAATTAACCAAAGTGAGGGCCCGACAGAAACCATTCTCATGTGCACTTCTTTCATGGTGAAGCTCAGAGCCAGCCCTTCCTTTTTCATCCCAATGCCACCCTCGTCCCTTGATGGCTAATCGCTTCTGTGTAGCCACCTGCACCCCTCTTCTCTTTTCCTTGAACAGCTACTGTCTACCCAGAGTGCTAGATTACCACAAGGGTCCACTTTTTCCCCTCTTATTCTGAGGATCACTTTAACCTCAGTTACAAGTAAAAGAAAACAAGACCCAAGCTAGCTGAAGCAGAAACAGGAATTTAAGTAGTAACTGGAGAGTCCGGGGCTAAGACATCAAGGATTTTAAATGCTGACACCTGGATCTAGTTTTGCTTTCACTATTTCTCCTCTGCACCTCCTCTGTTCTCATTCAGGCTCTCTGGTTTTTGTCCAAAGATGGCTGCCAACAGCCCTTAGGGGTACATGCTTTCTGGCTCAACTTCAGAGAGAAGTACAGGAATCTTTTTCTTAGGAGTTCTCATAAAAAAAAAAATCCCTGACTGGATTATGCGCCCATTTCTGAACCAATGTCTGTGGGTCCTGGGGAAAAAGGTGCTAGTTGTTTTAAGCCAATCAGCGCTCACCCATGGGGGTGAGAGTATAATCAATTTCACCTAGGCCATTTTGTGGAACGTTTTACGGTATTATTAAAAAGTGGGGTTAGGGAGAGTAAATTTGGGGAAGTAATTTTCAAATGTCTATAATATATACCTTGGGAGTCCCAGTGATTCCAGCTTTGAGCCTGGGATCCAGCTCTTGCTTTATCACGAGGTTAATAGATGTCTTAGTCTGTTTGGGCTGCTATAACAAAATACTGTAAGCTGGGTAGTTTATAAACAACAGAAATTTATTTCTCAGACTTCTGGAGGCAAGTCTAAGATCAAGGTGCCAGCAGATGTGGTGTTTGGTGAAGGGCTACTTTCTCACAGATGGTGCCTTCTCACTGTGTACTGTTTGGTAGAAGGGACAAATTACCTCTCTGGGGCCTGTTTTATGAGGGCACTAATCCCATTCATGAGGGCTCTGCCCTATGATCAAATTACTCCCCAAAGGCTCTACCTCCTAATACCATCACATTGAGGGTTAGGATTTCAATATATGAATTTTGTAGGGGACATGAACATTAAAACCACAGCAATAGTCTTCCTGGAAATATTGCTGCCATCTTATATCTCCACTGCTCAATTATCTTTAGTGGTTCCCCATTGCTTCCTATTGTCTTCCACCAATGACATCTATAGACAGTTGTACTTGTACAGCATACTAGAACATACCTGGCCTAGAGTTGACCAGATGCCCTGGCTTCTGCCTGACTCCTTTGAAAGGTGATCGATAGCTTAGCACGTTGGCTGCCCATTCTTGGTACATCTCTTGGGAACCTCTGGTCTATAAAATGAAATTTAAACTTTATTTTCTGGCTCTTCTGAATCTCACTCAAGCTTTCACTACACTCAATTGACAAATATTTATTGAGTTTCTGCTATGAACCAAACATTATTAGGTATTAAATATTTTAAAATGGACCAAAACTTAATTCTAACTGTTCCTTTTCAAGCGCACTTTGTTTTTAGCAAGTCTGGTCTGCACACTCCTAAAAATGCCCTGCACCTTCCTCTTTCTACTGGCTTGTTCTTACCACTTTCCACCCCTGACCATCCTAACCCTGTAAATCTCAACTCTCCTTTAGGGCAGTAGTTGTTTGATTCCTGAATTTCTTAGTCCCGTGTTATATTTCGAAACCAAGTTAGGGACTCAAAATAAGTAACGACTTCTTAATTTTTCTAGTAAGAACAACCCCCTCCCCCATCACAGTATATTTGTTATTTTATAGAAGAATGACATTTTTGGCACTAAAAAAGTATACCTGAACTGTACACTTAAAAATGGTTAAAATAGTTAATTTTTATGTTATGCATATTTTACCACAATTTTAAAGACAGTAACAATAAACATATAGCCCTTTCCAAGAAAAGACGAAGACAATGTTACACCAACACATAAAAAGTACAGAAATTATCCAAGTGTGGGGGCATGCACCTGTAATTCCAGCTACTCGGGAGACTGAGGCAGGAGGATCACTTGAGGCCAGGAGTTCAAGACTGGACTGGGCAACACAGTGAGACCCCATCTCATATGAAAAACAAAACAAAATAATCTTACAAATTCTCACAAACAGATAAAAATAAAAACATTAAAAATATTTTTGAATGTAGAAAACTGCAACTTTTGTCTGGGTTTTTATACCATATAGAAATTGTTTTTATACAAGTTTGTCTATTCAGTAACATAAATTCCACAGGGAAATATGAAATAGAGCCAGATCTTGGACTTTGATGTAATTTAGGATTTTGTCAGCACTGAGATCTCAGACATGGAGATTCTCCGTCCCCATAGGCTTAGTTAAGCCTCCTCATTCCACTTCTCCCATTCTCTGACATTACTGAGCCTATTCATTTCCTCTATCAAGATTTCGGTCCCTTCCTGGCCAGTCACTTCAACGTGGCCTCCTAGACCCCTCTTTTCCTTAAACTTTCTATCCAGGTATAGATGACCTCAAATGCCCACTGTCTTCTGTCCTATTCTAGGTATTGCAGGAGAAGTTTAGGGGCAAGACAGGATTACTGGGTGTGCATACTGACACCTTCTAGCCTTGGTCAGGACGTTCATCCCTATCATCTATCTCTGCTATTTGAGAGAAGGCTTCCTATTGGCAGTCCCAGACCTTCCCTACCCCCTTCAAAGTTTCCAATCCCAATCTCAAATGTTCTTTTAAAGCAGGTGGCGTCCCTTCCTACTTTATGGAGATGAAGTAGTTCACTATTTCTCAAACTTTACAAGTCTGAGAATCACCTGGGGAACATGCTAAAATATAGTTTATTAAGCCCCATCTCCAAAATTTCTGATTCAAAGAATTCACATCTCTAAGAAGTTACCAGGTATTGCTGACACTGCTAGTCCAGGGACTATACTTTGAGAACTACTGATTTAGTCCATTGGCTTCCAAACTACTCGGTAGAGCCCTAGTGGCTGAGAAGTTACTGAGGAGAGTTCATTGCATAGAGTGGGAAAGGGGCTCTGGGAGGATCCTACCCTAGCTCCAATCAAAACAGCTCATATACTTGTTTTACACTTCCATGTAGAGTTCATGTGAAAAAAAGTATTCCCAAACATTTTCCTTTAAATCTTCCAGCCCATGCTGATCCAGCCCTTGTACTGAACTTATAAACCCATCGCATAGGTGGGCTTTTGATTGTTTCTTACCTGTTAGTTTTGCCTTCGTAACTAGAATTCAATTTCCTGGAATGAAGTAATAGAAAAGATTGTGAGACTTGAAGCCAGAAGACCTGATTTTGAGTCTTTATCTGTCATGCATTGGCTGAGTAGCTTTGAGAAGTGTACTGAGCTCTCACAGTGACTTGTGTTAATTTTGTAGAATTTGAGGCACCTAATGCACAGGGCCATTCTTGACAAAAAAGTATAGATTATGAAGCTTGCAATTTTTGTGACATTACATACTTGGTACAAATAGAAATTTTGTGTGACTGACTCATTCAGTGGTTTGTGGGAAGAATAATCTCTGACTGTTGTTGCCATAAGTTAATCACATTTCTTGAAATGTGGGTGCCTGTCATCCTATTGACTGTCTAGCATGGTACCATTTGAGTATAGGCATACAGGATGTGCAGGTATTCAGCCAACAAAATGGCAAGGGTTTGATGGAGGTGGTATGTGATAAGATTGACCCTCTTTTTGGAGAATGAAAAAAAGGTGAGACTGAGAACAACTGATTATTGATATTAGACATGACAGAGCAGGAAACCCTTGCATTGGCATCCCAGTTGTGCTTGCTACACAGTCAGGACAATTTATAATTTGAGAAAAAGATGTTTGCCCTCTTTAGTTCTGACCAGAATGTCTTTGATTAGGTGTTGAATTCTAACTCAGGGAAAACTCCTGATGAAATCATCATTGTTTCTAGTGCTAATA
Organism: Homo sapiens; assembly: GCF_000001405.40. NCBI lineage: Eukaryota > Metazoa > Chordata > Mammalia > Primates > Hominidae > Homo > Homo sapiens. Next base: position 50,176,690 of record NC_000015.10, on the reverse strand, counting down.
TGTGTGCTAATTCTCCAGATTTGGTTTGTATTTTTTCAACAGCTTTCTCTCTCTTCTTTCAATATCCCACTGCAACACACATACTCTCCATCCCAGTCACAATGTACTCTTTTTTGGATTTTATTATTTATTTTGTTTTTTATTTTTTAATTTAATTTAAAAAATATTTTATTTTTCCATAAGTTATTGGGGTACAGGTGGTATCTGGTTACATGAGCAAGTTCTTTAATGGTGATTTGTGAGATTTTGGTGCACCCATGACCTGAGCAGTATACACTGCACCAGATTTGTAGTCTTTTATCCCTTGCCCTCCTTCTACTCTTCCCAAGTCCCCAAAGTCCATTGTATTATTCTTATGCCTTTGCATCCTCACAGCTTAGCTCCCACATGTCAGTGAGAACATACGATGTTTGGCTTTCCAATTCTGAGTTGCATCACTTAGAATAATAGTCTCTAATCTCATTCAGGTCACTGCAAATGCTGTTAATTCATTCCTTTTTATGGTTGTGTAGTATTCCATTGTGTGTGTATATATACACAATGTTTATATATAGTGTATATATATATGCTGTGCAGTATATATATATACACACTATATATATACTCTGTGGTATATATATATATATACTCTGCGGTATATATATACACTCTCTCTATACTATGATATATATATACTGCGATACATATGTACACACTATATATATCACAGTATCTTTAACCACTCATTGATTGATGGGCATTTGGCTTGGTTCCATGATTTTGCAATTGTAAATTGTGCTGCTATAAACATGCGTGTGCAAGTATCTTTTTTGAGTAATGACTTCTTTTCCTTTGGGTAGATACCCAGCAGTGGGATTGCTGGATCAAATCGTAGTTCTACTTTTAGTTCTTTAAGGGATCGCCACACTGTTTTCCATAGTGGCTGTACTAGTTTACATTCCCACTAGCAGTGTAGAAGAGTTTCTTGTTTACCACATCCATGCCAACATCTACGGTTTTTTGATTTTTTAATTATGGCCATTCTTGCAGGAGTGAGGTGGTATCACATTGAAGTTTTGATTTGTATTTCCTTGATCATTAGTGATGTTGAGCATTTTTTAATATGCTTGTTGACCATTTGTATGTCTTCCTTTGAGAATTGTCTATTCATGTCCTTAGCCCCCTTGTCGATAGGATTGTTTGTTGTTTTCTTACTGATTAGATTCGTTGGTTAGTTTCTTCGTTTCTTACTGATTAGATTTGTTAGTTTCTTACTGGTTAGAGTTCGTTGTAGATTCTGGATATTAGTCCTTTGTCAGATGTATAGGTTGTAAAGATTTTCTCCCACTCTATGGATTGTCTATTTACTCTGCTGTTCCTTTTGCTTTGCAAAAGCTCTTTAGTTTAATCAGATCCCAGCTATTTATCTTTGTTTTTATTGCATTTGGTTTTGGGTTTTTGTTCATGAAATCCTTGCATAAGCCAATGTCTAGAGGGTTTTTCCAATGTTATGTTCTAGAATTTTTATAGTTTCAGGACTTAGGTTTAAGTCCTTAATCCATCTAGAGTTGATTTTTGCATAAGGTGAGAGATGAGGATCCAGTTTCATTCTTCTACATGTGGCTAGCCAATTGTCACAGGCACCATTTGTTGAAAAGGGTATCCTTTCCCCACTTTATGTTTTTGTTTGCTTTGTCAAAGATGAGTTGGCTGTAAATATTTGGGTTTATTTCTGGGTTATCTATTCTGTTCCATGAATCTATGTGCCTATTTTTATACCAGTACCATGCTGTTTTGGTGACTATAGCCTTATAGTATTGTTTGAAATCAGGTAGTGTGATGCCTCCAGATTTGTTCTTTTTGTTTAATCTTGCTTTGGCTATGTGGGCTCTTTTTTGGTTCCATATAAATTTTAGAATTGTTTTTTTTCTAATTCTGTGAAGATTGGTGGTATTCTGATGGGGATTGTCTTGAATTTGTAGATTGCTTTTGGCAGTATGGTCATTTTCACAATATTGATTCTACCTATCCATGAGCATGGGATGTGTTTCCATTTCTTTGTGTCATCTATGATTTCTTTCAGCAGTGTGTTGTAGTTTCCTTGTAGAGGTCTTTTGACTCCTTTGTTAGGTATGTTCCTAAGTTTTTTTTTTTTTTTTTGCAGTGATTGTAAAAGGGATCGAGTGCTTGATTTGATTCTCTGCTTGGTCGTTGTTGGTATGTAGAAGAGCTACTGATTTGTGTACGTTAATCTTGTATCTGGAAACTGTGCTGAATTCTTTTATCAGTTCTAGGAGCTTTCTAGGGGAGTCCTTAGTGTTTTCAAGGTAAATGATCCTATCGTCAGCAAACAGTGACAGTTTGCCTTCCTCTTTACCGATTTGGATGCTCTATATTTCTTTCTCTCGTCTGATTACTCTGGCTAGGACTTCCAGTACTATGCTGAAGAGGAGTGGTGACAGTGTGCATCCTTGTCTTGTTCCAGTTCTCAGAGGGAATGCTTTCAGCTTTTCCCCATTCAGTATTATGCTGGCTGTGGGTTTGTCATAGATGGCTTTTATTACATTGAGGTATGTCCCTTGTATGCCGATTTTGCTGAAAGTTTTAATCATAAAGAGATGCTGGATTTTGTTGAATGCTTTTTCTGCATCTATTGAGATGATCATGTGATTTTTGTTTTTAATTCTGTTTATGTCATGTGTGACATTTATTGGCTTGAGTACGTGAAACCATCCCTGCATCCCCGGTATGAAACCCACTTGATCATGGTGGATAATCTGTTTGATATGTTGTTGGATTTAGTTAGCTAGTATTTTGTTAAGGATTTTAGCATCTATGTTCATCCAGGATATCGGCCTATAGTTTTCTTCTTTTGGTTATGTCCTTTCCTGGTTTTGGTATTAGGGTGATGCTGGCTTCATAGAATGAATTAGGGAGGGTTCTTTCTTTATATTGTGGAATAGTGTTAAAAGGATTGCTACCAATTCTTTTTTTTTTAAATTTTTTTAGTATTTATTGATCATTTTTGGGTGTTTCTCGGAGAGGGGGATTTGGCAGGGTCATAGGACAATAGTGGAGGGAAGGTCAGCAGATAAACATGTGAACAAAGGTCTCTGGTTTTCCTAGGCAGAGGGCCCTGCCGCCTTCTGCCTTCCGCAGTGTTTATGTCCCTGGGTACTTGAGATTAGGGAGTGGTGATGACTCTTAACCAGTATGCTGCCTTCAAGCGTCTGTTTAACAAAGCACATCTTGCACCGCCCTTAATCCATTTAACCCTTAGTGGACACAGCACATGTTTCAGAGAGCACGGGGTTGGGGGTAAGGTTATAGATTAACAGCATCCCAAGGCAGAATAATTTTTCTTAGTACAGAACAAAATGGAGTCTCCTATGTCTACTTCTTTCTACACAGACACAGTAACAATCTGATTTCTCTTTCTTTTCCCCACATTTCCCCCTTTTCTGTTCGACAAAACCGCCATCGTCATCATGGCCTGTTCTCAATGAGCTGTTGGGTACACCTCCCAGACGGGGTGGCGGCCGGGCAGAGGGGCTCCTCACTTCCCAGACGGGGCGGCCGGGCAGAGGCGCCCCCCACCTCCCAGACGGGGCGGCGGCTGGGCGGGGGCTGCCCCCCACCTCCCGGATGGGGAGGCTGGCCGGGCGGAGGCTGCCCCCACCTCCCGGATGGGGGCTGCCCCCCACCTCCCGGACGGGGCGGCTGGCCGGGCGGGGGCTGCCCCCCACCTCCCGGATGGGGCGGCTGCCGGGCGGAGACGCTCCTCACTTCCCGGACGGGGCGGCTGCCGGACGGAGGGGCTCCTCACTTCTCAGACGGGGCGGCCGGTCAGAGACGCTCCTCACCTCCCAGACGGGGTGGTGGCGGGGCAGAGACACTCCTCATTTCCCAGACAGGGTCGCGGCCGGGCAGAGGCGCTCTTCACATCTCAGACGGGGCGGCGGGGCAGAGGCGCTCCCCACATCTCAGACGATGGGCAGCCAGGCAGAGACGCTCCTCACTTCCTAGATGGGATGACGGCCGGGAAGAGGAGCTCCTCACTTCCCAGACTGGGTGGCCGGGCAGAGGGGCTCCTCACATCCCAGACGATGGGCGGCCAGGCAGAGACACTCCTCACTTCCCAGATGGGGTGGCGGCCGGGCAGAGACTGCAATCTCAGCACCTTGGGAGGCCAAGGCAGGCGGCTGGGAGGTGGAGGTTGTAGCGAGCCGAGATCACGCCGGCTGCACTCCAGCCTGGGCAACATTGAGCACTGTGTGAGCGAGACTCCGTCTGCAATCCCGGCACCTCCGGAGGCCGAGGCTGGCAGATCACTCGCGGTCAGGAGCTGGAGACCAGCCCGGCCAAGAGGGGGAAACCCCGTCTCCACCAAAAAATACGAAAACCAGTCAGGCGTGGCGGCGCACGCCTGCAATCCCAGGCACTCGGCAGGCTGAGGCAGGAGAATCAGGCAGGGAGGTTGCAGTGAGCGGAGATGGCGGCAGTACAGTCCAGCCTCCGCTCGGCATCAGAGGGAGACTGTGCAAAGAGGGAGCGGGAGTGGGAGGGAGAGGGAGACCAATTCTTTTTTGAATGTCTGGTAGAATACTGCTGTGAATCCGTCTGGTCCTGGACTTTTTTTTCTTGGTAATTTTTAATTTACCATTTCAATCTCACTGTTCAGTGTATCTAATCCTTCCTGATTTAAGCTAGGAGGGTTGTATTTTTCCAGGAATGTATCCATCTCTTCTAGGTTTTCTAGTTTATGTGCATAAGGTGTTCATAGTAGCCTTGAATGACCTTTTGCATTTCAGTGGTGTCAGTTGTAATATCTCCTGTTTTGCTTCTTAGTGAGGTTATTTGGATTTTTTTTTCTTTTCTTTTTTTGGTTAATCTTCCTAATGGTCTGTCAATTTTATTTATCTTTTCAAAGAACCAGATTTTTGTTTCATGTATTCTTTGTATTTTTGTTTGTTTGTTTGTTTCAATTTCATTTAGTTCTGCTCTGATCTTGGTTATTTCATTTTTTCTGCTGGGGTTTGGATTTGGTTTGTTCTTGTTTCTCTAGTTCCTTGAGGTGTGATCTTAGATTGTCTGTTTATGCTCTTTCAGTCTTTTTGATGTAGGTGTTTAGGGGTATGAACTTTCCTCTTAGCACCGCCTTTGCTGAATCTCAGAGGTTTTGATAGTTTGTGTCATTATTATCATTCAGTTAGAAGAATTTTTAAATTTCCATCTTGATTTCGTTTTTACCCAAAGCTCATTCAGGATCAGGTTATTTAATTTCCATGTATTTGCATGGTTTTGAAGGTTCCTTTTGGAGTTGATTTCCAGTTTTATTCCACTGTGGTCTGAGAGAGTGCTTGATATAATTTCAATTTTTTTAAATTTATTGAGGCTTGTTTTATGGCATATCACATGGTCTATCTTGGAGGAAGTTCCTTGTGCTGTTGAATAGAGTGTATATTCTGTGGTTGTTGGATGAAATGTTCTGTATATATCTGTTAAGTCTGTTTGTTCCAAGGTATAGTATAAATTCATTGTTTATTGACTTTCTGTCTTGATGACCTGTCTAGTGCTGTCAGTGGAGTATTGAAGTCCCCCAGTATTATTGTGTTGCTGTCTATCTCATTTCTTAGGTCTGTTAGTAATTGTTTTATAAATTAGGGAGCTCTAGTGTTAGGTGCATATGTATTTAGGATTGTGATATTTTCCTGTTGAACAAGGCCTTTTACCATTCTATGCTGTCTCTCTTCATCTCTTTTAACCACTGTTGCTTTAAAGTTTGTTTTGTCTGATATAAGAATAGCTACACCTGCTCACTTTTTGTGTCCATTTGCATGAAACACCTCTTTCCACCCCATTACTGTAAGTTTATGTGAGTCCTTATGTGTTAGGTGAGTCTCCTGAAAGCAGCAGATAGTTGATTGGTAGGTTCTTATCCATTCTGTGGTTCTGTATCTTTTAAGTGGAGCATTTAGGCCATTCACCTTCAATGTTAATATTGAAATGTGAGATACCATTGCATTTATTGTGCTCTTTGTTGCCTGTGTACTTTGTTTTTTTTTGTTTTGTTTTGTTTTTGCTTTTTAACTTGTAGTTTTGTTTTATAAGTCCTGTGTGATTTATGCTTTAAAGAGGTTCTGTTTTGATGTGTTTCCAGGATTTGTTTCAAGATTTAGGGCTCCCTTTAGCAGTTCTTGTGGAGGGTGGGGGGGGTTTGGTAATGGTGAATTCTCTCAGCATTTGTTTGTCTGAAAACAACTGTATCTTTCCTTCATATATGATGCCTAGTTTTGCTGGACACAAAATTCTTGGCTGATAATTGTTTTGTTTGAGGAGTCTGAAGATAAGTCCCCAATCCTTTCTAGCTTGTAGGGTTTCTGCTGAGAAATCTGCTGTTAATCTGATAGGTTTTCCTTTATAGGCTACCTGGTGCTTCTGTCTCACAGCTCTTAGGATTCTTTTCTTCATCTTTGTATAACCTGATCACTGTGCCTAGGTGAAGATCTTTTTGTGATGAATTTCCCAGGTGTTCTTTGTGCTTCTCATATTTACATGTCTAGGTCTCTAACAAGGCTGGGGAAGTTTTCCTCAATTATTCCCCCAAATATATTTTCCAGGCTTTTAGAATTCTCTTCTTCCTCAGGTACACTGATGAGTTTTAGGTTTGGTCATTTAACATAATCCCAGACTCTTGGAGGCTTTGTTTATATTGTCTTAATCTTTTTCTTTTTCTTTGTTGTATTGGGTTAATTCGAAGACCATGTCTTTGAGCTCTGAATTTCTTTTTCTTTCTTGTTCACTTCTATTGCTGAGACTTTCCAGAGCATTTCACATTTCTAAAAGTATGTCCAAACTTTCCTGAATATTTGATTGTTTTTTCTTTAAGCTATCTATTTCTATAAATAATTCTCCCTTCACTTCTTGTATCATTTTTTGAATTTCCATGCATTGGGCTTTGTCTTTCTCTGGTCCCTCCCAGATTAGCTTAATAACTAACCTCCTGAATTATTTTTCAGGCAAATCAGGGATTTCTTCTTGGTTTGGATTCATTGCTGGTGAACTAGTGTGATCTTTTGGGGATGTTGACGAGCCTTGGTTTGTCATATTACCAGGGTTGGTTTTCTGATTCCTTCTCATTTGGGTAGGCTCTGTCAGAGGGAAGGTCTAGGGCTGAAGGGTGTTGTTCAGAATTTTTTGTCCCACAGGGTGTTCCCTTGATATAGTACTCTCCCCTTTTCCTATGGATGTGGCTCCTGTGAGCTGAACTGCAGTGATTGTTTTCTGTCTTCTGGGTCTCACCACCCAGTGAGTCTACCTGACTCCGGGCTGGTACTGGTGGTTGTCCACACAGAGTCCTGTGATGTGAACCGTCTATGGGTCTCTCAGCCGTGAATACCAGCACCTGTTCTAGTGGAGGTGGTGGAGGCTGCAATGGACTCCATGAGTGTCCTTAGCTTTGGTGGTTTAGTACTCTATTTTTGTGCTGGTTGGCGTTTTGCCAGGAGGTGGCACTTTCCAGGAAGCATCAGCTGTAGTAGTGTGGAGACGGACTGGTGGTGGGCAGGGCCCTAGAACTCCCAAGATTATAGGCCGTTTTTCTTCCACTACCAGAGTGGATAGGGAAGGACCATCAGATGGGGGTGGGGCTAGGCCTGTCTGAGCTCAGACTCTCCTTGGGCGGGTCTTGCTGTGGCTGCTGTTGAGGATGGGGGTGAGATTCCCAGGTCACTGAAGCTGTGTACCTAAGAGGATTATGGCTGCCTCTGCTGAGTCATGCAGGTTGTCAGGGAAGTCGGGGAAAGCCAGCAGTCACAGGCCTTACCCAGCTCCCAGGCCACCTGAAGGGCTGGTCTCACTCCCACCATACCCCACCAACGGCCCCAAGTCTGTTTCCAGGAGGAGGGCGAGAGGGGCTTGAAAAGTTGCCTGAGGCTTTCCACCTACCAGCTGCAAGAGAAAAGGGCTTTAGTCCTTCCCTGACCTGTGAAGTCTACATGCCTGTTTCGTGCCCTCCTCTTGAGTTCTGGCCAGGAGGCTTTTCACTCCATTCAAATTGTCACAAAGTTTAACTAGAGAATTCCTTCTCCCTGTGGACTTTTACCCCCTGCTCCTCTGTTCACCCTCCTGATGGATCTCTTTGGTGTCAGGCAGGAATGGGCTGCTTGAGGGCCCAGCGAGCTCCCAGGGCCTTTCTGCTGCTTTCTCTACCCCTGTATTTCACTCGGCTCTCCAAATTGACTCAGCTTCAAGTAACCTCGGAAACCTCTTCCACAAACAGACCTTCAGCTTCTGCAGTGGGGGTGTGTGTTTGAGAGAGGAGGGTCTACCTTTCCCACTTCTGCAGTTGGGGCACTCACAGTATTTGTGGTGTCTCTGTGGTCCTGCAGGAGCAGTCTACTTCCTTCAGAGGGTCTGTGGGTCCTCTTGGGATTGTTGGTTTGTTCTTGCAGTCGCTCTGGAGCTAAAATTCGCAATGCGAGCCTTCGCATGCTGCTCTGTTGGGAGCTCCCAGTCACAATGTACTCTTCATTCCCGAATGTGTTGGTTAATTCTTTACTACTTAGGTCCTTTACTTCTTTGTTTCCTTCTCTTGTAATATCTTTTCTTCTTATTCAATTCTTAAATGTAAGTTTCCTAGCATTATGTCTTCTACTTCAGCTTTTTATTGTTTTTCTATCTAGTTGATCTCATTTATTCCTATGGAATTGAGTGCCACCTGTATGCTGAGGAATTGTAAATATTCAGCCCAAATATGTCTGCTGAGTTCTAGATCTGATTTAATTATGGCCTACCGAGCACCTCCAGATGAATCCATTCCTTTATTTACTCACATATTAATGTATTCATTTGCTGTTTATTTAAAGTATACTATGTACAGATTACTTCACATTGAAGCATGTGGGACAAACATTATTCCCATTTTTTGGTAAGGGAATTGAAACTCAGGGAGATTAACCAACTTGCTTAAAGCCACACACAGCAAGTCAATTGTGAAGCAAGGACTATAACCCAAATTTTCTGATTCCTAGTTAAGTGCTGATATGCTAAGTGTAGTGGATCAAATGTGTCTCGCGCTGCCCTCCAAAAAAAGATGTGTATACCCAGAGCCTGTGAATGTGACATTATTTGAAAAAATGTGTTTTTGCAGATATCATTAAGCTAAGGATCTTGAGACAGGATCATTCTGGGTTAGGCTGGGCCCTAAATTCAATGACAGATGTCCTTAGAAGAGAAAAGAGACAGAGAAGAGAAGGCAATGAGAAGATGGAGGCAGAGATTGAAGTGCTATTTCTACAAGCCAAGGAATGTCAAAAGTTGCTAGCAGGCACTAAAAGGTATGAGAGAGGCCTGGAATGGATTCTCCCTCAGAGTGTTCAGAAGGAATCAACTCTGCTGACACCTTGACTTTGGACTTTTGTCCTCCAGAACTGTGAGACAATAAATTTCTGTTGTTTTAAGACATCAAGTTTATGGTGATTTGTTACAGTAGCCCTAGGAAACTAATATGCTAAACCACATTGTGTTTCAAATAAATTGGGATTTTGACTTCAAAACTAGGATGCACAATGGTGAAAAAAAGTCCAGTAGTTGACAAAATAGAAAAAAGTACAAGGACCTAAAGTAGGCTGTAACTATTTCACTGAAACAGTGAGAATCCTCATGTAATTGGCCTCATGGTGAGTAAAATTGTGATCTGGGAATTAAACATTTCCATGGAGTTCAGGGTCAGCTTGTTGACCCAGAATCTCAAATTAACGGATCACTTACTGTTGTGGTAATTCAGCTTTTTTCTATTGCTGTTTTGTTGATCCTGCCACAAATTTCACCCTCAGTACTATGAAACATTCCAACCCCCAACCCCCCATGCATGGATTCTGCGTAATCAGGTGTTCTATTGGCTTATGGCATGTGATTACCTCCTTCTCCCTGCAAATCTTTCTGCTTTGGCTCCCTGTAGACTCAACTGTGTTCCCAGTTTTCTAGGTCATATTCTTGAGATAACAAATCTGGTAGCCCAGACAATCACCCACATACATGATTGTGTAGAATGCTGAGGTTTCTGTCCAGCCATTAGACTATTGTACTCAAGTAAGATGCATGGTCCTGGTCCAGTCAGCTGTGTGCATTCCTGGAGGTGGATGGAAGTGGAAATAGGGAAGGTAGTTGGGTTTCCTTATTCAAAACATCGTCACTATAAATAAGGCACTCACCAGTAGAGGGTTGGCAGTTTCCCTCTACAGGAGCTTATTTCCTGCTTTGTTAAGATATTATTCTCTCTGATGACTACATACAGCAGTCATGAATAGCTACTTTCTATTGCTAATGAATTATGATGTAATTTAGTGCTTACTTGTGTGGCAAGATTATATCTTGAAGAATTTATGGAGATTCAAATTTTTGTCTGATGACATTTTCCTCCTGCTGGAGGAATTTCCCCTAACATTTCTTGTACTGGAGATCTGCTGGCAATTAATTTTTTCATCTTTGTTTTCTGATAAAGTCTTTATCTTTCATTTTTGAATAGTATTTTCACTGAGTATAGAATTCTATGATAGGTTTTATTCTTTGGTACTTTCAAGATATCACTCTATTGTCTTGTGACTTACAGAGTTTCAGACTGCTGTAATTCTTATATTTGTTCTTTATTCCTGATTGTTTTCAAGATTTTCCCTTTATCTAATTTTCAGCAGTTAGATGAGGTGTGTGTGTGTGTGTGTGTGTGTGTGTGTGTGTGTGTTCTCTGGGATTCTCTGAGCTTTCAGATCTATGGTTTGATATCTTTTATATCTTTGGAAAAATTTGGGGTCATTATCTTTTCAAATTTTTTATCTGTTCTGTTATCTCTCTTCTCTCTCTTTGACTCCAGTTTGTGTTGAGTCATTTGATATTGCTCAACAGTTTTTACATGAACATTTTTTATTTGCTTTTTTCTTTCTGTGTTTCAATTTTGATAATTTTAAACCTACATTCAATTGACTGAGATTTCCACCTCAGCTTTGATAACTAACTCTAAGTAATTCTTCATTTATGATATTGTGCTTCTTTACTTCCAGAATTTCCATATGACCCCCCTTTTTATTTTTACCATTTCATCTCTGTTGATGTTTCCTCATCTTCTCACACATGTTGTTGACTTTTTCAACTAGATCCTTTAAAAACTTTTTTATTTAGGGGGAGGAGATAGAGCAAGATGACCAAAGAGAAGCCTCCAGTGATTGCCCCCACCATCCCCCACCAGGAACACCAAATTGAGCAGCTATCCACACAAAAGAAACATGTTCATAAGAAAAACAAAAAAACCAGGTGAGTGAACACAGTACCTCACTGTGTTTTAACATCATATTAACGGAAGAGGGGCTGGTCGTGGTGGCTCATGCCTATAATCCCAGCACTTTGGGAGGCTGAGGCGGGCAGATCACTGGAGGTCAAGAGTTCGAGACCAGCCTAGCCAACAGGGTAAAACCCCATCTCTACTAAAAATACAAAAATTAGCTGGGGGCTGTGGTGGTGGGTACCTGTAATCCCAGCTACTTGAGAGGCTGAGGCAGGAGAATTGCTTGAACCTGGGAGACAGAGGTTTCAGTAAGCCAAGATCGTTCCGCTGGACTTCAGCATGGGTAACAGAGCGAGACTCCATCTCCCCAAAAAAAAAGAAAAAAAAAGGAAAGAGGTATTGAAGAGGGTAGGAAAGACACTCTTGAAACTCTTGAATTGCCTACACAACCCTTCCCAAATACCCTGGCAGAAGCCTTATGGCATGGAGAAAGAGTCTATGTGCTTGGGAGGAGAGCACAGTGATTGTAGGACTTTGCATTGGAACTCAGGACTGTCCTTTCACAATGGAAAGCAACATTTGACAGAATTCAGCTGCTGCCCATGAAGAGAGTGTTAAGACCAGCCATAGCCAGAGGTGAATCTCCCATCTCAATGGTCAGAGTCTGAGTTCTGGAAGCCCGTCACCATGGGCTAAAGTGATGTAGAGTCCTAAATAAACTTGAAAGGTCATCTAGACCACAGGGACTGCAATTCCTGGACAAGTCCTGGTACTGTCCTGGGCTTAGAGCCAGTGGACTTTGGGTACACATGACCTGGTGAGACACCAGCTGGAGCAGCCAAGGGAGTACTTGCTTCATCCCTCCCTCAACCCCAGGCAGTACAGTAGAGAGATTGTTTGAGGAGAGAAGAGGGGAGAGTAAAGAAGACTTCATCTTACCAGCTCAGCCACAGTGAAATAAGACACAGGCAGGGACCTGAGGTCCCCATTCTAGGCCCTAGCTCCCAGATGACACTTCTAGACATGCTCTGGGCCAGAAGAGAATTGATACCTTGAAGGGAAAAATCTCATCTTGGCAGGATTCATCACCTGAGACTAAAGAGCCCTAGGTCCCTGAATAAACAGCAGTGGTAGCCAGACGGTATTTGCTGTGGGCCTTGGGTGAGACTCAGAAATATGTTGGCTTCAGGTGTAACCCAACACATTCCCCTGTGGTGGCTACAGAGAGAGACTCATTCTGTTTGAGGGAAAAAATGTGATGAGTAAAGGGAGCTTTGTCTTGTAGCTTGAGTACCAGCTCAGCCACAGTGGGGATAGAGCGCCAAGCAGGCTCCTGGGGTCCCTGACTCCAGGCATTGGCTCCTGAACAACATTCTTGGACCTGCCCTGGGCCACAGGGGAGCCCACTGCCCAGAAGAGAGACTCAGGCCTGGCAGCATTCACCACAAGCTGACTGAGGAGCCCTTGGACCTTGAGAGAACACTGGAAGTAGCCAGGCAGTACTTTCCATGAGCCTGAGACAGTGGTGGCCATGGGGAGAGACTCTTCTGCTTAAGAAAAGGGGAAGGAAGAAGGGGAAGGACTTTGTCTTGCAGCTTGGGTGCCAGCTCAACCATGGTAGAATAGAGTACCAAGTAGATTTCTAAGGTTCCTGACTTTAGGTCCTGGTTCCTGAACAGCATCTTGACCCACTGAGGGCTAGGGGGATCTTGTAGCCCTGAAAGGAAAGATACAAGCAAGGCTGGATTCACCATCTGCTGATTGTAGAGCCCTTCAGCCTTCAGTAAACATAAGCAATAGCCAGGCAGTTGTCACCATAGGCCTTGGGTGACACCCAGTGCTGTGCTGGCTTTGGGACCAACCCAGTTCAGTCTCTGTGGTGGTGGCCACTGGGGTGCTTGTGTCACCTTTCACTCAGCTACAGGCAACTCAGCTGAGTGAGACAAACTCCATTTGTTTGGGGAAAAGTAAAGAAATAGAACAAGTGTATCTGCCTGGTAATCTAGGGGATCTCCTAAATCTTACCAAGACCACCAAGGCAGTATCTGTATGAGTCTGCAAGAGTCACAACGTTACTGGGCTTGGGGTGCCCCCAATGCAGATATAGCTGCAGTTACCAAAGACTTAGATCACAATACCCAAGTGCCTTGGAATACTTGGAAAGCCTTCCCAAGAAGGACAGGTACAAACAAATCCAGGCCATGAAGACTACAATAAATACCTAACTCTTCAATGCCTAGTCACTGACAAACTCCACAAGCATCTGAAACATCCAGAAAAATGACCACATCAAATGAACTTAATAAGGCACTAGTGACCGACCCTGGAGAGATGGAGATATGTGACCTTTCAGACAGAAAAGACAAAATAACTGTTTTGAGAAACCTTAATGGAATTCAAGATAACACAGGGAAGGAATTCAGAATCCTATCAGATAAATTTTAACAAAGAGATTGAAATGATTAAAAAGAAGCAGAAATTTTGAATCTGAAAAATGCAATTGACATACTGAAGAATACATCAGAGTCTCTTAACAGCAGACTTGATCAAGCAGAATAAAGAATTAGTTAGCTTGAAGGCAGGCAATTTGAAAATACACAGAGGAAACAAGAAAAAAAACAAAAAAGAGGCCGGGCGCGGTGGCTCACGCCTGTAATTCCAGCACTTTGGGAAGCAGAGGCGGGTGGATCATGAGGTCAGGAGATCGAGACCATCCTGGCTAACACAGTGAAACCCCGCCTCTACTAAAAATACAAAAAATTAGCCGGGCGTGGTGGCGGGCGCCTGTAGTCCCAGCTACTTGGGAGGCTGAGGCAGGAGAATGGCGTGAACCTGGGAGGCGGAGCTTGCAGTGAGCTGAGATCGCGCCACTGCACTCCAGCCTGGGCGACAGAGCGAGACTCCATCTAAAAAAGAAAAAAACAAAAAAGAATAAAACTTGCCTATAAGATATAGAAAATAGCCTCAAAAGGGCAAATCTAAGAGTCATTGGTCTCAAAGAGGAGATAGAGAGATTGTACTGGAATGTTTATTCAAGGGAGAAATAACAGAAAAATTTCCGTATTTGGGGAAATATATTAATAAAGTATAAGTAGATATTAATAAAGTATATATATAAATAAAGATATTAATAAAGTATAAGAAGGTTATAGAACACCAAGCAGATTTAACTCAGAGAAGACTACCTCAAGGCATGTAATAATCAGACTTCAAAGGTCAAGGATAAAGAAAGGATCCTAAAAGCAGCAAGAGAAAAGAAGCATACAAGAAAAGTAACATACAAGAAAGCTCCAATACATCTGGTAGCAGACTTTTCAGTGGAAACTTTATAGGCCAGGAGAAAGTGGCATGACATATTTAAAGTGCTGAAGGTAAAAAAAATTTTTATCCTAGAATAGTATATCCAGTGAAAATATCCTTCAAGCATAAAAAAGAAAGACTTCAAGACAAACTAATGCTGAGAGACTTCATCAACCCAAGACCTGTCCTCCAAGAAATGCTAAAAGGAGTTCTTCAATCTGAAAGAAAAGAACATTAATGAGATTAAAAAATGATTAAGAAATCATCTGACGGTACAAAACTCACTGATAATAGTAGGTACAGAGAAAAACACAGAATATTACAACACTATAATTGTGGTGTGAAAACTCATATCTTGCATAAAAATACTGAAAGATGAACCTATCAAAGATAGTAACTACAAGAAGATTTCAAAACATAGCACAATAAGATATAAATAGAAAAAACAAAAAGGTAAAAAGTGGGGGATATAGTTAAAGTGGAGAGTTTTTATTAATTTTCTCTTTGCTTGTTTGTTTATGCAATCTGTGTTGTTAGCAGTTTAAACTAATGGCTTATGACATATTATTTACAAGCCTCATGGTAACTTCAAATAAAAAAACTTACAACAGATACATAAAAATAAAAAGTAAGAGATAAAATATACAGTTAGAGAAAATCACCTTCACTAAAAGGAAGACAAGAAGGAAGGAAGAAGAGAAGATCACAAAACAACCAGAAAACAACAAAATGGAAGAAGTAAATCCTTACCTATTAATAATAACATTGAATATAAATGGACTAAACTCTCCAATGAAAAGACATACAGTGGCTGAATGGATAAAAAAGCAAGACCCAATGATCTATTGCTTACAAGAAACACACTTCACTTATAAAGACACAATACATAGAAAATAAAGGGATAGAAAAAGATACTCCATGCCAATGGAAACCAAAAAGAGGAGGAGTAACTATACTTATATTGGACAAAATAGATTTCAGGACAAAAACTGGAAGAGACAAAGAAGGTCACTATATAAAGATAAAGGGATCAATTCAGAAAGAGGATATAACAATTTTAAGTATATATGCACCCACCACTGGAGTACCCAGATACATAAAGTGAATGTTATTAGAGCTAAAGAGAGAGATAGACCCCAATACAATCATAGTTGGAGACTTCAACACCATGTTTTCAGCATTGGACAGTTAATCCAGACAGAAAAATCACTAAAGAAACATGAAACTTATTCTGCACCATAAACCAAATGAACTTGACAGATATTTATAGAAAATTTCATATGGCTACAGAATATACAGTCCTTCTCCTTAGCACATGGATCATTCTCAAAATGAACCATATCTTAAGCCACAAACAAGTCTTAAAACTTTCAAAAAATTGGAAATCATATCAAATATTTTCTCTGACCACAACAGAATAAAAAAGAAATCAGTAACAAGAGGAATTTTGGTAACTATACAAACATTTGGAAATTAAACTATATGCTCCTGAATGACCAGTGACTCAATGAAAAAATAAGAAGGAAATTGAAAAATTTCTTGAAACAAATAATGGAAACACAACATACCAAAACCTGTGGGATACAGTGAAAGCAGCACCGAGAAGCAAGTTTATAGCAGTATCTACATTAAAAAAAGTAGAAAAACGTCAGATAAACAACTTAACGATACACCTTAAAGAAATAGAAAAGCAAGAGCAAACTAAACCCAAAATTTGTAGGAGAAAAGAAATAATAAAGATCAGACCAAAAATAAATGAAATTGAAATTAAAAAAATTACAAAAGATCAATGAAATGAAATTTTTTCGAAAAGATAAAATTCACAAATCTTTAGCCAGACTAAGAAAAATAAAAAAAGACGACCAAACAAAATCAGAGATGAAAAAGAAGACATTTCAACCAATACTGCAGAAATGGAAAGGATCATTATTGGTTACTATGAGCAGCTATATGCCAATAAATTGGAAAACCTAGAAGAAATGGATAGATTCCTAGACATATACAACCTACCAAGATTTAACCATGCAGAAATCCAAAACCTGAACAGACCAATAACAAGCAATGAGATTGAAGACATAATAAAAAGTCTCCCAGCAAAAAAAAAAAAAAAAAAAAAAAGCCAGGACCTGATGCTGAATTTTATCAAATATTTAAAGAAGAACCAATATCAATCCGACTCAAACTATTCCAAAAAATAGAGGAGAAGGGAATACTTTTTAACTCATTCTAGGAGGCCAGTAATCATCAACAGAATTTTAGCAAATTAAATTCAACAACACATTAAAAAGATCATTCATCATGACCAAGTGGGATTTATTCCAGGGATGCAAAGATGGTTCAACATACACAAATCAATCAATGTGGTACATCGTATCAATAGAATGAAGAACAAAAGCCGTATAATTTTTTCAGTTGATGGTGAAAAAGCATTTGAGAAAATTCAACATCCCTCAAAAACTGGGTAGAAGGAACAGACCTCAGCATAATAAAAGCCATATATGACAGACCCACATACTGACACATAACTGAGTGGGGAAAAAACTGAAAGCCTTTCCTCTGAGATGTTGAACAAGACAAGGATACCCACTTTCACCACTGTTATTCAACATAGTACTGGAAGTACTGTTTAAGAGCAACCAGACAAGAGAAAGAAATAAAGGACATTCAAATTAGGAAGAAGTCAAATTATACTTGTTTACGATGATATAATCTCATATTTGGAAAAACCTAAAGACTCGGCTAAAAAACGATTAGAACTGATAAACAAATTCAGTTAAGTTTCAGGATACAAAATCAACACACAAAAATCAGTAGCATTTCTATATGCTAAGTGAACAACCTGAAAAAGAAATCAAGAATATAATCCCCTTTACATTGCTACAAATAAAATAAAATACCTAAGAATTAACCAAAGAAGTAAAAGATCTCCACAATGAAAACTATAAAACATTGATACAAGAATTTGAAGAGGACACAAAAAAGGAAAGATATTTCATGTTCATGGATTGGAAGAATAAATATGTTTTTTTTTTATTGATCATTCTTGGGTGTTTCTCGCAGAGGGGGATTTGGCAGGGTCATAGGACAACAGTGGAGGGAAGGTCAGCAGATAAACAAGTGAACAGAGGTCTCTGGTTTTCCTAGGCAGAGGACCCTGCGGCCTTCCGCAGTGTTTGTGTCCTTGGGTACTTGAGATTAGGGAGTGGTGATGACTCTTAAGGAGCATGCTGCCTTCAAGCATCTGTTTAACAAAGCACATCTTGCACCACCCTTAATCCATTTAACCCTGAGTGGGCACAGCACATGTTTCAGAGAGCACAGGGTTGGGGGTAAGGTCATAGATCAACAGGGTCCCAAGGCAGAAGAATTTTTCTTAGTACAGAACAAAATGAAAAGTCTCCCATGTCTACTTCTTTCTACCCAGACACAGCAACCATCCGATTTCTCAATCTTTTCCCCACCTTTCCCCCTTTTCTATTCCACAAAACCGCCATTGTCATCATGGCCCATTCTCAATGAGCTGTTGGGTATACCTCCCAGACGGGGTGGTGGCCGGGCAGAGGGGCTCCTCACTTCCCAGAAGGGGCGGCCAGGCAGAGGCGCCCCCCACCTCCCGGACTGGGCGGCTGGCCGGGCGGAGGCGCCCCCCCACCTCCCTCCCGGACGGGGCGGCTGGCCGGGCGGGGTCTGACCCCCCACCTCCC
The DNA here is from genome assembly GCF_000001405.40 of Homo sapiens. NCBI lineage: Eukaryota > Metazoa > Chordata > Mammalia > Primates > Hominidae > Homo > Homo sapiens. The sequence continues at coordinate 50,158,429 of NC_000015.10, read as the reverse complement.
TCCTGGACGGGGCAGCTGGCCGGGCGGGGGCTGACCCCCACCTCCCTCCCGGATGGGGTGGCTGCCGGGCGGAGACGCTCCTCACTTCCCAGACGGGGTGGCTGCCGGGCAGAGACGCTCCTCACTTCCTAGATGGGATGGCGGCCGGGAAGAGGCGCTCCTCACTTCCCAGACTGGGCAGCCGGGCAGAGGGGCTCCTCACATCCCAGACGATGGGCGGCCAGGCAGAGACGCTCCTCACTTCCCAGACGGGGTGGCGGCTGGGCAGAGGCTGCAATCTCGGCACTTTGGGAGGCCAAGGCAGACGGCTGGGAGGTGGAGGTTGTAGCGAGCCGAGATCACGCCACTGCACTCCAGCCTGGGCACCACTGAGCACTGAGTGAACGAGACTCCGTCTGCAATCCCGGCACCTCAGGAGGCCGAGGCTGGCGGATCACTTGCGGTTAGGAGCTGGAGACCAGCCCAGCCAACACAGCGAAACCCCGTCTCCACCAAAAAAATACGAAAACCAGTCAGGCGTGGCGGCACGCGCCTGCAATCGCAGGCACTGGGCAGGCTGAGGCAGGAGAATCAGGCAGGGAGGTTGCAGTGAGCCGAGATGGCAGCAGCACAGTCCAGCTTTGGCTTGGCATCAGAGGGAGACCGTGGAGAGAGAGGGAGAGGGAGACCGTGGGGAGAGGGAGAGGGAGAGGAAGAAGAAGAATAAATATGTTAAAGGGTCCATACTACCCAAAGCAATCTACAGATTCAGTGCAATCTCTATCAAAATACCAATGATATTCTTCACAGGTATAGAAAAAAAAATCCTAAAATTTATATGGAACCACAAAAGCTATCCTGAGCAAAAACAAACAAACAAACAACAACAAACCTGGAGGTGATGGGTGCACTAAAATCTCAGTTAATCACTGTACAATTCATCCGTGTAACCAAAAACTATTTGTACCGTAAAAGCTATTGAAATAAAAAAGAAAGAAGTGGGATCTGAAGCAGGATCACTGTTGTAAAGAATGGATGATTCTTAGATCTGGTGTACAATACTTCATTGAGCTCTTTGAGCTCTCCACTTCCATGGCTCATCTTTTCTGCACTGGTGAGTCTTCTCTCAGGCTGAGTCTCTCTCTTTTTGATAGAAGCTTTTGACTTTATTTGGGATTTGGTTTGGTTATGAGGCCACTCTATATAAAGGACCTTATATATTCCTCTTGGGATGGTAAAAAAAACTTTCTATCTTTTCTGGCAAATTCTTTATCCCTTTGGTTTGAGTACTCTGGTTTTTACAGAACTTATATTCTATCTGTGGGTATGTCTTTTCTGGTAAATTTACTTGTGGTTCTTTCTCTGTGCCTAATTTAATATTTCGTTTGATCTGTACAATTGAGTTAAAATTTTTCTGAACATTAATCTTGGTTTCATTTTGGTCTGGATATTTAAGTGATTTGGCTCTTTCCCTTGCTTGTTTCTAAAAATCTTTCAAGAGCAAAAATAAACACACTAAATGGTAGATACAAGATGGCTAATTAAAAGCCGCTAAGACTATCACCACAATCTAAAATACCAGTCCAAGCTCCTGATATTCTCTGACAGGATTTATAAGATAGTCTTTGCTCTTAAGAGATTACTAAGAAGTGGAATGGCAATCTCAAACATTAAGTCATGCCAAGGTTTTCTGAGACACTGGCCAGCTATATTATTATCCATTCTCTTGCACATTTAAAAACTGATGTGCAAATTGCATCAAGGAAAATGTAGAGCTCAGTTTATCATTATTTGAACCTAAAAAATCTACAACTGTAGTTAACACGTAGAGCCTACTAAGTTTTTTGTTTATCTCTGTCTCTCTTTTTTGCCTACCTTGAATCTGCTGACCTTTCTTCTGGTGTTGAAATAAAACTCACTGCTTATGATATTCCAGCCAAAAAAAGAGAGGGGGTGAGTATTAAATGGCTTTGAAATTAATGGTTTTACAAATTACAGCAGCATTATGTACCCAACTGCCTAAAGAGCTTTTGGAAATGTAAATTTAGGTTTGCCTGTCTAACAATTGCTTAAGGTGATGAAACATTTAATTGAAGGATTGAAGTTTTAAAGGAAAAGAAGCCTAGATAAATGTGTATAAAAGTTAGGCTCTCAGAGCAATTATATCAAGTATCTCTGTCTGTCATAAAAATTGCTTTGTTTGGTACACAGGGGCCAAAAGGAAAAGCAACAAAACAAAACAAAAACATCTAAAATGCTTTGCCATCTGCATTGACTAGTTAAACCAGCAAACAAATATATATATATATATTTATATATATATAAATATATTTATATATATATTTATATATATATATTTATATATATATATATATATTTATTTATTTATTTATTACCAAGAATTCAGGGCTATTAGGAGATTTTGTTTTTTTTTTATACCAGTCAGCCAGTCCTAGCTAAAATATAAACATTGAAAGTTTAGCCCTAAACTCATTTGAAACTGAAAAAAACATCTTTTAAAACCAAACTTCTTTATCCAAAATTGTAGTTCACAGCCTTCATTAGATGACCTATTGGGGCAAATAAAATTTAGCCATGTGAACAGCTCTCATTTTGTCAGAAATATAATTTGGATCTACCTATTCTTTTTATTAACTGGTAAATTTGTATTGCTATCTCATGACTAAAGTTCTAAAATGAAAGTTATAAGATCTTTGTGTGTGTATACATGTTTAAGTATATTTATGCATATGTACATACATTACGTTGTATGTTGTGTCTACATGGTAAAACGTGACATAGTTATGTAGAACCCCCTTAAGAAATTCTATTTAAATTGGCTTAGATAAATGAGTGTTTATGTAAAATATATACTAATTAACCCAAATACCTTTTAGTTCATGTGACTTAAGTAAATCTTTAGTAAATAAGTTGGTTTAAAAATTGTTAAAATAAAAATAAAAATGACTTCAAGATTGTAAACACACATTTTTCCTGGGTTTATTGGTCAGACAGTTTTATCTTTTTTCTTCATTAGTTGTTTTAAGGTGTCACAGTTTGACACAAAGGTTATAAAACTATAAACATATAAGCTATAAACATATAACTTTATAGTTTTAGAATCTTTATAAACATATAAACATATACAACTATACACTATAAGCCTAAAACAGTGATCTTTGTTTGTGCAATTCTTTGATAAATAAGGCTAATTCAATATTATTGATTTAATAGAAATAACTATTTGAGAAACAGCTTCTGAGTTATTGACAAAATGAATATATATTTAACTTCAAGGTTCTTACTTAGGTGGACACCTGATATTCACAGGCTATAAAAGTAGTTAACAAGAAAAATAACTAGCTTTGTTAAATATCTCAGTTTTCATAAGTAATCTATGCATAATGGTTAAAAGTAGGTAATGTAAACAAGATAAATATAAGTGAGCTTTCATGTAATTCAAAATCTTAAAGTTATGTTATGTTAAATTAAGTAATAGATACTCATTAAATGTCTGGATCATTTCCAAATAAAATAAAAAACTTAAACAAATTGCTGTCCAGCCTGGCCAACATGGTGAAACCCTGTCTCTACCAAAACATACAAAAGTTAGCTGGGCATGGTGGTGAGCACCTGTAGTCGCAGCTAATCTGGAGGCTGAGGCAGAAGAATCGCTTGAACATGGGAGGTGGAGGTTGCAGTAAGTTGAGATCACGTCACTGCACTCCAGCCTGGGTGACAGAGTGAGACCCTGTCTCAAAAAAAAAAATTGCTGAATATAAATATGTTTGTTTTATAGAAAGACTAAATATATTTGGATACTCATACATTAAAAATTATGTAATAGAAAAACAGGTTTCTAAAAATTATAAAATTGTTCTCATCTATGAAATATTGATATATAACATACAGTTGATAATTGCTTGGTAAAAAGGTTACTCCTAGTTAAATTGCTGATTAGTATATATAGAATTGTATAAGTGTACCAAAAATATGTTTTTGGTGAGAAAAACTGTAAGAAAGACATAAAATGTGTTTTTTAATTGAGGAAAAAGAATAATTTTGTCTAATTTGTTTCAATATATGGATTTAGAAAGGAAATAAAAACAAGATAGAACAGAACTAGTGAATAGGATAGAGAGATGTAAAAAAAGTCATGGGTTATTAAGATGTATTTTTGGTTAGATATGTTAAAAAGAAAAGATAATAATTTTATATAAAAAGAATCCTGTGTGATAAATTTTTGTCCTTAAGTAAAATGATTAGTTATTCATGAAAGAGAAAGTATAGGACAAAGCAGAAAGTTTCAGCATGTTGTTAAAGGACTGAATAAGTTGTGATAATGTTTATGAAGGATGTGTTTATGAAAGAAATTTTGCATGTGATCAAGTTGGCTATGATTAGAAGGGAATTATTTATGTCTTTCTAAAGATTGAGCTTGGATATTAAAAATACACTAATATAAAACTAAAAATTTGGTCCTCTATTTTAGAACAACAAGGTTTTTTAAAGTATCGATCTTCTCTTAGTAAAAATTAGAAGAGGCTTTGATTTTTAATTCTAAACTCTGTTCAACAGCCATCTTCTAAACTGCAGACAGTTTCTATTTCTGCCACATAACTCATTTCCTTAATTTTAGTTTGGAAATGCTGTCTTTTTCAATCAGAATGATAATTTCATTTCTTTAAGGGTTTTTCTCTTAAAGCTTCTCAGATTCATATCTCAGAAGTTCAGTTTTTGCTTTATCTTGTTGCACGTGATTTGTAGGTCGTGCATCATTGCCTTCAGCTCTTTCTCCCCTTAAGGTGTGTCTAGGCTGGGCGCAGTGGCTCATGCCTGTAATCCCAGCACTTTGGGAGGCCAAGGCGGGCGGATCACGAGGTCAGGAGATCGAGACTATCCTGGCTAACACGGTGAAACCCCGTCTCTACTAAAAATACAAAAATTAGCTGGGCACGGTGGCAGGCGCCTGTAGTTCCCGCTACTCAGGAGATGGAGGCAGGAGAATCGCTTGAACCTGGGGGGCGGAGGTTGCAGTGAGCTGAGATCGTGCCACTGTACTCCAGCCTGGGCGACAGCGTGGGACACCGTTTCAAAAAAAAAAAAAAGGTGTATCTTTTTGTTTGCCTGGAATGAAAACTCTTTCCTTCAACTTTTTTGTCAGCTTCTGTAACTTCTCTTGTTCAGTTCTAATTCTGCTGTTATGATTTGTCATTGAAATGTTCTGTTTGTAGGCTTAGAAAAACAATGTTTTCCTTTAGGATAATTTGATTCCATACTCTTGGCTTTTCTTGATATGTTTGAATTGTTCCATGTAACCAGGACATTTCACATGCTCTTACTTTTTCCAAGAGCCATGCAGTCCTCTGCTCAATATACCATTTTCTTATTTACATTCCTTTATAATATGGTGTTCCTTGATAACTTTGGACACATTCTTTCTGTGTGTAATTAAATGCAATGTCCTTTTCATCAGTTTTGACTTGCAGTTATCTAAACAGGCTTCCCAGAAGAAGAAGCAATCACAATGCAGGAAGTTTTTCTTTACCTTTTTGGTAACTGGCCTAAAAACCTCCACAAAATATTACATTTTATCAAGATAAATTTCAATGTTGTCTTCACCAGGTTTTTGATTACTTGGGAAAACTGAGCTTTGAAAGGGTTAAGGTTTTAAAAATCCATGTAACTTTCTGTGTTGCGTTTGAAATCTTTTGATTATCGCTCTGGTTAAATGAACATTATTTCACAGTGACCTGTGATTCTCTTTGGTCCTGTATGTTAGATCAAATGTTTTGAACTTTTTGATGTCTTTGACAGACTTTCCCAGGATTAAAATTGTAAATTAAATCTTTTTGATTTAGAATTAATTTGAGATTTTCTAGATAGGCCCTGGGAGAGCCTCAAGGACTGTATCTCTCATCTTGTAGAGATATTAAATAATTAGGCTTAATTGTCAAATTAAATGGAAAATATTGTCAAACAATAAGTGATACTAGATCTCCTTTCAATTACATTTATGGGCATGTTATTGATATGAATATTTCTAAATTGTATAAAACTCTTAGAAATCTAATATGAAATCAGTCACTATTATGTTGTCTGCCATAAAAATAACTAAATTTTCTTGCCAATTGCTGATTGTAATCCACTTCCATCAGATTTTTAACACAGGTATTCTAAGTTTTTGTCATCCATAGTTACTGTTTTAGGTCCTTAGTTCCATAGTTACTGTTTTAAGTCCTTCTCTAAAAGCATTTCCAATCAGATTTATGGAAAAGAGTCTAAAAAGTACTCTTAAATACAGGTTTCTAATAACTTTAATGAACTAAATATAATTTTTTTTCAAAATTCTAATGAAGAAACATGGGTTTATGAAACTGCTAATCAATAGATAAGGCAAAACGAAAATTAATTACATGATATTATATAAATGATAAAGATAATGCTTTTATGACTTTTATCTAACATTAATTGTTCTTCAAGTGTTTTGTTTTCCAGACTTAAGAAAACTTTCTCTCTTAAGCTGTCTATAGTTTACAACATTTTGGTAAAGTATGCTTTTGTGAATAAAGCTGG